>NC_000017.11:52560980-53185980 GCF_000001405.40 Homo sapiens
TGCCAAAATATACTTTCATTATTCCTTATTTTCTTATCTTATTTCCTTCAAGATAACTCACTTAACTGTATTTCCAACAAAACTGTATTTAAAACAAGAAGCAGAGTTGCAATTCATGGCTGGTTCTTTGCTGAGAACATAGTGCTCCTTGATTTATAATGCGCTGACTTCAGGACTCCAAGAGATGTGCTATACCTAGAACCCTGTGTGTGCATATATAATAGACATCAAATGTGTTTTCTGAGAAGAGAGATTGTTGACTAGTTGCAGGGTAACTATACAGGTCTAGCTGTGAGTTAGGCTTTCACATGCTTTCCTTTAAATTATCTGTAATTAATTGTTTAGTTCCTTAATATTCTATGTCTGTTTTAACCATGTAGCTAGCCTATTTTTCTATTACACATGCACAGACTGAACTAATAGGCCAAATACACTCAGTTGTTGACATCATTGTCATTATAATCATCACCAACCATTTATTGAGTCAGGGCAATATACTGAGGTTTATACAGGCATTATTTTATTCAATACTCATAAGAAGCCTAGAAGCTGGCGCCATTGTTATTACTCTCATTCTATAGATAAACAGAGTAAGGCATATATTGAAGATTTGTAGTAATCATATAGAACACAACTTAATTCCTTTCCACTATGATCCCAATCCATCAGTTTGCCAGGTCAGTGGGAGTGGGGTAGAATCATGATTTTCAACCAATACCATTTGCTCATATTTCAGTCTGTGTCTGTTTTGGCCTACTAGTGCATAGTCAGTAGTAGTGGAGGAGATCAAGCACTTTAGTGAGAATAAGGGCAATGTCTCTTTTCTCTCAAATTGCTTGCCTTATGCTAACTTGGAACGTAAACATCAACAGATTTGGCTCCATTACTTAAAAATAGATATATAGCATTTACTTTGCCTGAATTCTAAAGAGCTGTTATTACTGTTTTAAAATTGAGCTAATTAATACAATACAACTCTGTAATTAGGTTTCCTTTGCCCTAGATATTGGCCAGGCATTGCAGGTTTATTCTAGAAAATGTTCTTCACAGCATTGGGAGAATAATGAGTCTCATTCACTTTTGGCTTGGGCCACATGTGAACTAGTGACCCAGAGGTAGATGGCTCAGAGGCCCATTACCAGCACCCAAAGCCATCTATTGTGACAAGAGTGTTGACGGATCCAGCTTAATGCTGCCCAGATATTATCTCTGAATCCTAAGCAAAAGACAAACTGCAGCCACAAGGCAGACATAAAAGTCTCTTGCTGAGATTTGTAGAAAATGCTGTCATTTTAATTAACATTTCCAAACAATAATAATCATTATTTAGTGCTGCAAAGCCAGCCACACACCAAATGCTAAATTTCTGAGTGTTTTAAAGCAAGAAAATACTCTTCTGGTAAATGGAAAGAAAATTTGGTTTGTAGTTTCTTGACTGGGAATATCAAATCAAAGTGGGGCTTTTTCTTCTTTTTTAAAAATAAAAACTTTGTGACTTATTCTGATGTCATTCTTCCTTTGCTAATTTGCTCCCTGACATGCAATACCTTCACAATAATTCTTACAGTGGATAAAAATTGTATTTTTAACATTGATCTTAAGATCTTGGGCTTTATGGTCCACAAAAATCAAAGGTAAGTGGAAGTGCTTTGGAACTTGGAACACAAAGGAATACAATCGATTTTTATAAGAGATTAATTTTTTTCATGCCAAAGAATGTAGGCAACAATTACACGACTTCCATTCATCAGTCTATCTTCCCATTCCTATAGTTTCCAAACCACTGATTTATCTCATAGATTGATAACCTTATCTCCTGCTGTTCAGCCCACCAAAAGAGATAGTGCTTGGGAACAGAAAGCAAAAGTTCTGACCTCACAGTTGGTCTTTGTTTTGAATCTGGGTTATTTGTTCCTAGTTCTCCCTCCCATCTGTCTTGCTTAACCCTCCCTAATCAGCTATGGGTCTTGATGCCATTCAATAATGTCGCAGCCTCACTGAGCTCTCATGAGCTCATTCTGATTTAGGCAGAGCAATTTCAGACCCATCAGCCAATGGCGTCAAAATCTTAAGAAGAGCTAGAATGTACTTATCTCTTTGCATGTGTGAGGCAATTCTCTAAATCAGTCATTAGAAGGAACCCTGTGAGCACATATTATTATCATCATCATCCTAATTTTACAGAGAAGGAGACTGAGGTACAGAGAGGTTAAGTAACTGGCCCAGAGTCAGGATCTGAACCCAGGCAGTCTGGCCATGCATCTAAGGCTCTCAACCTCTACTTTGCACTTCTCTTCCACTTAGTCATAGGTACGTGCATCTGGCCATTTCTGGGACTTACTTTGATCACCTTCCTACCCAGCAGGTTTCAGATTTTCTTTGAAAACCCCTAGGTGGAGCCAAGTTTTGCATCTGTATTTTACTGTGTTTTTTAGACCTTCATAGGTACTAGGAGTCTTGTCCTGTGCGCTGAATCTCAGCCACTTGACAATTTTTTTAAAAGCTCTACTTGTTTCTCACTACTCTCTAAGGCAAGAGGATTCTGCAGAATTCCAATTGTCCCTCAGCAGCTGACTTGGATCTTGTTTTAAATAGATTGATCACCTAGTACTTTGCCTATCTGTATTTAATATGACATTATTAGTTGAATGGTTTCCACCACCTCTCTTGAGTCTATCTACTTTGCTCCATTTCTACCTTTACATATTGTGTAAGCCACCATCTTTTCTCACCGGGATGACCGCATTAGATTCCCAATGGATCTCTGGGATTAACCTCTCACCTCTCCAATCCATTCTCTATGCTGCAACCGTGTAGTCTATTGAATAAGAAAAGCTGGTCATTTTCATGATTAAAACTTTCATAGCTGCCCATAACTCTTAGGATCAAACCCTAAATCTCTGACATGGGTGGTGAGGCCTTGACTGATAAGAATCCAGCTTTACCTCAATACACTCCATCCCTATGCCATGCATCTTCCTATTACAGAAATTTAACACAAATGCCTTCTGCCTTGAACCATCTTCTGATGATGTAAATGGCTGACTTATCCTTCTGGTCTTTGCTTAACATTTATTTCTTAATAGAATTCTCCCTGTGCTTGCAGATCAGATCAAACCCTTCTTGCATAAGCTCTGGCAGCCCCTTTCTTTTGGGTGCTTAATTATGTATTGAGTACTGTGTGTCAAATATTTATCAGCTGAAAATTGTTAAAACACTATAAGACTCAAGAGCGTTAAGACCTTATTTGTTAGCCTGGGCAACATAGTGAGACCCTGCCTCTATAAAAATAAAAACAATAATTCAGCCTGGCATGGTAGTGCACTCCTGTAGTCTCAGCTACTAGGGAGGCTGAGGTGGGAAGATCATTTGAGTCTGGAAGATCGAGGCTGCAGTCAGCCATGATTGTGCCACTGTAATCCAGCCTAGGTGACAGAGTAAGATCTGTCTTGAAAACACACATGCACACACACAAACACAAACACACACACACTTTATCTGTCTTTTTCACAGCTGTCTTCAGTGTATGTAAACTATACTGCCTGGCCTATAGCAGATGCCAGATAATGAAGGGGTGAATGAATGAAGGCATGGACTGCTACATAAAACCTGCTGCTGTTAGCAGATCAGAAAGCTCCATAAAATATAGCATTTATTGGGCACTTAGTACACACTATAAGTATTATTATGGGATTAAACATTTTTATCTCATTTCATATTCACAACAACCTAATAAGTTAGGTTCTAATATTAACCTCATAATTACAGATGGGTAAATTGAGGCCCAGTGACAAAGCTAGATCTGAATCCAGGTGATGTATAGATGGCCAACTTTTGACTGATAAACCAAATGTTCTTCTCCCCCTCTACACACACACACACACACACACACACACACACACACACACACTGTTTTCCAGCTTAATTGTTTATTCATGATACTCTTGATTCTATGGCTATGGACAGGCTTAGGGTAAAAACAAGGGTCCAAAAAGAAGTTTGTTTGAAGGAAACTTCACGTACTATTCATACTCTTCTTAGTCCCCTCTGAGACCAGCAACAGGAGTGGGGTGGCTGACAGGAGGACGTGAAGAGAGGGAACAAAAATGGGCTTTTGCTTTTCTCTTGAGGCCAAAGTTCTATTTATTAAAATAAACACACAAGCTCTCTTTGGACATTTGTCAAGTGACTTCTCACCTCTCCTTTAGGCCTTTTGAGTAAATATTCTTTGATGTTTCAGACATTTTGTGTGGATTTAGCTCATTAAAGGATCAAATTATATGCAGCATGCTGTGCAGGTAAGGTTGAGATATCAAGAATTGGGCCCGGGTTTTGCCAACCATCTCTCTATCGATTAATTCAAATTTTATATGAAAGTTGAAAACACTCGGTGCCCATGGTTTTTCAATGAAAGTGTAAAAAAATTTTTATTTGTATTATAAATGATGATACTGAGATTTTATATGATAAATATGGTGTTTGAATGAAAAGTATTTATTTGTTATAAACATGTACTTGTTAATTATGAAATCACCAAACTAGGATGCTGCAGAACCTGTTTGTTTTGTCTTGCTTTTTTTTGTTGTTGTTGTTATTCCCTGGGTTAAGTTTTAAAATTCATAATTTGGAAATGATCAAATCATGGCAAACATGCTGAAATTCTTTAACACATTTTAAGATTACAAATTTGTTTAATTCAAGAATGTAAAGCTCAGGTCAGGAGATTTTATTATAGATTCAAGCTTCTAGCTTTGTATTTTAAAAATTTAATAAATTTGGGGGATTTTATTCCTCCACACTGTGAGCCATATTTTCATTTTATGACACCATCTAACTCAGTCACTAGATAAGGCCTTAAAAAATAATCTGACAAGATACACTGAAGTCAGGAAGACAGCCAGATGAATGTGTTGTGCAATTAAATTATATCTAACAAAAGACCAATGGCTTCTCTACATCTGAGAATGATCAGACAACCATATCCACATTTGATTGTTCATCTGTGGGCTGAAGTTTAAGCTACTAACTCAACTTGATCATGTAATGTCATGCGACTTTTACCATCCTTCATACTAAATGCTATCAAAAGTAGATTGTTAGGTTCTTGGCAGATTATATATTTAGCAATCTACAAAATTTCATTCATTAAGGTGTTAGAAGGAATTCTCTTTTTAGTGAAACAAGATACATGCCTGTTAATGCTAGATCTTCATAAGAAACCTTAGCTCATGCATTATAATTTCTTCAAGCCTCTCAGGGTGATTTGAATATGCAATTTTGTGTTTCCCTCAATATGCTATTAAGTTGATGTAGGCAGAAAAGTGGATGCTTTTGTTAATACAATGAATTGGATGATGTATAAAGAGGAGGGATAAAATTAGTTTATACTAATCATGACTCCTTGATAATACATTTGACACCATGTAGTTAGAGAAGGATTCCTTTCTACAACCAACTCTTCCAGGATAATGAAAACAACATTTTAAAAGCATATAGAGGAGTTCTTGCAAGAAGGTAAAATAATACATTATTAAAGGTACTGCAGCTTCTTGATAAAAATTTTATGATAACTGTACAAGTGTTCATCTAACCTTGCCTTTTAGCAATATGGAAACATGAGCTCTGCTTATTTCAAGTTGTAAATTGGTTTCCTCTTATTGTCTCATTTAAACAATCTTTTCCTGAATAGACCCAGAGGTGCCAAATGACTCCAAATTATAAGCTACAGGTTTTTTTTTTTCTCCTGCAGAATTACTGTACCCATGATATTAACACCTTCCACTTTGTAGTAAAGCAACTTGCATTTACAGAGGTTATTATGTTTACTCGAAACAATATGCCAACGGATGATAAATATTAGTGGCGAGAAAGAGAGTCGGAGCACTGAGCACAATCTTAACCGAAAAATACAAGTGTAGTATTTAGAATGTACCATGTGAGGGTGGGGGAGAAAAGAAAGGGAAAAATTTCCAGTTGGCACTTGCATCCATTATAAAACTAACAGAGGTGACTGGTGAAAGCAAAGAGTACTAACTCCAGCCTTTTCTCTCTTCAGATATTGTATTTGCTCCCTTCCTTTCTATCACAGATGCATACAGAAAGAGGGTAAAGAGAGAAGCATATGCCTTTTGGGCACTCTTATATGTAGAAATACCACAAAACAACAGTTTTTATTTCGATGTATTGCTATCTTTAGGCTTGATGACTGTTGATTGCAAGAATTTCATCTACAGATTTTTTTTTTAGTCCAGAGGACTTGCAGCCTGACATCATAGGGAGGAGAAAGCCCCCAACCCTCTACCTTGCTACCGAGTACCATTTGCCGTCATTCTACAACTGCTCCAGCATGACACTTGGATTAAGGTGTTAGACTCAAACTTGATCAAAACTGCCCAATAGCCTAGGGAATGTGTTTTATGGAGATACACAAAGTTGGAAGTATTTGATTGAGGCTCTAGAGTGGTGAGTAGAACCCAGGTGTTACAGCCAGGAGACCAGAGTTTCAATCACACTATTATCACTTATATAGGTTGCTGCAAAAGTAATATTTCTGAAGGTAAATACATTATTTCACCCCTTTAAAGCCCCACTGACTTGTATTGTATTTGCAATGATTAGATCTAAAAGTGACTTAAAATAAGCAAATATCCTAATACAGTACCTGTCACAAAGATGATTCTCAATAAATAATGTTACATTCACTTCTGAATTTATCGACCTCTAGGGAGTTGTTCTCTTTTTCCATATATCTGAGCACATATTAATTTTATTTCTGTAATTATGATTTGTCAAAACAGCCCCACTTTTCATTTGGACTTCTTGAAATATTAAGGATCAGCAAAAGCTAAGAATGTTCACCATGTAGATAACACATAAGTCAGTCATGTTAAAGCAAGCTAGGTGTGGCATATTATTTAAGAGAATTGACTCAACCTAGAAACCTTCAATCTTGCAGTGTAACTGTCCACCAAGTTCCACTTGGCCAAAGGAATGTATGTATGTATGTATGCACATTTTGCTGAGGAGACAAACAAATAATTTGCTGGGAATTAGTAATTTAGTTTGTAATGAGAACTCAAAACTGTTGACCCTACAATATAGGCAGTGGGATCTGATGGTGATTTTTAAATAACCTTTTTGAGAAATTGACAATAATTGTTCTCCACTAGGACTTAAACAAGAGTATATTATGTTTGGTTCTAGGCACTGTTTTCTGCAAATAGCAAGTGGGCCCTTTTTTTCTAAGGAGGAAATACCCGAGTACAGTTTACTAAACTTACATAGCACTCCCTACATAAAGGACAGTTTCCATGTGTTTTATATTCATTACTTCATATAACTCTCACACATGAACATTGTGAGATATTTTCTTATTTGAAAAAGGAACTGATTACTATTTGCAGATAATACTTCATGTCTTCATCTTCTGTTTCTCAAAACTTCTCCTCAACTATAATAGTTTTGGGGAGGGTAACTATACTTCCAGTTTTGCCTGGTGTGGTTCTAGGTTAATGAAAGTTGCCCTGGTGCAATTAATCATGGTTTTCCATTTTAGTATTGCTCCAGTTTGGAGAATAAATTATATAGTCCCCTGGTTAGGGGACCTGTATTCATTTTCCAGTATGCTGTGGACAATGCTGGGTCCTGCTTTCTTGAGAACCTGAGGCCACCCGTGTCCTTGACCCATTCTTTCTGTATAATCTGTCCTGCCAGCACTTTCTCTGCTTTGGAGAATAGTTTCAAGAATAATAAGAAGAAATAAGATAGTCAAAGGATTTTTTTCCCAACCATTTGTGTTATGGGAACATTCACTTTTTCTATGATTTCATAATGTCACCTGTGTAAAACCAATAAACATCTCCCACGTATGGTATCAAGAATATTGATCCTTAATAACTTTGTGTTCAACAGCATTTATATAATTATGTTTCAGATTGGGGTGGCAAGTAATTAGTGGGTTGTAAATTCTATTTAATGTTTCCAAAGAATCATTTAAAAGCAAAATAGAAATCTAGTGAAGAATATCAGAATGTGTTGCACAGATTAGAGGACACATTACTTGGAAAAAATTTTGTTTCATATGTTTTTGAATAGAGAAGAGACAAATATATTAAGCTCTACCATGTGTTGGGTGTTGTGTTAGATATTTTTGCATTCTTTAATCTACAAAATATTTTTAAATCAATATTATTAACCCTTGTTTCTATTGAACATTAAAGTGAAAGTAATACGTTGCACAAACATAATCTTTGCTTTTAAGCTGTTTTAACTTCTTTAGACAATATTTTAGGTTCCCATCTTAGGACTTCTGATGCAATATTTTCATACCTGTGGGTCCTTGTCCTTTCCTTGACTTCTCGTTTAGCTACGGTTTCAATATACTGATGCTTCTTTTAATTGCCATCACTGTAGACCATTGTTTTAACAATTAATATTCTTTTAAGCAGTGTTAGGCAAACAAAATATTTCTGCATCTCACGATGTTGAATAAATCAGTGGGGAATGGATATGTTCAAATTTCTGCAAATTCTAATAGCTTTGCATGTTTTACTGTGTTTTTAGAATATAACATTGGCTGGGCATGGTGGCTCATGCCTGTAATCCCAGCACTTTGGGAGGCCAAGGCGGGTGGATCACAAGGTCAGGAGTTCGAGACCAGCCTGGCAAACATAGTGAAACCCCGTCTGTACTCAAAATACAAAAATTAGCTGGGCATGGTGGTGGGTGCCTGTAGTCCCAGTTACTCGGGAGGCTGAGGCAGGAGAATCTCTTGAACCTGGGAGGCGGAGGTTGCAGTGAGCTGAGATTGTACCAGTGCACTCCAGGCTAGGCGACAGAGGGAGACTCTGTCTCAAAAGAAAAAAAAAAAGAATATAACATCTACTTTTAAAAAGTAATGTTCTTGTTGTAGTCATCCAGATGATTTCAGAAAACAGTAAGTCTGGACTAGCTTAAATGAAGTTTTTTATTATGAATTTTAAATTTTTTGGATTGTGCATTCCATGGTGGGAAAGTCCGTGCAGACATTTATTGACTTAAGTTTGGGGTTAATAGTTCTGTGAAAGAAGACCGATAGGATTTGTGGAGTACATTGCATTTGTGGGAAAATAGTCCTATTAGCAGTAATGTTTCAGCAGCAGCTGTAGGACAGCAGGTTACAAAGTTGTATGAAGAAAGGTCACAGGTAGGTGAGAGAAGAAGAAGAGAGAGAGAGAGAGAGAGAGAGAGAGAGAGAGAAAGTATCAAGTTCAACACAGATGTTACATCTCCATTGCCAGGTCAGGCAACTCGTTGTCTATTATATTAAAATTATCTGTATTTTCACCAAACTTTCTATCTTCCCAGAAGCATCCTTTTTTGGGGGGATTTGGTTCCTAGTTTCATAATTTTTTTTCTAATGTAACCATTATTCACATGTTAAATTGAGTTCTTTTGAAGTTTAACATACAGTTGTAGCTTGCTGGGTTTACCTATATAAGAAAGCATTACCAAGACAGTTTCTAATTCTCCCATTGTTTTTATTTCTTGTTAAGACCTCAGTGGACCAGTTCTGATACTAACAAACCATCACCTGGGCCTCAATGCATGGCATTTCTTCCCTGAAATGGTGTTCTGCTGTTATTGGGTTAGTATAGTGATGCTCAAACCTGGCTACGTATGAGAAATACAAAATATTCATGGCTGGGCTCCATGCCCAGGTATTCTGATTTGATTTGGTATTACATTTCACACTGGTATTATTAATAAGCTACCCAGGTGATTTTAATGTGTGGTTCTGTTTGAGAAATACTGGTGTAAGGTAAATTACTAGACAAATTTGAAAATAACTTATATGGTAGTTAGAAGAGTGTTTTTCTAAAACAAAATCGTACATTTACTTGTGTATCTTCATAGCCCTGGCTTATCTAATCCTTAGAAGATGAAGTTCAAGCTCAAGTTCTTGTTCCTCTCCAGCCTCACTGCATGGTAGGTTCCTCCTTTTGATATACATTCCAGTAATACCAAAGTGATGGTAGATTCCCAGTTATACTCATGTTAGTTGTATTTCTGTACCCCTGTCCGTCTAAAATGCCCTTTGTCTTCCTACCTTCTTATTGCTGATGCTGATACTGTCCAATCACATTTCAGAAACTTCCATTCTAGAAAAATTCCCACGATGCTTCATGTAGCACACCCTCCTTTAATAACTTTAAACTTCATGCAGTTATAGAGTTATAAATGTCCCTTCATGTTGTAATTTATTTATTCTGCAACTATCTTAGGTTGTGGATCCCTTGAGTGTTTGGAGAGAAATAGCCTTTTGTCTGTATCCATGTGTGGATATGGATGTACATAGTAGATACTCAATAAATATTTGTGAAATTAGCTATATTTCCTCCTTCATAACTTTAAAAAATAACTTAAAAACAGTATTCAGGGCTGGGCATGGTGCCTCATGTCGGTAATCCCAGCACTTTGGGAGACCGAGGCGGGTGGATCACTTGAGGTCAGGAGTTTGTGACCAGCCTGGCCAAACATCATGAACCCCATCTCTATTAAAATTACAAAAATCAGCTAGGCGTGGTGGTGTGCACCTGTAGTCCCAGCTACTCAGGAGGCTGAGGTGGGATAATCACTTTAACCTGGGAGGCAGAGGTTGCAATGAGCCAAGATCATGCCACTGCACTCCAGCCTGGGTGACACAGTGAGATTCTGTCTCAAAAAAACAAAACAAAACAAACATTATTCAACAGATTGATGTCTCCTGCTACCTAAATTCCTTACTCTTTGTGTGCCACAATTTGAGCTCAGTGAAAAAAATCCAAAGTCTTTTTTTTCCTTTTAATCTATTGATATTGTCTTCATTCACTTCAAAGGTAAGTAGCTTGACATAAAAATTGTGTTGAGATATGGGAAAGACAAAGACAACCATGAGCTCTTGCTCTTAACAAGATTCCTCATTTATAAGAAGAAGGTAAATGAAGATTGGAGGATGCAATTTCTGTAAATACAGTGGAAATGTTTTTAAATAATAAATAGGAGAAATTCCAAGTAGGGATTACTGATAGTTACACAAAGATTTCAGGTTTTGCCACTATATTCTCAAAACGTATTTGAAATTTCAATTAGCATTAATTATTCTGCATGTAACTATTTTATGACATGACATATAGTTTTTCAACTCAAGGAACTGCTAGAACTATAGGTTTCTTGTTGAAATTGTTTTTATTATTTTTCTATCTTTTCTACTCTGCATTTTTCTTTCCTTCCTTCCATCCTTCTTTTGTTCCTTTTTCACTTATTTTCCTCCATCTCTTCTTTTTCAATGTCTCTGTCTCACTTTCTCTTATTCTTTCTTCCTCTAAATTTGAAAACATTGAAACATTTTTTACATATCTATTTCTCATATCCACTACATTCCATTACTGTTCTAAATGCCAGTAAGTCAAAGATAAATAAGCCATAGCAACTATCCTTAGAAAGTAAGAGTTTCATGAGGCAGAAAGACAAAAATCAAACAATTGCAATGATAGATGTTATAGATATTAAAATAGATGTATTGCAAGGTGCTATGAGAGCAAAGAAGAGCAAACAGAATGCCTTATGAAGTGTAAAATATTCTTAAAAGGTCAAAGGAGAGAACAAACAGGATAATTTTGAGCTGCTATCATGTACAAGCTTACTACTGAGCATTGGTTTCTTCACGTTATTAACACATACAGTCTTCATAATTAACTGTATAAGATGGGAACCATACTTATCACCATTCATTTAGATTTGAAAACTAAACTAGAAAAGTTGTGTGAATTTCCAAGGTTTCATGTCTAAGGTGATGTCTTCTTGCCTTAAATATAATTATTAATATTATTATATGCAGCTTTAAGGGACTACACACTACTTGGTGCTGCTTGTTATTATTGGGGATAGAAGATGTAGCTGTAAGTTAGCTAAATTTGTTAAGAGTTAAGTCTGTGCCAAGTACTCTACTAGGTCTTTGTGATATTAACTCATGAACACCAATTTGAAGTCCGCAGTCCTATGATCTATTTTAAAGATGAGTAAACTGAGTGTAAACCAAAGGTTAGGATTATAAAGGTTAAGAAAGGTAGAATTGACTGTTGTACATAGCCACTTTTGAGCTAGCCATGCATGAGAAACAAGACAGACTTTTGCAAGAACAAGTCATGATAACAACTATGACTTTGAGGTGTCATGTAAGCAACACAGATGACAGGTGCTTTACATCAAATACTACCCATAGAAGCAAGCTCCACTTTTCGCACTAT
The DNA here is from genome assembly GCF_000001405.40 of Homo sapiens. Lineage (NCBI taxonomy): Eukaryota > Metazoa > Chordata > Mammalia > Primates > Hominidae > Homo > Homo sapiens. The sequence goes on from NC_000017.11 coordinate 52,573,247, forward strand.
CTGGACCAGTTAAGGTAGCAGCAGCATGGTGTGATAGAGGTCACTTGAGCTATGGAGTCAGCACAGAATTTCAATTCTACCTATGCTCTCGCTTCAGTAATCTTCAGAAAATTACTAAAATCTCGAGGTCTCAAATTCCTCATATTTCTAATTGGGAGAGTGATAAATATTTCAAATGATAGGTGGACCAATTGCATAGTTCATTCACATGCTTGGAGCTCAGCAAATATATATATTTTTCTACTTATACTTAATTTGATTCCAAAATTTTACTGGTATGGTAAATAATAAAACTTAGAATAAAGTATCATTTTGACCAGTTTCTAAGCAATTTAAATCCCCCATTGTGGTTTTGTGTCTGAAGCTGGTTCCTGCCGGTGGGTTCGTGGTCTCGCTGACTTCAAGAATGGAGCCACAGACCCACCAGCAGGAGCCAACTCCAGACACATCTTAGGGACTCATCTGGGATTCACCACGCATTGAGTACCACTGGACACCTTTCGCTTGCTATTCTGTCTTATTTTTCCTTAGAATTAAGGGGCTAAACACTGGGCACCTGTTGGCCAGTTAAAAGCAACTAGCATGGCTGCTGGACTAAAGACACGGGTGTCAGGCTTTCTGGGAAAGGGCTCTCTAACAACCCCCAACTCTAAGGAGTCAGGAGCGTTAGTTTGCCTGGAAGCAGCTTCTGCTTTTCCTGCACTTCTGGGCTGAGCAGAGGGTCGACAGAGAGGAAAGCCATTCAGCTCCAGGGTCCCGACAAAAAGTTGGTTGACCCTGCAGCCATGAGCAGAGCTCTCAAAGTTACGTTGCCAAAGTGAGACTTGCCCATCTATCCCATCTATCCTGACCCTTGTCTCCTGGGTCTTAACACCCATCAGTCAAACTTCTTCCTGCCTCTCTTCTCCGAGGCTAGTCCTGCTTCTAAAAACCACTCCCTGTCCCTGGTACTCTTCTAGTTTCTCCTGTAAGGATGATTTCTAATATAAATTTTGGGACTCTGTTCCTTTCTTTAAGCACCCGGGCTCACCAATCAGAAAGACATAATTTTTGCCCAAAGCCCCATCGGGGGGGACTATATAGAATTTTAGGATCCCTCCTCAGACTAGCAGGCCTAACAGAGGCTATTCCCGAAGCTAGAATATGGGGAGCCTCAGAAATTATAGACTCCAAAATTGGAGGATATCCCTCCTATTCATATGTAAAGTGAGGACAAAAAGCATCACTCTTCCAACCCTGGAGATCCCTTCCCTCCCTCAGGATGTGGCCCTTCACTCCATTTTGAGGCATATCATGTTTACAGGACAAGGGTAAAGTCCCAATACCAACAGGAGAAAATGCTTATGACTCTAACTAACAGGTTTTCGAGACTGCGTCGGTAAAAGCCACTAAATCCCACCTTTCTCGGTCCTCTTTGTGGTCTAAGAGGAAAGGCAATGATGCAGGTTTTTGAGAATGTGTCAGTAAGGGCCACTAAATCTGACCTTCCTCGGTCCTCTTTGTGGCCTAGAAGGAAAACAAGTGTTTCTGCTGCTGCTTTGGTGAGCACAACTATCCCTAACAGCAGGGTCCAGGGACCATTGTAGGGTCTTGGGTGGGGGAAAAAAACAGGCCAAAACTGCAAGAATTTTTTTTTCTTTCTGTTTTAGATGGGAAACACTCAGGTATCAACAAGCTCACCCCTGAAATGCATCCTAAGCCATTGGGGCCAATTAGACCCACAAACCCTGAAAAAGAAGCAGCTTACTTTTTTCTGCACTACAGCCTGGCCTGAATATTCTCTCTCTGAAGGGGAAAAATGGCCACCTGAGGGAAGTATAAATTACAATACTATCCTGCAGCTTGATGTTTGCTGTAAGAGGGAAGGCAAATAGAGTGAAATACCTTATGTCCAAGCTTTCTTTTCATTGAAGGACAATCCACAGCTATGCCAAGTTTGCAATCTACATTCCACAGGAGGACCTCTCAGCTTACCCCCATATCCTAGCCTCCCTACAGCTCCCCTTCCTATTAATCATGAGCCTCCTCTAATCTCCCCCACCCAGAAGGAAACAAGCAAAGAAATCTCCAAGGGACCATAAAACCCCCTGGGCTATCGGTTATGTCCCCTTCAAGCTGTAGAGGAAGGGGAATTTGGCCCAACCCGGGTACATGTCCCCTTCTCCCTCCCTGATTTAAAGCAGATCAAGGTAGACCTGGGGAAGTTTTCAGATGCTCCTCATAGATATATAGATGTCCTACAGGGTCTAGGGCAAACCTTCAGTCTCACTTGGAGAGATGTCATGCTATTGTTAGATCAAACGTTTGCCTTTAATGAAAAGAATGTGGCTTTAGCTGCAGCCCGAGAGTTTGGAGATAGCTGGTATCTTAGTCCAGTAAATGATAGAATGACAGCCAAAGAAAGGGACAAATTCCATACCAGTCAGCAAGCCATCCCCAGTATGGATCCCGACTGGGACCTCGACTCAAATCATGGGGACTGGATTTGCAAACATCTGTTGACCTGTGTTACAGAAGGACTAAGGAGAATTAGGAAAAACCCCATGAATTATTCAATGATGTCCACCATAACTTAGGGAAAGGAAGAAAATCCTACCGCCTTCTGCGAGTGGCTATGGGAGGCTTTAAGAAAATATACTCCCTTGTCACCTAACTCCCTCGAGGGTCAATTGATCCTAAAAGATGTTTATTACCCAATGAGCCACAGATATCAGGAGAAAGCTCCAAAAGCTAGCCCTGGGCCCTGAACAAAATTTGGAGGCATTATTAAACCTGGCAACCTCGGCATTCTATAATAGGGACCAAGAGGAACAGACCAGAAAGGAATAGCGAGATAAGAGAAAGGCCACAGCTAAGAGAAAGGCCACAGCTTTAGTCATGGCCTCAGACAAACAAACCTTGGTAGTTCAGAGAGGACAGAAAACGGAGTATGCCAATCACCCGGTAGGGCTTATTATCAGTGTGGTTTGCAAGGACACTTTAAAAAAGATTGTCCAACAAGAAACAAGCTGCTCCCTCACACATGTCCACTATGCCAAGGCAATCACTGGAAGGAACACTGCCCCAGAGGACAAAGGTTCTCTGGGCCAGAAGCCCCCAGCCAGATGATCCAACCACAGGACTGAGGGCACCCAGGGCAAGTGCCAGCTCATGTCATCACCCTCACTGAACCCTGGGTAAGTTTAACCACTGAGATTCAGGAAATTGACTTCCTCCTGGACAGTGGTGTGGCTTTCTCAGTGTTAATCTTCTGCCCTGGACAGCTGACCTCAAGGTCCATTACCATCCAAGGAATCCGGGGACAGCCGTAACCAGGTATTTCTCCCACCTCCTCAGTTGTAATTGGAGACTTTGCTCTTTTCACATGCCTTTCTTGTTATGCCTGAAAGTCCCACACCCTTATTAGGGAGGGACACATTAGCCAAAGCTGGAGCTATTATCTATGTGAATATGAGGTACATGTTACCCATTTGTTGTCCCCTACTTGAGGAGAGAATCAACCCTGAAGTCTGGGCATTGGAAGAATAATTTGGAAGGGCAAAAAATGCCTGCCTAGTTCAAAGCAGGCTAAAAGAACCCACCACTTTTCCTTATCAAAGGCAATATCCCTTAAGGCCTGAAGCCCATAAAGGATTACAGGATATTGTTAGACATTTAAAAGTTCAAGTCTTAGTAAGAAAATGCAGCAGTTCCTGCAACACCCCAATTCTAGGAGTACAAAAACCGAATGGTCAGTGGAGACAAGTGCAAGATCTTAGACTCATCAGTGATGCAGTAATTCCTCTATATCCAGCTGTATCCAACCCCTATACCTTGCTCTCTCAAATACTGGAGGAAGCAGAATGGTTCACTGTTCTGGACCTCAAGGATGCCTTCTTCTGCATTCCCCTGCGCTCTGACTCCCAGTTTCTCCTTGCCTTTGAGGATCCCACAGACCACACATCCCAACTTACGTGGACGGTCTTTACTCAAGGGTTTATGGATACCCCTCATCTGTTTGGTCAGTCACTGGCCCAAGATCTAGGCCACTTCTCAAGTCCAGGCACTCTGGTCCTTCAGTATGTGGATGATTTACTTTTGGCTAAACAGCAGGCTACTCTAGATCTCTTGAACTTTCTAGCTAATCAAGGGTACAAGTTGTCTAAATTGAAGGCCCAGCTCTGCCTACAAGTCAAATATTTAGGCCTGATCTTAGCCAGAGGAACCAGAGCCCTCAGCAAAGAATGAATACAGCCTATACTGGCTTGTCCTTGCCCTAAGACATTAAAACAGTAGTGGGGGTTCCTTGGGATCACCAGCTTTTGCTGACTATGGATCCCCAGATACAGTGATATAGCCAGGCCACTCTAAAATCAAGGAGACCCAGAGGGCAAATATTCATCTAGTAGAATGGGAACCAGAGGCAGAAACAGCCTTCAAAACCTTAAAGCAGGCCCTAATACAAACTCCAGCCTTAAGCCTTCCCATAGGACAAAACTTCTCTTTATATGTCACAGAGAATGGGAATAGTTCTTAGAGTCCTTACTCAGACTCGTGGGACAACCCCACAACCAGTGGCATACCTAACTAAGGAAACCGATGTAGTAGCAAAAGGCTGGTCTCACTGTTTACAGGTAGTTGTGGTGGTGGCCAGCTTAGTATCATAGGCTATCAAAATAATACAAGGAAAGGATCTCACCATCTGGACTACTCATGTTGTAAATGGCATACTAGGTACCAAAGGAAATTTATGGCTATCAGACACCCACCTGCTTAGATACCAAGTGCTACTCCTTGAGGGACTGGTGCTTCAAATATGCACATGTGTGACCCTCAACCCTGCTACTTTTCTCCCAGAGGATGTGGAACCAATAGAGCATGACTGCCAACAAATTGTGGCCCAGACTTATGCCACCCGAGAGGATCTCTTAGAAGTCCCCTTAGCTAATCCTGACCTTAACCTATATACCAGTGGAAGTTTATTTGTGGAGAATGGGATATGAAGAGCAGGTTATGCCATAGTTAGTGATGTAACTACTTGAAAGTAGGCCACTTCCCGCAGGGACCAGCACCCAGATAGCAGAACTAGTGGCGCTTACCCAAGCCTTAGAACCGGGAAGGGAAAAAAGAATAAATGTGTATACAGGTAGCAAGCATGCTTATCTAATCCTACATGTCCATGCTGTGATATGGAAAGAAAGGGAGTTCCTTTACAGAAAGGGGAACCCCCATTAAATACCACAAGGATATCATGGAGTTATTGCACACAGTGCAAAATCCCAAGGAGGTGGCAATTTTACAGTGCCAAAGCCATCAAAAAGTTGAAGGAGAAAAAGCAGAAGGAAACTGTTGGACAGATGCTGAGGCCAAAATTGCTTCCGGGGGAACTTCCCATTAGAAATACCTATGGAAGGACCCTTGGTATGGAACAACACTTTCCAAGAGATTAAGCCCCAGTATTCCCCAGCCGAAACAGAATGGGGACTTTCATGGGGGCATAGTTTTCTCCCCTTGGGGTGGTTAATGACAAAAGAGGGAAAGGTATTCATACCCGAAGCCAGCCAGTGGAAAATACTTAAGACCCTTCACCAAACTTTTCATATGGGTATTGAGAACACTCTTCAAATGGCCAAATCTGTATTTACAGAGTCAAATCTCCTCCAGACCATCTGACAAGTAGTCAAAGCCTATGAGGTGTGCCAAAGGAATAATCCGTTGGTCCACTGTAAGGCCCCTCTGGGGGAACAAAGAATAGGGCACTATCCTGGAGAGGACTGGCAGTTAGACTTCACCCATATGCCTAAGTCAAGGGAGTTCAATACTTTTTGGTCTGTGTTGATACCTTTATAAATTGGATAGAAGCCTTCCCCTGCAATACAGAGAAGGCTCAGGAAGTGGTTAAAGTCCTAATTCATGAAATCATTCCTAGATTTGGTCTTCCCCAAAGCTTACAAAGTGACAGTGATCCAGTTTTTAGAGCCATGTAACTCAGGGAATTTCCAGGGCACCAGGGATACAATATCACCTTCATTGCACCTGGAGGCCACAATTCTCAGGGAAGGTCGAGAAGGCAAATTGAACACTCAAGAGGCACTTAAGGAAACTAACACAGGAAACTCATCTCCCATGGCCTACTCTCTTGCCCATGGCCTTGTTGAGAATCCATAATTCTCCTCACAAAATGGGGCTCAGTCCATATGAAATGCTGTATGGACGACCTTTTCTCACAAAAGACCTCCAAGTCATCCAAACAGCTCCATTCAGATGGCTTGTCAGCTTCTCAGAGCCCCCCCAAAATCATCACATCCTCCCTGCTTAACAGTCTGGGTTTTGTAATGGCAAACATACTCCCTGCATGACCATTCACCCCTGGAACCCCTGTGGCAGCACACCCACCACTAGTGAATGCCTTCTCATCCCCAATTTCAATTACTCTCTAGAATGGTTCCTAGTAGATACAAAACGGTTTTTTTCTCCAGTGAGAAAATAGAACACAGGGAGCCTCTCAGTTTGTTCCCAACACCATTTTCCAGCCACTCACTGGAGCTACCTTTGCAAGTACTCTAGGAGTATGGTAAAATGAAAACAACAAACTCACACACCTTTTTAACATACACAACCAGTTCTGTCTACCCAGCCAAGGCATATTCTTCTTATGTGGAACTTCAACATATATCTGCCTTCCCACCAACTGAACAGGCACCTGCACCTTAGTCTTCCTAAGTCCCAACATTGACATTGCCCCAGGAAATCAGATCCTATCAGTGCCCCTCAAAGCTCAAGTCTGTCAGTGCAGGGGCATACAAGTAATGCCTCTACTTACAGGGTTAGGAATAACCACTGCTACAGGATCCGGAATAGCCATTTTATCTACTTCATTATCCTACTACCACACACTCTCAAAGGATTTCTCAGACAGTTTGCAAAAAATAACAAAATCTGTCCTTACTCTACAGTCCCAAATAGACTCTTTGGCAGCAGTGACTCTCCAAAACCACCGAGGCCTAGTCCTCCTCACTGCTGAGAAAGGAGGACTTTGCACCTTCTTAGGGGAAGAGTGTTGTTTTTACGGTAACCAGTCAGGGATAGTATGAAATGGTGCCCAGCATTTACAGGAAAAGGCTTCTGAAATCAGACAACGCCTTTCGAACTCTTACACCAACCTCTGGAGTTGAGCGACATGGCTTCTCCCCTTTGTACATCCTGTGACAGCCATCTTGCTATGACTCGCCTTTGGCCCCTGTATTTTTAACCTCCTTGTCAAACTTGTTTCCTCCAGGATTGAGGCCATTAACCTACAGATGGTCTTACAAATAGAACCCCAAATGAGCTCAACTCACAACTTCTTCCGAGGACCCCTGGACCAACACACTGGTCCTTTGACTGGCCTAGAGAGTCCCTCTCTGGAGGACACTACAACTGCAGGGCCCCTTCTTCACTCCTATCCAGCAGGAAGTAGCTAGAGTGGTCATCGCCCACTTCCCAGCAGTTGAGGTGTGCTGTTAAGAGGGGGGATTGAGAGGTAAGGCCAGTTGGACTTCCTGGGTTGAGTGGGAACTTGGGGAACTTTCCTGTCTTACAAGACAATTGTAAAATGCACCAATCAGTGCTCTGTAAAACACACCAATCAGCACTCTGTAAAATGCACCAATCAGCAGGATTCTAAAAGTAGCCAATCGTGGGAAGGATTGAAAAAAGAGCACTCTGATAGGATAGAAATGGAACATGGGAGGGGACAATAAGGGAACAAAAGCTGGCCACCCCAGCCAGCAGCAGCAACCTGCTCGGGTCACCTTCCACTCTGTGGAAGCTTTGTCCTTTCACTCTTCGCAATAAACCTTGCTGCCGCTCACTCTTCGGGTCTGTGTCATCTTTCAGAGCTGTAACGCTCACCGTGAAGGTCTGTGGCTTCATTCTTGAAGTCAGCGAGACCACAAACCCACTGGCAGGGACCAACTCTGGACACAGTTTGATATTTCAATGAAACTCCACTTAAGCTCATTATTTCCTCAAAAAGTATATTCTTTGTTTGTTTTGCATGTCTTATGTTTTGACTTCCTAATACTCCAGCATTTTAAAGCCAATTCTCACTGTTATTATTGAGTCTATAACACTGTATCATATAGGCTTATACTTTGTATTTATTATGTGAGTACATATTCCTGGAGTAGATGCCTGGACTTCATCATTTCAAAGTCTCAGAAAGAAGGCTTTTCTCTCTAAACTCCTGCCCTACTTTGAAAAGGAGAAAAAACTGCTGAACAGGAGCTTGGGGTGATGGAATAGTGGAAGACATTTTGTAGCAAAATTAAATGATTCAGGAATATAAATCAGCTTATAATTCAACTAAGTCTTGAGGGAGTAATTTTTGGCACTGAGACAACTGCTGTGGATAGACCCACACCTGTATCTTATGGTATCACTTGCCTTATCTTTATTTTCTTCTCTCCACTTCTAGGCTAAGTTTAGTTTATTTTCTGCAGCTTGTCTTATGGAATACCCTTAAATGGCTTCAGGGTTCTCTCATAGGTGCATATTGTAGCCCATTATTGCTTAGGGAGCCAGCAGGCAGAGGAGCAAAGGAGAGTAATGAGTCCTTACATAACACTGCAGTATTTGCTGTTCCCAACTGCTCTGTTCCTTGCTAAGGCAGTATGGGGAGCAGTTACCTCTACCACATACAGTCTGAATGTCTTAATCATTCTTGGAAAAACAATTTCAGTACACTCATTAGAGCCAAAAGAGTTCCATTTCTCCAAAGGGATTTTTGAAATGGGAACACTGAAGTAGAATCTGACAGAGGCAGAAAAGCCAGAGGTATTCAAAGGGATAAGAATAAAAACAAAGGCAGGGAGGATCGTGTTTAGAGTCTGTCATTGGGAATGAAACAAGCCCCCATTTGATCCAGGTTTTTATGACCATCATAATAGACATAGCCACTTGAATATATAAAGATTTCTTCCTATGTGTATAACAAAATGAAAATATTAATTGGCCATCTCTGAATAGACATCAAAGTCAGACAAAACTTCTTTTGTGATTATCTTTTGGGAGTCATAAGGGTAAAGATAAGAGGATTTTCTACTGCTGGCCATGCTAAGGTAGACTATGATCAGGTCTAATAGAGCCTGCTTCAAGGATCAGATGAGTATGAGACAACTTCTTATACTTTAGGGAGAAGAGCAATAAAAAGTTTTCAATTCATCCTTCATCCTTAGTCCTCCCTATATTGCTGCTAGTAGCAGTACTGGGTGTAGGGCTCCAACGTCAGAGGCAATTCATATAGGACTCAGACTCATCAAGCAAACAACAAAGAACAAGAACCCAGCAGAGTGACTCTTTGTTATAAAGGAAGGTAAGATCCTTGAACAGTGTGTTTATACTGCTAGAATTCTCTCATACTCATCCACTCTGGCACTCTCTGCCATATCTTTGCAAAATGACTATGAGTGTGTATGATTGCACACATAAAAAATAGACTCACTAAAGAGTCTACAAAAGTAGACTCATTAAAGTGTATATATATATACACACACACATATATACACACATACATATTTATACACACACATATATATACACACATACATATATATACACATACATACAAGTATATTTTATATATATATGATAGTAGCAGCCAAGTCTAGGCATAGAATATCACAGTATGTAGTAGCTAATGTTGAACATAGTACTATAGAGGAGAGATTTCCTTTTATGCTTCCTACCCTCCTTCACTATCATACATATACATGCTAACACGTATATCAGTGATTCTTTTGCTGGATCAGAGGAGGTAGTGTATACTTTGGGCAATCCCGTCTAACAAGCACTGTATGGGTTGCCATGTGGCAGTTACACAACAAATAACACAGAATTTGGTGAATTGGATGCATAAAGTTTTCTTTTCCTTTCTTTCTGCATCTTTCTTTCCTTCTCTGAGAAACCAGGACCAAATTATCTCCTTGAGATTCATGGACTTATATTGGGACTGAGGACTTCCAAAGGAGGAGAAAAGGACATTGCCATTCATAGTCTGATGAGGCCAAGGTATAATTTAACTTTACACTAAAAAGAGTGGTATCATATTTTGTATTTAATGCTGGTGAGGTATGTGTTTCCTCTATTGTTTATTAACATAAACATGCATTTTAGAGCTTGAGACTTTACAGAAAAGAGGAATGCAAAAGAAAAGGGAAAGGAAATAGCATGTATTGGGCACATATAATGTTATGTTTTGGGTACGTAATCCGTGTGTTTAAAAGAACTCTTAGATGATACTAATAACTAAGCTAAATCCTAACCTTAACCTTAACTGTGTCCTTAATACCAGCATCAACACAAAACCCAGAGAACAAATAAGTTGGGCACACAATCTATTCCTATAAGCTTTCCAGATATGTTAGCTCATTCAATCCTACCAAAAGTTCTGTAAGATATTTCGGGTTGAATCTCTTTAAGGTGTAGGAAAGGTTGAGTAATTTACCTTAAGTCATATAATTATTGGAAGGTAGATTTGCAGTGTGAACTTAGAAGTAACTGACATTTAAAGATGGGGAGAATGAGATGAAATGTGAAGGAAAAAGCCTTGGAGACAGAGCCAAAACTGGATCTCAGATTCTATGCCTGCTAAAAAGTGTTCTTTCTAACCTACTATCTTCACTGGGGCTGTTAAGTGCCTATAAAATTAAGTATGAAAGTATCAATCGAAAGTGAGAAGGAAAAAAGGTGGAGAAAATTGCACTTGCCACAAACAGACTCAGGATTTTGATTCCCCTTCTTTCTTGGGTTACATAATCTAAACAAAAGAACTTCAAGAATTTTCAGTCACAGCTATAATGTCCCCGGTAATGTTTTTATGTAGCCTTTAAGTTTTTTTTCCTCTGCATTGCTTTTATTACCTGCTGAGTATTATTATATTTTACACATTATTTGACATGAAACCTTGCCCTTGATGAAATGACACTTTCTTATATTCTCTTGAAAGCTTGTAAGACCAGAAGCGGATTATTCCATAGCTTCTACCTTTCTTGAATAAAGCTACATGAATACACTGTAACTTTGGTCTTTGGAATGGAGTTTCTTAAAGAGAAATATAGATGGAAGAATATCATTTTGTCTTTTTATCTTTTATCATATGCAAGCATAGATGAGCAAAGAGTAATTCAAGAGAAGAAAGATTTTACATGACTTTTTTCATTGATTCATTTAGTAACTGGTAATATACTGACAACATATTATGTCTAATTATATTTGCCCAATATATATTATTAACAATTCAAATCTCACAGTATCGTGTTTTTCTGTTTATTTTTTTAAATTGACTTTATTTTTTAACTTATGAATTATATGTGATATTTTAATATAAGCATACTATGTATAATGATCAATTCTGGATAACTGGGATATTCATCACCTTGTTTTTCTATTTACATTTGTAATTGAGGGGGTCTGGGGTCAATTTGCAGTACAACTTGAATAAATGTAGAAAATCTAATGGTGTGCATTCTGTATTACTATTTGCTCACAGATTTTGACTTTGATATTTTACCCTTATTTTTCCATTCTCTGTTTTAAAAATATATTCATTTTTGTGTCTTAATTAATTACACTTATTTAAACTTTTTCAAATCCTTTTGGGAAATGAAGACGATAGGTAGAGGGTTAGTTAATAAGCAAGCAAGAAAGCTACATTAACTCCACGACGTTGTGTCAATCAGCCTGTTTTGTTTGTTTTCAGTTTAAAGTGAGAAATTTCTTAAAGGGATTTAAACAATTTATCCTGTTTGGCATGGTTCCTAATACCTATAAAGTATTTCCTGCTCTCTATTTTGAAACAAGAATGATAAATTGGACAAGGTTGATAGAATTGAACAGCAATACGTGTGTGACATTTTGCTGTCATGTCTTCAAATCTGTTCATATAATGGAAATTCTGCATTGTAGTTGAAAATAATTTATCTATTTTAATGCAGATGCAGATGTATTCAGTTCAACTGATTATTACTTCACTGTATACACTGATCAGTTATTTATGTTTGTCATCTTATTAGTGGCTTTTGATCACTTTGATTTTTTTAAGGGTGATTAAAAGATACTTGAAACATGTTGCAGTATCTTTCTTAAGTAGCCTAACAAATGTAATTAGTCAAATACTAAAGTTAACTCATAAAATTTGTGACTCACATAGAATAATCTTCAAAATAAAACTCTACTAACTTATAAGCTTAGGTATTAGTATGAACTAAGAGTTCTTCAGATCTTTCATTACTACTTTTTTCAAAATACCTGATCAGGATGAATAATCAGAGAAGGAATATGTGAATTGGGGGAGGTTTTACTGTATGATATAAACGAGATGATATAATCTGACTCTACCACAGTAAAATATACCAATTCTACTTTCATCGTCTCTAATACTAAGCAAAATATTTTAAGACACAACTGTAGCCCGAAATAGTAACTATACCATCTAAAAGCTAACCCTAATTCTAGCACTAATCTTAGCCAAAATCCTCATGCTAATGCTCAATCTATTTAAAGCCTCTTACTCTAGGAGATTAACATTTATTTTCATGCTAAAGTTGAATCCTAGCCTTACCCCTAACAGTACCCTTAATACCAGCATCAACACAAAAACCTGAAAAACAAATAAGTTTTAACTCACATATGAACTTTGACTGGTAGTGTGTTCTCAGGGTCACTTTGTTGAGGAAGATGCTAAAACTCAGTGGGAAAGAATTTGGAGACAATGAACCATGTCTTTCCTAATACAGAAGTAAAGGAGAGCAGCATGGGTGCCAAGCATTTGCTGTCCTTATCCTAATAATACCCCTTGCCCTGGTCTGGCCCTGACTCCCTAAAGGTAAACATTGCTGGCAAGTCATATGACAAGAGAAGAAAATTATTCTCTGCTTTGGTCTCTATTATAATAAAGAGTAGGGCATGAGTTCCTAAGGACCAAGTTTTCTTCCCTAGAGGAAATACACTTTTTTAAATGTCACAACTTGTCAAAATGATTCATTCATTCCATATATATGAAAGAATATAGACAAAGAATTTAGTATCTCAATGCTCCATTTTAATATTGAAGTGACTGATTACCAAAGAGACCACCTAACAATCATTCTGCTATCAAGAGGATACGTTTTCTTATTTTACTTCTCTGAGACATTTATGTAATATATCAAATGTTATTAATCCTTGCCAATTGTTAATTTGAAATAATTAATGGCGTATTTCACAGGATATAAGCATAATTTTCTCAGTGTAGTTTATTTTTCTAAGCACATGGGCATGATATTCAAGCCATGGCTAGAAAAATTCTTTTTAAATTAGTTTCATTGAAAATTCATAGTACAGATATAACTAAAAAACAGGATGATTAACTCCCAGATGCTCTTAAAGAGCTTCAACAATTATCAATCCATGGTTAATCTTATTTAGTTAATTTACATATTACTTATATGTTTTTATTCAAATTTTAGACATTATCTGAAAATATCTCTATAACTTAATGACTTGATTTTTAAAAATAGCTTAATTGAAGAATATTTGAATATCATAAAATTCACCTATTTAAAATGTACAATTCAGTGGTTTTTAGTATATTCAGAATTCTGTTAGAATTACCACAATCTTATTTAAGAACATTTTCATCACTCCCAAAAGAAACCCCATATACATTAGCAGTCACTCCACATTTTACTCCCACCAGCAACCCTAGGGAATCACTAATCTAGTTTTCTACATCTATTTTCCTATTCTGGACATTAAATATAAATTAAGTCACATTATATTTGATCTATTGTGTTTGCTTTCTTTAACTTGGTGTAATGCATTCGAGATTCATCCATGTTATATTATGTATCAGTACTTACTCCTTTTCATTACCTAGTAATACTCCGTTGTATGGATATAACACATTTTGTTTATTCATTCACAGTTGATACACATTTTGATTGTTTCCAAGTCAAGGTGTTTAGGATATTTATCACCATGAACATTTATAATTTATATGTTTTGAGAATATTTCAAGTTCTCGCTTCTAGCTATCCTGAAACGTGCATTACAATGTGGGTTAATATAGACACCTTACTCTACTTTCAAGCATTATAATTACTCCTTCTACCTAATTCTATGTTTGTACCCATTAACCAACCTCTTCATCCCTAACCCTGAAAACACACACATGCAGCTGGGTGCAGTGGCTCACGCCTGTAATCCCAGCACCTTGCGGGGCTGAGGTGGATGAATCACGAGGTCAAGAGTTAGAGACCATCCTGGTGAAACCCCGTTTCTACTGAAAATACAAAAATTAGCTGGGCGTGGTGGCGTGCTCCTGTAATCCCAGCGACTCGGGAGGCTGAGGCAGGAGAATCACTTGAACCCGGGAGGTGGAGGTTGCAGTGAGCTGATATCACGCTACTGCACTCCGGCCTGGTGACACAGTGAGACTCTGTCTCAAAAACAAGACAAACAAACAAAAAAGCAAAAACAACAAAACAAAATACCATGCATCCTTTCCAGCCTCTGGTAACCATTGTTCCACTTTTTACCTCTTTTAACTCCATGAGATCAACTTTTTTAGCTGCCACATATGAGTGAGAATATATGATATTTGTCTTTCTGCATTTTGCTTAGTTAGCTTAACAAAACAGCCTCTAGTTCCATTCATGTTGCTCCAGATGATTTCAATTTTTTATGGCTAAATAGTATTTCATTGTGTGATTGTACCACATATTCATTATCCATATATCCATTTGTGGATGCTTAGTTTGATTCACTCTCATTGCTATTGTGAATACTGCCACAAAAAAACATGGGAGGCATGTATCCCTTTGATACACTGATTTCCTTTCTATTGGATAAAACTCAGTGGTGAGATTGCTAGATTGTATGGTCGTACTATGTTTAGTTGTTTTTTTTTTTCCCTGAGGAATCTGAACACTAGTGTCTTTTTAATTTTTTTATTTTGTGGGTAGATAGGAGGTGTATATATTTATGGGGTACATGAGATATGTTGATACAGGAATTCAATTCAAAATAATCACATCAGGGTAAGTCGAGTATCCATCACCTCAAACATTTAAACTTTATTTGTGTTATGAACAATCCAATTATACACTTTTAGCTACTATAAAATGTACAATAAATTATTGTTGACTGTAATCACACTATTGTACTATGGAATTCTAGATCTTACTCATTCTAACTATATTTTGTTACCCATTAGCCATCCTCAATTTCCCCCAGCCTCTGGTGACCACTATTCTACACTCTATCTCCATGAGTTTGTTTTAATTTTTAGGTCATATGAATAAGTGAGAAAATGCAAACTTTGTCTTTCAGTGCCTGGCTTATTTCACTTAATATAACGTTCCCCAGTTCCATCCATGTAGTTGAAAATGGCAGAATCTCATTCTTTTCTACGACTCCCCAGTACTCCATTATGTATATGCATCGCATTGTCTTTATCCATTTGTCTGGATGGACACAGGTTGTTTCCAATTCTTGAATATTGTGAATAGTGATGAAACAAACATGTGACTGCCAGTATCTCTTTGATATACTGATTTCCTATCTTTGGATACATATCTAGCAGTGGGATTGCTGGATCCCACTGCTAGATATATATCCAGGTAGTTCTCTTCTTGCTTTTTTGAGGAAACTCCAAACCCTCCCAACTGTTCTTCATAGCAGTTGTACTAATTTTTTGTCAGATGGAAAGTTTGCAAATATTTTCTACCATTCTCTAGGTTGTCTCTTCACTTTGTTGATTTTTTTTCTGTGCAGAAACTTTTTAATTTGATGTGATCCCATTTATCCACTTCTGTGTTAGTAGCCTGTTTGTGGGATATTACTCAAGAAATCTTTGTCTAGATCTATCTTTGCTGGGGAGAGTTTCCCCAATACTTTATTTCAGTAGTTTCATTGTTTGGGGTCTTAGATTTAAGTGTTTAATCCAACTTGATTTGGTTTTATATAGCAACATATATGCATCTAGTTAGTTTCATTCTTCTGCATATGGATATCTAGTTTTCCCAGCACCATTTACTGAAGAGAGTGTCCTTTCCCCAATGTATATTCATGTCACCTTTATCAAAAATGAGTTTATTGTAGATGTATAATTTCCAGATTCTCTAATCTGTTCCATTGGTCTATATGCCTATTTTTATGCCAGTGCCATGCTGTTTTGGTTACTATAGCTCTGTAGCATAATTTGAAGTCAGGTAATGTGATGCCTCCAGCTTTATTCTTTTTGCTCAGGATAGCTTTGTCTATTCTGGATCCTTTGTGGTTCCATATAAATTATAAGATTGTTTTTACTATTTCTGTGAAGAATGTGATTAGTATTTTGATTGGGATTGCACTGAATCTGTAGATTGCTTTGAGTAGTATAGATATTTTAACAATATTGATTCTTCTAACCCATGAATGCATAGATTGTCTTTCAATTCTTTCTTGTCCTTTTCTATTTCTTTCATCAGTGTTTTATACTTTTCATAATAGAGATCTTACACACTTATTTGGTTTAGTTAATTCCTAGGTATTTAATTTTTGTGTGGCTATTGTAAATGAGATTACATTTTACATTTCTTCTTCTCATCATTCACTGTTGGCATATAGAAATGCTATTGATTTTTGTATGTCAATTTTGTATCCTTCAACTTTACTGAATTTGTTTATTAGTTCTAATAGTTTTCTTGTGGAGACTCCAAAAGAAAATTATTAGAACTAATAAACAAATTTAGTGGAGTCAACTATATTGTGGAATCAAATATAAAGTCATATTATCTGCAAACAAGAATAATTGGACTTCTTTCATTCCAGTTTGAATGCCCTTTATTTCTTTCTCTTGTCTAATTGCTTCAGCTAGGACATCCAGTATTATGATAAATAACAGTGGTGAAAGCAGGTATTCTTGTCTTCTTCCAGATGTTAGCAGAAAGCCTATCAGTTATTTCCTGTTAAATGTGATACTAGCTATGGGTCTGTCATATGTTTTTATAGTGTTGATGTATGTTCCCTCTATACAGAGTTTTTTTAGGGCTTTTTTTTTAATCATAAAGGAATGTTGAATTTTATCAAATAGTTTTTCAGCATCAGTTGAAACAATCATGTTTTTTTGTTCTTCATTCTGTTGATACGATATGAAATGAGTTTGGAAGTATCCCCTCCTCCTTTATGTTTTGGAAAAATTTGAGTAATATTGGTATTGGTTCTTCTTTAAATGCTTGGTAGAATCCAGTAGTGAAGCCAACAGGTCCTAGGCTTTTCTTTTCCTGGAGACTTTTTATTACGGCTGTCATCTCATTATTCATTATTGGTCTGTCTGGGTTTTGAATTTAATTGTTCAGTCTTCGTAAGTCATATGTGTCTAGAAATTTACCTATCTATTCAAAGTTTTGCAGTTTATTGGCATATAGTTGTACGTAGTTGCCTCTAATGGTCGCTTAAATTTATCTGGTGTCAGTTGTAATGTCTCCTGTTTTATTTCTGATGTTATTTATTTGAGTCTTCTCTCTTTATTTCTTAGTTAGCCTGGTTAAAGGATTGTCAATTTTGTTTATCTTCTCAAAAACCCAAGTTTTTCTTTTGTTGACATTTTGTAATTTTTTTATTTCCATTTCATTTATTTCTGCTCTGACCATTATTATTTCTTTTCTTCCATAAACTTAGGGTTTGGTTTCCTCTTACTTTTCCAGTGTTTTAAGGTGCATTGTCAGGCTGTTCATTTAAAGTTTTTCTAATTTTTTGATGTAAGTGTTTATTGCTATAAATTTTCCTGTTGGTACTACTTTTGCTGTATCCCACAAATGTTGGTATACTGTGTTTCCATTTTTATTGTTTCAAAAAAATTTTAAATTCTCATCTTAATTTCTTCATTGACCCATTGGTCATTCAGAAGTATATTGTGTAGTTTCCAGGTGTTTGTATAGTTTCCAACATTTGTCTCGTTATTGAGTTCTAGTTTTATTTCATTGTTGTCAAAGAAGATATTTAATATAATTCCAATTTTCTTGAATATTTTAAGACTTGTTTTTTGGCCTAATGCATAGTTTACCCTTATGAGAGATCCATGTGCTGAGGAGAAGGATGCATACTCTGCAGCTGTTGGATGAAATGTTCTACAGTGCAGATTAAGTCTGATGTTTCTTTGTTGATTTTCTGTTTCAATGATCTTTCTAACGCTAAAAGTGGGATGATTAAGTCTTCAGCTCTTATTGTATTGGAGTTGTTCTCTCTCTTTAGCTCTAATATTTGCTTTATATGTCTGAATGCTCCAGTGTTGGGTGCATATATTTACAATGGTTATATCTTCTTGCTGAATTGTCTTCTTTATATAATGATCTTGTCTTTTTTTAAATAGTTTTTGTCTTGAAATCTATTTTGTCTGATAGAAATATAGATACATCTGCTCTTTTTTGGTTTCCATTGGCATAGGATATCTTTTTCCATTTCTCTTAATTTTCAATCTATGTTTATCTTTATAGGTGAAGTCTGTTTCTTACAGGGAACAGACCACTGGGTCTTGTGTTTTTTATCCATTCAGCCACTCTATGTCTTTTGATTGGAGATATTAGGCCACTTATTTTCAATGTTATTAATGATAAGTATAAACACTCTCCTGTAATTTTTGTTATTTTCTTTCTGGTTGTTTTGTTGCCTTCTTTTCCTTCTTTCGTTCCTCCTTCCATCTTCCTTTTAGTGAAGGTGATTTTCTCTAGTGCCATGTTTTAATTTCTCACTTTTGTTTTTTTTTGTGTGTGTATCTGTTGTGTGTTTTTTTATTTCAGATTACCATGAGGCTTACAAATAATATAACCCACTATTTTAAGCTGATGACAACTTAACACTGATTGCAAAAATAAACTATTAGTAACTAAGAGATAGCTTATAAAACTCTACACTTTTTATCCATCGTTTTTAACTTCTTGTTGTTTCTATTTGTACCTTGTTATACTGTCTATGCCTTGAAAAGTTGTTGTAGTTATTATTTCTGACCAACTCATCTTTTAGTCTTTCTACCCAGAATATAAGTAGTTTGCATACCATTATTGCACTGTTATAATATTGTTTTTCTGTGTACTGTTACCAGTGAGTTTTGTACCTTCAAATGATTTCTTATTGCTCATTATCACTCTTTCCTTTCTGATTAAAGAAGTCTCTTTTGCATTTCTTGAAGGACAAGTCTTGTGTGATGAAATCCCCCAACTTGTTTGTCAAGGAAAGTATTCCTCCTTCATGTTTGAAGGATGTTTAAATTGGATATACTATTCTAAGATAAAAGCTTTTTATTTCCTTCAGCACTTTAAGTATGTCATGCCACCCTCTCCTGGCCTATAAAGATTCCACTGAGAATTCTGCCAGATGTTTTGGAATGCCCTTCCATGTTATTTGTGTGTGTGTGTGTGTGTGTGTGTGTGTGTGTGTGTGTGTGTGTGTGTTTCTTGCTGCTTCTGTCGCCCAGGCTGGAGTGCAGTGGCTTGACCTCGGCTCACTGCAAGCTCCACCTCCCAGGTTCACACCATTCTGCCTCAGCCTCCTGAGTAGCTAGGACTATAGGTGTCCACCACCATGCCCGGCTAATGTTTTGTATTTTTAGTAGAGATGGGGTTTCACCATGTTAGCCAGGATGGTCTCGATCTCCTGACCTCGTGATCCACCCGCCTTAGCCTCCTAAAGTGCTGGGATTACAGGCGTGAGCCACTGTGCCCGGCCAAGGGGAGTTTGATTATTAACTATCTTGAAGTAGTCTTATTTGGGTTAAATCTTCATGGTGTTCTATAACCTTCTTGTACTTGCATATGTATATCTTTCTCTAGGTTTGGGAAGTCGTTTTAATATCCCTTTGAATAAATTTTCTACCCTGGTCTCTCTGTCTCTCCTTCCTCTTCAAGGCCAATATTGCTTAGGTTTGCCATTTTGAGGCTATTTTCCTAACTCTTGTAGGCATACTTTATTCTTTTATGTTCTCTTTTCTTTTGTTCTCTCTTACTGTGCATTTTCAAATAGATTGTCTTCAAGCTCACTAATTATTTCTACCACTTCATCAATTCTTGTTAAGAGATTTTGATGCATTTTTCAGTATGTCAATTGCATTTTTAATCTCTGGAATTTCTGCTTGATTCTTTTTAATAACGCCAATCTCTTTAATTTATCTAATATGATGCTGAATTTCTTCTCTATGTTACCTTGAATTTCTTTAGTTTCCTCAAAACAACTATCTTGAATTCTCTGTTTGGAAGGTCACACATCTGTATCTCTATGGGACTAGTCACTAGTGCCTTATTTAATTTGTTTGTTTAGGTTATGCTTTTCTGGATGACTCTGATGCTTGTGGATGTTTTTCAGTGCTAGGCATTAAAGAATTATGTATTACTTGTAGTCGTCACAGTCTGGGCTTGTTTGTATCCACCCTTCTTGGCAAGGATTTCCAAAACACTTGAAGGTACTTTGGTTTTGTGATTTAAGTCTTTAGACACAGCAGCTGTATCTGTATTAGGGCACAACACAAGCCCATGAACAACTATGGCTCTTGTGGACTCTTATAGGTACTGCCTAGGTGATCTCAGGTAAGATCTGGGATAATTCTTTGGATTATCAGGCAAAGACTCTTCTTCTCTTCCCTTACTTTGTCCCAGACAAAAGGAGTCTCTGTCTCTGTGCTGAACTTCCAGGAGCTAGGGCTAGGGGTGACACAAGTACCTCTATGGTCACCACCACCAGGACTGTGCTGGGTCATACCTGATGCAAGCACAGCACTGGGTCTCACCCAAGGCCCACGGTGACCACTGCCTGGCTACTGCTTCTGTTTATTCAAGGCCCAAGAGCTCTATAATCAGCAGGTGATGAATCCAGCCACCGTTGGGTCATTCCCTTCAGGGTGAAGAGATCCCCCCAGCCTTGAGTGGGTCCTGAGATGCTGTCCAGGAGCCAGGACCTGGAGTCAGAAACCTTAGTAATCTACATGGTGTTCTATTCTATTGCAGCTGAGCTGCAACCAGGACATAAGACAAAGTCCTTCCCACTCTTCCCTCTCCTTTCCTCAAGCAGAGGAATCTCTTGCCATTGCTGCCACCACAGCATGCTTGTGAAAAGTACTGCCTGGCTATCATCCATGTTCACTCAAGGCCCAGGGACTCTTCAGTCCAATTGTGGTGAATGCTGCCATGTCTGGGTCTCTCCCTTCAGGGCACTGGGTTCCCTTCTGGCCCAGGGAAGGTCCAGAAATACCATCCAGGAGCCAAGGTCTGGAATAAGGGAACTCAGGAGCCTGCTTGGTGCTCTACTCCACTTTGGCCAAGCTGGTGCCCAAGCTACAAGACAAAGTCCCTTTCACTTTTTCCTCTCCTTTTCTCAAGTGGAAGAAGTCTCTATCCATAACCATCATAGCTGGTAATGTACTGTGTCACAGCTGAAGCCAGTAGAGCTCTGAGTTTCACCCACAGCCTACAGTAAGGGGCTGACTCCAATTGCTGATTATTCAGGGCCCCAGGGCTCTTTAGTCAGCAGGTGATAAATCTTTCCATGACTGGGACCCTTCCCTCAAGGTAGTGAGTTCCCATCTGGTTCAGGGTGTGTCTAGAAATGGAATCTGGGAGTGAGCGCCTGGAACAAGTGTCTCAAGAGCTGCCTGGTACCCTATTTACAAGAGACTATGTGAGGCCTATCGTATGTATACCCCCTTTGATCCCAACAGCCCTGAGAATCAGCGCGTGATTAACATGGCTTTAGTTAGTCAAAGTGCAGAAGACATTAGAAGAAAACTACAGAAACAGGCTGGGTTTGCAGGGAGGAATACTTCACAGTTATTGGAGATAGCCAACCAGTTGTTTGTGAATAGAGATGCGGTAAGCCACAGAGAGAACCGCAGAGAGAGCGAACGCCAAGCCTGGCAAAACACTGACCTACTAGCCACAGCTATTAGAGGGGTCTCCCCAAAGGGGCAAGAGAAGGGGGGGGCCCAGGAAAAATACCCAGTCTGGCCATCCAGGCTTGCAGCATAACCAGTGTGCTTACTGTAATAGGACATTGGAAGGACAAGTGCCCCAGTTAAAAGGAAAACAAGCTGACTCTGAGCAGGAGGCCTCAGACAAGGACGAAAGGGCCTTGTTCAATGTGGCAGAAGAGTTACTGAATGAAGGGGACTGGGCTCATATGCCCCCAAAGAGCACATGGTCAGGATGACAGTCGGGGGCAAGGACA
Organism: Homo sapiens; assembly: GCF_000001405.40. NCBI lineage: Eukaryota > Metazoa > Chordata > Mammalia > Primates > Hominidae > Homo > Homo sapiens. Next base: position 52,595,438 of record NC_000017.11, read on the forward strand.
TTGAGTTTCTTGTCAATACTGGTGCTGAACGTTCATTAGTAACCACCCCGGTCGCCCCCTTATCCAAAAAGACTATTGATATAATCGGAGCCACAGGGATTTCCGCAAAGCAAGCTTTCTGTTTGCCCTGGACCTGCACTATTAGGGGGCATGAAGTAATTCACCAGTTCCTGTACATGCCTGACTGCCCCTTGCCTTTACTGGGAAGGGAACTACTTAGCAAGCTGAGAGTCACTATCTCTTTTACAAAGCACGGCTCTTTACAGCTAAAGTTTCCTGGAACAGGAGTCATCATGGCCCTTACGGTTCTTCGGGAAGAGGAATGGAGACTCTTCTAACTGAGCCAGGCTAAGTGGTGGCCAAGGGTGTGGGTGGAAGACAATCCTCCAGGGTTGGCAATCAACCAGGACCCATACCAATAGAAGTTAAGCCTGGGGCCCAGCTGGTCAGGCAAAAGCAGTACCTGGTCCTCAGAGAAGCCCTTGAGGGCATCCAGGTCCATCTCAAGCGCCTGAGGGCCTTTGGAATTATAGTCCCTTGTCAGTCTCCAGGGAACACTCCCCTCCTACCTGTTCCCAAGACGGGTACCAAGGACTACAGTCAGATACACGATTTGCACATGGTCAACCAAGCTATAGTGACTTTGCATCCAACGGTACCTAATCCGTATACATTGTTGGGGTTGCTGCCAGCTGAGGATAGCTTGTTCACCCACCTGGACCTGAAGGATGCTTTCTTTAGAATTAGACTAGCTCCTGAGAGCCAGAAACTGGTTGCCTTTCAGTGGGAGGATCTGGGGTCAGGTGTCACCACTCAGTACACTTGGATCTGTCTCCCCCAAGGGTTCAAGAACTCCCCCACCATCTTTGGGGAGGCACTGGCTCCAGGCCTCCAGAAGTTTCCTGCCAGAGACCTAGGCTGTGTGCTGCTCCAGTAAGTCGATGACCTCCTGCTGGGACACCCCATGGCAGTCGGGTGCACCAAGGGAACAGATATCCTGCTCTGACACCTGGAGGACTGTGGGTATAAGGTGTCCAAGAAGAAAGCTCAGATCAGCAGACAGCAAGTATGTAATCCGGGATTTACTATTCGACAGGGAGAGTGCAGCCTGGGATCAGAAAGCAAGCAAGTCATCTGCAACCTGCCGGAGCCTAAGACCAGAATGCAGGTGAAAGAATTCTTAGGAGCTGTAGGGTTCTGCAGGTTGTGGATCCCAAACTTTGCAGTACTGGCTAAGCCCCTGTATGGAGTCACAAAGCGGGGAGACAAGTAACCTTTCAAATGAGGGTCCCAACAGCAACGAGCTTTTCATGAGTTAAAAGAAAAACTCATGTCAGCCTCAGTCCTGGGGTTACCTGATCTGACAAAACCTTTTATGCTGTATGTGTCAGAGAGAGAAAAATTGGCGTTTGGAGTTTTGACCCAGACTGTGGGGTCCTGGCCAAGGCCGGTGGCCTACCTCTCTAAACAACTAGACAGGGTTTCTAAGGGTTGGCCCCCATGTTTGAGGGCCTTGGCAGCAACAGCCCTGCTAGCACAAGAAGTGGATAAGCTAACTCTTGGGCAAAACATAAACATAAAGGCCCCCCGTGCTGTGGTGACTTTAATGAGTACCAAAGGACATCATTGGCTAACAAATGCTAGACTAACTAGGTACCAAAGCTTGCTCTGTGAGAATCCCTGCATAACCACTGAAGTTTGCAACATCCTGAACCCCACCATCTTGCTCCTGATATCAGAGAGCCCAGTTGAACATAACCGTGTAGAGGTGTTGGACTCAGTTTATTCTAGCAGGCCAGACCTCCGAGACCATCCTCAGACATCGGTAGACTGGGAGCTGTACATAGACAGAAGCAGCTTTATCAACCTACAAGGAGAGAGGTGTGTGGGATATGCGGTGGTAACTCTGGACGCTGTCATTGAAGCCAAATCGTTGCCCCAGGGCACTTCAGCCCAGAAGGCCGATCTCATTGCTCTAATTCGCGCCTTAGAGTTAAGTGAAGGTAAGACTTTAAACATCTGCACTGACTCTCAGTATGCCTTTTTAACTCTCCAAGTGCATGGGGCATTATACAAGGAAAAAGGCCTGTTGAACTCTGGGGAAAAAGACATAAAGTATCAGCAAGAGATCCTGCAATTATTAGAGGCAGTGTGGAAGCCCCAAAAGGTGGCAGTCATGCACTGCAGAGGACACCAGCGAGCTTCCACCTCCATTGCTTTGAGGAACGCCCGAGCTGACTCAGAGGCTCAAAAAGCAGCATCCACCCACTACCAGGCATCAGTCACAGCCCCCTGCTCCCTCAGGCACCTGACCTTGTACCTACTTATTCTGAAGAAGAGAAGGACTTTCTCCAGGCAGAGGGAGGGCAGGTGATAGAAGAGGGATGGATCTGGCTTTGGACAGAAGAATAGCCGTGCCACAACTGCTAGGAGCCACAGTCATACTGGCTGTGCATGAGACCACCCACCTAGGCCAAGAGTCACTTGAAAAGTTGTTAGGCCGGTACTTCTACATCTCACATCTGTCAGCCCTTGCCAAAACAGTGGCATAGCAGTGTGTCACCTGCCGGCAGCACAATGCTAGGTAAAGTCCAACCGTCCCGCCCAGCATACAAGCTTATGGAGCAACTTCTTTGAAGGTCTCCAAGTAGACTTCACCGAGACACCCAAATGTGGTGGTAACAAGTATTTGCTAGTTCTAGTGTGTACATACTCTGGGTGGGTGTAGGCCTACCCAACAGGAACTGAGAAAGCTCGTGAAGTAACCCGTGTGCTTCTCCGAGATCTCATCCCTAGGTTTGGACTGCCCTTAAGAATCAGCTTGGACAACAGGCCGTCGTTTGTGGCTGACTTGGTACAGAAGACAGCAAAGGTATTGGGGATCACATGGAAACTACATACCGCCTACTGACCACAAAGTTCCAGAAAGGTGGAGCAGATGAACTGGACTATCAAAAATAGTTTAGGGAAAGTGTGTCAAGAAACAGTATTAAAGTGGGTAGAAGCTCTCCCTATGATATTGTTTAAGATTAGATGTACCCCTTCTAAAAGAATAGGATATTCCCCTTATGAAATATTGTATCATAGGCCCCCTCCCATACTACGGGACTCCCAGGAACTCCTAGAAAGCAAGGTGAAATTGAGTTACAGCGACAGCTACAGGCTCCAGGTGCCCTGCATACACATAGACCAGGCATATATCCTAGTTTGGGGATGTGTCTCAATTCTTTGAAAAAACTTAAAGCCTGGTTTTATTACACAATTTGATTTTGAAATTCTTAATTACTCACTGAATATAAATATATACCAAATTATGAATTATTTAGTTTTCATGCATGGAAACACATTGTAGAAAGAACATGGACATTGATGTTAGACACTTATAATTCTAGATCTCCCTAACTTGTTAATATGTAGGTATTAACACACAGGTTAATATGTAGGAAATTAACTCACCAATCTGTTTCCTCTCCTGCAAAGCAAAGCTAATGTAAACTTTGTAGGTTGTGATTATCAGACATGTAAGGCAGCTAATGCAGTGCCTGGTACTGTCTAATAAGCATTTGGTAAATGGGAGTTATTGCAGAACTTTGCAGATGTTTTAATAGGCAAGTGTCATTGTGAATTTCAAAGAGTGGTCTAGAGTTTATGGTACTTCCCCAACTTAATTCATTTAAAGAATATCAATTAAAATTTTGTCAAACACAAAATATGAGGCTGCTTGTTTTCTTTAGGAGTAAAGCAGCCCAAAGGACTATAACATCAGAACTTATTGACCACACACTTGCCCTATCAATTTTAAAAAAATCAACATAACGTGAATGCAGTTTTCATAGATGAAAAATTTCATAATAATTGTAAACAAAGACAAGGTGTTACCATATTGTGGGATATTTTATGTATAAGTAATTATGCTCTGTAATATTTTACAGCCCATTTAAACATTTTATATGTTAATATCATTTTTAAATGCTGACTTCTAAAAAACTGGCTGTATAATATGCTGGCACTTTGCTACCTCCGCATTCGTTCTGAATTAATGTACTTCAGAAATTCATTTGGAAGACATAACTGCATCTTTATCTCTAACATATTTTAATTGGTTATAACAACTAAACATAACAGATACCACCAAAAATAAATAACTTTATCCTGCATCATTATTGTTGTTCCTGTTGTTCTGATTAAATGATCTTCTTACTTTAAGTATACTTTAAGTATTTTATGGTAACTTCTTGGCAGTCATAACTTTCTGAGGAAGAGAAAGCAAATTCATAATTATTATCTAACGTGAAATACTAGAAAGTGAGGCTGATAGTTCAGAAACGTGTTTTGCTTTTGTCATATTGTTATTTTTCCCCTTTGGTGTTGGCTTAACCAGTTTGGCCAAATGCTGAGCTTTTTCCAAGCCAACAGTCCCAAAATATAACCTGGTGAACAGTTGCCAGTCTGTCAGTCTTCCAGTCCAGAACCAACTTAATAACAACAATCCAGGCAAACCATCCCCTTCTCAAGCAGGAGACTCTGTGGGTTCTTCATTTCACAAATGTCAATGCCAGCTTGGCCCTCTAATCTCTCCCCTCATATGGCTGTCTCTCTGATGGACCTTGTTTAATTAGCTATTTGCCTATTTCTCCTCTGTCCTGAACACTTTATTGGAGAGGATTTCTGTAGCCTCCCAAGTGCTCAAATAACGGTTTTCAGCCACTGTTCATTGAGACCCCATTATCCTTCCCAAGCCCAGTTGGAGCTAAATCAGGCAAGACCTGGGGTTAGCTACTTTGTATTGGCTTTCCAAGTGCATATCTTATGTATTAGAGATGCATATTTTAGTGCAAATTTTAGTGCAAACTCAGATGCAAATTTTAGTGCAAATCTACGATTCTTTTAGCAATTTAGCCTGAAGCAATAATGGGATAAGTGTGCAATTATCCAAATGAAGTAATCACAAGTGTATGACTCATAATTGCACTGTTTATATTTATGAACATTTAAAACTATCCTGGCTGGATGTGGTGGCTCACGCCTGTAATCCCAGCACTTTGGAAGGTCAAGGCAGGAAGATCACTTGAGCCCAGGAGTTCAAGACCAGTCTGGGAAACAGCAAGAACCCGTCTCAAAAAAAAAAAAGAGAGAAAATTTCCAAATTGTTCAGTAATAGAATGATAAAATGACAACTATGGAATACAAAGTGATGCCATTAAGAATAATTAGGTACATTTTTATTGAACTGAATATATTTTCAATATACATTTTTATTAAAAAAGTTATAAAATATGTACAAAATGAAGATATATCAATAAAAATGAAACACACATATTTATATGTGTGTATATGTGTGTATGTACGCATATATATACACACACATGAGATTAGACACCACAACGGTACTAGTGTTTATATCAAGGTAGTAGGATTATATGTGAATTTTACAAATTTTTTTTCAGATTTGTATTTTTTACCATGAACATTAATTACTTGTGTAATATTAACTTATGTAATACTTTAGAACTTTTAATCATGTTCCTATTCTTCTTTCTCAAAATATTTTATAAAAGATCACAAACTCAAACTATTCTCCACATCCCACTTTTGCTGGCACCCCATTTCTCTTTCCTTTATTTAGACCTAATCCTCTTAGAATACCTGTCCTTTTTTTTTTCCATTTCCTTACTTTTAAAGCAGTTTTCAAATTGTTCTAATCACCATATTCCATTGAAGTTCTTGATGAAAGTGATCAATAAATATTTGTGGCTAAATATATGTAATTAAAAATAATTTCTTGAGTCTCTTGGCCTCAGTGCATTGTTGACCCCTCTCCCCCAAACAGGTGCTTCTATGACATCCTAAACTTTCACATCACAGCATGCGTGAAACTTGAATTGATTGTTTAATTTTCTCCCCTCCAATTGAACCATAAGATCCATAAAGGAAAGATACAATCAACTTGATTCTTAATAGTAGGCCCTAGCCCAGTGTCTCATATATACTAGGTGACCAACACATATATATCAACTAAACTAATGAATAAATAAACAATATATTGTTTAAAAAGAACATGATCATCCTGAAATGATATCTTGTCATTGATATTCTATTCTAGTTTCAGGAATCTAAATAATTTAAATGTTACCCTTCTCAACGAAGACCCTATAACAGTTGTCCCTTTTGGCACCAAGGACCGATTTCATGAAAGACAATTTTTTCCACAAGATGGGGTGGGGCAGTGGATTGTTTCGGAATGATTCAAGCACATTACAGGCATTACATTTATTGTGCACTTTATTTCTATTATTATTACATTGTAATATATAATGAAAAATTGTACAACTCACCGTAATGTAGAATCTGTGAGAGCCCTGAGCTTATTCTGCTGCAACTAGACAGTCTCATCTAGGGGTGATGAGAGACAGTGAAAGATCATCAGGCATTAGATCCTCATAAGGAGCATGCAACCTAGATCCCTCACATGCACAGTTCACAATAGGGTTCACACTCCTATGAGAATCTAATGCCACTGTTGATGTGACAGGAATCCTCCTGCCAGAGGATCTCAGGCTGTAACGCCAGCAGTGGGGAGTGGCTATAAATATAGACGAAGCTTTACTCCCTGGCCTGCCACTCACCTCCTGCTATGCAGCCTGTCCATGGCCTGGGGCCTGGAACCTGGGGACCCTGACCTATGAGATAAGAAAACAGGGTTCAGAGATTTTTACTGGAAAGTAGGTACAGTGAAGTCTAGTTTTACTACAGCTTAATAGAGAGAGGAAACTCAGCCTCAGAAGGGATCTATCAATTTTCTAAAATCACTGGTAGAAATAGTAAAGAATTTGGTTGGTTTCCCTCTCCCATTCCCAATCTGTGCTCCTATCAATCAAATATGTTACATAAGCTTAACCCACGCACCAGAAGATGGAAAAACAACAACAAAAACACAGGGCTGTTGAGATTTATTGAACATAGATCACATCAAAGACATATAGCTGCAAAGAATCTAATTAAAATTTGTTATTTCAGCTGGTCAGCCATATTCTTTCTGTACAATTAGGGGTTGTGATTTTATTTAAACCAAGTTCCAATACTCCCTCCCACTCCCAGGTCACTGACAGAGCAGCACTTGGCAATTGGGAGGAGAATATAGACAACACTTCCCTCAGCATTCTTTCTGGGATGGCTGTTTGGGCTAAAATAGCAGCCTCTGCTTCACATATGTTATATCTGTCTATATATTTAACTGCTGCAGAGAGGGATTTCCTCTTTATGATTTGAATGTTAGCTGATTATTGAGTATGGAAGAAATGGTGCTCTCTGGAGTAACTATACCTATTTTTCCCATGTGACACATGTGCTTGGACTGATGATCTTTCAGTCTTCTTTAATGGGTTTCTCAAACAAGCATTATAAAGTGAAAAGAAAAGTGCATTTGGCTTTCTTCAAAATTCTAGCAATTTGTTCTATGGCACAGAGTGTATAGAGCGAAATGCTATGAATAATAGGACTCTATTCATTCAAGATGAAAGCAGGATTAGAGTTTTGTTCTCTGACTGTACCTCTGTTACTTAGATTGCTAAGAAAAGCTTTATTTGTTAAATGTAGAATTCATAAAGATAATGTTTACTAATTCAATATAATTCATAAATAGGAGTGTAATCCATTCTGTCCTCATTGTACATGAAGGGAAGATTCTCTGCACAGGAAGCTCACACTTACATTAAGACAACTATGGACTTGGCCTTGAAAATAAAATAACTTATGTTCTCTAAATCATCATAGTGTTTGTTTATATCATTATTAACTATTTGACCATAACAATTTATAAAGGCAAAGGGACTGTTTTCATTTAGTAACAATTTAGATTACAGGTAGACAATGCCAAATCCTCGTTTTTGTTGTTGTTTTTGTTTTGTTTTGTTTTTAAGAAAACTGTTTATTCTTTTTTAATGACAAGAAACTGGTTGAATGACAGAAATGTTTTCCTTCAACGGGTCAAACAACACCATCTATTGTAATATAGTTAACACTGGGTCTCCCTTTCAATGGAATATGACACAGAATTTCACACACTCTTAGGAAGAAAGAAAAGACAACCTTCTTCATATTGTTCAGCATCTTTCTTTATGTTAGGCACTTGTATTAGTCCATTTTCACACTGCTATAAAGATACTACTGGAGGCTGGGTAATTTATAAACAAAGGAGGTTTAATTGACTCACAGTTCCACAGGCTGGGGAGGCCTCAGGAAATTTACAATCATGGCGGAAGGGGAAGCAGGCACCTTCTTCACAAGATGGCAGGAGAAAGAGGGAGGAGTGCAGGGGAAAGCACAACTTATAAAACCATCAGATCTGATAAGAACTCACTGTCACAAGAACAGCATGGAGGAAACTGCCCCCATAATCCAATCATCTCCCATTAGGTGCCTCCCTCAACACATGAGAATGACAATTAGAGATGAGATCAGGTGCGGACACAAAGCCAAACCATATCAGCACTGTACTAGACAGGGTGCCTTACTTTAGCTCATGTAATGTTCTTAATAATATATTAAATAGGCATTATTAACCCTGCTTTTCAGATGAACAATTTGAAGTTCAGTAAAGTTATCAGCCAACATTGCCCATTTAGTAAGTGGTAAGGAAACACACAGAAACACACATACATACACACATTTCTTCCTTTTAACTGGAAAATTTGTTGTCTTTGGGCTACACAGGTTTTAACTTAGGGCCACACTAAAGATAAAATACAGGGAAGGAGAAAGAAACATACTTAATGTGAATGCGCAGGGGAAAAAACAGAACAATGAAAGCCTTTATATAAATGGTTTCACTTTGTTACATAGTCTGACTTTCTAATAAGTGTTCCAGTGGGTCACCACCCTCTGCAGAAGCTCCTGAGCTGGATGTGTAAGCTTGATGTTAAAAACAGGGTGAGGAAGTGACACAGCATTAATCACTAATCAACTTCTTTTGCTCCTGCCTTTTCTTCTTGTTTATCATTATATTATTTCTGCTATGAATTTTTTTATATTGTTATTTTTAATGTACGTAATATTTTATCTCCTGAGGGTATTATAGACTGTTGTAAAAAATCTTTTATTCTGCTCTCTGTATTGTCTCTGTTTCTCACAAGCTCATTTGTTTTACATTGGAGAATTTCCTCCAATGTATGTTGATCCTTGGCTGATGGTGCATGGTTCAGAGTAAAACATAAAAGCTGAAATGAAATTGGCAGGAGGACACACTAATGAGGGCACTCATTGTGTACCTAAGTCAACTAGAGAGTGATTAGATAGTAACTGGTATTTTTTTTTTATTGGAAGGCCTTTCCACAATTGAATATCTATAAGCATTTAATTTTGGGCCTGAGCCTGAGGGTAATCTTCACCTCTGGAGGTAGACATAGTGTAATCCTGGATGCTAGTGTTTTTTTTTTTTTTTTCAGCTCAATAAAGAGAAAGAGGCTATAGTAGTTCTCAGCACTATGCACATTGACTTTCAAACATTTCGTTGTTATCAGCATGGTATATCTTCTCTATTCTCAGCTGTCCAAACATCTCTGCTAAGTAAACTCCATTACATTTTGGAAATGAGAATAAGTAGTCACTTGACTAGGTGGAATGGAGCAAAATATCTGGAAGTCTAATATTTATGTATCCAAGTTTTCTATGATCCTCTTTTCAGCCTTGCCTTACCTTTACATTTCAGAGATTCTTAATGGCCCTAATCTCTGAGGCTTTCTGAGTTTAATTCAGTTTAGTTTTCCACTTTGTTGATCTCTCCCTATCCTCCTGCCAGGTTTGGATATCTGCTTTCTTCTGTCTTCTGAGTCAGTTCCTACTTATCCATCTGCTCTTAACATCCTATAACAAAGACAAGTTATCTCTAAGCAACTACGTTTTCTTCATTCCTGGACACAGAGCTGGTTTATATTTCTGAGCCTGCCTTATAGCGATGCAAATGAGTCGTGGTAATGAAACACAAGGGAGGTAATGCATGCCATGCAAAGGTCTTGTGCAGTGTGGCCTTTGACATGCAACTGCATTCTCTTTCACTCTTCCTTCTGAAATAATTTTGGAAGCCCTACATAAGATAGAGGTGTGCTATGGGTGAATTGTGCAATTGTGAATCGCGCCCCCTCCCCGCAGAAATATGCCGATGCCCTGTATTAGTCCATTCTTACGCTGCTGTGAAGAAATACCAGAGATTGGTAATTTATAAATAAAAGAGGTTTAATTGACTCAAGAGTTCTGCATGCCTGGGTTGGCCTTAGGAACTTACAATCATGGCAGAAGGCACCTCTGCTCAGGGTGGCAGGAGAGAGAAATGAGTGCTGAGCAAAGGAGGAAGCCCCTTATAAAACTATCAGATCTCATGAGAACTCACTCACTATCACAAGAACAGGATGGGGGAAACTGCCACCATGATTCAGTTATCTCCACCTGGTCCCTCCCTTGACACGTGGGTTTATGGCAATTCAAGGTGAAATTTGGGTGGGGAAACAGAGCCAAACCATATCATGCTCTAAAACCCAGTGTGACTGTTTCGGATATAGGGACTTTAGAATGCAGTTAAGGTTAAATGAAGTCATAGGTTGGTTCCCTAATCTGATAATACTATTATTCTTATTTAAAAAATTTAAAGCACTCTCTCTCTCCACTTATGTGAGGACACAGCGCAAAGGTAGTTGCTTGCAAGCTAGGATCCTTTAACAGAACCATGCTGATGTCCTGATCTCAAACTTCTGTCTCCATAATGGTGAGAAAATAAATTTCTGTTGTTGAAGACATGTAGTCTGTGGTATTGTGTTATGGCAGTCTGAGATGACCAATACAAGGAGCCACAGATAGAAGGAGTTTGTATCTCTGAATCATTTCTTGGAGAATTGCCAGCCAAGCAGGAATATCCATTCGGACTTTGTATAAGAAAAAAAAATAGCTTCTATTGTGATGTGCCACTGAGAAATTGGAACTTACCTACCTAGTATAACAGCTCATATTACTTTAACAATTTACATTTCTCATTGCCTGTGGTCTCCTATCTATTTCTGTCATTCTTGTGGATTTTATACTTTACTATTTTATTGTCAGTTAGAGGACTTTTGAGAGGGAGGGGCAGTGAGCATGTATGTTTTATTCACTATTCACCTTGTGTTACTAAATCTATTCAGCTTATGAACTTTTAATTTTGCTTCCCTGTTTTGGCAGGGTGCTCAGACCTTAGACTTAATGAAATCCTTTGTTTTTTAGTTTGTTGATTCCTTTAGCAAAATCTCTTAGACATTATCATGTATTCATTCATTTATCTCATTTCTGACTGCTTCATGACCACACAGTATGAGTAAGCTCTAGTATACAAGATTCTATCTATGAGACACACAGTATTATCTTTCAGCTTCATTTACGATATTTACATCTGTTACATTTGGTGCACTGGAGTGAAGAGAAGGGCGTTTTATCTCCAAGATCATATTAAGTACTAGGGAATCCAATTCTGATAAGATGAAAAATGATGATTAAAATCATGTTTCCTTGGAGCATGTCTCACTCTCAGATATTAAACATTTTCTCAGTTTTTAATGTCTTCTCACAGGGGAATTTGAAGAGGTAACAAAAGATGTATGTCCTTGATTCCTACAGGATGTACCTCCATTCCTTCATACTCGTGAAGGAGAGACCACACAAAAAGAGACGTCTGCTTCCCTCCCTACAGGGATTTGTATTGGGTACTGTTCTTCTTTTCTTAAAGCCTATATATTTCTTAACACCTCATGGTTCAATAGCCATGCAAACTCATAGCTTACTTACTTGTCTTCTTTGCTAGGGGAACTAATCTAATTGGGCCATACTCTTAATACTGAATGGCGTCATTTTTCCTCAAGGATAAGTAAGAAATGCACTGGTTTTCAAAGTCCATGCATCAGGTCCACCTAAACAAAGTCTCTTGGAAATAGTAAAATTGGAAGGAGGCTAGGATTGTCCCTGCTCTTTTCTAGTAAAATTGGAAGGAGGCTAGGATTGTCCCTGCTCTTTTCTACTTGGGATTGACTAAATAAGTGAGTTAGAATAGGCATTTGTTCTGAATCGCTTTGTCTTCAACTCAGTAAAGCAGAAGCCAACTATGAGGCTTCTGGTCCAAGCTACATTCTCCAATCCAGCTTGTTATGGTTTGGCTGTGTCCCCACCCCAATCTCATCTTGAATTGTAATCCCCATAATCCCCACATGTTGAGGGAGGGAGGGACCCAGTGGGAGGTGACTGGATCATGGGGGCATTTTCCCCCATGCTGTTCTCATGATAGTGAGTGTGTTTTCAGGAGATCTGATGGTTTGTAAGTGTTTGAGACCGGGTGCGGTGGCTCACGCTTGTAAACCCAGCACTTTGGGAGGCTGAGGTGGTGGATCACCCGAGGTCAGGAGTTCAAGACCAACCTAGCCAACATGGTGAAACCCCATCTGTACCAACAGTACAAAATTAGGTAGGCGTGGTGGCACACACCTGTAATCCCAGCTACTGGGGAAGCTGAGGCAGGAGAATTCCTTCAACCTGGGAGGTGGAGGTTGCAGTGAATGAACCGAGATCGGACCATTGCACTCCAGCCTGGGTGACAGAGCACCACTCCATCTCAAAAAATAATAATAAGTGTTTGAATGTTCCTCCTTCACATGCTCACACTCTGTCGTGATGCCTTGTGAAGAAGGTGCCTGCTTCCCCTTCTGCCATCATTGTAAGTTTCCTGAGGCTTCTCACACCATGCAGAACTGTGAGTTAATTAAACCCCTTTCTTTTATAAATTACCCAATCTAGGGTATTTCTTTTTAGCAGTCCAAAAATGGACTAATACGCAGCTTTACCACAAGTTTAGAAAGCTTACTTTAATTTTGTTTTTAACTTTGTGAATATTGTCCTCATTAGCTTGAACCCATAAGCAAGAATACATGAAGGCACTCCAAACTCCAATAAAATTACTATATTTTTGTCAAAGTCACTACCTCTTGCTAAAATCCTGATACAGAATTCCTGAAATTAACAGATTCTTGGTCGGGCAAATCTTCTAGGTTTTAAAATAGGAAAGGCTTTCAGTTAGTGAAAACTATATTTAGATTCAAAGTCACTGAAAACATAGAGTTCCTTTTGATTATAAAAGAGGATCATATAATACTAGAGTAGGAAGAACTCTGAAAGTCTATTATAGTTTTCCTTGTTCATCGTACACATGGGGAGAAGCTTTTATATACTTGATGGAAACTTCAGCCATGGGTAATAGCTCTGTGATCATTGGTAGTAGGCTGAACTTTCTCCCTATTGCATTGGCTGGCTAGAGAATAATAAATAAAATTTTTAAAACACCTGGATTTCTAACCATGAAAAACCTGATTGTTCAAAAAGTATTTTTGTTTCCACTGCCAATCTAATGCTAAGTCATGCAAAAAACTGAAACTAAAAATGGACAAAAACCTAGATCTCTTTTAAATCATAAGTAATGTACCCTACAAATAACTCCATTGTGAAATCCCTTCTTCGGAACAGATATGCTAAGTATCCTGAGAGGATGGAGAATAAACTCCATTTTGAGCTTGGAAAATTATGGGAGATATTCATGAAGAAATAATATAGGGATACTATCATTGTTATTTATACCTTTTAAAACATGTTAGAAGTAAAGGAATCCTCAAGGAAGAAGGAAAAAAGTAGTGCTGAAGCTAGGCAGTGAAGATGGGGTGGTAATGCAGATAGTGTTAAGAGTGGCAGTGCATCTGAGGTTGCTGGGGATGAAGATGGCAGTTGTAGAATGAAGCGATAACAGAATCATTTGAGAGGTGGTAGTAGACATAGTATGGTAGGAGGTAACTTAATCTCAAAGTCTATAACAGAGTACATATGGCTTAGACTGTATCCAATCATGTTTCCAGGAAATAAGCATTGTAAGTATTAAATTCAAACACGTTTGAAAGCTAATTGCTATTGCTTTTGGACTACCACTTAAATGAACTCTTGTTATGGGGGATTGGTGATAAGTGAAGATTTCAAATTGCTGTATACAGTATGATATAAATCAATGATATAGAAGGTGATCTATAAAAATGTTCAGCCAACGATTTATAGTTTTATAGCAAAACATAGTATTGCTCCATGTTTGAAATTGATTTTCTTTCAGCAATTCTTGTTTCTCAAATCAGTAATGTGAGCAAGTATGTGGTGTCACTTTGATAATGTTTAAAATGCCTGTTCCCATTCTTCAAATGACACATAAAAAGTAAAAATAAACAAGGGATTATTTCTGACATGTTTGACTTAATTTTTGACTCTGGGTTCAATTTACCAAAGGAAAAATCATATAAACTAGTGCATAGCCTTGTGTTGCGGTGGAGGGGGTAATTTATTTGACTGCCATTTGTGCTGTGTTTCTTTGGACAATGGTCCACATATACAAAAAAATTGAAAAGCATTCTGCTGTCAGTGTAGATGGGCATGAGCCTCTAAAGACCTTCATTCTCCCAAATGTACTTAAGTGTTATAAAAAGAGGATAATAGCATGAACATTTGCTTTAGTGTCTATGAGCCAGACATTGGTTTATTTCATTTAACCTTTATAAAAAGTTTTTGATACAAATAATAAAATAATAATAACATCCCTTTTGAGGAACCAGATTAAAAAGTGTTTGTCAAAATCAGAATATGCATTCTGTTCTATCTAAAAGTATGCTCTATATTCCTTCATTGTGCTCATAATGGGCTTAAAAATAATGAAACATGGATGTAATTTCAATAAACAGCACTGAAAAGACTTTATAATGTATATCCCAAACTGATTTTGCCCTTGATGTCTATCTCATTTTGGTTTCATTTGTGATGAATTATTAAATGAATGTATTATTATCTTGTTTACCTCTTTTATATAGTTAGGTTAATTTTGGATTCTTATGATTAATTCAGAGGTCACATTCAAAATAATTAACAATCAATACAGCTCCACTGCACCAACCCACCACTGAGAGTGGAGGCCAGTTGTAAACAATCTTTCAGGAGGGTGTCACAGTGTACAGATATGTATCAGCCCCAAAGTTATGTTCTCTTTTACTGACACATTAACTCTTTTGTTTTACTATATATTTTTAAAAGTTCTGGACTTTTAAATAAGTTATTTCTTGAGGTGTAATGTGTATACATTATAAAATCGACTTTTAAATGTATATTTCAATAATTTTTGACAGAGATGCGCCCTTACCGTCACAATAAAGATATGGATTATTTCTAACACATATAGGCTTCTTTTAAGGAAAGAAACAATTATAGATGAATTCAGAAGATGATGAGAGAACAATTACTAATTATAAATCATTAAGCATTCAATTATTGTTAACACCCACATTGGTTTCTTTGTTGCAGGTACAAAAATGATTAGTTTTGAACCTTCTGGCTCTTTCTTTACATTAGCTAGGTATGAAGGCAAGTTAGAAGTTGGGAGAAGGATGAGAGGCATTAATAATGCATAGAAGTCCCAAGTGCTATGTTTTAATGTACTAATGCTTCTACAAATATTAACCTTATTCTAAGAAAAATACGTTTCAGATAATGAAAGAAACCTGGTCACAGAGTAAAATGACTGCTAATTGCATTTCAAGTAGTTTAGCCAAATTTTTGGTAATATTCTACATCATTTCCAAGTTATATTTATTTAGCCCCATCTGGCCAAGCATATAAATTAGTTTCTGCATTACTGTACATTCGTAACTTTCACCACTCCCATTTCTTACTTATTTCTCTCTTTTTGTCTCACGCTCTTCCACACACTCTTTCTCTTGTCCTCTGAATAGGGTCTACAGTATAAGCCATTTTTCAGCCCTAGCATATTCCTCTTGGCATCTCCATGCTCAACATTCAGTAGGGAGCATGGCTGTGGATTTCTTAAGGATGTTGGAATTCTGTGAGCAATCTGCCATCCTCCCCCAATTCTCTTCTCTCAAGTTCATTTGGCTTCAAGACTATGGTATGATGAGTTTTTTTCATTTTTAAGGTAAAAACTCCTGTGCAATATTTATGGACTGTTTATACTATACAGCCATCATCCCCTCCTTTTAATTTCTGTGCTAGAAAAATGCACTTTTTTATCCTTCTTTTAAGAATCTGGAGGTAAAAAAAGAAACCTGCCGAGGAGGAACCCTAAAGTCTCTAATATCTCAAGGGAAATACTCTGCAAACATCCTTAATGTTTAATAGATTTCAGCCTTTTCATTTCTCCTAAGTAATATGCCATACTCCACTGGGCCTCCTGAGTTTTCTTCTTTGTTGACCTTGCTAATTATATTATGGCTTTTGCCATCTACCTGTAGGAATTCATTAAACATTAAACAATGGCATTTGGTAGACATTTAGAAGGGATGGGGAAGTGGGGAGTTGATTCCCTTCTTATCCTTTCACAAGAGATGCATATGTAAATCCTGTCTCAGGCAGAACCTAATGAATTCAAGCCATTGGACCATTATTTTCATTTCCTTTTCAGTGTTGTGGGTAATATCCAACTACACACTTATTTTAAATTAAATACCTTGTTATCATTGGAGTGATTTCATAACTCTCAAACTACATATGCAGGCTTTAAACACCCTAGAGGGTAAGCTTTGATATACGTTCAAATATGAAAACAATTATCAATGATTTAAGGATTTCCAAAGCAACCAAAAATCAGGAAATGAGTAAACTTTGAAAACAGTCTTAATACATTCCAGAATGTTAAAGTTTGAAAGTGCTGTTTGTCCCCATATTCTCAGTCTGAGTTTCTTTCTACTTTAACATATCCCTAAACACAACTAATAATAGTGATCAAATGAAATATTTCAAATGTATTGAAAATAATTTTATTTCAAAGAATACTATATAGCTATTTGTATTAATAGTTCTTCCTCAAGTACCGCTAAGAGTCAGGGGAGAATAGCTTTGTTTTTTATTCCTACTGAAATAGCAAGCAGACATAATCAACTTCATGATGATCACTCCAGAAGAATTTTTCTATGTGGTCTAGGTATGTTCTTTCATTTATATAAATCACTTTTTCATCTGCAGTCCGAGTCATTCCACCTTGGTAATGGGAAATAGCCTTTCCTATTGTTGGTTTTGTTTCTGCAAAAAGGCCTTCATGACAAATTATTTAAGACAACTTGTACTACACATCAAAGTAGGGGAAAATTATTTCTTTCATAGCACTAACGTTCTGGAGAAGGTCAAAGGGGTTGTTGGTAAAATATAAGGGAGAATGCTTTACTCTAAATTATTGTAGTTATTCAAATACAATATTCTGGGAAAGGATAAGGAGGATCAAACCTTTTCACAGTTCTTTACCAATAAATAACATATGATAATGGTGATGCTCTGACTACTGAAATACTAAATGAGCAGGGTAGAATTCAGCATTTTTTAAATTCTTAAATATCTTTTTTCCTCCTCAGACAAGTGTGAAACAATCACCAGTCAAAGAACACACAAAACAGAATCAGATCTTAGGCCAAAAGCTTACAAGGGAATATGATTAGAAATGCTATTAAAAATGTTGATCCTATGTTCTAAGTTTTGCTCTCACAAATCAATAGAAATAAAACTAAATACAACAACACTTATAATTTTACTTAAATGTATGCATGAATATTTTCAAGAAAAAAGAGAGAAGATAATCCGGTTTATTTGACTGTCTATTATATGCTAGGCGTTCTACAAGGCAGCTTAGGTACATGATTTTATTTAAATTCCACAGCAACCCACATAAGAAAAACAGTCTCAGAAAAGTCATTTAACCTACCTAAAGTCAGATGGAAAAATCAAGAAGAGAAATAGCATTTATTTCAAATATTCCTGAATTCAATGTCTCAATTGTTGAGTTATTCATATTGGTTTTTTTTTTTTTCAGGGTGAGGGGGTTGGCAGTAGGTAAAGGAACTCTTAGGAACTGCGTTTAGCATAGATTGTAGACAGAATGCCTCAATCAAACTCCTTGTCCTCCTCGCCTTCTTCCTCCTTTTCCTCATCATTATTTTCATCACCATTATTATAATCTATATTTATTGAGTGCATATAATTAAAGTGTTATGTTTTCGAAGTACTATTTTTCATGTTTCTTCTAAGATATCCTTTATTCTTCCAGTTATCATTATTGCTATCCTGCCATCAATTTAGGGAAATGTCCTATTACTTTTCTTTTACATCCATTATACCTTATATATGATTCTATCACTATCTTGTAACTTATAACTCAGTTATTAAAGTCACGGTTTCAAAGTTCTTATTTGCGTTGATTTTATGTCCACAGAAAAATTTAATCAATGAAATACTATTAAAACTAGCCTAGTTGAACTCTGGAGTGCCCAGGGCTTTTTCAAGTGTTGGATACAAAGGTAAATAAACATGTTATCTATCTTCCAGGAATTTAATTCCCAATTAATAATAATAATAATACCTTACTTTAATATAGACCTTTATAGCTAATGAAACAAAATATTTCATAATGAGATAATTTGCAAAAATATATCAAACCTGTAGGTGTATGTTACTTGGGGGAGAAACCTAAAAACAAAATTTAATGAGATAGCCAGTTTTACATCTGAAACAACAACAAAAAAGTCTATGAATGAGGTTAGGTATTACAGTAAACAGAAAAAAATAAAATTTTCCCCCAGTCTTTTAGGAATATGTCTTTGTAATTTTTTATGAATCCGGCTGGAGAAACTGGGTTATAATTTAAGGGTTATTGGAGGAAGACTGCAAAAGAAGAAAACGAAAAAAATTCAGGAAGAATAAGGTTTGAAAAAAGTGATTGAAATAGAGAGAAGTGAAATTGGGAGGACAATTTTGATGATACTACGGTGACTATAGCTACATTTGAACCAGTTAATTTAATTTTTTCATAGACTTTGATGCCTAACTATTTCTCTCTCTCTCTCTCTCTCTCTCTCTCTCTCTCTCACACACACACACACACACACACACACACACACAACTTGGGATGAGAATAGTGATTTGCTGCTTCGGCTACACCTAATTATATTATCTTAGAGCTTTTTAAAATACGAATACAAAGACTCAACCACAGATATTTTGAACTTACTGTTCTGGGATGAGATTCAGATATTGGTATGTTTTTAAATTTCTTTAGGTAGTTCTAATGAGTAACTAGGGTTGAACACTACTCCTTTAGCATTTATTCTCAAATGTCGGTGTGCATCAGAATCACTGGAGGACTATTTAAAACCCAGAATTTCTGGCCCATTACATCTGTATTGGGGACCAATATTTGACATTTCCAAAAATTCCAAAGTGTTGCTGATGTGAATGGTCCAGGTATCACATTTTAAAGTGACTGGTTAAAAAACAATATCTGTAAATTACCTTGGGCAGTATAGCCATTTTCACGATATTGATTCTTCCTACCCATGAGCACGGAATGTTCTTCCATTTGTTTGTATCCTCTTTTATTTCATTGAGCAGTGGTTTGTAGTTCTCCTTGAAGAGGTCCTTCACGTCCCTTGTAAGGTGGATTCCTAGGTATTTTATTCTCTTTGAAGCAATTGTGAATGGGAGTTCACTCATGATTTGACTCTCTGTTTGTCTGTTATTGGTGTATAAGAATGCTTGTGATTTTTGTACATTGATTTTGTATCCTGAGACTTTGCTGAAGTTGCTTATCAGCTTAAGGAGATTTTGGGCTGAGACAATGGGGTTTTCTAGATATACAATCATGTCGTCTGCAAACAGGGACAATTTGACTTCCTCTTTTCCTAATTGAATACCCTTTATTTCCTTCTCCTGCCTAACTGCCCTGGCCAGAACTTCCAACACTATGTTGAATAGGAGTGGTGAGAGAGGGCATCCCTGTCTTGTGCCAGTTTTCAAAGGGAATGCTTCCAGTTTTTGCCCATTCAGTATGATATTGGCTGTGGGTTTGTCACAGATAGCTCTTATTATTTTGAGATACGTCCCATCAATACCTAATTTATTGAGAGTCTTTAGCATGAAGGGTTGTTGAATTTTGTCAAAGGCCTTTTCTGCGTCTATGGGGATAATCATGTGGTTTTTGTCTTTGGTTCTGTTTATATGCTGGATTACATTTATTGATTTGCATATATTGAACCAGCCTTGCATCCCAGGGATGAAGCCCACTTGATCATGGTGGATAAGCTTTTTGATGTGCTGCTGGATTCGTTTTGCCAGTATTTTATTGAGGATTTTTGCATCAATGTTCATCAAGGATATTGGTCTAAAATTCTCTTTTTTGGTTGTGTCTCTGCCCGGCTTTGGTATCAGGATGATGCTGGCCTCATAAAATGAGTTAGGGAGGATTCCCTCTTTTTCTATTGATTGGAATAGTTTGAGAAGGAATGGTACCAGTTCCTCCTTGTACCTCTGGTAGAATTCGGCTGTGAATCCATAGTTTCAATGCCATCCCCATCAAGCTACCAATGATTTTCTTCACAGAATTGGAAAAAACTACTTTAAAGTTCATATGGAACCAAAAAAGAGCCCGCATCACCAAGTCAATCCTAAGCCAAAAGAACAAAGCTGGAGGCATCATGCTACCTGACTTCAAACTGTACTACAAGGCTACAGTAACCAAAACAGCATGGTACTGGTACCAAAACAGAGATATAGATCAATGGAACAGAACAGAGCCCTCAGAAATAATGCCACGTATCTACAACTATCTGATCTTTGACAAACCTGAGAAAAACAAGCAATGGGGAAAGGATTCCCTATTTAATAAATTGTGCTGGGAAAACTGGCTAGACATATGTAGAAAGCTGAAACTGGATCCCTTCCTTACACCTCATACAAAAATCAATTCAAGATGGATTAAAGACTTGAACGTTAGACCTAAAACCATAAAAACCCTAGAAGAAAACCTAGGCATTACCATTCAGGACATAGGCACAGGTAAGGACTTCATGTCTAAAACACCAAAAGCAATGGCAACAAAAGACAAAATTGACAAATGGGATCTAATTAAACTAAAGAGCTTCTGCACAGCAAAAGAAACTACCATCAGAGTGAACAGGCAACCCACAAAATGGGAGAAAATTTTCCCAACCTACTCATCTGACAAAGGGCTAATATCCAGAATCTACAATGAACTCAAACAAATTTACAAGAAAAAACAAACAACCCCATCAAAAAGTGGGCGAAGGACATGAACAGACACTTCTCAAAAGAAGACATTTATTTATGCAGCCAAAAAACACATGAAAAAATGTTCACCATCACTGGCCATCACAGAAATGCAAATCAAAACCACAATGAGATATCATCTCACACCAGTTAGAATGGCAATCATTAAAAAATCAGGAAACAACAGGTACTGGAGAGGATGTGGAGAAATAGGAACACTTTTACACTGTTGGTGGGACTGTAAACTAGTTCAACCATTGTGGAAGTCAGTGTGGCGATTCCTCAGGGATCTAGAACTAGAAATACCATTTGACCCAGCAATCCCATTACTGGGTATATATCCAAAGGACTATAAATCATGCTGCTATAAAGACACATGCACACGTATGTTTATTGAGGCACTATTCACAATAGCAAAGACTTGGAACCAACCCAAATGTCCAACAATGATAGACTGGATTAAGAAAATGTGGCACATATACACCATGGAATACTATGCAGCCATAAAAAAGGATGAGTTCATGTCCTTTGTAGGGACATGGATGAAATTGGAAATCATCATTCTCAGTAAACTATCGTAAGAACAAAAAACCAAACACCGCATATTCTCGCTCATAGGAGGGAATTGAACAATGAGAACACATGGACACAGGAAGGGGAACATCACACTCTGGGGACTGTTGTGGGGTGGGGGGAGGGGGGAGGGATACCATTGGGAGATATACCTAATACTAGATGACGAGTTAGTGGGTGCAGTGCACCAGCATGTCACATGTATACATATGTTACTAACCTGCACATTGTGCACATGTACCCTAAAACTTAAAGTATAATTTAAAAAAAAAAACAAAAAAAAAACAAGATCTGTCTTGGTGTATTAGTCAGGTTTCTCTAGAGGGATAGAACTAATAGGATAGATGTATATATAAAGGGGAGTTTATTAAGGAGTACTGACTCATGCAATCACAAGGTGAAGTCTTGAGAGGTGAGGCCAGCTGGACTTCCTGGGTTGAGTGGGGACTTGGGGAACTTTCCTGTCTTACAAGAGGATTGTAAAATGCACCAATCAGAAACTTTCATGTCTTACAAGAGGATTGTAAAATGCACCAATCAGCACTCTGTAAAACGTACCAATCAACACTCTGTAAAACGCACCAATCAGCAGGATTCTAAAAGTAGCCAATCGCGGGGAGGATTGAAAAAAGGGCACTGTGATAGGATGGAAATGGAACATGGGTGGGGACAATAAGGGAATAAAAGCTGGCCACCCCAGCCAGCAGTGGCAACCTGCTCACGTCCCCTTCCACGCTGTGGAAGCTTTGTCCTTTTGCTCTTCACAATAAACCTTGCTACCGCTCATTCTTTGGGTCCGTGCCATCTTTAAGAGCTGTAAGACTCACAGCGAAGGTCCACGGCTTCATTCTTGAAGTCAGTGATACCATGAACCCACTGGCAGGAACCCAATCTAGTCTTTCCACATTCTTCTGCCTGCTTTTGTTCTAACCTTCCTGGCAACTGATTAAATTGTGCCCATCCAGATTGAAGGTGGATATGCCTTTCCCAGTCCACTGACCCAAATGTTAATCTCTTTTGGCAACACCCTCGCAGACACACCCAGGAACAGTACTTCCCATCTTCAATCCAATCAAGTTGACAATATTAACCCCCACACTTGGCTAGCAGGAGTTATTTATTAATTAACTGTGTTCATTCAAAAATAATGGAGTGTCTACAATGTGTATGGTGTGGTGCTGAGTGGTAGATGAATAAGACAATGACTGTACAATCAAGGAGCACATGGTCTTGACATAAGGTCTGGTATCAATTTTATGTCAAAAAGTCACTAAAATTTCACTATTGGAGAACATAAGGATGGAAGATTTTGATTTCATAATGCCTTTGAGCTCTTTCAGGTCTACACTTACATGATTTCAGTATCAAGTTGGGCAATAGGATAGGAGATAAGAGAATCAAGCAAAGGCTTTAGACTGAGAAGTCCACACTACTTGGACTTCCTGGGAGATAATTTGGACTCTGGTGAATTTTATCAACAAAATCAATATATACATCACATGTTTGGGTGGATTTTGTTACAAAATTCCTCATTCCACTAAGAACATTCATCTTTTTATAATCTAAGAGGTCAAGAAGTTCTGACTCATTTGTGATTCCACATAGTGTTGATACCCTCATGGTTTAGGAGTGAATTTCTTCTATATCTTCCTGAAGACACAGGTTTAGCACTGTCTTATTATTAACTATTCTGATTTAGCTGTAAAGCGTTAAAACAGATTCTATCATACCCAGAAAATCCACAGAGAAGTCTCTCATTCATAGTACATGGTCTACCTGTAAAATTTCTTCCTAAGTAGTCTGAGAGATTTATTTCTTCATTCTATAGAAGAAAAAGATGTGAGAGAAATATATTGTGGAATTTTGGGGTCTGTTTGTTTAGTTTGTTTTTTTTTAGATAAAGGCACACAAATATACTGTTAGATTATAGTACTCATCATCTGTGATAAGCATTACTGATTTGTGAAGATTTTTGGCTATAATTATCAGTAATAAAAGTAGTAAATTTATATACAGATTACATGCCAGCATCTTTTCAAGTCCTATGACACTACAAGAAGATTCATGATGTGAACTTGTTTGTCTTCTTCTGTGGATATTTACTGCCAGAAAGCAGCAATCTTGAACACCCTAAAATGGCAATCACAACCTCCAAAAATATTTACTTTTTTTTCAAAAACAGATTACTCCTAAAAGAGTGCATAATTTAGTTACAGATTTTTTTTTAAAAAAACAACCAAACAAAATCTGATCCTGAGAAGGTAAGAAACTGAGAATGTCTACATATGCAAAGTGAATGAAGAATTTAATCAATCACTTTGTTGTTTTATCCCTCAAGCATTGGTATTAATGAAAAATGTGGAGTCTTCTGAGAACGGAGCTAGCTGATTCTGTTGCTTCATCAGTCTGATAAACAATTGGTTGTGTATTTAACTGTCTTCCTTGAATTTAATTCAGAGTGGCAGGTAAATTTCTCCCTTGTAAAGTAGCCAGCTAGGGAAATCATTTTGGAAGGAGAAGTAACTGAAAACATCTTGGAGAAGCAAAGAAAAATAAATCTTGAGATCACATAGGAGGCTTTGAAACATGGGTAAATTCTTGGTTGAAGAACATTTAAAATGCTACTCAAGGACTCTGCAAATAAGATCACTTGGATTTGTACATGAAGTTTACTGACTGCCAAGACATTGTCTCTACCTTCTACAAAATAGCCTGCTCCACTTAAGAAACAAAACCTTGGCCGGGTGCAGTGGCTCACGCCTGTAATCCCAGCACTTTGGGAGGCTGAGGTGGGTGGATCACAAGGTCAGGGGATGAAGACCATCCTGGCTAACACGGTGAAACCCTGTCTCTACTAAAAATACAAAAAATTAGCCATGGTGGCACACGCCTGTAATCCCAGCCTACTCAGGAGGCTGAGGCAGGAGAATCGCTTGAACCTGGGAGGTGGAAGTTGCAGTGAGCTGAGATGGTGCCATTGCACTCCAGCCTGGGCAACAGAGCAAGACTCCATCTCAAAAAACAAACAACAACAACAACAAAAGAAACAAAAACTTGAGTGTCCTCATTTTACACTTTGTCCAAGAGGAGGTTATCTGCTTTCTACACATGTGAAATAAGTATGTGCAGTTGTTTTCCTTTTTGTTTTGTTTTTGTTTTTTGCTTGTTTTCTCATCAGAGACTCATTTGAAAACATTCAGAATTAATTCTCTAAGGAAATCAGAAAACCACTGTCTGGAATAACTCCAGTCCCTGAAATTTGTGGTTGTTCTTTGCCATAATAAGTGGACAGACTGTAATATTAAAATATGCATGTTAGTTCCAACAAATTGTAGAAATTGAAAGGTACATGTATTACAGATTTACACTCAAGAAAGGGGCCCAGAATCGTATTGTTTTCCATTTCTTTTTGATGTGGTACTAGCAATCATACCACACCAGATTATAAAACTCAACTTTAAAGAATTGTCCAATTGAGACTTTTTGTCACCTAAATAGTTCAGTGTCTACTCAAGTTAAAGGTTTTAAGTATTGCCAGTTTACATCTTTATTGATAAAGAACTTAAGTATAGTCTCAGGTAAGAGGCTAATCTTTCTAAAAGATATATCTATTTTTCCTAAAGTATAAATTCAGCAGTTTTCTGGACATACTCTTTACATTGTATTTTGGTTTCCTTTACAAAAAATTGTTAATCTGTGTTTCTCAGGACAGCACATTACTGAGAAAGAGGCAAAATTTAAGCAAATAGATTAGTACTGTTATTAGTACCATATGGAGGAACGTGTTAAGAACATAATGGGATTGTTTCTAGACTGTATTCATCTTGCTGCTGTGTTTTACTCAGCTTTTGACTCTGTACAGCAACCAATGATGGAACAAATGATATAAGCTCAAAATGTGCTCCTGGGTAAAGATACTTCCACAGAGTATAAACCTCACTAAAACTGTAAGAGCCAGTCACTATTGATGAGCAAATTGAGTATTTACATCGTTTGAGACACTGGTTTATAAAATGTTTATGGCTTATCTTGTCGCCTTCTTAAGAATATTGGTTATGTTAGGTACAGAAAATCATATTTGTCAGATCAAGATTCAGGACCAACTGCTATGCTGACAGAAAGATATTACTTATAATCCAAACTGATGATAGTTATACTGTCTTAACTTAAAAATACTGGTGGTAATTTAATATGACTAAATATGACTTAGAATCTGTGGTTCAGACCAACTCTTTGAAAACAGAAATCATCCCTTGGGCAGTTGTATTTCACTATTTATATAACTTAGCTCCAAAAATTCTACATAATGTATTAACTAATTCAGTTACATATAATCAACATTTCCTAGATAATTCGCCAGGCATTTACATTGCAAAATAATTGCATGATTCCTGTATGTAATATTAAGACATTTCTCTAGTCAGGACATTTTCATGCAGCCTCCTTGATATGATTTTCATATACAAATAGTTTTATGAATACTAAAAGCAAGTCATGTCATTTTTGCTATTGTCAAATAGAAAGAAAAAAAAAATGCTATCTTACCAAAAGCCAAAAACTAAGGTTCCTCAGAAATACAGTTGTGAACAAAGTCTTTTTCTCTATGAAATTTACCTTTTCCTAGGAAAAAACACCTATACTAAAAATTACATAATGATTTAATTTTCACTGTCATGCAGGCTATGAAGGGAAAATGCAGATTTCTAATAGAAATACCCGATTTCTCTTGGGGGTCAAGGAAAGGCTTATTGAAAAAGTGATGTCCATGCTGTGCTCAAAACAATGAAATGTAGTAAACTATGTCAAAGATTGGTGAGATCATTCCAAATACAGAACATAATGTGTGAGAAATCTGAGGCACTAGGAATAAAGGATCATTCAGGACATTGAAAAAAAATTGAGGCAAGGAAAAAATAGGAAACACAAATGAGTCTCCCTAGAGAAGCAGAACCCAGATGATGTAGGGATATAGTTCTATACTGAGGATTTTGGTCTATATTCTAAAAGCAATGGGAAACCATTGACCACTTTAAGTAGAGAAGTAACATGATTGAAGCTGTGCTTTGGGAGAAAGGTAGAGCATACGAATTTGGAAAACAAATTGGGAGAAATTCTAAGTAATTATGGTAAGAGCCTAAGAGAGTCTGGATTGAGTGTTGACAAAGGATTCTGGGAAAAGTAGGCATATTTGAGCATCAACCATCTACAGAAATTGAGTATTGGTGTATATGAAAGAAGGATTCTTGAATGATTGCAAGGCTTCCTTCATGAGCTGTTAGATGAATGACTGGACTGTGTTACTCACTAATATTGTTGCAGAAGCAGAATCTGTGGTGGGGTTGAGAGACTGGTAGAAGAGATTATGAACTCAGTTTTGTGCATGAGTTTGGAATTACCTTAAAATATCTAACTGAAGTTGTCAAGCAGACATTTGGGTGTGTGGAACTGAAACTAAGAAAGGAGATTTAGACTGGAGCTGTCTTAATATCTACTACTTAGAGAGCACTCACCAAGTGCTGGGCATTTTTCTGAAGCTTAACTTATACTAATTAATCCTAATAAAAACCTATTATTACATAGGTAAGGATTCTTTCATTACAAAATACTACTCATGTGCTTTCCAGCATGCCTATTGTTACCATATTTACAAGGAATTTGATCATATTACCTTTCTTTTTTTTTCCCCTGGGATGTTCCCCAGTAAAGGGAAAGAATAAATTGCAGACCTGCTGTTGACCTTTTTCTTCTTATCCACTTACTGATGATGTGATGATAAGCGAGTTACTCAAGCTCTCCATACCTCAGTCTCCTCTTCACCAAACTAGGTGTAATAATAATTATTTTAGGAGACATACCTAATATTCCTAGAATGGCTTATAATAAACCTAAAATCTGTTGATCTATAAGATGTTCTCTATGGAGAACATCACATAAACTCTATTACTATCATAGTATGAAATCAGAAGTTTGTGATTCATTTTTTGGTAAGTATGCACAAGTACGTAAGTGAAATTTTATGTATATTATATATGGGTTTATGTATGTCCCATATGTCCTAATGTAAGGCAGAAAGGATGTGGGAAGCTGCAATGGCAGTTTGAATTTTTCTCTGTTTTTCTTGTGCATTGGGAATACTTGTGTCCTTGAGGCTAGAACATAGGACTTTTTTTAAAAAACCTTAATAATTGGAAATTAGAGCGGATGATGTGGCAAGGAAATCTGAAAAGAAACTATCAGAGAAATATAAGAAAAAACAGGAGAATGTGATGTCACAGAACCCAAAAAACATATTAAGTTTATATTTTTAATAATTCCTGAACCTCATTCCATTGCTGAACCTCACTCCTGACCCTGAAGTTGTCCTGAAGGTAAGGTTGGGCTACATAGATGGCTAGAGAGAGGGAATAGTGTCGGTTAGAGATAAGGATTAGACTGAGTCTCAGACATATTGGTAGGGGTCAGGAAGGACATGTGCTCAGAGATGGGGTGAAGGAGGATGTAGTAGTTTGGCACCATCAGTGTCGAATAATGTATAAACCAAAGACATGTGCACCACACCAGCTTAGTTCAGAAATGAATTTCAATCATATAAAGCACAATGTTTGCTAATTTCCTAACAATTACTTGCTATTCTGAGTGATTTTCCCTCTCATACTCACTAATTACTCTTTAAACATTATGATGGTCATACTTATTTACTTTCCAATAATAATTTTAGAATACTAATGGAATTTATTTTGCTTTCCACTTAAAAATCTACAGGACAAATTAATCTGCTTATGTAAACTTCTTAACTGTGGTAATTTTGTTTGATTGAATCTATATTAGGCACTGGACTAAAAAGGTGAAGGGAAAATTTGTGTCCATAAAAAATATTTCTTTTTTCTTTTTTTTTTTTTGAGATGGAGTTTCACTCTGTGGCCCAGGCTGCAGTACAGTGGGTGATCTCAGCCCATTGCAACCTTCGCCTCCTGGGTTCAAGCGATTCTCCTGCCTTAGCCTCCCTAGTAGCTGGGATTACAGCCACATGCCACCACGCCCAGCTAATTTTTGTATTTTTGGTAGAGATGGGGTTTCGTCATGTTGGCCAGGCTAGTCTTGAACTCCTGACCTCAGGTGATCCGCCCATCTCTGCCTCCCAAAGTGTTGGGATTACAGGCGTGAGCCACCGCATCCAGCCCATAAAAAGATTTCTTATATTCAGCTGTCAACTGTATAGTTAATCTTCAATTAAATGTTTTCCTTAGCTGTTTCAGAAAAATACAATGCCATAAGTGAACCTTTAAATGATGGTTTTAAGATAACTGAGATAACATAACCTAAATAAAACTAGACAACATATTTTTCTGGGGTATAAAACTAATACAGACTAAAAAATTTCAAAATTACATGGAAATTAATAAAGTAGAAGGTGGCTATTGTAATGGGGGAGGATCAGGAATATGGTCTGTGCACATTACATTGTAATTAAAACAAAAGTCATTTTTATGCAATTATGTCAAGCCTTATATTTTTTATTAAAATGATCATATCAAAATTGCTATGTCAAAATGGCCACTTTGATAAAATTTTATAGCAAACTCCTAGAGAAAGCAATAGTATTTATTAAAGTAGCTTCCATGGCACCCT
Source organism: Homo sapiens (assembly GCF_000001405.40). Taxonomy (NCBI): domain Eukaryota; kingdom Metazoa; phylum Chordata; class Mammalia; order Primates; family Hominidae; genus Homo; species Homo sapiens. Next base: position 52,624,787 of record NC_000017.11, read on the forward strand.
AGTTCTTTTGGTATGCTCTGAGAAATAAGTATTGTGTTCAACTCATTTTGAGAAATGCTACACACTTCCACCTTCTCACAGATTCACAATGCACATTCACATTTAAAAGGTCCTGAAAAATATTTTTAAAGCCTTCTAAAATTAATCTACCCCAATATTTCCAAAGTTAATTGGATCACAAGACTCTGGATGTATGGGTTTGTAATGGTATTTGCTAATATTTATTTAGCACGTATTTTATCCATACCATTATATGAAGGGCTATATGTGCATATTTCAAATAAGTCTTAACCAATGTAGGCTGATGTTACTATTATTATTGTCACTTTTCACATAGAGAAAGTAAAACATAAAATAATTAACTAGTTGCCAAGGTAATCTATTAACATATTAATTTAGCCAACAAGCATCTGAGACTGATTCCAACTAAGTTCTGGCTGAATCCTCAGGGTGATTTCTCAATCACCACACTGTACTGATTCCTAATATTCCACAACACTTTTTGCTACTTCTGATACAGCTTTTGAGGGACTCAGCAATACATTTCTAAAAAATATCACGAAGTTGCCTTTTATGTCTTTCTTCACTCACATCTATTGAGATGGAGTTGCTAGAGTTTTGTTTTGGTTTATTTCTCAAAGCACAGCTACTTCTGTAATTGACCCTATAGTCATTGTACACTCTTGGTCCTTGCCAGAACATATAATTTAAAATTCTCCACTGCAGCTGCCCAACCCTCACCTAAAGCCCAGTTACAAACAGTTCAGGAGAATTACCTAAAGGATGTGAAATCCATTCAGTCTTCTCAGTGTTCTACAAACTGGTACACTGAATTAACTCTTGTGATCTTAGAGAGTGATCTCTTTCGATTGATTGCTCTGCATTGTATTTTAATGTAACTTATAAGTTACATTAAATATGTAACTTATACATTAAATGAAAATAAGTACAATCTCAGTTTGCATTGAGGAATGTTATTAAAGGAGCTGTACAAAACTTACCCTTGGAATTAGCTGACATTCCTCATTTCACACAATGATTCATAGTAATTGTCACTATGATTTGCACAGTGCCTGAGAAGCCTCTTCAGAAAAAGAAAGGAGATAAATTTGATCGTAGTTGGGGTTCAATAATAAGAAACCAAATCTGGTGAAATTATGGTGTGGGTTTAGGTAGGCAACAGAAACCAGGCTGCAGAGGGATGGCAGTACCCCTGAAGAGTCACAAAGATAAAAGGAGTGAGTCAGAACCTCAGTGCTCCAGGGCATTTATGTGACACCTGTTGACTGACTGTCCCATAATCTTAGCTACTTTGATAGCAGGACATTGACTGAAATATCACTGAGACAGTTGCCATTAGGCTCATGCATGCAGCTCATCTTGGTATAGCACATGATCAAGGCCTGACTTTGCTAGTGTCAAATCTGAGCAACCACTAGAACAGCTTTCCAAATGAAAAGATGAATGATTATAAATATTTGAGGAAAAAAGACATTTTTTCAGGACCCAAAATTCCAATAGAAGCAGAAGGAGACCTAGAGCTACCAAGATTCATTAATATAAATTGATTGTACTATATTCCTGGTTTGGCGAATGCTGAGCCACATAAATTGAATAGGAATTTATTTGCCTGTTGTTAACTTCAGCACAGTGTTTTCTTAAAGAAACTTCATGGGAGAAACTTTCTCTTAAGTTTTAATTCCAGGGCAAGTCCTGCTTCTCCAAAGATGCCCAAACTTTTCCTTTTTTTTTTTTTTTTTTTTTTTTTTTTTTTTTTTAAGTCTTTGTGTGTTGTTTTTTTGAAATCCCCAAAATTAGTCAACTTGACTTTTTGGTGTGTATATCTCTGTAAATTTTAGCACATGTATAGATTTGCGTATCCACCACCACAATAAAGATACATAATATTTATATCACTCCCAAACACATGCTCATGCTAGTATTTCTTAATCACACCACTTTTTCACCCGATCCCTTGACAAGTACTAATGCTCTCTATTACTACATTTTGTCTTCTTAACAAAGTCATTTAAAGTGAATCATACAGTATGTGACACTGAGACTGGTTTCTTCTACACAACAAAATGAGATTCATCCCAGTTATTGCATTTTTATTACCAAGTAAAATTCCTTTTCATGGACATACCACAGTGTGTTTATACAGTCACCCGTTGGAGGTCATTACGGTGGTCTCCAGTTTCTGCAATTTTTAATAGAGCTGCTATAAATATTCATGTACATGTTTCTGTGTGAGCATAAGGGTTTTTTTTTTCTAGAATAAATACCTAGGAATGGGATTGCTAGGTCATATATAGGTGCATATTATAACTTTAAGAGAAACATGACAAAATCATTCTCCAAAATATCTGAATCATTTTACATTCTCACTAACACTTCATGCTTTTTCAGTAGTTCTACATCTTTGCCAACCTTTGTGTTGTTTTATCTTTTTTTTTTTTTTTGGCCATTCTTATAAGTCTGTCATTGTACCTCATTGTGATTTTAATTTACTTCTCCCTGATGGTTAACAATGTTGAACATTTTTTCTTGTGCTTATTTGCCATTCATATACCTTCTTTAATTAAAATATTTTACCTACTTTTTAAAAATTTGTTTTATTTCTGTTGAGTTTTGAGTTCTTTATGCATGCTTGATACAAGTCATTTGGCAGATATATGATTTGCAGAAATTTTTTCCCAGTCCAATTTATCATCTTTTTTTTTTTTTTACTTTTCTGAGTCATTCTTATGGTGTCATGTCGAAGAACTCTTTGACCCAAGATCATGAAGTTTTTTTAAATAAGTTTGTCTGAAAGTGTAAGGCTAACTCTATGAGGATGAGTTCATTTAGGTGATTTCTCTGACTATATATTTGATAGACACAACTAAATGAAAAGTAGCACCTTTTAATATTGTCAGGTTAATGTATTCTGGTTTGTGTCTTTGGTTTTGAACATGTTTAAACCATTAAAAACACATTTTAAATAGGCTAGTCAATTTTCTTCTTGCAGAAGAGACTGGAAATTAATTTATTCACTTTTGTGTAGGCATTATTTTATACATACTATAGAGTTGCACCCATGCATTTAATAAAATGTGAATCTCAACTATGTGACAGGCATTGTTCTAGCTACTAGAGGACATCAGTGATTAAAAGCACAACAAAATCCTTCCCTTCCACCAATGTATATTTCAGTTAAATATGTATATCAGGTTGAGCATCTTTAATTCAAGAATTTGAAACCTGGTAAGCTTCAAAATTTGAAACATTTTGAGCCCTACCATCATGTCATAAGTGAAAAATTCCACAAATAAGTACTTAACACAACTTTTACTCATGCACAAAATTATTAAAAATATAGTTTAAAGTTACATCCAGGTTATATGTGTAAGGTATATATGAAATACAAATAAATTTTGCATTTAGACTTGGATCCTATCCCCAATATATCTTATTATGTATATACAAATATTCCTAAATCTGAAAAAAAATCCAACCTCCAAAATACTCTGGTTCCAAGTATTTTGGATAAGAGATACTCAACGTGTGTGTGTGTGTGTGTGTGTGTGTGTGTGTGTGTGTGTGTAATTTACACTGATTCAAAGAGAGAGAGGAAATTAAAATTTAATTCTATCTGCTATTGGACTCAATGAACCTATGTCCACAAATCCTCTTCAGATGGGATCAGTGAGTCAGATATTTCTCCCATAAGTCTCAGTTTCCATACAAATTTGCTGAAGGAAGCAATTTTCTTAGGTAACATGAGCCCAAGATTTAAAACTATATTTCTCATGGAATACGGTTTTCTAATGGTAAACAAAGGCTTTCTTTGTTGGACAACATTTTCATGAATTCTCGATGACAAATTATGATTATATGCAACTCTGTAAATACTAATTTAGAACTATATACAATAAAATATAACTATTTTAATAATAATAAAAATACACATTACTAAAATATGCTATTTATTGACTATTTTAATATAAATACCACTTTATTGGTATTAATATTATCAAAGTAATTAAAGATGTCCATCTTCATTTCAGAAAAATGGCTGTGGCTGTTTATCATGCTTATTACAGAATAGAATACAAACTAGAATGCATTCAAGTTAGAGGGGGCAAGATGGCTGACTAGATGCAGCCAGGAAATGCCGCTCACACAGACAGAGACCAAAATACTAAGAAAACCAACACACTTTGAGCATATCTTTGCAGATGAAACACCAAGAGTCTATAGAGAAGTGACATAGACATGAAGGCTGAAGAGAGAGAAAGGTGGGAGCCCTGTGAGTGGTACTCAAATGCTAGGGATAGTTTCCAGTCCTGAACAGCTCCTGGGTAACGGGTGAGGGAAGGGACAGAGGGACAACCCGCTCTTGCTGCAGACCTCTGGGGTCCTAGCTACAGAGGATCCCATATCTCCCATGAACATTTGAACTGGCAGGAGAATCCACCTGGAAAGTAGGCAGAGACAGGGCTTCAGCTGATGTGGAGCCCAGGGACTTTTGTGTGCAGGGCATCTGCAGCAGAGCATGGCCATAGGTGCCCATCCCCAAGGGTTCCCCATCTCCCTTTAAGTAGCTCTAGCCTCAGCTGACCAATGGTCCAGGACAAACTGGGGCCAGCTTCCTCACTAGACTGGGGCACCTATGTTCTGCAGGTACTTCTGTCCTTCAGCCCCTCCCACAACCCCAGCCTGGCCACCCTGCAGGAACATGTACACCGCACAGTCTGGACACTTTGCTCCACCTAAGTACCTTCCTAGCATGCTGGGAGCACTTCAGATCCTCCAGCACAGATGGAGCCCAATCCCAAAGATCCAGCAGTAAAAGCCACAGGCTGGTCCCAATGCCCTAGGGCTATGTTCTGCAAATTGAGAGTGCCAAGCCAAGCTCTGCGGCCAACACTTCAGAAAGGGAGGGTGCCTCTACTTTCAGAACACTGAGAGGGGTGAGATGCATGGGTTTGTGGGTTGGCATGCAAGCAGTGTGTAGCTTCCTCCACAATGCTGGTCTATGAAGGGTGTGGCCTATCTCCCTGCCATGGCCTCTGCCTGAGGGAGTCCCATAGCCCAGAACAGCTAACAAAGCAAACATGGGAATAATGCCATTGATTAGAGGGGGCTCCTTCAAGGCCAGGAGTGGACCTTGTGCAAGGGTCATCTCTCTCCCCACCACCACAGAGCATGACTGCAAACATGAGGAAATATGAAAGAGCCATGTGGCTGATTAAGAGCCTATCTGCCAGCCATTACTTTTAGGTGCCACCCACTGGATCACAGCCCAAACAACACTATCAAAAATATTCTTCCAGTATACAACCCTGTGAAACCAATGGCAAGAATCCAGACACCAATTAACAGCCTGTTCAGAAACTTGACCCTTTGAAAGCACTCAAAATGAAGTCAATTGACTATACTCAACTTACATTACAATAAAAGGAACACCAACCCTCTTAGATGAAAAAGAATCAGCATAAGAACTCTGGCAATTAAAAACACCAGTCTCCCCTTACATCCAAATGAGCCCACTGGCTCCCCAGCAATGATTCTTAAGCAGACTAAAATGACTAAGTGACAGACATAGAATTCAGAATCTGGATGGAAAGGAAGCTCATCAAGATTCAAGAGAAAGTTGAAGTCCAATCAAAGAAATCCAAGTAATCCAGTAAAAGGATTCAAGATCTGAAAAATGAAATAGCCATTTTAAGAAAGAACTAAACTGATCTTCTGAAACTGAAACATTTACAAGAACATCATAATACCACCAGAAGTATTAACAGCAGAATAAACTAAGCTGAAGACAGAATCTCAGAGCTTGATAACCAGTTCTACAAATCAACTGAAAAGTAAAGAAAAAAGAATGCGGGAAAATCCTGCTACATACTATACAAGATGTTTGTCTCCAAGCCACATGGTTATTGATTCACCAAGGTCAATGTGAAAGAAAAAATCTTAAAGGCAGTTAGCAAGAAGGCTCAGGTCACATACAAAGGGAACCCCATCTGGCTGGCAGCGGACCTTTCAAAAGAAACTTTAAAAGCCGGAAGAGATTGGGAACCTATTTTCAATATCCTTAAAGAAAAGACATTCAAACCAAAAATTTCATATCCTGCAAAACTAAGCATCATATGCAATGGAGAAATTAAACCCTTTTTTGACAATCATACACTAAGGGAATCTGTTACAACTAAAACTAGCCTTACAAGGGAGTGCTAAACATGGAAATGAAATAATGACACCTGCTTCCACAAAAACTAAAGCACAGTGCACAGACAGTATAAAGCAACTACACAATCAAGTCTACAAAATAACCAGCTAACAACATGATGACAGGATCCAAATCTCACGTATTAATAGTAACTTTGAATGTAAATGGTCTAAATACCCCACTTAAAAGACATAGAGTAGCAAGCTGGAATAAAAACACTGTCCAACTGTCTGCTGCCTTCAAGAGACCCATCTCACATTTAATGACACCCACAGGTCAAAAGAAAAGAAATGGAGAAAGATCTAGCATGCAAACAGAAAACAAAAAATGAGTATGAGTCATTATTCTTACAGTAGACAAAAGGAACTTCAAATCAACAGTAAAGAAGAAGGACAAAGAGAGGCATGACACAATGATAAGGGAAAAATTCAATGAAAAGATTAAATATCAAAATATATATACACCTGATATGGTTTGGTTTTGTGTCCCTACCCAAATCTTACCTGAAATTGTAATCCCATAATCCCCACATGTCATGGGAGGAACCTGGCAGAGATCATTGAATCATGGAGCAGTTTCCCCCTTGCTGATCTCATGATAGCGAGTGAGCTCTCAAGAGGTCTCATGGTTTTATAAGGGGTTTCCCCCTTTGCTCAGCATGCATTCTCTCTCCTGCCACTGTGTGGAGAGGTGCCTACTCACATGATTGTAAGTTTCCTGAGTCCTCCCCATATATGCAGAATTATGAGTCAACTGAACCTCTTTTCTTTATAAATTACCCAGCCTCTGGTATTTCTTCATAGCAGCGAGAGAACAGACTAATACAGTAAATTCGTACCAGGTGTGGGGTGCTGTTATAAAGATACCCAAAAATGTGGACGTGACTTTGGAACTGGGTAACAGGCAGAGGTTGGAATAGTTTGGAAGACTCGGAAGAAGACAGGAAAATGTGGGAATGTTTTGAACTTCCTAGAGACTTGGAGGGCTCCGAAGACAGGCAGATGTCAGAAAGTTTGGAACTTCCTAAAGACTTGTTGAATTGCTTTGACCAAAATACTGATAGTGATATGGAAAATCAAGACCAGGCTGAAGTGGTCTCAGATGGAGATGACGAACTTTTTGGGAACTGGAATAAAGGTGACCCTTGCTATTCTTTAGCAAAGAGATTGGCAGCATTCTGCCTCTGCCCTAGAGATCTGTGGAACTTTGAACTTCAGAGAGAGAGAGAGTCAGAAATTAAAACTTATGTTTACAAGGAAAGCAGAGCGTAAAGGTTTGGAAAATTTGCAGGCTGACCATGTGGTAGAAAAGAAAAAACAATTTCCTGGGGAGAAATTCAAGCCAGTTGCAGAAATTTGCATAAGTAATGAGGACCCAAATGTTAATCACCAAGACAATGGGGAAAATGTCTTCAGGGCTTGTCAGAGACCTTCATGGTAGCCCCTCCCATCACAGACCTGGAGGCCTAGGAGGGAAAAATGATTTCAGGGGCCAGGTCCAGGGACCCTCTGCTATGTGCAGCCTGGGACTTGGTGTCCTGTGTCCCAGCCACTCCAGCTGTGGCTAAAAGGGGTGAAGGTACAGCTCAGGCCATTGCTTCAGAAGGTGCAAGCCTCAAGTCTTGGTAGCTCCCATGTGGTGTTGGGCCTGTGGGTGCAAAGAAGGCAAGAATTGAGGCTTGGGAGCTTCTACCTAGATTTCAGAGGATATATGGAAATGTCTGGATTTCCAGGCAGAAGACTTCTGTAGTGGGGAGAACCCTCATGGAGAACCTCTACTAGGGTATTATGGAGGGGAAATGTGAGGCTGGAGCCACCACAGAGTCCCCACTGTGGCACTGCCTAGTGGAGCTGTGAGAAGAGGGCCACCATCTTCCAGAGCCTAGAATGGTAGATCTACCAACAGCTTGCACTGTCCATCTGGAAAAGCTGCAGTTACTCAACACCAACCTGTGAGAGCAGCCACAGGGACTGTATACTGCAAAGCCACAGGGACAGAGCTGTCCAAGACCATGGGGGCCATACCTTGCATCACTGTGCCCTGGATGTGAGACATGGGGTCAAAGATTATTTGGGAGCTTTACTTTCTGCTGAATTTCAGACTTTCATGGGGCCTATAGTCCCTTTGTTTTGGCCAAATTCTTCCTTTTGCAAAAGGGCAATTTACCCAATGCCAGTACCCCCACTGTATCTTGGAAGTAACTAACTTGTTTTTGATTTTACAGACTGATAGGCGAAAGGGACTTGCATCATCTTAGATTAGACTTTGGACTTGGACTTTTGAGTTAATGCTGGAATTAGTTAAGATTTTGGGGGACTGCTGGGAAGGCATGATTGATTTTGGAATGTAGGAAGGACATGAGAATATTTAGGGGCCAGAGGCAGAATGATAGGGTTTCGATCTGTGTCCCTACCCAAATCTCATGTTGAACTGTAATCCCCAGTGTTGGGGGAGGGCCCTAATGAGAGGTGACTGGATCAGGGGGGTGGATTTCCCCATTGCTATCCTCATTATAGTGAGTGAGTTCTCATGAGATCTCTTTGTTTAAAAGTGTGTAGCACTTTCCCCTTCACTCTCTCTTTTGCCTTTCATGTGACGACCATGCCTCCTTCTTTCCCCTTTTCCTTCTACCATTATTATAAGTTTCCTGAGGCCTCCCCAGCCATGCCTCCTGTATAGCCTGCAGAACTTTGAGTCAATTAAACCTTTTTTATAATAAATTACCCAGTTTCAGGTATTTCTTTATAGCAGTATGAGAATGGACAAATATTAAGTTGGTGCAAAAGTAGTTAAAAGTAATGGCAAAAACCACAATTACTTTTGCACCAACAAAATACAATGATCAAGTTGAGAGTCAAATAAAGAACACAATCTCATTTACAATAGCCACAAAAAAAAAAAAAACCCAGGAACCTAGGAACACAGCTAAACAAGGAGGTTAAAGATCTCTACAAGGAGAACTACAAAACTCTGCTGAATTAAATCAGAGACAACACACATAAATGAGAAAACATTCCATGCTCATGAATTTGAAGAATCAGTGTCATTAAAATGGCCATATTTCTTAAGTAATGTACAGATTCAACACTATGCCTATCAAACTAACAACATCATATTTCACAGAATTAGAAAAAAACTATTTTAAAATTCATGTGGAACCCAAAAAGATCCTGAACAACTAAAGCAACCCTAAGCAAAAAGAACAAAGCTGGAGGCATCACACTACCCAACTTCAAACTCTGTTATAATGCTACAGTAACCAAAACAGCATGGAACTAGTACAAAAACAGATCTATACACCAGGGTAAGAGAGCAGAGAACCCAGGAATAAAGTCACACACCTACAATCGTCTGATCTTTGACAAAACAGACAGAAACAAGTAATGGGGAAAGGACTCCCTATTCAATAAATGCTGCTGAAATAACTAGCTAGCCATATGCAAAATAAAACTGGACTCCTACCTTTTACCATATAAAAAACTTAAATGGATTAAAGATTTAAATATAATACTTTAAGCTATAGATATAAGAAGATCTAGGACACACCATAGTGTACATAGTCTTTGTGAGGTAATTTATGACTAAGTACCCAAAAGCAATTGCAACTAAAATGAAAATTGACAAGTGGGACCTAATTAAACTAAAGAGTTTCTGCACAGCAAAAGAAACTATTAACAAATTAAATAGAAAACCTACTGAATAGGAGAAAATATTCACAAACTATGCATCCAATAAAGGTCTAATATATTAAATATTTAAGAAACTTAAAGAATTCAACAAGCAAAAATGAATAACCTCATTAAAATGTGGGCAAAAAAGAAGACATACAAGCAACCAACAAAAATATGAAAAAATGCTCAACATCACTAATTATCAGAGAAATGCAAATCAAATCCGCAATGAGATAACATTTCACAGCAGTCAGAATGGTGATTATTAAAAATTCAAGAAGCCATAGAAAGTGTTGAGGCTGTGGAGGAGGGGGAACAATTATATACTGTTGATGGGAATGCAAACTGGTTCAGCCACATTGGAAATATATTTGGAGATTTCTTAAATAACTTAAAACAGAGCTACCAGCAGTCCCATTATTGGCTTTACATCCAAAGGAAAATAAATCATTTTATCAAAAATACGCATGCACTCATATGTTCATTTTAGCAGTATTCCCAATAGCAAAGACATTAAATCAACCTAGGTGCTCATCACTGGTAGACTGAGTAAAAAAAATATGCACTAGGGAATACTATGCAGTCATAATAAAAGAATGAAATCATGTCCTCTGCAGGAAATGGGTGCAACTGGAGGCCATTATCTTAAGCAAATTTATGCAAGAACTGAAATCCAAACACCACATGTTCTCACTTAAAAGCGGGAGCTCAACCTTGAGTACACATGGACATAGAGATGAAAACAATAGACACTGTGGATTACTAGAGGGGAGAGGGAGGGGCCATGGGTTGACAAACTACCTTTTGAATACTATGCTTACTACCTGGGTGACAGAATCCATATCCCAAATCTCAGCATTGATCAATACACCCATGTACCAAATCTACACATGTACTCCCATGCCTAAAATAAAAGCTGAAATTATAAGAAAAAAATACAACTTAAAACAGAAGGAACAAAATCCAAATTGTAAAAAGAAAACATTCAAGGCAGAAATTAAAAAATAACTGTGAGAAAAATCAGAAAATATTTATGTAACAGAATATATTTTACAATTGTGAAATACTCTTAAAATCAATTTGTGCTTCCTAGTTCTTCAATCAAATAGGAAACCTATTAGTTAAAAGATACAATGCCTAAGATCAGTGTAATATTTTGGAGTGGAGTGCAAGCAAATCTAGGACACATTTATCCCAGCTGTTTGCATAAAGAAGTTCTAAGAGCAATGGCAGAAAATATGCAATTATGTTAATTCAAGATTCTAGCTATTAGGAAGATGTAACACTCCAGACTATGGTAACAAAGAGTTTTGCCCTGTGGAAACCTTAGGCTGCTTATTTTTTGTAATTGGAGTAGAGCATTGACATCTAAGTTTTAGTTCATTAGAAATATTTCTGCTAGTACATAAGTTTCAAAGTGCTAGAAACATGATTTTTCCTTAATTTGTTAACTAGTGCTGTGACAAAAAATATATAGATTGTTTTACAATTGTCTTCTACTGTGCAGATGTAAACTTGAGCTTAGTACATTTCTGAATTAGCCTACAATCCAAATTAATTATCTGTATCTACTGAGATGTTTCTGGGTAAGTACAGAAAGACATAGCTCTGTGGAGAGAGAAGTAATAGTGTTTCCAGTGATAACTTATGTTAAAGAAGACCAAGCTTGGGATGCCATGCCTTAAGAATAGACTCTCAATATATTTTTCCAGCTTCCATTGTTGCTGCCCCACCAACAATTTAGTCCTTCTTAATACTATATAGCTATTAAGTCAATTTTATGCATGATAAATCTATTATCTTAGAAGAGAGAACAGTGCTGATGGATAAATGTGCACTATTGTTTTTATTACAAGGATGTAGTCAATCGTCGTCATTCCCAGATTGTCTATTTGTGAATTGGCTTACTTGCTAAAATTTATTTGTATCCCCAAATCAATACTTGCAGTACTTTTTCAGCCATTTGCTGACATAAGCAAAGTGTCAAAAAATTTTAGTGGCTGTGCACATTCTCAGCATAGGTTGAAGAAAATACTTGATCTTGTTTCAGCTTTCATATTATTAAAAAAAAGAACTACCATTCTACCCAGCAATCCACTACTGGGTATATACCCAAAGGAATAGAAATCATTCCACCATAAAGAGACATGCACACATATGATTACTGCAGAACTATTCACAATAGCAAAGACATGAAACCAACCTAACTGCCAATGGTAGATTGGATAAAAAAAAAAAAGTGTGGTATGTATGCACCATGGAATACTATGCAGCCATAAAAGAGCTAGATCATGTTTTTTACAGGAATATATATGGAACTGGAGGTCATTATCCTTAACAAACTAACACTGGAACAGAAAACCAAATGCTTCCTGTTCTCACTTGTAAGTGGAAGCTAAATAATGAGCACACATTGAAAGAAAGTGCAGGAGAAACAGACACAACAGACCCTTGGGCCTACTTGAGGGCGGAGGGTGGGAGGAGGGAGAGGATCAGAATAACAACAACAGCAATAACAAAAAAACCTATCAAGTCCCATGCTTAGTACATGGCGGATGAAATAATCCGTACACCAAACCCCCGAGTCATGAGTTTACCTGTATAAGAAACCTGCACATGTAACCCCGAACCTCAAAAAAAAGGTAAAAATTTTTTTAAAGAATGAATAAGGTCTAGCACTTGATAGCACAACAGAGTGACAATAGCAAATAATTAATTATATATTTTCAAATACCTGAGTATAACTGGATTGTTCTTAACACAAAGGTTAAAATGTTTACGTGACAGATACCCCTTTTACCCCCATGTGATTATTATACGTTGTGTGCCTGTATCAAAATATACCCCATCAATATATACACCTACTATGTAACCAAAAAAATTAAAAAATAAAAATGAAGGCTGGGCACAGTGGCTCACACCTGTAATCCCAGCACTTTGGGAGGCCAAGGCAGGTGGATCACGAGGTCAGGAGTTCGAGACCAGCCTGATCAACATAGTGAAACCCCGTCTTTACTAAAAATACAAAAATTAGTCAGGGGTGGTGGTGTGCGCCTATAATCCTAGTTACTTGGGAGGCTGAGGCAGGAGAATCACTTAAATGCGGGTGGCGGAGGTTGTGGTGAGCCAAGATTGTGCCACTGCACTCCAGCCTGGGCAACAGAGTGAGACTCTGTCTCAAAAAAGAAGTAAATAAATAAAAAAAAAAATGAAGAAAATATAAAATTAAATAAAGAGGTATTTTTTTTGCAGCCTATTTACTGCCACATTTTTTTTAGTACTTTTGTGCAATTTGTTAGTGACTTTGTTGTTTAAAATGGCCTCCAAGCATAGTGTGGCAGTGCTGTTTAGTGTATGCTTCAACATGATTCTATAATAATCTACTGATAACTGCTTAGCAAATGACATTAATATTATAATTTAAATTTATTTGTAGAAACACCTTAAATGATCATTTAAACTCAGGAGAAAAGAAGAGGGTCCTTGGTTTTTGTGTAGAACTTGGAGTAAATACTATAGTTTCAGTAATGATCACACCATCAAGCTGTTAACAACCAGGTGACAGAGAAAAAGTTTAAGGGCTATTAAAGAGAATTAAAGCTGGCTAAGATAACATGGGACATAATGTCCCATGCCAGACATTAACAAATTATAATAAAATAATAGAAGAAAGAAATTGAACTTGTAATTAAGCATCTATTTTTGCCTCCAGGTTTGTGTTGTGTTTTTATTTATCTCATTTAATACTCAACTCTGAAGTATCGTCATTGTTTAACAAAAGAAAGAATTGAGGGTCAGAGAGTTACATGTTCTGCTCCAGGCCACACACCTACATAATTTGATTATTGGCATCAAAATTCAAATCTTTGGGTTTTGAGTACTGATAATGTCTAGAATTACTCTCCTCTCTTACCTGTAAGCCTCTTCCTCAATACTGATTGTGCTTAGGTTGTTCTCTAAATTTTGAATCCTTTGAATTTCCACAGTCCTTCCTTCAACACAAAGAATAATATCCAGGGCTACTCTTTCTTATTATAGTAACTTACCCTGAAGACTCGGACCCAATGTTCTTCCTCTTTGAAACATATTCTAAAGACATAGATTTGAATTTTAACCCTGGCATCAGAAAACAACCCTTCAGCATATATGGGTATATGTATGTTTATGTATATGTGCAAATTTTTTATATGTTCCTGAATAACACATCTTGTACCAAATGTGATTTAAAATTGTTAATAGAGATAACATACAATAAAACAACTTACTGAGTTGTTTACTATGTGAAGACTACCTCTCATTCAAGAGGGAGGATTGAGCACACATGTTTACATGCTGCTTCTGTGTGACTCAAATTAAATAACAGTAATGGGCTAAAAATGCATAAATTCATAATGATGAATAGAATGAGAACAGGAACAACATTAGATGATGAATTTTAACATTTATGATGACAAAAATAGATCAATGAGATGTGACTAAAGAGAAAAAGCCATGAAGACAAAGCCTAGAATATATGAAGAAGTAATTACAAGAAAGGAGGCAGAGGATAGAATTTCTCAATACATTTCTCAACTCAGAAACTTCAAGAACATTAGAGAGTGAAATGTAGAGGATGGGATAAACAGACATTTAGTAATCTCTATGTCAATATTCTCTATTTCTTAAGGCAAACATCCCACAACCAAGTACTCATGTCCTGACAGAATAAACAGCATGAGATTCTTCTGTAAAAATAAGTTTGAGGAAAACTAGCACAAATATTCTGGGGTATTGACACCTCCGAGTAATGACTTCTGCATTTTATCATTTGGGAGTCTGACAGTTCTGTGTCAGTTTCTTCTTGACTCCTTCCAAAGTAAGTTTGGTTAAGTTAACAGCTCTGCCCTTACACTTTTAATTTGCACTATCCTATTGTTCACTAAACAGAAAAAGGCAAACAAGGATCATCAGGCTTCTGCATTATAAAGATAAAGTCCAAGAAAAACAAACTGCAAACTAGACTTCTCGTCTCAGTTGAAAAGAGAAATTTTAAGGAAGATAACTGAACAAAAACCTATGTAATATTGACAGACACATATTTACATATCCATAAAATAGGAAAGTAATACAATAAAATGGGTATGGAGAGAATATAAAGTGCTATTATGAAAAAAAGATGGTTTCTGAAATATATATATTATATAAGTACATAGAAGGTAAGTATTTGGTTGTGGGATGTTTTGCCATAAGAAATAGAGAATATTGATGTAGAGATTACAAAAAATATAGATGATAGATAATCAACTTGTAGAATTAACTTAGAGACAGAATGCAGATTATATATATATTATATATAATCATATATATATTATATATGAAGGAGGTGGAGGAGATGAGAAAGGAAGATAGAAAAGAGGAGAGAGAATATTATGTTAGGACAGATACTTTATATGATAAAAGAATCAGATCAACACCATATATCTTACTAACATATTGATGCTAGAAAGCATTAGATCAATGCCTTTAAAGCTCTGAGGAAAATTATTTTCAACTTAAAATTCTAAACCTACTGATATTATCGATATAGTGGAAGTGTCAAAGAAAGTTATTGTGAGACATATTTGAACTAAAAAGTTTCCCTGAGAATGTATTCTAGCAAAATACGTGCAGAAACCAAGGAAGATTGAACATGGGAGCCAGTGATCCAGGAAAAGAAAAATTAAGTGAAGTTTTAATTTAATACCTACAATGTAGCAAAAATAACAATTAGTAAATGTTGGAAATAGAACAGATAATTCAGAGAATAGGGTATCTGAAGAGACAGAAAGAGAAAGAGAAAGAGAACATATCACATGGTTTAGAAAATGTTACCAAGGCATTAAAATAACGAAATAATTTGATAAAGGCAGACAGTGCTAGATTTAAAACAATGGTTAGAAACTTCTACATAAAAATTAAATGCTATATAAAAAAGAAAATTTCATTACAAGATACTCTTTAACTCTGTAGCAAAATATAATTGGAAAGTCATAATAAAATAAAATCTTTTAATTGATATTCAACTTGTAGAATTAACTTAGAAACAAAATGCAGACAATGTATGTCACATTCTGTTTTGTATTGCTATAGCAGAGAGAGTTACCTGAGAGTGGGTAATTTATAAAGAACAGAGATTTAGTTTTTACAGCTCTGGAGGATGGGAAGTCTAAGATCAAGGGGCCACATCTGGAAGACCTTCTTGCTGCATCATCCCATGGTGGAAAGCAGAAGGACCAGATGGCACACTTGAGAGGGAGCAGAAGATGAGGCTAAATTCTCTTTTATAAGGAACTCATTCTCATGATAGCTAACCCACTCCCAAGATAATGATATTAATCTATTCATGAGGCAGAGCCCTCATGACCTGATCCCCTCTTATTAGGCCCCACCTTTTAATACCATTGCATTGGGAGTTGTTTCCATGACATGAACTTTGGGGGACACATTCAAACCACAGCAATATAATTTCAGAAAAAATACAAAAGTGCAGATGATAAAGATTGGGAGAATAGATAAGAAATACAATCCAGGGGCATTTAGACATGCTACTGTGCTTGTCTTGTACAATGCAGAAGCATGAAACACAAACTGCAGTTAATGAAAACATAATGTTACCAAGAAAATGAATGCAGAGACTCTGCCTTAAGCAAACACTCCTTTTGTTCCTGCTCTGGAATTCTGGAACATCTGTCATCCTTAAACACTTTATAGGCATTAAGATGAGGCAGGGTTGTTTTTCCTCTAGTTATAATTAGGTCAGTCTTTAGAATTTCCAGGAGATTTAATAGACTGTATATTATCAGGTAATTCCTTATTGTCTCTTTTAATAGTAATTTCACAAGGTATTATAAATCAATGAACACAAGACTGCAACATTTTTTTCAGAAATAATTATTTTGTTAACACATCCTTTAATAATCAGCTTATCTTGGGTCGGAATTAGCACAGTCTTATAAGAAATTGAAGAAATAAAGACACCTAAGTAGTCTAAATATAAGGTTAGTCAACTTCCACTTGGAGGTGTGATTAGCTTCATGGGGATGAACATCCAGGCAGAATTTCAGATGCTGAGATAGATATTAACAAGATGTTATTCACTCATTTGAACATTGTGGTTAGTGTCCCAATATATATTCTATCCCCTCCTTGTTAAGGCTGGTTGTAAACAGCAATGTGGTCCTAAGACTTAACCCTATGCCCAGGAAAGGGCATTGATTAGTCTAATCCAATTAATTTAATTCCTTTAATTCTCTTCCCCTTGACACTGTTTGTCTTAAAAAAATCCAGGTTTAAGTCAATTAGCACAAAACCATCTCTTGGTGAAAGTTATTGGAGCAGGGATAAATATATCATATAATTTGGTCCAATCAAATGGAAAGATAAGCACTTTATCACAAGCTTTATGAAACATAATAAGGAAGGCATTACTAAGTTGCTGTTGGCATTAATTTTGTGACCATGAAAGAAGTGAAGGGCAGAACAATAAGAATTTGAGAGAAATGTAGTCTTGGTCAAAACATGCCTGACATTCGCTCATCTCTGCACTTGCAGATAAGTGAGATAATCCTGTATCTTTAAGCAGAGTTGGCTTAGATTTCAATTATGTCGATATTAAAGTATCCTAATAGAGATACCCTCTAGCTGTAAGCCAATCCTGGCAGCATAAGGGAAGTGACCTGAGGAGTCCATGTTCTCTTTTTTTAGTTCCATTCCTTAGACACAAGAATGTTATGCAAGGGGCAATCACAGATCCTTTTCTCCCTGGTTCTTCTTGCAGGCACAATGATGGGAGTAGTGAGGATTATACTTTAAAGAGTCAATCAAGACTAACATGTACCATGTAAAACATGACCTTGTGCTACATAATTCTAAACTGATGATACATTAAATCTTACCAACTCCATAAACATATACTGGAATAATTACAGGTATTGTATTGGTGTAGTATTTAGGAAATAAATAAA
The DNA here is from genome assembly GCF_000001405.40 of Homo sapiens. Classification (NCBI taxonomy): domain Eukaryota; kingdom Metazoa; phylum Chordata; class Mammalia; order Primates; family Hominidae; genus Homo; species Homo sapiens. Next base: position 52,642,654 of record NC_000017.11, read on the forward strand.
ACCATAATGGAGAAACCATACAGGTTACTGTAACAAAATTAAGGGGAGGGGTTCTTCACCTGTCACCTTAAGCAATTACAAAATGTTGAGCTATTTGAAGGTGGTGATAATGGATGCCAGCAAATCATTCAGCTTTTCCTCAGTGCATAACTTACATAATTATTTATTGAAATAGTGATAAATGAGTCTGAAATATTGATATTCTGCAATAAATGGTCACTTTTAATTATGTTCAAATGGATGCTTTGCCTGATAGAATTCTGTCATATTAATAAATGTTGCAGAGAAAACACATTCCTTATACTAACGAAGGGACAACATTCTATAATTTAATCAACCAATTTCTAGATGACGACGTGGGGAAGGGGAAAGCAGTAATCACCAGTAACCAGTAAATAGTTTAGTGGTGTGCCTTAACATGAAGGAACACAAACAGTTATTTAGTTCCCCTTTCTTTTGTAAGTGTAGATCTACTCTGTGCCAAGTCAACAGAGTAAATAATTGTGGACCAGAGGAGGTCAATGAGAAGGGGTTGGTCCAATTTTATGAGGATTCCAGGGAGAGAAGATGTTAATACTACCAACCTGTTCTCCCTGATATTTGGAATTTATGGGGAACTACTAGACAGAAGGTTACTAACCAAGACCTGGCAGCAGTGAGAGGCAGCAAGTATATTATCCTAGAGGGTAGGTAGATGTTATTATGGAGGGTAGAGAGTTCTCAAAATACTAATGAGCTACAACATCAAATCAGAAAGAGAGACAGAGAAGTAAGTTAGTGCTTTTAGTTACAAGCTTTGTTAGGTCTTGACACAATGTACACTAGGAACTTTTAATTCAATATCTAGACAAATGCCAACTGAAATTATTGTTTGATAGGAACTATCTACTTCCAACTTATAATTTCAAACCAACTACATGGATTTAGGGAAAAGTTTTTTTTTTGAAAAGGTTTTTCACAGGACAAAATGCTAGGCAGGCCACCCCCAAATATATGTAATACTACCACGTTTTGTGCATTTATAAGTTGAATATGGTACAACATGTCTAGATGAATATTCACCCTGTATGTGTATGTGGGTCAAGGGAGCACGGCATAGACATATAGATGTGTCTCTCAGATTCCTCTTTAAGGAAGAATTTGTTGCCCACTCATGGAGAGTACAGTCAGCAGATAACCTCCAGGGGTCAGCCACTTCAGGGTCTACCTCAACTGCAGACCTCCATACCACCCAAGGTTATGATCTTCCCAAAGCAGCTCAGATCCAAGGACTGAATGAAATGTGGATATAAAATTCTAGTCATTTTGGCCAGATGCAAGACATTATCATGTCCCATTGCTCTTTGCCAAACTGGATGAGGATTTCTTGGGCCTGAGTCACAATTTTCCTTTGCTCAATCCTGCTACACATTCTTTCCCTTCACAGATATTGATTCTTAACAAACACAGAGAATCCCAAGACACCAAACTTCATCATTATTTGCTTCTGGAGAACTTAATCTGTGTGTGTGTGTGTGTGTGTGTGTGTGTGTGTGTGTGTGTGATTGACTCTGTATCTGTAAGTCTGTGTATATTCTAGAGCAAGCCTATCTGGATAAAACTCTTGGTTCTACTATTTACTAGATGAAGATAATAATTTATCCCAATCTCAGATTGAAATGACTTAATCCATGAAAACTCTGAACAGCAGCTGGTACATAGTATCCAACAAATGTCAGCGATTAGCATACATAGCCATATATATGTATGCATATCTGTTGAACATTTCAGGAATATATACTTGTTCATTTATGCAAACCAATTCTAGAATATAGTAATTATGGCGAAAACTGCCTGTTTTCCATGCTTAGAACAAATTGCTGACAAAACTGCTTCATTGTCATATACGATAGACTCGCTATAATTATTTTTCACTAATATAACCATAACAACTCCAAACAAGTATTTAAATTTAACAAGCTACTCTTTATTGATTCAGTCTTTGCTGAAGATGATTTCTACAAAAGCTCATAGAAAGCTATGTTTACAAAGAATTTTTCACCTGTTCACACCAGCTTTACCTGCAACCTGCAAGCAGTTACTTTCCATTAGGATGTTGAAATCTTTAAACCTGGGTTCATTGTAGGAGATGGGTACTGATGGGGAGTTTACTTTGCTTTCTTTTTGGCTATATTCTCTGCTCTGGAGGGTTTCATATTCTCTGTGAAACACCACAAAAATGAAAGTCTAGCAAAATGAGAGTCTGACTTTCAATACTTTTTTCTATTTTATCATGTTCTTTTTTAGCCAATGTCAAGAGGAGGGGGCATTTTCCTGGAATTTTCAACGACCTATGTGCTGTGAGCCAGTTTGCACCATTCAAATGATTCTCATTCACAGTGGCCAATCCCTGATTCCTATGGCTCTTAGGGAGGGAGCAGGGTATCTTTTGTCTCCCTTATGTGGGTGATCCCAGAGATACATTTGTTAGGTCGTGTAAGTATTAAATGAAATAAACTTGAGGAAGGGAACAAAAAGAGATAATTAGATGTCTTGCAATATGTTTTTCTGTACTTGACTTTCATTGACCAAAGGGGCTTCTGTAAGGCATATGGGTATGAGTACCAAGAATTTTAAGAGCTTTCAGAAGGGAAGGAGCACAGATTGGGAAAGGTTTGAAAGTCATTTTCAATGTTTTTATCCTTTTTGTTAAATAGTCAACATTTGTGCTTGAAGCCTATTACCAGTACAAGCTGGGCAAGATAACTGTAACTATTCACAGCAGACAAAACAGAAAACTAGATTCTCCATTTTCCTCAAACAGTATATACTCATGAAAGAGCAAACTTCAAATTCCCCATCTTTTCCCCTCTACTAACATAGATGCTTGAAAAATTATTTTGATTTTATCAAAGTGCACCTTTGTAAAGGAAAAATTACCCTTTTCAGAAGTGTTATGATTTGAACAACATATTGTTCTAAATCATACTACAATTCTTCATTAGTTTCATTCATTTCTATAAAATTAATAGTCAAGTGTGCTGGCTGTAATGTGTATTCTATATATTACCAGTTTTGTGAGATGCTTGAGAGCAGAGTTTATATCTTATTTCATGTTCTCGGCATTTAGCATAGAATTCAAAATTTGCCTCTGCATTTTTGTATCCTTGAATACAATAGCAGTAAAATACCAGAATTGCCTTGTTGGGGTTATATTATCAAATGCATATACATGAATGTTGGCCTTTCTGATAAGCTAATTAAACAGCAACTTTCAAGGATTAATTTGAATTCAGAGACACCCTTATTATCCACAGTGTATGTTTCACAAGTAGAAAAAAAATGGAATCATCTCCAAAAGGATATGGATTCTCATTTTTTCTTCATGGTTATTTGTAGTAGAAATAATAGTATTAGCATGCAACAATCTTTTCCATATATACAGAAACATGAAGGACACATTTACGTTTTAATAGTTTAGATTTTAGGAGATATCTTATGGTAATAAAACTGTTAATATCTTCAATTCATTTAAAATGTTTACAAGGAAATGTTAAAATATGCATATAACCTCTATTGAATAATTCATACTCATAGTAAGACTTCGGATAATGTAACATTTGAATTGTATATACTGCAAGTTGACTTGAATGATTGTTTTACCTATATAATTCACCAGCATCCCCTGTGTATATAGAGATTGTATTTCCAGAAACTATGATGCTCTGAGCTGTTTAGGTGTATAGCTTGCGCCAATTATGTTATTCATATATTAAATTCATTTTGATGTGAGATAGATTATTATAATTTGTTCAGAGAGTTTTGGAAAAAACGTGCCATCACTTTTTGCTGCTTTTTTCTTTTCATTAAACTAATGGCAATAAATCACTACAAAATACGCAGGAAAACTAGGGGGAAATTTTTAATTGTTTAATAGAGTTATGCACTAAGTTCTCTGACATTTGTAACTATTGCTTTCATGTAAAGTGTTTACATGAAGTAAAATTTTCAAATTTCATGAACTCTAAGCTGAACTTTCAACCCCAGAGAATTCTGAAGATAATACTGCCCTTAACTTGCTCTTTAACCTTTTTTTTTGGATTTTCGAAAGTCGTCTGTTCATTTATTTTCAATCTATAAATATTGTTGGGTACCAGACACTTCCAAATCACAAGAGTGGGTATTAACAATAGCTATCACGATGAATTATATACAGGTATTTTCTTACAGGGGACAAAGGTGAGAGAAAGGGGACAAATATTTATAAATACTAATTGCAAACCAGGCAGACGTATTGTGTTTTCACATATATACTCATTTGATTTGCACAACACTATGATGAGGTATCATATTTTAAAAATTTGATAAATGAGTGAACTGAATTATTAACTTATACAAGTTTGCACATTTTGTAGGCATGGAACCAGGAGCTAACTCCTAAAAGCCTCCCTTATTTTGTCTTCTCTACTATACTCTGTTGCCTGTGGCTAAGTAGAAGAGATGAAGTATATACAAAGTATACAAAATAGAAAATGTTAACTGCCAGAAGAGGAGTGCTGATAAAGTAGTATGAGAGTTTTACAGTTTTATACTTCACACCGCAATATTTGAAGCCCAGGAAAAGAACGTGACTTATAGTTTAGAATTTAGTATTTCTTTTAGTCCCTCATGTCTCAAACCTAAGGTGAGTTCCTTGGAATGGTGTGCTGTTTGAGTTTAAAGCATTAGAAATCAGCAGATGATTATGGTGTAATGTTTGAGATTGCACAGACATCAGAATATGGGAACAATTCTTTATTCTTTTAAAAAATATTCACTTTTAAAAATTAGTATTCCACTTCCTTTCCTTTGAATAGGTCTTCTAAAAGTCATTTCCAAAGCATTACAGCCCATGAAGTATTTACAGTGGCTACCCTCCTTCTCACAGGATGATGGCAACCGTAATTACAATTGCAGGTCACAACCTTTCAAATATCCCTATGGCTTTAGGGGTTATAAAACCATAAAGAAGCTCCACATTTCCATTTTTATCATTCAATCCAATCTTTTTACTGTGGAAGTCTCCAAGAGAGCTTTAGGTAATCAACCTTTTTCCTCACTGTCACTCAGCAATTGGACTTTCATAAGAATTTGAAGACAGAAATTATATCCACAGCTCTAAGTGTTCTAAATATGTCTCTATTTCTTACCTTCTACTTTTTCTCTAAACACAGAACTTTTATTCACTGAATATTTACTACAAAGCCTACTCTAGGTCAGGCTTAGGCAATATGTGAGAACTGGACATCGCAGTGCCAAGAGCTCCTAAGTGATGGATAAAGGAGGAAAAGAGAGGGAGGATATGACTCGGGTCCCCAGCTCAATTGCAGGGACCATAGCAGGTCTTTGTGAAGAAAAGACAAATGTTCACTGTATCTGAGGAGAACAGACATTTATCTCACGCTCAGTTAGGACCATAGTAACACAGTGTCATTTCAGTCACAAAATGCTCTGCAGCTTTGGAAGCCCCTGGAGAGACTATATCCCATGTGATGGGTGATCTATGAGAACGGTATTATCAGTGGTTTAAATAAATGTCAAGTGAATATGGTAGAGAAATAATAGAAACCTGATGGGAAAGTAGCCACAACAAGCAAATTCATATTGTTCAAGCATGTTAGTGACTGTCCCATGAGACTTCTCGGAGATATTTGATAGAGAATTTGGCAGGGATTTATAGTTCTGTGTGGTCAGGAAGAATATAGAATCAATGCTAATATGAATGTATTTGCATATTAAAGAAGATATAAGCCAAAGATGGATCCCAAAGATGATTTTTATACAGTGTTCAGGTGTAGGATGTATACATTTGCACATAAATCTTGTATAGTTTGTAAACTGCATGAGAGGAGGGACCTTGTATTAGATTCTAATTTTCTGGCACCCAATAGGCACTTCTTGTTTGCTAAGCCTGGTGGTTATATATCCTAATATTGGAGGAATTCTCAGTCACATATTACAGGTAAAGGTATAGTAATGATAATAACTACAACTTCGTGAACGCAGACTATGTGCCAGGTATTGTTTTGGGTTTTTACAAATGTCAACTAATTCATTCCTCATAACCACCCTGGGAAGGAGATATTTTGATTTTGAATCTTATTCTTGACACTTATTTGATGGGGACTTTGGTAAAGTTGCTTACATTTTCTTTACTTCAGCATCAGCAGATACTAAAAAGAAATACAGGGGATAATACAGGCATCTTGGATGATTGTGATAAGTAAACAATAAGTATTTGGTGCCCTTCACATAGTGGCTGCCAATAACAATGTTCATTTCAGTCCTTCCTTTAGTTCTCTTGTGTTACCTTGGCCTTTTTCTACAAGTAGTGTTTACTTAGAATTGGCCTGTATTGTTCACATTTGCTTTTTAAAAACATTTTTATTTACTTATTATAACAAAAGAGTTTTTCAGTTTCTGGTTAGAATGAGTCTGCATCACTCTTGTTCCGGATTGCTTTACCTGCAGATTCCTCATTTCCTGTCTCTACACAGCCCAGTATGTTGGAGACATCAAAGGCCGCTGAGGAGAGTCATCCATCATCTTGACACCTTTTATGAGTTTACTGCTCCTGATGGTGATTATAGGAAAGGCTGCTTCAAAGTGATAACTGCCAGAGGTACTTGACGTTCATAGTATTGAATAACAGAAACTAAGTCCAAGTTTGGGACAACAGAAAAAATAAATAAAAATTGAAGGACAAAATGAAGAGGTAGTAAAATGCAAAGGCAACTCTAAAAAGCTGGTTCTGATTGAGAAGTATTGATTTTAGGTGGAAATGAACCAATAGAATCTATTCCAAAGGTAAGTTCTCATAGATTGTGCCACTTCCACAATGCCAATTTAGTCACATGACAATAAGCCCTTGAGCTTATTGTCTTGATATTTTGTCTATATGACATCAAGCACCTAGGGTCTGGCTAGTTTCAAATACAGGCTGCCATCACAAATGAAATCAATGCCTATTTAAAGGAGTCTTGGTATTGCTAAAGAAAACATAGTGTTCCCATTGGTCTCCATTATCATGTTAGGGGTGCTTTGTGCTATTAACAAATGTGTAGTGAAAATGACCAATTAGATTCAATAATAATAACTAACATTAACTAAGCACTTAGGATATACTACTATATCATATGCTAGGCATCTTAACTACATTTTCTTACATAATCAGTATTGTAGTCAGCACTACTGGGGGTATTAATCAACAATACCATGTTTCGCTGTCCATGTTCAGAATTAATTGAGATACAGCACACAAGACTAGGGCAAATGGAAAACAAAATATTGTTTTTATCACTGATAAAGCTTATTGTATAATGCAGCTTTCGATTTGTAGCCAGAAGGTATAGTTAATGTGTTGCTTCAATGAAAACAGACTCATCACTGTTTACTGGTTTACTGTTTACTGTTTAGTGGTCACCGGTTGAACTGGACAATATGAGGGCTCTCCCAAAAGTGGCAATGTTTTCTCCATTATGTTTACAACATAGCAGAATGTGTGCCTCCTGGAGACAAGGTGACTCTAAAGAGAGAAGAAAGGACTGAGCTGGGCAAGCTTATTTCCTTCTCCAAATTTGCTAATCAGATTAGACTCTCCTCTGTGAGAAAGAATCAGTGAGGAGGCAGAGAGTAGCTGGAAATGTTTCTCCAATATTTCCCTCTCTTGAAAGTGAAGGTCTTATTTCCTTCCCCAAAAGAAATATGAGAAGTGAGGAACAGAAACCCCACTCCCAACAGGACCCATAATATTACACAATTAATAACTGAAAAAACAAGTTTAAGTTGTTAATAACTTATTAGTTTCAAAAAACTAGTAAGTGACATAAATTGGCTCCTAGAAAGTCTTTAACCTCCAAAGATTTAGCTGTGACTAACTATATGTAATAATTATTTAGTAGCATAATCTATAGAACACAGAGAAACTTTCAGTTTATATAATATATAACATACAAATAATATTTGGAAGATCAGCATTAGTGCCATTATGCAATCAATAGTAAATTCTACAAATAAAAGGAATAAACGTACTCAAAGTTTTATTTTTTATTTCATTTTATTTTTTCTCCAAACACAATGAGTTATTCAGGCAGACCATGTGGGGAATGGTTTTCCAAACAGAGAGAAAACACCTGATAAGTCACAGAAACACCAGTATCATGCTATTGAAATGGCTATGTTGTCCGGGATATAAACCCGGGGTTCATCATCTCATGCAAGGAAAATTTAGGACACAGGCACACACGAGGAGTTTAGGAGCAGAGGTTTAATAGGCAGAAGAGAAAGAGAAACAGATTTTTCTATAGAGGATGGGGTCTCTGAGAGGAAAAGACCCGCTGGAGGCGAAAGTACTGGATTTTATAGTCTAGTTTGGGGAGGTGGTGTCTGGATGTACATGGGGCTCACAGATTGGTTCAATCAGGTAAGACATTTACATAGGGCAGGGGAAAAGCTAGTCACTCCACCCTAATCTCATGCAAATGAGTTTTCCAACTGATCGGTGCCATCTTATCTGCTCCTCACAATACACGTGGCTGGCAGAGAAGGGAAGATGGAGCCGCCATCTTGAACATGTCTAGTTCTTAGTTCCTGCTGGCATTCACCCCTGCAAGCTCCCAGCTTGCTTGTCTATGTCTGCAGCTTGACTTTACAGGCTACTGCTTGTTAGAAAATGATTTGGGGCTGCTTTTCATTAAAGAGAAAAGCCTTACTGAGGACCCCCATATCCTTACTATCTGCCTAAACGATTTCTTCTTAACTCCTACATCCTTATGTTCTAGGGATTGCAAATACTTTCATGAGAATGGGGACAAGAGATGCTTGCACATGAGATTATGGCAGAAACTCATGACTGGAAAAGGATGAACTATCCAACATGTCCTAAGAATTTTGGAATTTCTCCTGAAGTTCTCAGGAGTTCCTCAAAATTTGAAGACAACTGTAATATTGCAAGGTTTACAGCTTAGGAGTTGCATTGTGACAGAACTGTGGAGGAAGCTTCAAAGTAGAGTGTGACTAGCGATAAGGAGACTATTCTGGCAGTTGTTAAAATGGTCCAATCAAAGGAAAATAATGAGGTCTTATTTCAGGGCAGTAGTTATATGAAGGAATGAATAGATGCATAGGCTCCATAAAAAGTATATTTAATTAGTTAAATAAGCAATTCAATTTTGGGATTCAGCAGAAGAGGAAGGGTATCTGTCCCCACTGAGATGATGATGGTGACTACTCATTGCAAAGGGGAAAACAGGCAGTTTGGGATGGAGGATGGTGATGTGTTCTATATGATCATACTGAGTTTCACAGACCAATGAGTTCTCCAACTGGAGATGTTCAATTGACAGCAGATTCTTGAATTCAGAAGAGGACACTGGGCTTGAGTAGTACAACTGTGAGTCATTGGATTAAAGAGGTAGAAGTTGTATGGGTAGCTGGGATCTATCAGAACAAATACACAAAATTAAGAGAGAAAATGATCAAACAACAGCATTCCAGAAACTAACATGTAAGAGCTGGGAGAATAAAGATAAGTTTATGATTGAGGGGTTAGGCACAGTAGGTACAGTTTAAGGAGGGCCTCAGTGTCATCATGGAATGAAGAAAAGAAATTAAAAGAAAAACTGAAAGCTTTACAGTGGATCATTAAATACTTCCATTTAATAATGACAGTACAAGTGACTGCTATGTGTTTATTTACTTACAGCCCAACACATCCTAAGCAATCAGAAGCACAATATGTGTTTCTAGAATGAGTGGCTAAGACATTCAGATTATAAAACATAAAAAAGATTAAATATGGGCCATTTTAGTCATAGAAACAATAAGGTAAAATCTGTATCTTTAGGCAATACTTTGATAACATGATGAAGAAAATTTGAAATAAACAATAAAGTAATTGTAAAAGCAGTTAGGTCACTGAGAACTAAAGTTTAGCCTAGTAATGAAAAGCTGGCTTAGGCGGGGGATAGGAAAATCAAAGTTTTAAGACCAAGTGTGACACTGAAATACTAATTAGGACATGCTTATAGGCAAAGTTTTACAGTGTATATGTGTAAACGGAGACCTGAGAGCACTTACATGAAAATAAAACTTTTTCGTTTCCAAAGATGTCTTCAATTTCAAGAAAGTTCAGAAGCAGTAAATCATTTGATGAAACAATCTGAGCAAATACTCCTAATCAGATGTTACAGGTTAAAACTTTGCAAACAGATATCAGAGGAGGGAAAAAAGAAACATGTAAAAATGAGTCAGATGGCATTGAGTGTCTTTCTTTATAGAGATAAAGCTCCCCAGCATCCTTGAGGGAGAGAATAAGAGCTTTGTAAAGATGCATCTGCTTTAAGCAATGTTCAGAAAAATTGACGTGAAAGAATGGAGTGCAAACACAAGAAGAAAGAAAAGAGAGAAAGAGAGAGGGAGGGAGAGAGAGAGAGAAAGGAGAAAGGGAGGGAGGGAGGGAAAAAGAGAGAAAAGAAAAGAAGAAAAGAAACATTATGAGCTTAGAATTTTGTGAGGAATTTTTACAGTGAAGTAGTATTTGATCCACAATTACAAATTATCCACTGACTAGCTTCAGAAGAAGTTCTATTTTTTCCCTTTATAATGAGGATCAATAAAAATATATTACTCAAGTGTTCAACTTCTGTATTCAGCCACTATGTACAAAAATGAATAAAAATGTAATACATCATAAAGATACATTTATCTTATATAAGTACAATGAAAATTACAAGTTGGAAAATGAGCTGTGTAGAATTTATATTCAGCAATTTTGCTGCATTAACGAATCCCAGAGCATAGGTTCTTAAAATGATAGCCATTTATGTAGCACGAGGTTCTACATGTTAACAATCAGGCCTGGGCTTGTTTGGTGTTTCTTTTGGTCAGGCTCAGCTTGGCTGATTTGGTTGAGCTTGCTCATACATCTGTTACCATTTGGTGACCGAGATGGTTGGTTTATGATGGCATTACCCAGATAGCTAGGATGGCTGATACCTTTTTCTGTAGTCTTTCAACACTTTGTTTGATGATTGCTGAATTCCAAGATGAGCAAGAGTAGAAACTGCAAAGCTTTTGGACATCCAGGCTTTAAGCTGAAACAACAGCACTTTTGCTGCATTCTAGTGGTCAAAATATGTCACAAGGTGAGCTTAGATTTCACAGTTAGAGTAATTGATCCCACATTTTTCTGAGAGAAACTGTAAAATGTTGTGATGGCCAAGTTTGTTCCCAAGAAGAGAATCAAATATAAGTTGGAAGACTGTTATTTCTTAGAATTTTAACTACTAAGTGTAATACTTCATAGAATATTTATTTTAAACAGCAATGCCTTTACAAAGCCTATAGACTGACCATTAAAGATGGAAGCTTTACCACACGCGTTTACCTACTCCACTTCCTTGTTATGTAAGTTTATATATTATCCTCATTCTTTAAGTTGTTTAAAATAGGGTTATTTATTATTTGTAGGAAAAAAATATCCTAACTAACACATAGGTACACGACTTGGTATTTAGTGAATTGATTAATTCAAAGCTCAAGTTCAAATTTTTGTTGATTTCTGACTATGACTCAGTAATTTTGAGATAATGGGGATAAAAACGATGAGTAGAGCCAAGGAGACAGGAAAATCTTTCCATTCAGCTTACAGAAAGGGAAATGGGGAAAGACAATTAAATAAATGAAGATGGTATTCTCTGCCTGTATCAGGCCTCATCAGTGGAGGGCCAAAATATAAAGAAATAAAAGGAAAACCTTTTAGAGAAAATGATGCCTGAGCTGACCATCACCAAATGGGAAGGAGTTTTCTAGGAAGTCAATAATAAGGAAGTGGGGAAGTATGAGGTGAGTGTCTTAGTCTAAAGGAAAGCAAACATAAAAGTGGAGGTATATAAACAGGTTTGTTTTATTCAGAGAACCACTAGTTGTCCACTCCTTATAGCTAACCCAGGAAGTGGACAGTAAAGTGGGAAGTGATATGGCAGAGAACGGCCAGTGTTACATGTGGTATTGGCATGCAATTGGAATTGATGATGTATAAATATCAAGTTCCAAGCTGCCACCCAATAATTTCCTACAGTATTGCTTTTCTTTTGCTTTTGATTTTCGACACAGGCCTCAGCTATCACTCTAGATATTTCGCTTTTCAATTAATAATCATTCTGGGTGAGAAATCAGTCATTTACTAGAAATAAGAATATCACTATCACCATTTCAGATGTTTCCAATTTATTCTTGTTGATTTAAGATCTTATACCAATTCAAATTTATAGCATGTGCATTTGTATATAACAATGGGGTTTGGTTTTAATCACAGTATGGGGTTATTTCACTATTCATGAATATGTATGATAGGTCAAAAGGAATGGAGTAGCAAGTATTAATTATATGATTACTAATTGATTTAACATGGACTCAGAGTACTTAACAGTCTCTGATTTAATCAGTTTTTTCTTTATTTCTAATTAGTTTTCTTTTTTTATGGATTTAATTTATTATTATTATTATTATACTTTAAGTTTTAGGGTACATGGGCACAATGTACAGGTTAGTTACATATGTATACATGTGCCATGCTGGTGTGCTGCACCCATTAACTCGTCATTTAGCATTAGGCATATCTCCTAATGCTATCCCTCCCACCTTCCCCCACCCCACAACAGTCCCCAGAGTGTGACGTTTCCCTTCCTGTGTCCATGTGTTCTCATTGTTCAATTCCCATCTATGAGTGAGAACATGCGGTGTTTGGTTTTTTGTTCTTGCGATAGTTTACTGAGAATGATGATTTCCAATTTCATCCATGTCCCTACAAAGGACATGAACTCATCATTTTTTGTGGCTGCATAGTATTCCATGGTGTATATGTGCCACATTTTCTTAATCCAGTCTATCATTGTTGGACATTTGGGTTGGTTCCAAGTCTTTGCTATTGTGAATAGTGCCGCAATAAACATACGTGTGCATTGTGTCTTTATAGCAGCATGATTTATAGTCCTTTGGGTATATACCCAGTAATGGGATTGCTGGGTCAAATGGTATTTCTAGTTCTAGATCCCTGAGGAATCGCCACACTGACTTCCACAATGGTTGAATTAGCTTACAGTCCCACCAATAGTGTAAAAGTGTTCCTATTTCTCCACATCCTCTCCAGCATCTGTTGTTTCCTGACTTTTTGATGATTGCCATTCTAACTGGTGTGAGATGGTATCTCATTGTGGTTTTGATTTGCATTTCTCTGATGGCCAGTGATGATGAGCATTTTTTCATGTGTCTTTTGGCTGCATAAATGTCTTCTTTTGAGAAGTGTCTGTTCATATCCTTTGCCCACTTTTTGATGGGGTTGTTTGTTTTTTTCTTGTAAATTTGTTTGAGTTCATTGTAGATTCTGGATATTAGCCCTTTGTCAGATGAGTATGTTGTGAAAATTTTCTCCCATTTTGTAGGTTGCCTGTTCACTATGATGGTAGTTTCTTTTGCTGTGCAGAAGCTCTTTAGTTTAATTAGATCCCATTTGTCAATTTTGGCTTTTGTTGCCATTGCTTTTGGTGTTTTAGAAATTATAACAAACTGTCTCTCAGACCACAGTGCAATCAAACTAGAACTCAGGATTAAGAAACTCACTCAAAACTGCTCAACAACGCGGAAACTGAACAACCTGCTCCTGATTGACTACCAGGTACATAACGAAATGAAGGCAGAAATAAAGATGTTCTTTGAAACCAACGAGAACAAAGACACAAGATACCAGAATCTCTGGGACACATTCAAAGCAGTGTGTAGAGGGAAATTTATAGCACTAAATGCCCACAAGAGAAAGCAGAAAACATCTAAAATTGACACCGTAACAGCACAATTAAAAGAACTAGAAAAGCAAGAGCAAACACATTCAAAAGCTAGCAGAAGGCAAGAAATAACTAAAATCAGAGCAGAACTGAAGGAAATAGAGACACAAAAATCCCTTCAAAAAATTAGTGAATCCAGGAGCTGGTTTTTTGAAAGGATCAACAAAATTGATAGACCGCTAGCAAGACTAATAAAGAAAAAAAGAGAGAAAAATCAAATAGACGCAATAAAAAATAATAAAGGGCATATCACCACCGATCCCACAGAAATACAAACTACCATCAGAGAATACTACAAACACCTCTACGCTAATAAACTAGAAAATCTAGAAGAAATGGATAAATTCCTCGACACATACACTCTCCCAAGACTAAACCAGGAAGAAGTTAAATCTCTGAATAGACCAATAACAGGATCTGAAATTGTGGCAATAATCAACAGCTTACCAACCAAAAAGAGTCCAGGACCAGATGGATTCACAGCCGAATTCTACCAGAGGTACAAGGAGGAACTGGTACCATTCCTTCTGAAACTATTCCAATCAATAGAAAAAGAGGGAATCCTCCCTAACTCATTTTATGAGGCCAGCATCATCCTGATTCCAAAGCCTGGCAGAGACACAACCAAAAAAGAGAATTTTAGACCAATATCCTTGATGAACATTGATGCAAAAATCCTCAGTAAAATACTGGCAAAACGAATCCAGCAGCACATCAAAAAGCTTATCCACCATGATCAAGTGGGCTTCATCCCTGGGATGCAAGGCTGGTTCAATATACGCAAATCAATAAATGTAATCCAGCATATAAACAGAACCAAAGACAAAAACCACATGATTATCCCCATAGATGCAGAAAAGGCCTTTGACAAAATTCAACAACCTTCATGCTAAAAACTCTCAATAAATTAGGTATTGATGGGACGTATCTCAAAATAATAAGAGCTATCTATGACAAACCCACAGCCAATATCATACTGAATGGGCAAAAACAGGAAGCATTCCCTTTGAAAACTGGCACAAGACAGGGATGCCCTCTCTCACCACTCCTATTCAACATAGTGTTGGAAGTTCTGGCCAGGGCAGTTAGGCAGGAGAAGGAAATAAAGGGTATTCAATTAGGAAAAGAGGAAGTCAAATTGTCCCTGTTTGCAGACGACATGATTGTATATCTAGAAAACCCCATTGTCTCAGCCCAAAATCTCCTTAAGCTGATAAGAAACTTCAGCAAAGTCTCAGGATACAAAATCAATGTACAAAAATCACAAGCATTCTTATACACCAATAACAGACAGAGAGCCAAATCATGAGTGAATTCCCATTCACAATTGCTTCAAAGAGAATAAAATACCTAGGAATCCAACTTACAAGGGACGTGAAGGACCTCTTCAAGGAGAACTACAAACCACTGCTCAATGAAATAAAAGAGGATACAAACAAATGGAAGAACATTCCATGCTCATGGGTAGGAAGAATCAATATCATGAAAATGGCCATACTGCCCAAGGGAATTTATAGATTCAATGCCATCCCCATCAAGCTCCCAATGACTTTCTTCACAGAATTGGAAAAAACTACTTTAAAGTTCATATGGAACCAAAAAAGAGCCCGCATCGCCAAGTCAATCCTAAGCCAAAAGAACAAAGCTGGAGGCATCACGCTACCTGACTTCAAACTATACTACAAGGCTACAGTAACCAAAACAGCATGGTACTGGTACCAAAACAGAGATATAGATCAATGGAACAGAACAGAGCCCTCAGAAATAACGCCGCATATCTACAACTATCTGATCTTTGACAAACCTGAGAAAAACAAGCAATGGGGAAAGGATTCCCTATTTAATAAATGGTGCTGGGAAAACTGGCTAGCCATATGTAGAAAGCTGAAACTGGATCCCTTCCTTACACCTTTTACAAAAATTAATTCAAGATGGATTAAAGACTTAAACGTTAGACCTAAAACCATAAAAACCCTAGAAGAAAACCTAGGCATTACCATTCAGGACATAGGCACAGGCAAGGACTTCATGTCTAATTAGTTCTCTGATGAACCGACTTCAATCTATATATTTTGCTTTGATTTTCCCCAACTTGGTGTATAAGTACAACTGCTCTTCTCTGAAAGCAAATGTTAGTAATGATATTATAAAATTATTATGACCTTTCAGTCCATTCCCTTTAATTAAAATTTTAAGGGCTGGGAAAACTCACCAGAATGTTTCCTCTATATTATATTTATTAATAATTTATATAGTTAAAATATGCCTTGTTTTTTGTCAGCTACCCTTGGACACAATTTTTCTGAAATTGTAAAATAAGTGGAAATGTAAAGGTTATCTTTACCAAGTGACAAAAAATGTATTAGATGTATTACTATAAGATATTTGAAATGTAGAGCTGTGTT
Organism: Homo sapiens; assembly: GCF_000001405.40. NCBI lineage: Eukaryota > Metazoa > Chordata > Mammalia > Primates > Hominidae > Homo > Homo sapiens. The sequence goes on from NC_000017.11 coordinate 52,658,918, forward strand.
AATGATGTAACATCTTATGTTAAAAAAGGAGACATCTAAGGTATAACCATATGTTTAAGTTACTCATGAGATTCCTTTTAAGGATGCATAACCCAAGAGAATATGAAAAACAGCACTAAGAACTGAACTGAGTTTCAACAAATCAATTAATACTGGCTCATGGCCCAAATAGTTTTACTTACATGAGCATTGCTTATCTATATTTTATCAGTATTTATAGAAAAACTTACAAGAGCTAGAAAATAAAGTATATATATATATATAATATATATATATATTATATATATATAGTGTGAATTCCCATAAGAGAAAGGCAAAGCCAGAACATATATTCCATTGGCAAAATAAAAACATGATATATTTTCATTGGATTCCAGATTATTGGTATTGAAGACTTAATTCTATATAGTATTTTGGTTGCTGTTGACAAAATAGTTAATGTTGATAACTCACAGGTCACATTTGGCAGGCTTCCAAATTAACCCATCTAGGGGAGGTCTTACAATTTATGACTTATATCCTGTCCTTGATTAAAGAATCTTATCCTGAGTCTAATCTTATCATGGATTCTCCAAACTGTTGAGGTACCGATTAATACATCATCTACTGACATTGAAAATGACGCTGATTTGTTTCTGGATCACAAAGTTTTACTGATAGTCTTGCACCTAGAATATTTCAGCCTGTTATGTTGCAACCTGTAGCCAATGATTATAACTTCTGTGGTGAACCCTCCAATTAAAAGGAAACTGCAGTGTGAGGAGTCCTTCTCCCTTATTGTAAACTTTCCCCTCCAACTTGTAGCAGATTCTGGAACATGCCCAACTTTGTGTGTCTTTCCTGATCAATCCACACATTTAGCTTTTAATAATGCTGTATCAAATTATTTCTCCCTCGACAGGCTTAATTTTGGTTGGCAATGTATATCAAATAAGATCATTAATGATGCATACAGATATTTAAATATTATAAACCAATGTTTAAAAAGAATGAATAACATGTTAATTTATATAGACTATCTGATTACAAAGCAGAAGGCATCACTGCACACCGATTAAAATAAATATAAACCAGAGTGTTTCAAGGTAAACCATATGGTAATTCTCTTGATGGAATTTCCAGTTTCCCTCCAGGGGTTTTTGGTTGTGTAATGATGGAAGAATGTCTCACTTTTGACCCCCAAAAGAGAGACTTTTAAAATTAATTAATTGACGCTTGCAACTTTGTCAATGATTTCTTTTGCTCTGAATTGAAACTTCTGGGCTATCATTTAAAAATGAATCTTAGGTTTGGCACAAAATTTGGGATTTTGAAGCCTACTTCATGAGTGGGGGATGAATGTCTCTATGCTGCATAGGAGCTGAAGGCAAAGACAGACACACACCTACTGCTCTGGCTCAAACAACTGAACATGGTTTCAGTTAAATTCTGAAAGTTGGCTGAAGCAGGGTGATTATTTTTATTTTTTTATCTCCAAAAATAGAAATAAACTACCCCTATTATTTCGTCTCATGATTTCTGACTTCAGCCCCACCAGCTATTAATAAAAAATACAATAGACTTATCTTTCATAAAATTCTTTAGGATTAAATTTCTAAGTGTACTAGTTACAATGAGGAGAAGGAGCAGAAGGAGAAGGAAGAGGTAGGTGTTAAAGGGGAGAAGGAAAACCAGGAGAACAATTAGCCATTTCAGCAGCTAGTTTTTGTGCTGCTCTCTACTATGACACCAATGTTCATTAAGAACAAGTTTTCATCAAACCTCTGATCAAAGATAATAGTGTTGAGAAACTTGCCCTAATCAACTATCCCAAATCCTCATCTGCTCCAAGAGCACTTTGTACATGCCTTTAATTATGCACAATGGCATTTAATTTTGTTTTGTTGTGCTTTCTTTGCTTCCGTATGATGAGCTGTTGTTGTCGTGAGCACAGTGTCTGGCATGCAGCAGGTATTGTGTAACTCTGTGTGGACTGAACTGAAAGTCTAGGCAATGCTACAAGTCACAGTGCTTGGCAGCATCCCTCATTGCAGAGGAGCTCCCTCTCACTTCTGTGGAATCTTGTAGCTCTTCTCTCATTTGGATATTGGGGATGGTTGCAAAGATCTATACCTGGAAACATTTGTTCCTAAAATAAAAAGGAGCTGCAAAAACACAATCTAACCTCTGACATCTGTTCTTTCTCTCCAGGAGGTCAGAATAATACTGGAAGTCCTCCATCTATTTCTCATCATCTCACTCTTGAGTGTGCACTGCCAACAATGTCCCTGAATGAAGAGCCACTGATTACATCTAAGTTTTGGCTGTTGAAAGGAAGTTCTACGTATAAGGAAGTGCATTGGACTGACAGTCAGGTCAGCATCTGGATTGTGCTGTGAGCTCTCGTATGTATCACCTCATGTGATCTTCGTGATCACTTTGCAAAATGTGGATTTTGCAAAATGAGGCCACAAATAGTCGCCTTTCTCCAATTTTCTCATTTCTTTGACTTTACTTTGTGACTTTTTGGATTGTTGTTTACGGTATGCTACCTAAAGTTTTTCTCACTTCAGAGAAGAGGAAGCTAGCTAATGCTGTCAGTGTCACAGGACACGTCATGCTTACAATGATAAGGTTAATATGTGGCACACCTCTGACTTGAACAAGGCCTGTTTGTTTACAAAGTCAATGGTTACACTCTTACCCTAGAGTTCTAGTCTCCATTCTGCTGCCAATTACCCGATGACCTATGTGACTTTAGACATGTGAAATAACTGGGTTTTTTTTACTTTTGAAAAAAAGGAAGAGCATCAATGAGATAATTTCTAGGGCATTGCTTCTCAAATTTTACATGAATAAAGATAACCTTGGGATCTTGTTAAAAAGTGATTTTTTAATTCAGTAGGTCTAGGGTAGGGCTTGAACTTCTGCAGTTCTAGCAAGTTTCTAGGTAATGGCGGTGCACCTTGTCCACAGATCACACTTCCAGTAACAAAATGGCCTTTCTTTTTATTTGTTTAAGAGTTTGATTCCAGAAAGAATGGTCACTACAAAGATAGGGATAAAGCTATTTTCTACCCAGTGTTCTTCCAGGTAACATTAGATAGGCTCTAATCCTAAGGAACTAAAGAAGACCTAAGTCAATCAGAAGCATCCTAACATAATTGTTGTGTTGATGAGCAGCTCTGCATCCTTAACAGCAACTGCTACACAGCCAACAAGCTCTCATGCATGTCTCACAGCTCCCTGAATTAGATTCCAAAGACCATCTGCCTATGCCACAACTGGGGATGACTTTCCGTCTGTACTTAGTATTTCTCTGCCTTGCAATAATTGCCAAGCATCCAAGAAGCTTCAGAGCCATTAAAGACAGAAACACACACGACTCATTTTCTAGAGACCTATGATAAAAGACAATAGAGCTAGCATTATACAATGCAGCATGGTATGAAGACATCTTTCTAATGCAGAGCAGGATTTGTTTAGTTTTAAAGCCAAGTATATCAGCAGATATACTGCATAAAATAGAGTTGACGAGGAAGAACTTGGTGTTACAGACTGCTGGGCCCATGAGTTCTCTGTTGCAACAAAATTTAATGGGCCATTGAGGCTTGAAGTTGTAATTCAACATAAACCCACTTTGAAAATTGCAATTTGAAGTATTAGTATTTTATGTTATTAGAAGGTTTTGCTTTGAAATAATATTTTTAATTTTGCACTGGACATTAGGATATCAATACTTCATAGAAATGACAATATATGGGAAAATGTTGATGTTGAGGCTGGAGGATGCCTCATCAGATTTTTTTCCCACATATTTTCTTGGAATACATTTGATAAATCATGGAAATAATTCTTCCTTTATTATTGTCAGTAAATTCACTGGTCCCACAAATCGTATTTGTAAGAGTGATATTTTAAAAGGGTCAGAATTTTTTTTAAATGCCACAGTCCAAATTCATCTTTCCATTTTGGTCATTTTTATCTTATACAAGAAAAAAATACTAGATAATGTGTTTTTGTTTCTCTCTTACATAAAAGACTAAGTCAGTTATCATAATTTACATGTAAATTGTGAGTCAGAGGAACATTTCTCAGCAGGTGGTTTTTCAGTGTTAGACTATCTTAGCAGAGAAGAAAGGACACATTGAACATTCTCTTCTCTTCCACATTTTCGATCATCCAAGGTAGTGCCTATCTCAGATAGAAGTCAGAGTCAGCAAGTTAGTTGGCAAATGGGATTATGGGAGCTAAGAAAAGCCAGTGAGCAGCAATTTGACCAACTGCTAATATAGCATTCCTAAACATCAACAAAAACCAAAATAGTTCTGCCAGAATTTAAAATCACTAATATTAAAATTTTGATTACACATTTTTTTTTCCTAACAATTCTTTCCTGAGGTGCCTAGTTGGCTTTTGACTACTGATTGGTTACAGTAATCTTTGTCTCTGCTGTCAGAAAGTACTAAAGCCAAGAGAAAAATGTATGAGATAAACCACTTTCCTTTTCAAACAAACAATGTGAGGTACATCATGCCAGTTAGTGACTGCCAGAATGAATCTTTTGAAATAAATCAGCAATTAGAAATCTCCATGTGCACAATTTTTTTCCATTTTATTGAGATAGTCTTCACTTCTCTTGTAGTACAACAAAGGATAAAATGGAGACAGAGACTCATTTAGTATAATATTATGTCCTGTGCTAGAGTATGGGTATGCCAAAAGCCAAGAATTTGAGAGTGGACTTTGGAAGAATTTAAGAATTAGTTTTTTGCCTTTTCAATTGGGTGAATACGTATAAGATGATATATAAACTTGTTAAAAATAACAGAAACAATAAATAGTAGGTATTATTTTCTTTTTTCTCCTAAATATGGAAGCCTTAAATTAAAAAAAAAAACAGATTCATAGCCATCCTTTTCAGTGTTTCATTTAAAAAATTCTAATGCATGCACAAAGATAGTTAAAGAACTTTTATGCAAAGCTCCTTTCTAAGGTGGCTTGGCATCACAATTGAGGTTTTGTTACTCTCTTACATGTTAAAAACTGTTAACCATATAAGTATATATGCTAATTTTTACCACAGTAGTTAGCGACAGTAGGTAAAATATTAAAAACATGCCAATCAAATGAAATCTGTATCAAAAGTAAAAGAAACTCTTGAAATATGGTAGTAGAACTTCAGGGATCCATGGAAAACAGCCATTGATATATAGCCTGTCTGTAGTTTTTATATATTCCAAAAATTTTTTGTGCCTTTCTCCAAACGAGACCAACACATCATTTATATTGAATGGATTGGACATACATGTAGATAGATTAGGGTGGGTAATTTCAAAAACATCAAGCCTGCTCCCATCCCTCATTTCACAATCCATCTTATTATTAATAGTTAATGAATTAGTTTTTTCCATTACAAAAAAAAATACCAAGAAAGAAAATGTTTAGCATTACAATTTCACTGAAAGGAGAATGCATTGCATTAAATTTTTTGTAAGGTGTGAATGACCAATATAGACTATTTCTGAATAGTTGGGTAAGACTAGGTTTTTAAAAAATGAGTTGAAAATAATTACATAATAAAAATGTTGAAGCTTAATGAATCCTTAATTGGATAATTTATTTTACGAACTGGTAAACAAGAAACACTAAAGAGCTATTTATTTGAATCAATGAAGTAATTAATGAATGAATCTATAACTCAGTGTATTGTTTTTGACATTATCTTGTAGGATGCTTTAGGGTTCCTCAAAGGTGCTTCAGGAGCAACCACAGGGCTGCTTGGGGTGTATTCAGTTTCTCCAGCCTTTAGTTCAATTCAAAGCAGTTTTACTTCCAAATATGCACAATATTGAGTTTTGAAACCATATTTAAGATAGAAAAAAAGATTTGCAGTCATTGTGATCTGAATGATACTGTGGTCATGCTTTTAAAGTTTCTATGGGATGTCAGCAAGATGTCTCTGGCTTTAAGCCCCCTCACAGAAAGTAAAACTAGCAATTGTCTACAGATAATAACACCTTGTGAAAATCCAAGAACCCAGAGATGATGCTGAAACACCTTTCTGGACACCAAAAAAAGAAAAAAAAAAGCACATTAGAAGGTTAACGGGATCAGTTTTACTCTGACTGTGTTGCCAATCTCCCAAGCTTACACAATGCCCCAATGAGAGAATTCCCCTGGGTTTAGTTTCACTAATGGTTAAAAAAGAGAGCCCAAGGTGGATATCCAGTTTCTCCAGTAATTGGAGGTGCTTCCCAGGAGGCCTAGTTCTACCTTGTTTCATGGGGAATACTCAGGAAATCAGCAGGGTTAGCCCACCTGTGGTCATCTAGAAACAAGTGGGGTAAGGCTCACGGCAACCAGTGCACAGATGTTGGCAGTTGTACACAATAGACAGAAGTCTATTGTGCCAGCAGTGATGCCCAATCAGAGAGAATAGCCAATGGCATAGCTCAACCACAGAGCCTAGCTAGTGAACCCCAAAAACATGGCTGGCTGTTCTACCTGGCTACAGTCCCTAGCTAGCCACTCCACCCAGCCTTTGGAGACAAGCCTGAGACTCTGCCCAAACAGGTAGGCATGCTGTGCTCTTACATTTCTGCAGATCATAGCCTTTGGTCCTGCCTGACTAGAAGACCAAAAAGCACCTCTTCCCAGGCTGAGAGCCCAGCCTAAGACCCAGCCTGGGCAAAGAAGCAGACCTGTGATCTTACATATTTGCAGGGCAAAACATCTGGGTCCAAAAGACAATGGAGTGAAACTAGCAGCCCAACCACAGGGCACAGCCCATGGCCCTGCCCCATCACAGGTCCTAATCTGCAACCTCACTTAAATACAGGTCACAGTGAAAGAACAGGTCACCAATACCATCTGACTGGGGAGTATCACTTCAACATGGAGTCCAGCCACCAATACCATCTGACTGGGGAGTGTAACCTAAGACCCCACATGACTAAGGGTGGTTGTGTACCCTAAAGGCAGCCCTGCCCAACTGTAGAGTCCAATTAGCAGCAGCACCTGCCCAGGCAACACAGCCTAAGATTCAGCCCTACCAGAAGTCATTAAGCAGCCTGGGCCAGAGACCCTGGATGACCACAGAACCAAGACACTGGTCTCAGTGACTGCAGAAGCAAACCAAGAGTTGCACTTGAACTCATAGCAGAGGTGACAGTCCTGCCCAACTAGAGAACCTGACATGAAGCCCTGTCTTCCTTAGGTCTCTACTGTAGCAGTGAAGGGAAACTTCCCATTTACTCTTGGAGCGTTCACTGAAAAATCAACTGAAGAAAGGTAGATTAATAGGAGAAATGGCATACAGATTTATTGGTGTAAACAAGGGAAATGTACAGAATGATTATCCTAATGTGCAATGAATTGAGTACAGGTGGTTTATACCTTTCTTCTTGGGGGAGAGGGAGATTGAGAAATGTGGATAATTTTAAAGGGGGGTAGTAAATGAGTTTTAAGGGAATTTAATGGGCTTAAAAAACATACAACAGCCTGGGTCAAAGTCTGTTGAGTCCACAGAGTAGGCAATAGTTTGTGACAAGAAGTCTATTCAGGTGTGTTGACAGACTTCAGTCTTTCTTCTTGTGCAATGAGATCAGTTAATGAAAACTCATGGAAAGGACTACAGGCAATTGTTTCTTGCTTTGGCGAGTGTGAACTTTAGGCAGATAAGGGGACTTTAGAGAACAACTTCATCCTGTGTTTTAGGAGAAAGAATTGGGAAATAAGGGAGGATAAAATGTCATAGAGACCATGAGGCCTCTCCTTCAAAGCACTACATTGTAGGCTAACAGTTTCTAAATTCCAACACTGTCAACTGGTTCATCCAAAACCCAGGATGAAATAACTGGTGATTGTCTATTTCTGCTGAAGCAAATCTATAAAGACAAGAAGAGGTGAGTGCTTCCTCAAAGGCACAGACTGGTGCAAGGATACGGAATCATGAAAAATCAGAGAAATATAAAACAATCAAAGGAAACCAATAGGACACTACCAAATAAAACTAACAAAGCTCCAATAATGGACCCCAAAGAAATGAAGACTACTGAATGTACTGGCAAACAATGCAAAAGAATCCTCTTAAGAAAGTTTGATGAACTATAATACACAGATAGGCACATGAATAAAATTAGAACAATAACATATGAATGGAATTAAAATTTTTGTTTATTTGTTTGAGACAGGGTCTCATGCTGTTGCCAAGGCTGGAGTACAATGGTGCAATCATGGCTCACTCTAGCCTGAAACCCTTGAGCTCAAGTGATTCTCCCACCACAGCCTCCCAAGTAGCTGTGACTAAAAGTGTGCAGCACCATGCCTGGTTAATATGTATTTTTTATTTTTAGTAAAGATGAGGTCTTGCTACGTTGCTGTATTAGTCCGTCTTCACATTGCTAATGCTTGAGACTGAGCAATTTATAAAAGAAAGAGGTTTAATTGACTCACAGTTTCTCATGACTGGGGAGTCCTTAGGAAACTTAAAATTATGGTGGAAGCCAATGGGGAAGCAGGCACCTTCTTCAGATGGCAGCAGGAAAGAGAAAAAGAAGGGGAAACTGCCATTTATAAAACCATCAGATCTCAAGAAAATTCACTCACTATCATGAAAACAGCATGGGGGAAACTGCCCCATGATCCAATCACCTCTCACTAGGTCCTTCCCTCAATACCTAAGGATTACAATTTGGATTACAATTCAAGATGAGATTTGGTTGGGGACACAGAGCCAAACCATATGATTCCACTGCTGGCCCCTCTCAAATCTCATGTCCTCACATTTCAAAACACAATTATGCCTTCCCAACAGTCTACCAAATTCTTAACTCATTCCAGCATTAACTCAAAAGTCCAAGTCCAAAGTTTCATATCAGACAAGTTCCTTCTGCCTATGAGCCTGTAAAATAAAAAATAAGTTAGTTACATCCAAGATACAATGGTGGTACGGACATTAGTTACATCCAAGATATAATGGTGATATGGACATCGAGTGAATGTTCCCATTTTAAATAGGAGAAATTAGCCAAATATAAGGGGCTACAGGCCCCAGGCAAGTCCAAAACCCAGCTGGGAAGTCATAAAATCTTAAAGCTTTGAAATAATTTCCTTTGACTCCATGTCTCAAATTCAGGGCATGCTGATGCAAGGGGTGGGCTCCTATGGTCTTGGGCAGCTCCACCCTTGTGGCTTTGCAGGGTACAGCTCTGCAGTTGCCTTCATGGGTTGGGGTTGAGTGCCTGTGGCTTTTCCAAGCACATGGTGCAAGCTGTTGGTGGATCTACCTTTCTGGGGTCTGGAGGATGGTGGCCTTCTTCTCACAACTCTACTAGGCAGTGCTTCAGTGGGGATCTGTGTGGGGGCTCCAATCCCACATTTCCCTTCCACACTGCCCTAGCTGAGGTTCGCCATGAGGGCTCTACCCCTGGAGCAGAATTCTGCCTGGACATCCAGGCATTCCATACATACCTGAAATTCAGGCAGCGGTTCACAAAGCTCAACCCTTGCCTTCTGTGCATCTGCAGACCCAATATCACATGGAAGCCGTCAAAGCTTGAGGCCTGCGTCCTCTGAAGCAATGGCTCGAGCTGTACTTTGGCACCTTTTAGTGACAGCTGGAGCTGCAGTGGCTGCGATACACAGTACAAGTCCTGAAGCTGCACAGAGGAGCCAGGCCCTGGGCCTGGCCTATGAAACCACTTTTCCCTCCTGGGCCTCTGGACCTGTGATGGGAGGGGCTTCCTCAAAGGGCTTCTGACATGGCCTGAAGACATTTTCTCCATTGTTTTGGCTGTTGACATTCAGCTCTTTGTTATTTACACAAATTTCTGCAAACTGATTAAATTCATCCTGAGAAAATGGGTTCAATGGAGAGCTTCAAGAGAAGACTTTATCAACAGAAGCAAGAATCAGGAAACTAAAAGACACATCATGTAAAATTACCCAGGCAGAAGAACAAATAGAAAAAAAATAAAAAGAATGAAGAAATCTTACTGAACTTAGATGACGCAATGAAAAGAAAAATATAATCACTTTGAAAATACCAGATAAGAAAAAAGGGGAAAAGGGACAGAAAGTCTATTTAAGGAAATGATTGCTGAAAGCTTCTCAAGTTTGGGAAGAGAAATGGACATTCATATTTACGAGGTTCAAAGATCCTAAATAGGTTTAACCCAAAAATGTCTACAACGAAACTTGTAATTAAATTGTCAACAGTCAAATACAAAAAGAGAATTTTGAAAGTGGCAAGAGAAAATTAACTTTCACATACAAGGAAGTTCTCAGAAGACTATTAGAGAATCTCACAAAAGAAACCTGGCAGAGCAGGTGAGAGTGAGTTGATATATTAAATGTACTAAAACAAAATAAAACAACAAGAACAACAACCAAAACACTGCCAACCAAGAAAGGCATACCGAGCAAAGCAGAAATAAAGGAAAAATACAGAAATTTCTGGATAAACAAAAGCTAAGGGAGTTTATAACCACTAGAATGCTAAAGGGGGCATTTCAAGCTGAAAGAAAATAACACTAATTAGTAACATGAAAATTTATAAAAAGAGAAAAATCTTTAGAACTATCAGAGGACAAGCCCAATTATCTACAAAGACATGACAATAAGAACTATTGCTGACTTCTCATCAGCAACAATAAATATCAGGGCACAATGGAATAAAACTGTCCAATATCAATGAGACAGACAGAGAGAGAGAGAGAATAAAAGTACAAAACCTGTCAATATATGTCCAACTCAAGTAAAATATCATGTTGTCTAAAAAGAAGACAAAATAAAAATAATTTTTGAGGATTTTGTCAGTCTAAAACTTCATGAAAACACAATTAAATTTTAGCAGGAGAAGCATGAGCAAAGGAACATGAGCAGTGGGAAGAAAAAATGGATAATAAATTGATGAAACATGCTGATGAATTTAATTAATAATAGCTTTTAAATAATTAATTTTTTCAAAGTTGTAAAAGTTTAGAATTAAAAGTTTTGACCATATAAAGCAACGAGAGAGGAATATTGAATATACATACTAATTTTGTTTTAGTTTTTTTAGGGAGGAAGATTACAAGCTATTGCTTAGTTTCACACTTAAGAATATTTATAGTTAATATTCTTACTTAATATTCACACTTAAGAATATTTATAGTTGATATTAAAATGTTAAGTGTAATCATTAATGAAACAAAAATAAGAATGAATATTTTCTAAAACACTGAGGAGTAAAAGGAGATAGGGCAAGTATATAAATTTTCTGAATGCTGCAGAATGAAGAAAAAGAAAATAAACTAGGAAAAGCTTTGAGAAACAGTAAACAGATGATGTGAGAAAGCCAAACAACATAACTTCATTAGAACTGTTGTTAATATATCAACATACTTTATTCTAGAGACAAATACTTATTATGTCAAATAGAAGAATAAAAAAATTCATCAATGTGTACTTGTAAGAACCACATCCAGAACAAATTCACATAGAAAGACAGGTCACACTAATATTAAATAATAATAGCTGTTTTGAGAAATTAATATCAGACAAAATAGTACTTGAGTTTAAAAAATACACCAATAAAAACATACATTTTTCAACCATACATAGAATTTAAAAACATTTATGAAGATTTCAAGGAAAATTTCAAGTAACTACCAAAATATATTCCACAGCCAATTTTCTCTGATTACAGAGAAAACACATTACAGTTTTCAAAACTGGGTTTACAAAACATATGGGTAAAACAAAATCATAATTAAAAGTATACAATTTAAGACAGATAATAAAAATTGCCATTAAAAAGTATAGCATACACCAAAAGCAATACTTACAGGGAATGTTATAGTCTTTAAAATACTGAGAACAAGAATTTTATAAAGATGAATTAAGCTTTCAACTCAAAAAATATACATGTATGAAATAGTAATTCAAAGGAGACTAAAGGAAGGAAATATAAAAACAGAAACTAATAAATAAGAAACAAAATTTAATCAACATTAATGAGTAAAAAATATTGTAATAAATCAATAAAAATAAAATAAATTCAATCAGTAGTAATAATAAAATATTCCATCATAAGAGATTACCTAGTGAGTAACTGTTAAGGTTTACCTTGATTTCACAGTATGTATTGTTTTATATACATTGTTTCAACAAACAGAATAAGAGCATGTATTTTGTGAGGTAAGCCTCATTAACAAATCCAAACAAGTACTATTCAAGGAAAGAAAAATTGACACTACCAAGATAAAAAATCTTAAAGTATTAGGAAATGAAATCCAACAATGTATTGATGAAATAATACTTCACATACGAGTGTTTTAAGAATGGGTCAAAATGAAGAAAATCTGTCATTGAAATTCACCTCCTTACAGATAAAAAGAGAAAACAGACAACATTATCTCAATAGGCGAAGATAAAAGCTTTTGAAATAATGACTAATAAATTATCGTAATTCTTAGTTAAATATGGATTGAAGGGAACTTCCCTAAAGCGGCTAAGCATAAATTGTGCCTACCAAACCCATGTCTTTTCTTTCTGGGCACCCAGGTGGATATTTCCCAGCATTCATTGCAGTTATGTGAGGCCATGTGATCGAGTTCTGCCAAATGTGCACCACTCCTGAATCTAGCCTATAAAATCCTTTCACTCATTACTTGGTCTCTTCTTCCATCTGTCAGCTAGATATCACTGCCCAGAATAACCTTGGATGCTAAAGATTAAAAGTAGCAAATACTTTAATGGTTTATGATCCCCAAATAACTATAATAGCATAAATATAATGTGTAGAATAATAAAAATGTGTTTTATTTAACTGAAATAAAACCTGATTGCAAAGTGAGATAACCCCAGGTAATGGATTGATACATCAATTGCAAATATATAGATGTTGTCTCTGAATTAATGCGTACATTTAATTCTAGTTGTAGCAAAATTTGAAGAAAACTATTCATTAAATATAATAGACTAATTTTAAAAAACTTATGGAAGAACAATGTTAAAACAGTATCTGAAGTAATTCTGAAGAAGGAAATGAGGAGGAGGGCTGGTCTCACCACAGAGAAAGAAAATTTATGAAGCTTTACTAGTTAATACAATGTGGTCTTGTCACAGGAATAAGTAAATAGACCAGGATGACAGAACAGGAGTTTCAGAAACAGATTACAGCATATATGAGAACTTTTTGAGAATGGAGGAGGTATTAGAATTTAATTTAGAGACTGAAGATTACTCAATAACTAGTATTGTTGGTACACTTGGCCTTAAATCTCCCTATAACACACTATACAAAACATGTATCTCAGAAGATGTATGTATTCAAATGTGAGAAACAAAAAAATTAGAGATATATAGGAATATGGTTAGTATCTTGAGGCATAAAAGAATTGTATAAAGAAAACACAAAAATCAGAAAGCATAAAGAAAAACCTTACAAAATTTGATCACAACAAAAATAAAACTACTATTAAGAATGAGACAATAAACAAAATTAAAAGTCAAAATACAGATTGTTAAGAGATGTTTGCAAAACATAAAACCAACAAGGTATGAATTACACTTACAAATATTTAAGAAAAGGAAAACAATTACAAAGAAAAACAGGAAGATTGTGAAAGGACAACTCATAGAAATAAAAATAAAGATAGCCAATAAACTTATGAAAAAATATACAGTGTCACCAATAATTTGGGAGTGCAAACATAACACATATTTTAAAAATTAAGTACTATTCAATATTGCTACAGATATTAAACAGTGACATTTATACCTTGATTTTGGCAGAATATCAACATTTGAAAAATTGTTTGGTGATATTTGATAAATATGAAGATATAAATATACTTTGCCACTGCAATTCCATTTCTAGGAAAATACCTTGTACATATTCAGAAGGGAGTATATAAAAATGTTGATAAAATTATTTGTAATAAAAAAGCTCAAATGTCCATCAGTGAAATACATACCACATTCATGATATTTCTTTTCTCTGGAGAATGAAACAGAAACTTCAAATTTAATTTTTAAAACAAAAATATCTGAAGCAAATATGTTAAAATATGTGAAGAACCATAGCAAGCTGATGAAGTTCAAAGACTGTAGAGTCAAGTTTTTCAGATCCAAATCCCAGGCTATATTTACAACCTGTAGCACTCAATCTCCCCGTATTTCAGTTTCTATATCTGGATTAAATGAAATTTTGGTGAGGATTAAATTAGTTAATATAAACAAAACACATGAACCATTTCTGACATATCATGAAATAACTATAAATGGATAGTTATTATTTTTAATTTGGCTCCAAAAGTGAGTATTCTATTATTAGCCGTTCTTTTCTGTACTTTAAAAAAGGGGGTTAGATCTTTAAATATTAAAATAATAAATCTAATTCAACGTTTTTTATTTATATTTAAGGGGATAGAGATACAAAATAGCACATTCAAGTCCCCAATGGTAGCACTTTCAAGAAGAGCGCTCGTTTTCCCTGACAAACTCTGTGCTATTTCTTCTGTCACATACTACCAGTCACCTTATTTTCTAAGCCCAAAGTTAAACTGTATTTATGATCTGAAACATGATCTGACATGAGACTTAATATTGGAAACCAAGTTGATCTTATGAGAACTCACATATGCACCTTGGGGTGATTTGTTATGTTAGCTCATTGAATTCCTAAAAAAATAGAGTTGAAGGGAAAGGTGAGAGGGAAAATGCACATGAAAGAGATGTTTCATTGTTTATTTACTTGTAATTCCCTTTTTAAAGGTGTTTTTATCCCTCAATGAAAAGTTAGAAAAAGGAAAGTGTTAATGTGTGCGTTTACAGAGGCCCAGGTTAGATTCTAGTTCATTAATGCATGTGAGTATGAAGTCAATATTGGCTAATGGTCAAGAAATTGTTGAGACCTTCCATTTATAATTCTGATATTTCTTGTGCCTCTTCTTCCTTGGTTTCTCAGTCCCTGCTTTGTCCTAGTACTACTTTATTTTTTCCATCAGTTCTTTTACCGCCTCCCCCGACCCCCTGCATTGATGTCACATGTCCTCCTAAGCCCTGCATCCTAGGAAATTCCAGATGACTCACTGTATTGAGTCAGATGGTAGACCATCAAAATGGTATGTCTACCTGTAACCTGTGAATGTGGCCTTATTTGGGTAAAGAGCCTTTGCATATATTATTAGGTTAAGAATATCTAGATGAGATCATACTTGATTTGTATGGGCCTTTGCTCCAGTGACAAGTGTCTTTATAGGAGAAGGGCAGGAAAGAAAACATACACTGTGTCAGTTGATGTGACAGCTGAGGCAGGGACTGTGTCTACAAGCCCAGTGGCACCAGGGATTGCCAATAGTTGCAAGAAACTAGCAGAAAGGCATGGAATGGATTCTCCCTTATAGTATCCAGAAAAATAAAATAAAAGAAAAGAAAAACCCTAGCTAACATGTCACTCTCAGACTTCTGGTTTCCAGGACTGTGAGAGGATAAATTTATGGGATTTTTTTAGTCATCAGTTTTTGATAATTTGTTAATATGAGCCCTAGGAAATGAATACATCTACCCTTGTCATCCTACTAACTTACTGGGATCCTGGGCAAAGGGGAAGTTTTTCTGAGGAGTTATAAAAAGATTTCGGTTAACACAAGAAAATATTGAGAGAAACTTCATGCCTTGCCAATTATCTTTTAGACTCTCAAGGATATGAGGGTGGTCAGGAGCCCACAATGAAAAGATGCAAACCCATGTCTTTCATTAAATACTGTTATTTTGCAAAGAAAAAGTAAAGAACAGGTAAGGAATAAAGCAGGAGTAAGGAGAAATTGAAGTGAATTTTTCCTTGCTGTCATTTACTGAGTATGTCAACTTGAGACACATTTAATTTTAAGGCTTGGAAAACCTTATTCCTATTTTACACTATTTTTATTGCTTTAACTCACACTACCAAAGGAGCTACGTAAGTGGAAACTGTCAATCAACTAAAAAAGAGTCATGGTTTCCATAGTAACCTTCGCTGTTCCTCATAAGTCATCATGCATGTAAAAGTGAGGGGCTGACTGCGGAAGTAACAAGGATCTCTTGTGTCTTAAGGAATTTCATTTTTCCAACAAGACCAAAGAGGTGAAGGGGAAATTGTTCATAAAATTGGCTTCTAAGACCTCAAGAAACCACGAGGTAAAAATAAGTTTTATGTTAACTCTCACTGATTCTCAAAACTGATAAGTTCCATTATAGGTTCCAAATCTTCTTACAGTTATTTATAAGCCATTAATTGGCATACTTATTTATTATTCCCTAAAGTTTTATCAGTATGAGACATATTAAACAGAACTACAAACATCAATGTCAAAAAATCAGTCATATTATTGAAGAACATGGTTATTCTCAAGTTTACTTTAAGAATTGCCTTAGATGCCTATTTAAAATTCATATTATGGAGGATCACCACTGATCTGCAGTAACAGAATCCCCATGTGGGGCCTGGGCATTCTTTTTTTAAAAAATCCCCACCTGTTATCTGATGCAACTGGACTTGCATTAGTTTCGACGTAGTTCCTTAAATCATGCATTTAGACAATGGAAGTCCTTTATAATATCAAGGAAGCTGTCCTCCTGTTTAGTACACAGTTTTCCCAGGTCACCACAGTGAGGCTCAACAGCTAATAACACTTATTGCATAAGAGCACACGGCAGGGTATTTTGCAAGGTTATCACATTAATTCTAACAAAAATTTCATGAAAGAGGGAATAGTGTTAGTCTCATTACAGAAACTAGGAGAATAAGACACCGATTACATACATACTTGCAGCAGTGAAGTACAAGTAACTGATGGAGTTGTCAAACCTAAGTTTGCCAAGCTACAAAACCCCACAGTCCTTTCAGTCCTTTTATAACGGCCTCTAGCTTCATGGTCAAAATAGATTTCTTATGATTGAAAATGAAACAAGAACAAAGGCATACTTCTATTCAATATAATCTGTGGAGGATGGCAGAGTGTCCCATCCCAGGGAAAGGGAGGATTAAAATGTAAAAACATCTAATTTTAATAATGACACCAAATTGCATACGGTTGTATAGTTTTTTTTAAATAGTTTTTATATAAAACGTCTTATTAGATTCTTTCAACAAACTTCTGTGGTAGGTAGGACAGAGGTTATCAGCTACATTTATAGATGACAGCAGGATGGCTCAGAAAAAAAAAGCAGAGGGAGAGAGATTTTCAAGATTGCATTGACAGAGACAAGACTTTTAATTATTTACTTTTTCTAATTCTGTCCATTGTCCCAGAACGTATCCTTATCTTTTCTGAGGATGGCATCCTATCTTCACTGTTAACTCCAACCCCAATCAATTAGGGTATCTGATTTTCAGAAGCCAACATTATGGGGGAAAAGACTAGAAATGACAGTACAATAAGAACATGGACTTGGATTTCAGATTGAGATGTGAGATTCAGCTCTGCAGTATACTAACTATATAAAAGTGCAAATTAAACTGTAAGGCTCAGATTTACTCCCATGTAAAACAGACATCAAACTAATATCCTACATATTTGAGAAGTAAAGCATATAAACCACCTATCCAAGTATCCTGAAATCACTTACTATAGATGCTGGTTGTAGTATACTTGTCACTATCACCATGATTATGAAGGGAGCAAGGGATATGTAAAACAGCACAGATAAAGAGAAGACAGCAGTAAGCCAGGGTGCTATTCCACAGAATGTTTGGCAGAGAGTCAGGCATGTATTATTTTCCTCTCTTTGGGAAGACAGAGGTAGCCTCCACTCCAGGAATGGGATGAGAATGCTTTGTAAGAAGCACTGAGGGGTTTAATAAAAGCTTGATTAAGGGACAGTAATGTCAGCAAGATGGCTGACTACAGATACTTGGCATTCATCATCCTCCACAAGTAAAAACAAAGGCAACAAATAAACAGCTAAGATTTGACTGGAGTGTTGAAAGGAGAGTGCTAGAGTGCAGTGGGAAAGGGGAGATACACCTGTGGTGATTACAAGTCCAGTAGTGCAGTGTGGAAGTGCCTGACCTCTGCAACTCCCATCTTTCTGGCCTAGATCAGATCTACCTGGAGTCAGGAGAAACTTCCTGTTGTGATGAAAAGGTAAGCAGAAGATTCCCACCAGCTCCCATTATCACTGTAAGCATCTACAATCCTTATAACAGGAGACTTCCACTGTCTCCTAGTTGGAAGAGAAACTGAACATTAACACAGCTGCATTGCCCTGGATTAGGAGCACAAAGTGTGCACTCCCCACTTCCAACTCTGCCTGTGAGCCAAGCTGCTGCAGGACAGTGCCACCTTGAGAGTAGAGCCCCCTTTGGAATGTGTCCTGCTTTGACGCCAATAGCCCCTGCACCTCTCCAGTACAGAGATTCCATCTTCATTATGCCAAGCCTATACAAGTGCTTAAATGCCACAATCCCAGGCTGAGCATGGTGGCTCACGCCTGTAATCCCAGCACTTTGGGAGACCAAGGAGGGCAGATCACGAGGTCAGGAGATGGAGACCATCCTGGCTAACCCGGTGAAACCCTGTCTCTACTAAAAATACAAAAAATTATCCAGTGGTGATGGCGGGCACCTGTAGTCCCAGCTACTCGGGAGGCTGAGGCAGGAGAATGGTGTGAACCCGGGAGGTGGAGCTTGCAGTGAGCCGAGATCATGCCACTGCACTCCAGCCTGGGCAACAGAGCAAGACTCCGTCTAAAAAAAAAAAAAAAAAACCCACAATCCCAGCTGCACAGAGTTTGTGCACAGGATTCACTGCGACTGCAACTCTGGTCCTGCACAGCAAGGAAACAAATCCTGTTGCTGCAATTTCAGCCTGAGGAACAGTCTGCCAGTCCTGACCAGGGTGAACCTGCCCTTGAGCTGGCCAAACTACTGCATACCCTCTCCCAAACATGAGCGCTCCCTGAGCCTCTGAGTAACTGATATACCCCCTAGGCCAGTGGGGAATCTAGTCACCCATTTTCAGGACTTGAGAACAGCTCTGTAGTATCCCTGTTCCCAGTAGCTACACCCCTAGCCTATCCAATGGCCTTGTGCCCAAATAAGGGCCTGAGAAACAGCCCCACAGGCAGCTACTGGTAGTCATACCCCTAATCCTGGAACCAGTCAAGAGCCCACATCCAAAACCTAGAAACAGCCCTATGAACCTCCCCTGGTAGACACACCCCTGAGTTTGTCAAGCAGCCTTGCACTTGTGTTCCAGACCTGAGAAACGGACCTACGGGCCACTCACAGCAGACATGCCACCAGGCTGGTTGAGCAACTGCACTCCCATGTCCCAGGCCTACAAAGCAGCCCCATGGGCTGTACCCTGCAGAAATGACCCCAGGCCAGACAAGAAGTTGTGCAGAGAAATAGCCCTGTGCCTTCACATGCCTGAGAAAGAGCCCTGTGTCTCCTTCTAGTAGAAATACCTGTGGGTTAGTCAAGCAACCCTGTGCACATGTACTAAACCTGAGAAATAACCCTAGGGGCTACTCCTAGCAGACATGACCCCAGGCCGGCCAAGCAGCTGTACATTCCCAGGACAATTAAGCAGTCCTGTGTCCACATCATGGACCTATGAAATAGCCCCATGAGTCACCCTCACCAGACATGCTTCCCAGGCCAGTTGAGCAGCTATGTCACCACATATCAGATCTAAGAAATAGCTTCTCAGGCCCTGGGCATGACCCCAGGCCAACAAAGGAGCTGAGTGCCTGCCTCCTGGGACTGAGACATAGCCCCAGAAGCTGCTCTTGGTAGGCATGCTCCTAGGCCAGCTGAGCAATTGTGTGTGCATTGCTCCCAGAGTAAAAGGCCTGTGGTCACAGCCGTAGCAAGCCAGACCCTAAGTTAGCTAATATACAACGTGCACACATATACTCCAACCTGAGAACAGCCCAGTGAGTCCCATTCTGGCAAAGTTGCACCATCATCACCACAAATTCTCTCAGCCTGGGCCACTGAGAAACTCATAAATGCCACTAATGTGGATTACAGGTGAAGAAACTACATGGAGACTACACTACTGCATTTACCTAGAATCAAGGCCAACGCATCCCACCAAAGAAATACTGTAAGACATATTCATACAAATAAGAATTCCCCTATGAAACCTACTTCATAAAATTGGAAGGGATGTCTTTTACTTCAGATGCATAAAAATCAACATAGGAACACTTAAACCATGAAAAAGCAAGGAGATATATCACCACCAAAGAAAAACAATAATTCTCCAGTAATAGATTCCAATAATAAGGAAATATATGAAATTGCAGAATATATGAAATATATGAAAATCCAGAATATTGAATTCTGGAAAAGAATTCAAAATAATAACCTTAAAAACACAGTAAGATACAAGAGGATACAGACAAACAATTCAAAGAAATCAGCAAAATAATTTATGATTTAAATGAGAAACTTGACAGAGATAGATATCATTAAAAGGACAAAACAAAAATTCTAGATCTGATTTTAGTGAACGAAACTATAAAAAAAAATACAATTGAGAGCTTCAACAACAAACTAGACCAATCAGAAGGAAGAATTTCTGAACTTCGAGGCAGGTCTTTTGAAATAACACAGGCAGACATATTGAGAGAGGGGCAGGTGGGGGAGAGAGGGAGAGAGAAAGAGAGAGGAATTTAAAAGAATGAAGAAAGCCTGCAGGATTTATGTGACACCATTAAGTGAACAAATATTCATATTATGGATATTCCAGAAGGAGAAGAGAAGGGAAATGGTGAGTAAAATGTGTTGAATAAAATAATAGCAGAAAACTTCTCAAGTCTTGAGAAAGAGAGAGACATCCAGGTCCAGGAAGCTAAAAGTATTAAAAATAGACTCAACCCAAATAAATCCTCTCTGAGGCATATTATAGTCAAATTGTCAAAAGTCAAAGACCAAGAAAATATTTCAAAATCAGAAAGAGAAAAGCATCAAGTCACATATAATGGAAACTTCATTAGACTAACAGATTTCTCAACAGAAACCTTAAAGGCCAGGAGAGAATTAAATTATATACTCAAAGTTCTGAAACTAAAAAAATACAAAAATGCTGTTAACCAAGAATATTATACCCAGAAAGCTATCCTTCAGAAATAAATGAGAAATTAAATTTTTACAGACAAGCAGAAATTGAGGGAATTTATCACACTAGGCCAGCCTTACAAGCAATGCTCAAGAAAGTCTTACAGGCAGGGTGTGGTGGCTCACACCTGTAATCCCAGCACTTTGGGAGGTTGAGGCGGGTGGATCACCTGAGGTCAGGAGTTTGAGACCAGCCTGGCCAACATGGTAAAATCCCGTCTCTACTAAAAACACACAAATTAGCCGGGTGTGGTGGTGCATGCCTGTAGTCCCAGCCACTCAGGAGGCCAAGGCAGGAGAATCACTTGAACCCAGGAGGCAGAGGCTGCAGTAAGCCAAGATTGCACCACTCCAGCCTGGGCAACAGAACAAGGCTCTGTCTCAAAAAAAAAAAAAATCTTACATCTGGAAGTGAAAAGATAATAACCACTATCATGAAAAACATGTGAAAGCATAAAACTTAATTGTAGAGCTCATACACACAGGAGAAAGAGAAAGAAATCAAAGCTTATCACTACAGAAAACCACCCAACCACAAAAATAAACTAAGCAATAAGAAAGGAAGGAAAGAACAAAGGATATAAAAAATAACCAGAAAACAACAATAAAATGACAGGAGTAAATCTTCACCTATTAATAATATCATTGAATGTAAATGGACGAATGTTTGAGACAATGGATAATAATTACTCTGATCTGAGAGCTATACATTATATGTACCCAAACATCACTACATACCTATAAATACGTACAATTATTGTCAAATAAAAAATGATTTTTAAAATGCCTGATGAGTTGCTCCATCTAGGGTTTGGGAAGAATGGCATAAGTGCTTTTGGAGGCTGTCAGCACAATTTGCTTTGCTTTTCAGTGTTGGTTCCACCGAGCTGAAGGGGAAAGCTAGCATGGCTGGCTGCTTAGGGCTGCTCCTAGCTTCTTGCTTTAAGAAGAAATCGATTAATGAGACCTTCAGCTTTCCTTTTAGTTGCTGTAGCTTGATTCACCAAGCTAGGCAAGAAGGCCACACTTTAGGGCAACAGCCCTGACTAGAATAACAAATTACGCATTTCTCTCAAATAACTTGATCTCCACTGGGCTTGGGTCTAGAGGACAGAGAACAGAGAGCGGGGGAAAAAAAAGAAAGAAAGGAGAAACTAACCTTGGTTCAGTGCCTAGTATGGGTCAGCAATGTGCTTTTGCTATTTTATCTTTTAAGACTCGGAATAAGCCTGTAAAAGTGGTGTCTGGCCCTGTTTTACAGCACAGTAAACTGAGACTCAAAGAGTTTAAGTGAATTTTTCAAGGATTTCCAATAAATAATTATTGAGTTGGTGTCAAAACTTGTGTATGTCTGACTCTGAAGCAATTATGTTCATTATACCATGCTGCCTAATATTTTGTACATCATGTGACTGTTGTTTTAAATTTTCATTAAATAGAAAATTAAAATACAATATTTAGAAATATATATTTTAAGCAGAATTTCTAGCTCCAGAATTAAGGATTGGCTATTATTATCCTTCAAGGATTGTGATATTTTTCTGTTTGCATTTTGAATTCTAAGAACTGAGGTCTCTCTCATAAATTACTCTCTGAAGAACTGCAAATAGCTGTGAATAATACTCCCCCTGCTCACGACCTTTACATGCTCTCACTTTCCGTTGGGATTCAAAAACAATGCAACAAAGTCAATAAGGACAATGATAGAGCAAACAAAGCCACCTGGCTTGATTGATCTTTCCCTTTCTTTATTCCCACTGCTAACTCCTTTTCCATATAACACTTTACAATGTACCACATCTATAATTCCCTGCCACATAAAAATTACTAAGGACATAATGAATTTCAAGCACAAAAGCACCTAATTCTCACAGCATCCCAGAGCTATTATAGTGGCAATGACAGAATTTATAAAAAGAAAAATTAGCATAGCTCTTCTTTGGAAACAAGGCTAGTGTCCCAGGCATACACGAGAGCCCTAGATTTCAATATTTGAATTGCTTGTATCTCTCCACTTCAACATTTCAAAATAATGTGACCTTAGTTTAAAATTTAAAATGATTCTAACAAATAATATTTATTGAGGAATATCTGAAAATGCCGTGGATGGGGATAAGCAATTGCTCCTTTATGCGTTTATGTATGTTTTAGTTTTACTTTGGCTTTACGTTCATGTCACATGGTGGTCTGTAATACCTTTGCTACCATGTTCTTTCTCATCTCTCCATTCAAGATGTGTTTGAAACCCAAGAGAAGAAAAAAAAGTGGATTTATTTTCAATTGGCTTTAGCGCTTGCATGCCTTGTATTTAAGACGTTAAAATCAGAACATTAGATAGATGCCTGCCAGCCAAGGCAATTACTTCTACCCATTACACTTCAAGACCAAATTATTTTAGTACTTGAAACAGTTTCTCCTAATTGTCTTATGCTCTGCACAGTGACATTAAACCCAAATAGTCACTTCTTTAGTTTTATTGACAGTGTGTGGTTTGAATTATGGGTTGTTGACAGTGTTTTTGGCAATCTTATTCTCTTCTATTTATTTTGTTTCCTGCTTTCATTTGTAATTTAATGTTGTTAGGGACCTACCTAAATTAAAGTTTGTTTGCCTTATCCTTTCACTGTTGCTTCAGTAGGTATATGATTTTAAAATTTAGAAGGCACATCTAATGAAACTGAGGATGAGAATTTTCTGCTCTTAATCTTTTCTTCAACTGTATTGTCCAATGGAGATGGACAATACACTACCCACATGTAGTTATTTAAATTACTTACTCTACTTAGAATTAAACAGAATTAAAATGTGAGCACCTCAACAATACTGGGAATGCATCGAATACTCAATGGTCACATGTTGCTAGTGGCTACTGTTGTGAACTGCAGAGATGTAGAACATCTGCATCTTCACTGCAGAAAGGTCTATTTAACAACATTGCCTCAAGGGTCTCTTCTACATGAGGAAGCAACTGTTTTTTCATAAAGAACTGTAATAGAGAGTCACCAAAACAAACACCCAGAAAATCCCCTAAACATCCTTATAATGAGACAGGCTTATCAGATGTTTATCAGGCTACAGGATATGGGATGTAACAGGGTTCTGGCTTGTGTGTAATCCATGTGCATCAGTGGAATTCCAAGGGCCCTCCACATATTTATTTGCACCAGGAATCAAGGATCCAGTTAAGAAAGGGACAGTAAGAGGGTCTCATTATTGAGAGTATGTTTAGTATACATGGAGGTGATAGAAATGGAAGGAGAGGGAATAATTTGGAACACTGTTGTAGATGAAATTTAAGGCTATTGAGTTAAGGCCTGCAAATGCAGGCTCCTTAGGGGAGAGATAGTTACTCATAAAAAATGGAAGACATGCTTATCAAGATTTATAAAATGATGGGACATAAGAAACGGACTTCTAGGATGGATCCTTGGAGTATATTACTAAAGAAAGCAGGGATTCCTTACCAATATGCTTTAGGCACTGGGGAAACTGGATAACTGTCTGTGACAGACCATAGAGAACAAGACCATTTGTTAGCGAGGGAATACAGTGTCCCTTGGAACCCTGGTCACATAAAGAAATAATAGCTTTGGGACATCAGCAACTGCACTAGAGCCTGGCAGGAAACACAAAGACCAGGAGTGGCATCTAGTTACCTCATAGCACAGGGTGGAAGTTAAGAGATGCCATACAAAGAAATGCTGACCACTTCTCAGTGCTTATTACTATGAAAAAAAAGAATGATACATTTTACTTTCCATCAGAGAAGGACTATGGTTTAATACATATATTATTATTTGAATATATAGTTCCTGGGATAGTTGAAATGGACATAATAATTTAACATATTAATTTAAGGCATCATTACACTAAAATGAACTGATATTTATGTATGTCTGTACAATAAAGCCTTGGTAGGAAATAAATGGCTGTTATGTAAGTAATTCCTCCTTTCTCTTTCTTACTTCCACATTTTGCCATTAAGATAATTGGACATTTTAAATGCTGGTAAAGAATAAATTATTCAACAATGGTAGATTGAGGTGAGATTTATCATCTAACTCCAAACACCTAAGATAATCTAGGAAATATTTTGAATTTGGAGATTTTGCAAGTACACCTATGAACCAACCCTGTGACTCACTCAGCAGTCAGTGGCATTACAACTGAATTTTAACCCTCTCTTGCTGCTGTCCTGCTATACTACTCATTACAAGAAGTCTGGGACTCCACTGAATAAGCATTGAGGGGTAAAAGTTGAAACTAAATAATTCAATCTGAATTCCAATCGAATGGGTGGGGGGTGGGCAGGCCATTCCTTCCCTTCTGTCCTCAAATGGGAGAATCACATAAAGATTTTTATTTATTTTTTTCTCCCTCTCCCTGACGTTAAGAAGGTCTAAGCACTTCTCAGCAGCAGGTCTTTCCTAGGTCCATCATCAGTTTGCCATGCAGCATAAGTCCTAGGTCAAAAACTCTACATATACCTCAATTTTCTTATAATTAACATGCAAATAACAATCCCCATTCTACATGTAACAATCTGAATGGAATACAAGGAAAAAGAACCATACAAATCATGTTGATTGAACACATGCTAAGTGTCAGGTACTTTTACCAAAGCATTTCTTTTAATACAACTTCCTTTAATCTGTGATGTGCCATGAGGGAGATGTGTGGTAGCCGTCTGTCCAGCATCTGAACATGTCTCTTAGTTTGGGAGACTCTCAAGATAAGAGGAAGCTAGGATTCACCTCTCTCTATCAAAGTCTGGGGAATGGGGCATCAGATAGACCTGTCTTTTGTCCCTTAGAAACTAAGTAAGGGACAGCCAGGGTACTTAGGCTTGTCCATCTGCCTACAAAACTGAATCTTGAGGGAGTTACTCAAAGGTGCAGGGACTGTTTGCAGTTGCTGTGGCAGAGACTCTGCAATAATAACCCATCCACTGCTCCATAAAACTTAGTGAGGTCAGATCGTGGTTGCACCTGGCTTCTTTTGGTTCCTGCCCATTTTACTTCCCACCTTCCTAAAGCTTCTAGGGGTTCCCTCATATTTTACCAATAAATTACCCTCCTCTTTAATTTAGCGAAAGTCGTTTCTGCTTCTGTCACCAACAACTTTGGTGCAATAGGAATTATCACCTATGTTTTTGTTCTGTTAGACTTTTGCAGTGACATCCTCACCAAAGCTGTTGATGTGTTCACTGAGTGTTATACAAGTGGTAGACAGCTCAGCCAGGATTAAAACCCTTACGTATGTCTTTCAAAAATGAATGTTCTTTCATCTCGGATAGGTATTTCCTTTCTATGCTTTTTTATATTTCTTATTCTTCTTTTTGCCTCTTCTCAAGATTTCTCCTTTCCATTTAAATAATTTTTGGTTCAAATAAGAATATCAAATTCTTTTTTTTCTTTTTTTTTTTTTTTTTGAGATGGAGTCTTGCTCTGTTGCCCAGGCTGGAGTGCAGTGGCCCAATCTCGGCTCACTGCAACCTCTGCCTCCCGGGTTAACGCCATTCTCCTGCCTCAGCTTCCCGAGTAGCTGGGACTGCAGGCACCCACCACCACGCCGGGCTAATTTTTTGTATTTTTAGTAGAGATGGGGTTTCACCGTGTTAGCCAGGATGGTCTCGATCTCCTGACCTCGTGATCTGCCCGCCTCCGCCTCCCAAAGTGCTGGGATTACAGGCGTGAGCCACCATGCCTGGCCAAGAATATCAAATTCTTATAAGCAATGTAGTTTTTATTCTTAGCATGTATTCACCAAAGTTAATTCTAGATTAATACTTAGAGGCTTGTAAATCCCTGTTAGCCATAGAGTGTCATTTCAGGAATCTTCTGACACTAAGAACAATACATATTGACCTATCCCATAAATTATTTCAAGTTCTTCAGCTACATCTTGGTAGAAAAAAACTCAGCAACAGGAGTCTGGCTATAGACTATGTTATAAGCATGTACTGCTCATATAATAAAATGGAATAATGAATAATTGGTTGGCATATATTCAAAACCCAGAAACAGCATGAAATATTTGAGTGGTTTGTTCTGATTTTATTGTACATCCCTTTAAACGGTAAAGGAATCTTAAAATGTTTTCAAGTTAATGCTGAATTTGAACAAATGGAGAAGCATTTTTAGTAACCAGGTTATCAGTACCTGAAAGAAATAGAAAAACTCTAAGTATGGGGATTGCATTACATCCAGAAAGCAAAGACTCTCCTGGGCTTTGTGACAGAATGTGTAAGACAAGCAGAAAATACAAGTTCATCCTGACAGCTGTTAGAGAGATGTCCAAAAAGAATGTGGATGTCAACATGTATTCACCTTTTTGCAAAGGTGTGAAGCAAAGGTGAACTCTGATGAAAAGCTTGTCAAAATAAGAAGGGTTAGGGACTAGAGTGTTTGTCACTCAGCCTGGCTACTATTACTAAATGGCAGGTAGAGAAGAGTCTCATGCCTATCTGAATGAAAACAGAGGAGATTATAAAGATGCTGAACAAACAGGGCTTTGATTGCTGGGAGTAAGTGTGGATATATCCCGGGGCCAGCTGTTGAATAGGGTATACCAATGCCTCCCAGGCATGAATAAATGACGAAGGCCAGGCTAACCTGAGAAAGTTATGATGCTTAGTTTCCATGTAGTAGAAATGGTACGAAGGAAAAATAAAAGGTCTTTTTCTGTTGAATCAGAATGAGAAAAAACACAAATTTTTTTCTTTTATTTTATAGAAGAAGGCAAGAAATCAGATATCCTAGTTAGTCTATGCCTTTCCAGAGAACACAGTACCCAGGACAATGCTTTGGAGAGCCAAACTCTGAGTTGGGTTCTAATGAGAATGCCAACTCTGCTCCTTCTTCAATAAACTAGAAGAGATTCAATACACATCATGCTAGTTATCTTTCAGGACATTTTCATTACCTGCAGCTATAGAATAAGAGTTCCAAAACTTCAGTGTGCCTAAGATTAACCAGCAGAGCCTCTTTAAATATCGATTCATAGGCCTGGATAGGGCTCAGTAAATTATATTTTAGCAGACACCAAAGCAGATCCTGACTCTGCTCCAGGAACCCACTTTACTGTTATGGAAAATCCTAAACTCTGCAGCCAAGGAGACCAGCTTTACTACTGTAATTTCCCTCAGCTGAATGCAGGCACCCAGGGAGCTGTCATCTATAGGCCACCTGCTCAGTCAGGCTCTAACCACCAGGCACTCCTTTTCTTCATTCTCCCTCTAAGTAGAGCTGTAGGAGCACTGGCTTTGGTGTTTGCAAATCTTACTGAATACCTCTGCTTCTTAAGGTTGACTTTGGAATAGCAATAATACCTAAGACAGTCTCTCAGGGCCCAACACTTGGTACTAGTATACTGGCTAGTTTGCCAAACAAGCCTGTTGAGTGACCTTGTATGGAGAATACAGATATAATTCTGGACTATGTGTGTCAGGTCTTTATCATTAATCATCTCATCACTTCTTCCTAGGCCGTTTATTATTCTCTCTCTGCTTTATATTTGACCCAACACACTTTACGGCTGCTTCTGGTAATGGCCTCTTCATCCACATAGATATACGCCGTACTATAGATATTGCCAAACTTTATCCATTTCCCTCTACCAATCTCCAAGACTGCTAAAGCACCTTGTATATCCCAATGCAAAGTATCTTTTGTATATAAGAAAACATTTTGTTTATTTAGGGGCTTACATCGTTCCAGTTCAGCAATCAGAATACAAAATGAGCCTTTTCATCTAGCTTAATCTAAAAAATCATGGGAAAAGTCTATAAGAGGGCAAATGTGGATTAAGTGCCTTCCGCTCGGGAGAAGGAGTCGTGTTTTAACCAGGCAGAGGACAGTAGTGGAGATGTCACTATGAGGAAATCACAAACTCAGATGTCACAATGACAATTTCTGACAAGACTCAAAGAGGATTAGACCGAATGCTTCTCCTGTTTTAGATACTTCCCTTTTGTCACTTACACTGGCTAAACTTGAGTTATTCAGTTAAGCAGGTACTTTCAGGGGAAAGCTAGGTAGTTCCCCATTCTTGTTTTACTTCTAAGATACAAGATGCTGTGTACGCACTTCAACCCAGAAATAAACAAGACCTGCTCCTCTGTTACAACATTAGCACTTTGCTTGGGAGAAGCCATTGTCTAATCACAATTGAAAATTGTTATTTGCTATTTCGGAACCATTACAATTGTCGTGAAAACTGTCAAGTGTAATTTTAAAACTGGTCACTGAATATCTATGTAGTAGGCAGTTTGCTATAGATTTTCCCTAGATTATTTCATTAATTCTCACAAACACTCTGTGAAACAGATGGTGTTTTTAAAATAATTTCAAAAGAAACCATCTTATATGTTAAATGATTTGCTAAAGGTCACGTAGCTAATAGATAGTACATGAAAAATGTGAACTCAGTTCTTGATTTCATGTCCAGTACTGCTTCTACTATATTACAGTTGTTTTCTATAAGTGTAACACAACCACTCAAGCATAAAGAGAGTAAAAGGCAACACCCAAGCCATACATTACATAGACTGCTTTTAATCTCAGCCATGCTACATTTTTTTGCACCTGTCCCCTGCCATGGATGATTTCCATATCTAAATCTTCATGAGTAGTAGCTTTCTTCACTTATTTCTATTATCCAATCCCTTATTTTCCATGCCTCACTGGAAATCCCACCTTCCTGAGCACTGAAAAAGCTTCTTTTGCCAACTGTGCCATTTCTAGCTTGAAACTGTGAACTTATTTTTGATCATTTCCTCATTCATTTTACAAACAATTTTTGAGTACCTGTTATGACCTCTACTTCAACTCTTATATTTAATCGACCCATATTCTTTCTCTTCGATGAAATCTTTGTGCTTCATCTTTGAGCTCACTGCTTGATTTGACTAATTCACTTAGTTATCTGCTGCCTACAATTTACTACTGGGTAGTGTGGTAGCCCTTGGCTGCTCTCCTTGTCATTAATGTACTATGGAAACTACTGCCACCATCTTTCACTAAACACTCACACGATTTGGGGCTCAATTTATACATTACCTCCTCTGGGAAGTCTTTGTCTCTCTAGACTAAACCAGTTGCTCCAAACTACTTCACTCGAGACTTTAAAATAGACTTTAAAAAGATTGTTTTAAAAGAAATGTAGCAAATGGTTATATTGCGGTGATTTTAAACATAAACCTACAGGACAAATGAAAACCAAAAATTTATAATAAAATCTAAATGCATTCTTATGGCTTAGGAAAAATTTTCCAATGGCCATACACATGGATGTAAACCAGGCCATATCTCATATTACATAGGTAAAATAAAAGAAAACATGCTCTAGAGACCTGCCAGACGACTCAAAGTGTAACACGAATGGTACAAAATGGCATTGATACTGAAGATGAGTGTGAGAATAAAAGAAACAAACATTTAAAAATTAACATATGTGTCCTTTATGTTTAATGTATTGAAATACAGTTTTGTAAGTAAATTGGTAAAGCTTGTGTTTTAAGTAAATATATGGAAATTTCACTTACATCATCGAATCATTACATGTTTGAGTCAGCCAAAAAAATTGCTTCTGTTTTAGTATTTTACATTATGACTTTGGAGTATTTCTCTATATTAAGTGGGCTGTTATTGACAAACATATGGAATTTTGACAGCCTTAGAGAAAGAATTAGCCCTCATAATCCCTGCCCCCACTTTGCCTCAGGGTAATATAGGAATAACCACTTCTTAAAAATAGAATTGGAAACAGAGAGCTTTATTACATAAAGTGCTTTGTGTCCTTTATCTCACTTTATTCTTTCGGCAACCCCATGGAATATGTACTGTATCTATTACTATTTCATAGATTAAAAAACTGAAACAGAAAGTGGCTCAGTGTAGGCTTCATCACCAGTAAATGAAGAGATGAGATTAGGCCCAGGTTCTTACTGGAGAACTGAACATTTTATCTCCAGTGCTGTATTAGCATGTTGTTTATAGAATTAAAATTCCTAAAGGGTCATGGAAACTTCAGCTGTGCTGAGATACTTTGAATATCTGACATTAAGATAGAAATTTGTGAATACATAAGGTTTTGGGTTAACACTAAATATCCTCTTAGTGTTAGACATTTCACTGACATTTAAAGCAATGCTTCTTCTGTCACTAGGCTTTCTCACTCATGAATCTACTTTAGCCATCAATTTAAAATTTAGATGCTAATAACCAGCATGTGCTTCTAATAAAGCAATGGGTATGAGCCTTCAAGGACATATCAAAAATGCCTAGCCATCTGGAACTGATTCTTTTTGGTAGCAAATCCCTTTCCACAAAAATACATAATATGGATTAGCTCTTTTACTTTCCAAATGTTATATCCTAAAATAAATAGATGCAATTCCCCTAATAGAATTGTGTCTGATAATTAGTGATTTTTGTCTTAATTCATATATAAATTTATAATTTGCAAATTATCCTTATTAAACAGTTCTTTTAATTATTTCCAGGCCATTTCTTTTTAATAGAAAGGGTTAACACGACAAGTTAGTAAACTTTGCTTGCTCTTCTAGTAGCAAGAAAAACTACCCTAATTTTCATCTCTGTTCAGCAATCTGCTGTTTGTTCCTGCAAATGAAAGAATAGCTGAGGGCTTTAAAAATAGATTTGTAGGAAGTTGGAACACAAGGTTCCAAGATTAATGAAACTAAGGAAAAGGAGACTCTAAGATTGGATTTAACGCAGATTTTGCATATTTCATACTAATAATACGAGAAAATGAGTGTAAAATCTGAGCTCCAGCTAATCCTCTGCAACCGTCTGAGCAAACATGAACACAATGCCATTCTGAATAATATATTATTGTCTTAGGAGTCCTATTGTCATCAAATTCTACAGAGCACATTATACTAATCTCCATAAACAAGATGTTTATTTTTTATGGGGCTATCATTTAGCACATAATTATAAATCTAAGTATATTAGAATATTTAGACACAATTACTCTCTTTTCAACCTTCTGAATCTGTTTGGAGGTAGGGAAGGAGGGGGAAGAGCAAGTTTGCAATTTTATGGGAGAAGGTCTGTGTGGCATGCTGGGAATTGCTATTCAGCTCTTATGGTTGAATAGCACTCATTTTCTGTGACTAACCATCAGCTGGGTTTTGTGATTGGGCTTCAATATGAGTATGATAGCCAAAA
Organism: Homo sapiens; assembly: GCF_000001405.40. Classification (NCBI taxonomy): domain Eukaryota; kingdom Metazoa; phylum Chordata; class Mammalia; order Primates; family Hominidae; genus Homo; species Homo sapiens. Next base: position 52,691,192 of record NC_000017.11, read on the forward strand.
TTGTAGGTTTTTACATTAGTAAATACAATGCTGCTATGTTCCACATTAAGGATATGGGAGAATAAATTACATCATTTGTTTTGCCACAGAATCCTTGTGCAAGATGCTGTTTTAAGAATTATTATATTCATCAGAAGATAAAGAGAATAATTAAGAAGAGAAACAATCTTCTAAGAGTTCATAATGGGAAAAATATAACAACTATGCCCGCTATTAATTTTTCACCAGATCATATGTCTTCAAATCTTTGGAATCATGAAGTGCTAGGAAGAGCCCCGGGTTTACATTTAACTCTTTAGATTGTTATTGCTAGCTACGACACCTTAACTGTTCTAAATCCACTTCATGTGTAACATGAGATGGTGATGTGTCTGTCGCATGATGCATGTAAAAATTAAATAAGGTAAAGAAACTGCCTATGCACAGTGTTCAGCACAGAACAGGTACTCCACAAATGCTGAATTTGATTATATAAAAAGTCAAGATTTACTAGCAAGATTTACCGCATATAACTTTCCCAAGGTGCAAATACACGAAGTGCAAAGGGCACTATTTGGACAACAGCCAGAGTGATTCACAGGAAAGGGTATCAATACCCCTTAAGCAGGTTGAGCATACCCTTATCATGTCAGGGAGGAATTGTGTTATATCAGGACTTTTGTCCTTCCTATCCCTCATAGTCCAGGGAATAGTCTTAGAATATTACAGAGTAGCCCCTTTTGCCACTGCCAGAATACAGTCCAAGGGAACAGAGTCACCTGCAGTAAATCTCATAGTAAAATGACACACACACAAAAGAAGAGTTCAGAGAAAATAAAGTTCCCTTCTGAGAACTGTCCATGTCCTACAACCTACATCTTACCAAGTCTCACCCTTCCTACTCAGATTCTGTCTGGCCCACATTAAAGAGACCACAGGCCACACATATTAAGGAAGCAACCAGATCTCTGACTTCTCCGAGTTGACCAGAAGACAGAGACAGAACACTGGCTGAAATGTGAAGAAATTAGCAATCTTCTAGACTATCATCACAATGGAAATAAGCCCTCATGCAAAGGGTAATCAATGATTACTATCACTTGTGACTATGTCAAAGTTCAGGACACTAAAAGAAGCATTTCACAGTATATGTGATAGACATTAGAATTTGTCCATTGCCTTGATTGACAGTCACTTTACATTCTTAGTTTGAGTTTTCCTCATCTCCCAATATCACACCCTAACAAGGACTTGTGAACAGGTCATTTATCTGCAAGATGGTCTGCTGAAGCACAAGTGAAGAAGGGAGGACAGTAGCGCCAGAAAGGGAGAGAATACAGTAAGAGGTGCTGTAATAAGCAGGTTGCCATGGTAGGCTCAATCCCATGGGGAACCCTCTGAGGAACTGGTTAGAACACATCTCATAATTGTCTCATGAACGGCTAAAGAAGTATGCTATTTACCTGCGAAGTCCTGTCACTCATTCGATGATGGTTGCCTCTGGGGGCAACATTCAACCCAACATTTTCTAGGCTGCTTTGCTGTGGTATAGCAAACTCCTAGGGAGCTAGAGAAAACCCTTGGGATTAAAAGTAAAGAAACAGGTGTGCTTGAAATGGAAAGCAGCCAGGATGAATAGGGACTACTTACCACAGTCAGGCAAGCACAGAAAGGGTCAATGGCATATGTGTCTGTTGCACTCTCTGTATGTCAAAACAATTGAAGCAGTCTGATCACACATAGCTCGATATGTGTATGTACATACACATGTATCTATATATGTATAGGTGCATGTAATTTTTATCATTGAAAAACAGTTAAATTAGATGGAATAGGTCTATGCCCCTCCTCCTTCTTAGCCTATTTAAGAGGGAGCCTCCTCCCTCTTAGCCCACTCATTCTTCATACATCCATTCAATCGTCTGTTATTCAGGGAACCCTTTTCTCATCCCTTTAACTAGGTCCAATTTATCTTTTTTGTGCATCCATAGAAAATCTATCTTTTATGATAGTGGCACTAATTAGAGTTGTACTTTTATTATGAGTTGTCTGGTAATTTGATTAACATTTCTCTTCCATGAGGATCAGGTCCTTGAAGTCAGGAAATAGTGCCTTTCAGAAGGCTTCCCTCCTAGAATGTACTAAATGGTTACACACTGAATGAATAATCCTTTTAAAGGGAACATAACCCCGGGGAAGAAGGATCTGTAACCAATTATAAAATGATGTGATAAGTACTATACTGTAATTACAGATTTCTGTGGGAGTATATAGAAAAGAGAGACAAATTCTGCCTGGTATGAAAAAAAGGTAATATTAACAGAGTAGATATTCAAGGGGTGGTGACATTGGAACTAGGCATGAGGTAGGACAATAAGATCTCTAGGAGAATAGCTGGGTAGAGCAGTGCTTGCCTATAGTCCCAGCTACTCAGGAGGCTGAGGAAGGGGAATGATTTGAGATCGAGGTCAGCCAGCCTGGTCAACATAGTGAGATGCTGTCTCCAGAAAAAAAGATCTCTATGAGAAGAAGGGATAAAATGTGTCTTAGAAGAAAATCAGCAACAGATTAACTCTATTCAGAGGTGGCCAAGTGAGTTTCTTTAAATTTATGGTTGTATATTCTGTATATAAAATGTCCATGTATGTGTCTGTGTCTGTATCCATAGAGATACATAATATATGTTATTGAACCCAAACAAAGCTTGATTCATGTGGAGTATTTAAATAGCATCAATACTATGATTAGCATCCCTTCAAGTGACTGCCAATCAATTTTGACCAATCTCATTAAACAGAAAGTTGTATTGTAGTTAACATTCACAAATGAGCCATCCATTTAAGGTCACTGTTTCATCATGAGTAGTTATGGGGCAAGATACGAAAAAGGGGCCTATTTAGGATCTACTTTTGGTCATAACTGTTCAGCATTTAAAAAATCACTTTTAATATGATTCAATCATTGAATAAAGCTTTAGGTGACTTGGTACATTTTTTTAAAAGTAAATAAATATGAGGACCTCAGGGATTTCTGCCCTGTGTCTAATTTTCCAAATTCCTAATTGCTACAGTCAACATTTTTTTTTGTATCCTAACATTGCTATGGTAAAATTCTAACCCCCAAGGTGACGTTATTCTGAGGTAGAACCTTCTGGGAGGTGGGTTTAGGGTTCATATAAAAGAGACGCAAGGTAGCTAAATGCCTTGCCCCTTCCACCTTGTGAAAACACAGAAAGAAGGCATAATCTATGAACCAGAAAACTGGCCTTCACTAGGCATTTAATCCATTGGCACCTTGATTGTAGACTTCCCAGCCTCCAGAAATGTGAGAAATAAGTTTCTGTTGTTCATAAGCTACCCAGTCAATGGTATTTTGTTATAGCAACCCAAATGGACTAAGACACTAATGAAGCAAGGGAAAAAAACTTAAGATGGCTTTCCAAAATGTGCTATTCTTTATTTAGGAGACCAATGCTTAGGACTGGCGATCTTGAGTAGTTATATCAGTAGAGTAAGAAATCCAGTCACACAGTGAACTGTTGGCGACTGCTATCTCAAGTTCCAACATGGGTGGCTGACAAAGGAGTATGTCTTTGGGTGGGAGACAAAACTAATATGGTTGCCTTACCTGGGGCCTGGACTGAGGATGAGTAGAGAAGAGAAGGGCAAAGAAGAAAAAGACAGAGCTGTGGTGAGCTCACAGTCTGTGTTAGGCATAGAACACATTAATGTCACTCTGGGTGACATTTTATAACTAAGGCCTATGATGAAGTGATGGCTAAATGATTTGACTATAAAACACATCATATTTTCCATCAAGGCATCCAAAACAAACTAGTAGTCTAAATTTCAAAAGCAAATTTGTCGTGCAAAGACAGCATTAATTCAATTCCCGCATTTTCTCTTTTCTACCAAATTGTCACCTTTATTAACTGCTTGTGGAATTTCTGAGGTACATCCTGCCTGGACAAGGTAGATCCTGCCTGGACAAGGTAGATAATAGCCAAAGCCACATGGTAGAAAAATAGCAGAGCTCAGATGTGGGCCTGGGTTTTTGTCTCCAAAGATCATCTTGTTTGTTTGTTGAATTTGGGAGTTTGACCTTATCACAAGAACACTTTACTGTAGTGTGATAACCATTTATCCTTTTGCTCACACAGATATTTTTATAAGCCTGAAGATCTGTATTGACTAATGAGAATGATGCACTGAGCTCAAAAACTAGTATTACTTGCATGGCATTTTAAATTATATAACATGATTGCTTATAGGAAATACATCCCTTTTTATAGACTTATGATGCCTGCTGTGTCATGCAATTAAAAAGTTCCAGAAAAGCATTCTCAGTATGTCAAATTCTTGAGGCTGATTTATAGGATTACAGCTTTCCCCCTTTGTGATTCAATTAAAGCATTTTACATTGGGCTATTATAGAGTTTAAAGTCTGATCATAGTTTGGAGGCTGAACTATTAGATTAGCATGTGATCTGTTTATAAATAAACTGAATTTCTTGTTGGCAAGGGATAATAATTACAGCTGCAGTCATAAGGAATACTTACTAAAAACCTGTAAGACAGACATAGAAGATAAAAATGGGTAATACCAATATGCAATGGATTATTGGATCTTACAGATAGTTAAATATAAAAATAAAAGCCTATTGGTATATGCTTCAGATTTTAATCCAGGGACTGAATTCTTGACCAGATCAGTGATGTGAGGAAAAAAGTGTTCTGGTAAGGACCTGGGAATAGTTCAAACAAGTTATGATTACAAATTCTCTGAGATCTGAGCCCAATCTGGTATTATCTAGAAGGTCCTATTAATTATGTGTGCATATAAAAACCCCTTAATGGGAAATGAATGTTTTTTTTCCACAAAGACTGGATAATAGTTTCAGGCATCTCATAATAAGAAAAGGAAAGAGAATCAATGGTGCTACCATCTGAGTTTGGTTGGTGGCTATTTCAAGAGAAAATGCATTTTCTTTCATTTTGATGTTAGTTTTATTTTTGATTTTTGATGGCGAGGAGAATTAAACTAAATTGAATGATGTGGACTAGGCATTAAAAATAGTACCTACTCTTCATAAAAGAAAGAGGGCAAAGGCAGTCAAGCATGAAGACTAAATAAATCTTTAAATGATGCAATAAAGAAATGATAACTTAGAGATAATGTGTTTGCCATGGCCCTTAGAGATGTCAAGTTTCCACCTGTGGAGATAAATAAGAGTCCGTTTAATAGAGAAATAGAATTTTGAAGGAACAGCTGCCCAGACTACTTACAAAACCAAGAAATGAGTGATCTAGTGATAACTTAAATTTGACACTCTTCAGTCTTTGAGAATGCTATTAGGCTAAATGCATCTCCATCAGGAAAGAATATTGCCTCATTTTAGGCAGGCCCTCATTTTCTCTTGCCTAGGCTACAGTAATAGCCTTCTAACTGGTATTCAGTCTCCTCGTCTAACCACCCCTCCAATCTATTTTTTCTGTCACCAGCGTAATCTTCCAAAGGCCCCAATTTTAAGCCATTTCTATGCTTGAAAACACTTCAAAAACTCTCCTTTATCTAAGAATAAAATCCAGATGGATTATCATGGTATAAAATGCTCTCAATCATCTGGCCCTCCATTACCCCACCGGTCTCCTCACTTACCATGCTGTGCCTCATCAACTATGCTCCCACCATATTGAACTATTTTAGATTTTTTTGGGGGGCCATGATCTTTTTCACCTCAATGCCTTAGTCTCTGAAGCTGTTTCAGTCTAAATAACCCTATTGTATCTAGAATGCCCTTAGGTACTTTTCAACTATTATTTCTTAATGACTTTTCTTGTTATTTTTAATTGATCCCCTACATTTTTGCCAGATTATATTCCCCAAATCATAGAACCTATACTGCTTAACTGAACCCATTGGTTTACATGAAGGTAGGTCCATTTACCCATATTAGACCAGAAATTCCATGAAGGTAGCATTATATCGTACTTTTCTTTTGTTTGTAGTATTTATCCAAGTTACACATACTCCATGCTAATTTAAACGACTTAATTAACAAAAGTTGTAGGCAATATTTATTAACATATTTAGTTTAATTTAGCTAAAGTTGGGGAGTTTAGAAGTGTTTATACAGGTTTGGGTTTGGGTTTTCCGTCTATAGTTAGGCCTAGCTAGCAAGCTTAATACTTTCTCAAAAATGTTTTAATAACAAAAAATTTATTCTATTATGTTCTAGTGAATGGAGGCTACAGAGAGCTGATACATGTATGTGAGGGTGTTTTAGATACTGTAAAAGTTCTCATTTCATTGATATGGAAGATATTAAACCAATTGAGTCACAAATGGAGATACCACACAGCCATCAAAATGAATAGCATATAGATAGAAAAATAAAATGTTAAATGAGGGAAATACTATAATTATAGTACCAGCATATACATGGCATGCTTATATATGTATACGTGTTTGTGTGTGTGTATCTATGTCTCTCTCTCTATATGTGTATATATATATCTATACACATATATATACATGTATCTATACACATATATACATATATACATACATATGTGTATAGATATATACACACATAGAGAGACATAGATACACATATACACATCTATGTATACACATATACATCTCTCTATGTATGTGTATATATATGTATATATATGTGTGTGTGTATATATATATAGAGAGAGAGAGAGAGAGACTATCCTCCTTATTTCTGGATTTTATATTTACTAATTCACTTGGTAACATTTATTTGTAACTCTTAAATCAATACTCACAGTTATTTGTAGAAATGTGCAGAGCAACATTTGAGTCCCCTAACCTCACTCACATGTTTTCAGCATCTGCGGTCAAACAAAATAATTATCTGCCTTATTGCTTTAGCTCTCCTCCTGTAAAGAAGTATCCTTTTCACAGAATATTTAGCGTCACATCTTTCACATTTTTGAGCTTTTTCTTGGTGATGTCACAGTTTAAAATGATTCCAAGTGTAGTGCTAAAATGCTGTCTAGTGTTTCTAAGCACAAGCAGACTGTGATGTGTCTTGTATAGAGAAAATATATATATTAATAAGTTCCATTCAGCGTGAGTTATAGTGCTATTGGCCATGATTTCAATATTAATAAATTACAATATATATTACATAATGTACCTTTAAACTAAAACACTTATAAAACAAGTTTATATATTGATTGTGACCAGAGGCTTATGGAAGTCTAACTTCAAATAATGAGCATTGGTGTGTGTGTGTGTCTGTGTGTGTGTGTGTGTGTGTGTGTGTGTGTGTGTAGCATTTATATAAATTTCAGAAAACAATTTATAGCATCAATGTATACAGATCTATCTAGAAGTATTGTGGAACATTTGGATATACACTGATTAATTATATAGTTGCCTATGATAATGGGGAGGGGAAGAAAGAACTTCAATTTTAATTATAAAGTTTCTCTCATTTTACTTGAAAACAAATTGTAGCCAAAAAATTATATTAGTAATAGTTGATCTCCATTTCCACCTTCCCAGTTCCGGGTTTTGTTTTTGCTTTTTGACTTGGGTGAAAGCGCTTGTCACATGTCTTATAAGTCATTCATTTCATAATATAGAATATCTTTAGTCCGATAGTTAAGAGTATACACATTGGTTCTCCACCGCCGTTTAGCCAAATTTCCTACAGCTCTTCTGCTGGGTCCCATACTACAGGAACACCTACTGCATGTTACTCTTGTGACATACCTTGCATCTGCCCCTCCCCATGCTCATGTGTCCTCCATGTGTGATGTTCTGCCTATCAAATACTATCTGTTTTTCAAAGTTCAGAGCAATCACCTCCTCTCCCACACTCCATCTTGGTATTACAGCAAGTTTTAATTCTCATAATACATTTTTTCCCTTGTATCATCCACATTCTTTTATGAAGTTTCTTCTTTCTATAAAAGTTGAAAAGGTGCCTGAAGGCAGAAGACCATGGCTTTCCCAGTGAAATTCCTAATTTAATAGACAGTGCTTGCTGGAAACACCAACAGAAATTAAATATGTGAAAACTAAACAACATATACACATGTCATAAAGTAATTCCATTCTCAGAAGGCTAATCATTTCTATAAATTCTGAAAATTACTTGTAACAATTTTGACATAATATTTGATAATATAATGGCTTGTATTTTATATTTTGCTTTTAGTTTACAAACTACATAAACTACCTATAAGGGTAAATATCGTTAAAAACCCAAATGAAGCTAAAGATTTGCTCCTTTTGCTGCATGTGAGATAAGTTTGCTTTATTTAAACTGTTTTTTTAAGAGTCTATATTTGTCTATTTGACATTCATTTATCACCAGGTTAATGATATTAACCATATTTTTGTATCTGCCATATCCTGATGCTCTGGCATTTGGGGTTTTAACAGACCTGGAGAAAGAGACTACCTCTCCCAGGGCTAGCTTGTTCCTGAAGTTAATAACAATTTGCCCAGGAGCATAGTTTTGATTTGCAAACCAACCAATCCAGAGTCTCTACCCTCAATTGCTTCTTCATCTAATTTGCACACACCAAGCCAATATTTTTCCTGCCCTAAATTGTCCTAGGGCAAGAAACCAGTCAAAAAGAGGCCACTCCCATAGCCCGGAGCCCTCAGAATTATGCAAACTATCCAATTCTAAAATGTTCACTCTTTCCTGCCTTGTCTTTCCCTGGAAGCTCCAATAAAAGCTTGACCTAGGCTTTTCCCTCATTCCTCACCAACAGGAGTGCTGTGACTCCGCATGGTCGTGAGTGTCATAAACTTCTTTCTTCCAAGCCTTGTTCTACTTTCCTTCTGTGGCTACATTCACTTTTCCATACCAATCCAACATGTACATTCTTAGAACAGTTTCAGTAACAGGCCCTTTTTCTTACATATTCTTTCCATAAAATTCTTTTCAGCATTTTATTTCTTCCCTGAAATTCTTCATTCATCCCTTATTGACAGGTTGAGGGCCTCATCTTATTGTTGAAAAAGGTGTGGATACTACACTAAAAATGGCAATATTAACCAATCTTGCTCCCTTGTATTTTCTGCCCTATTTGCAATGGTTGCAGTTAGGCCATGCCTTGCCAGATTTCTCGCTGGTAATGTGTGAAATCTGCCTTGCAGACCTTACTTTGCCATGGGTGGCTTTTAAGATATAGATGAGAAGAAATATTAGAAATTCTTGTTCTTGGCTTACACAAAAGCTGCATTCTCCAATCCAACGTTAAAAAGATTGAGATGCCTCAAACTTGGGAGATTATCGGAAATCTAGCTAGATCATTAATGATACTGACACTATACTTTTATATTCTTATCAAACCTTAGTCTGTAGTCAATGATTAGAATCCAAACAGGACAAGAGAGGAATGTACACCTGCTGCAACAACCAACATTTAATCTTTCTTACATTAGAAACTGGTTGAAGTCTTGGCTACACAAAAAAAAATAGCCCTGAGTTCAAATTTCTGCTTTGACATTTACTAACGCTATGCCTCTATTATTCCTCAACAATGGGGATACTAACTGGACCTATTTTAAAGGTTGTGTGGATTAAATCAGACAGTTCATTTAGAATTGTGCCTTGCCTTAAATACATTTTAGCTATTATGATTATTATCCCCATTTATTGATTCCTTTAATTGCGCAGGCAATGTTCTGAGTGCTAGGAAATAAAGATTTAAACTATGCCAAATATCTTTTGTATTAAATATAGTGGAAGATATATTATGCAGAAGTCAACACATTAATTCATTAATTTCTCAAACATACATACACCTACATATATATGCACACATGTATCATATCACCCTTTAACATATAAAGAAAAATAAATTTGGGATGGGAAATAGAAAATGAAAGGTAGGGAACTAGAAGGAAATATTTAAATTGAATCATCTAGGCATATAATACAGCAAGTGCTCTAAAGCTGGAATGAATCTGAAGTATCTGAAGAACAGAAAGAAGCTCATGTAGATAGAATGTCTAGAGTGAAAAACTGAAATTAGATTGAAATGGTTGGCAGAAACCAGGTCACTTAGGAAGTTGGAAGCCTTAATACGAGGTTTATATTTATGTTAAGTACAATGAAGAACCATTAGAAGGTTATAAGCAAGGAACTGGTATGACCTGATCGAGCTTTTGAAAAAATATGCTACTGTCTGAGAATAGCCCTTAGGAAGACAGAGTGGATGCACGACAAATTAGGAGGTTTTGGCAAGTTCAGATGAGTGGTGACAGAGGCTTGGGCTAAGAAGTTAAGAGTAAAGATGAACAAAATGCTGGATGTACTGAAGGAGAAAAAATACTTGCTTAAGAGTATAAACTTGATGCAAAATTTTAGGGAGTTATCTCCTCCATTTTCTCTATCATATATGCTATTGGCTCCCTATTGTATTCTAGGCTACTGGAGAAATTTCAAATATTATTGGGTCTGATGGGATATATGTGTGTGGAGTAAGAAAGCCACTTAGAGTGTAGCTGCAAATGCCTACAGAAGTGTCACTTGCTTTGAACTCTGAAAGCTGACAGATGTGAACTGGGGTACATGTGATCCAAAGAGTACACTATATTTGGTGTACTTGGTAAGAGGTACACTGTGTTACCAAGGGACATACGGGTATGGACAAGATAATTAATTTCTTTCTCATCAAGTCCATGCGACTCTTCTAAGACATGGATGTGCCTGAAAATGCATCTTCTGTTTAGAAATCAAGCAGTTCTCCCTTCCTACCTCCCCAGCCATACTATTAATGAGACCACTTATTCCACATTATAAAACAAAGGCATACCTCTCACTTTTCCTAGGGACACTAAACACAGAAGCAATTTAAAATATCCATATCTTGGAAATATGTTTTAATCAAGCTACCAGAAACCTATAGAATATTTTCCTGTACAGGTATCTGCTGAAATCCAAGTATAGCATCATAAGTGGCATAATTTTGCATGCTTTGCTATTTTCTGAATTTGCACACAGAATGTGGTATTAAGAACAATGACGGTTTCTCTTTAACAACCTCAAGTCTCCTTTCCACAAACCAAGATAAAAATAAATAAATCTTTTCTGGGGGAGAACACTGTGAAATCAAAATAAATAAAGCATTGTTAAGACATATTAAAGGTAACATTTCACTGTCAAACGCAATTCTGTACCCGTCTTCTTTTCTTTCTTGCTTCCCTGCCTTTGCCTACCCTCTCGTCTGTCTTCTCCCTCTTTCTACTCCTCTTCGTGTTTCTTTTCTTTTTTTTCTTCTTCAATCCCCGATCTCTGTTTCTGTAAAGTTTTCCAACTAATACATTTAATGCATTTAGTAATATAAAAACAATTAATTAAAATATTTGTTGAAAGGAATGTTTTTAATTTAACAATTCAAAATTTTTCAATTCCTTCTGACTATATCAGGTTGAAATAAAGTGCTTCTCAGTAAGAGTGTTATTATCAATAGTCATTTTGTAAGTTTTGGAAAAGCCTTTTTTTATATCTCTCCAAAATTTAGAAAATGAGTTCTTGCTATGACTATGCTTTTTAAAAATATCTTTTTGCAAGCAGTGGGGTTTCTAATTTTTTGCTGTTAACAAAATTGAAGAAGGACATAATTCAATTGCTTGCTGATAGATAATTAAGAATAATTTTTGATAACATAGCAGTGTTTTATCTTTCTGTTTTGGGGAATTTATACTTTAGAAGGGCTTTAAAAAATTGATTGACATACAATTAGAACATTCTGTTCATTCCAAGATACTCACCCATATGAACAATGTTTCTCTGTACAAACAAAAATTGTAAAATTAGTTTTGAGCCCTGTCTCATTTTTGCACTAAGCACTCTTCTTCCCCAGATACCTAAACACATTGAGAAGAAAATTTATCTCAGTAAAGAAATGTATCGAGATAAATTTCAAATAAAATTATACATTATATGTTAAATAATTTCTGAAGTTCTTCATATGTGTGTAATTGTGTTCAATTGTTTATTAATTATAGTTGTTATAATGACTCAATATATAGTAGGAGGAATTAATGTATACATATATAATCACAATAATTTTTTATTAATAAAATATTTTTGTAGCAGAGAACTGTGGGAGTATAATCAGTAAAATCAATCAAGGATAAAAGATATATTAGCAATCAATCCTTAGAATAAGTAGAATGCAAATATAAGTTCAAGGAGGATAAGGGGAGATGTAAAATTGATGGTTGCTAAAGGGAAATGTTTTTCATGATTTTTTTTTTTTTTTTTTAGATGGAGTCTCTCTCTGTCACCCAGGCTGGAGTGCAGTGGTGCAATCTCGACTCACTGCAACCTTTGCCTCCCAGCTTCAAGCAATCCTCCCACCACAGCTGGGATTACAAGCATGCACCACCAAGTAGCTGGGATTACAAGCATGCACCACCACACCTGGCTAAATTTTGTATTTATTATTATTATTATTATTATTATTATTATTATTATTATTATTATTATTATTTTATTTTTAGTAGAGACAGAGTTTTATCATGTTGTCCAGACTGGTCTTGAACTCGGACCTCAAGTGATTCTCCTGCCTCAGCCTTCCAAAGTGTTGGGATTACGGGCGTGAGCCACCTTGCCCAGCCCATGATTTTTTGTAAGTGGCCAATCATGCGTATCAAGTCACTGTAGTATTTAGATTCCATGGGCTGCATTAAAAAAGAATTCTGTACTCTGTTTCTATGAGGCAGACTTTTTAGAGTCCACACATATGTGAAATCATATGGTATTTTTCTGTGCCTGGCTTATTTCACTTAGCAATGTGTCCTTCAGTTCTAGCCATGTTGTTGTGAAGGACAGAATCTCCTTCTTTTTAAAGAAGCACTGTATGGTACTCTCTTTTATATAAATGCCACATTTTCTTTATCCATTCATTCATTGCTGGACACTTAGATTGCTTCCATGTCTTGCTATTGTACATAATGCTGAAATGAACATGGGAGTGCAGATATCTCTTTAACATACCAGTTTCAATTTCTTTAGATGTATACCTACAACTGGGACTACTGGATTACACTGTAATTCTATCTTCAGTTTCTAAGGAACCTGCATGCTATTTTTATTTTTGGAATTTTAAAAAATCCATATCATAGAAACAAACAGTAGAAAGGTGGTTATCAGAAGCTGTGGGATAGGGGGAGGGATTGGTAAAGGAAAATGTGTTGATCAAAGTGTATCAATTCTCAGTTACACTAAAAGAATAAGTTGTAGTGATTTATTCACCGCATGGTAACCAGAGTTAATAATAATGTATTACATATTTCAAAATTGCTAATAGAATACATTTTTAATAGTCTCACCACAAACAAAATAATAAATTGTTAAGGTGATGTATATTTTTATTAGCTTGACTGAATCTTCCTACAATGTATACATAGATCAAAACATCATATTTAACCCTTAAATATACACAATTATTATCTGTCAATTATAAAGAAATAAAAAATAACAGTAAAAGAATTATATAAGTTTTTTTTGAAATGACAATATCTATAATTCACTAGGAATTGCATCCTTTGCAACTTTTCAAGCTCATGATGAAAATATTTAAATTTGTCAGGGTAAACAAGCAGAATCTTTTTGATACAAAATATTTTTAATAAGTATGTTTACATACTTATATTTATAAAATTATATATAAATATGATTGTTGATATACATAAATATATTTATATATATATACATAAATGTATATTTAACCCCATAATCACTGATCTATTCTGCCTCCAAAATCCAAAGAATTCCATGTAGGTACTCCACCCCTTTCTTAGTGAAAGGAGGTGCAAAGTACAATATCTGTTTTAAGGCATATATCCTTCACTTTAAAGGATATATCCTGTTATGTTGAAGAACACTGGATTTGCAGACAACTTCCTTAGTTAGCATGTTTTCCAAAGACATATATTCTAGTTATCTGATACATATATCTTACTAAGAAATCTATGGTGTCTGCTACTTACTACTCTCTAGATTTTCACATGATAGTTTTAATATAGTAGAATAAAGTCCTTCTTGGCAGTGATGAAATTAGTCAAAGTCCCTGTTGTTTCAGTTGAGATAGAAAAGGAAGACAGTTGATACAACCTTCAGTCATGATTTTAACAGTATCCTACTGCTCTGCCTAGGTGAAAATAAACTCTAAAATTTGAAGAGGAATTCATTTGCCAGATCGACAATTTCATATTATGTGCTAAGGTCTTTATTAATTTGCTCCATTAGAGTGTTCATATATGGAACACTCATTTCAATTGAAGTCACCACCTGAATAAGTTATCCATAATCCTTTTATTCTGAAGAACTGTCAATCATATGCACTGGAAAAACTCAGAAAGTAAATAGGAATTTATTCAGAATTGCCACCTCTGTATCATTCAAAGTTTTGAAAGATATCTTTGCAATTTCATCAAGGGTGAAATATTTCTTTTTTTTTTTTTTTTTACTGCTATTGAGAGAAAATCCAACGACTTCAACTTGCCATCATTACTATCTTAACCCTTAAGTAATTTCATGGAGCTAGGTTTCTGCCAGTTGCTGAGGCTCTTTCTTGTCTCTATACACACAAGAACTGGAGAAGTGATCACCAAGGTTGGTTGGAGTCCCTCTGAGCCTATCATTAGGTAAGTGCAAGTGAGAACTTCATTTATCACCAAGTCCCTCTTGAACTCCCATTCTGACTGATACATTTCCACTTCTAAGATTCAAATGGTACAAAACTTTGTGTTAATTATTATTTTTTCAGTGGCATTACCAAGCCAATAGCCACAGGGGTCTGAAAGGCTATAAGTTTTGCTTTAACTTAGGTCTAGAAATTAGGGAGAAGAGCCTGACTCTGTATCCCAGCGACCAAGTCAGTCACTTGTTCTCTGAACATCCTTAGCACAGCCAGTAAGGGGAGTACTCTCTGAAATAAACACAGTTGATTTTTTTCTCTCCTTTATCATCTTTAAAATGCCCTCATTATAAGTCCAATTTTTAATCTTCTAAAAAAATCCCTCTATGATGAAGAGTTTTATTTTTAACATAAATATGTCTCAATTATTATCTCAGAATTGCATCTCACTTACATTTGATGCTGTCTTGCATCCACATGCTCATACTACCTTTATTCTAAACATGGTCCTCTGTAGCCAGGTAATTGGTTTCTGGTCTTTAGTGATAAGTAATTATGAGAAGTTTTCTTCAGCAAAGATCCCTGGGGCTGATAATAATTGTCTAGCTGACATAATTAAATCATTTCTGACAATTCAACAAGTCTTATTCTTGTTTAGGTGAAAGGTGTTTGGGATTAATATTCTTACTTTTGACATCTTCAAAATAGGAGAAAAAAAATCAACCAACAGGAGTTCACATATATGAAGTGTGATCTAATTCCTTAGCAATTAGGCAAGATTTAGAAATTATTTTTGTATTTCTATCTAATTTAAGATGGCTAGCAGTTAAACAATACATTTATTAATCCTCTTCAACAATATTGCATTCCAATTACAGAATAAATCTACAAATAAGGTGAACCCATGACTGTGCTACCAAATCCCGATGGATCCCATCAACAAACTGAAAATGGTACCGAATTTCTTGAAGATGAGATGAAAATACAACCAAAGACCATGACTGAACACTTTAAATCCTACTCAGATTAAGGAATAGACTATTGAAAAAGAGTGGGTTGTTTTGCAGAGGAATCTAAGCATAATTCATGATGTAAGGAAATGGAGCAAAGGAGAAGCCAGCTATGGTGTAGTCAGTAGAGAAATTAACTAAAGAGATAGAAACAGTTGCAGAAGTTCCCCATTCTCAGAATAAACCCTCCTTCTCTCACTGTTTACCCCCAGGATAAAATCACAAGTTCAGCCAGTCAATTAATAAAATAAACTGAAACAGTATTCCAAGACACCTAAGATACCAAAAAGGATGCAGGTCCATGCACAGAGAAGGCAATCTACCTGCAGTTGTACAAACGCAACTGACAGCCTGCATGTTTATCGCACCTTGAGGTTTGACAGTTTAGTACTTTTGTGGATGCTGTGAGCTGTCTTTTGTGTGTGTGTATGTGCTTATGTGTCAGTGTTATTTTTTGTTGCTTGAAATTTTGAGAACAGATGCTCAGGGATATGTATGTATGTGGAATTGGTTATTGGGTTGACATGAGACAGGAGTGATAAGACAACTTCTCCTGTCAATCCAGATTCCCACATGGAAAATTAGCAGCAGAAACAATAGGAAAATGATTTAACTGATTGCATAGTTAGCTGGATCCATGTGCATAATTAGCTGGATCCATGTGAGGAATATACAGAAATGGTTTCTGTGAAATGCTAAATTTTAATTTGATTTTACAGGACAAGTCTGCTATGTTGCCTGTATACTTTAAGGCATTCATCAGCAAAGACTGAGAGTCTACCAATTGGAAGGAGGCTATCTGGAAGGACTGATAAAGCTAAGCAAGCCAATAAATGGCCCAGCAATCCTACTGCTGAGTATATACCTCAAAGAAAGGAAATCAGTATATGGAAAAGTTATGTGCACTCCTATGTTTGTTGCAGCATTGTTCACAATAGCTAAGATTTGGAAGCAACCTAGGTGTTCATCAGCAGATGAATGGATAAAGAAAATATGGTACATATACACAATGGAGTACTAGTCCACCATGAAAAAGAATGAGATCCAGTCATTTGCAACTTGGATAGAACAGGAGATCATTATGTTGAATAAAACAAGCCTGGTACATAAAGACAAACAGCACATATTCTCACTTATTTGTGGGATCTAAAAATCAAATCAATTGAACTCATAGAGAGTAGAGGATGATTATGAGAGGTTGGGAAGGGTAGTGTGGGGTTGGTGGGGAGGTGGGAATGGTTAATGGGTACAAAAAAATAAAAAGAATGAATAAGACCGACTATTTGAGAGCACAACAAGGTGACTATAGTCAATAATAACAAAATTGTATATTTTAAAATAAAGAAGGTAATTTGATTGTTTGTAACTCAAAGGACAAATGCTTGAGTGGCTGGATACTGCATTCTCCATGATGTGCCTATTTCACATTGCATGCCTGTATCACAACATTTCGTGTACCCCAAAATACATACACCTACTATGTACCCACAAAAATGTTTAAAAATAAAAACATAATTAAAACAAGCAAACAACAACAACAACAAAAACCAACCACATTGAAACACTACCCACCCCTAGTAGAAGAGACAAGACAATTGTTTCCATATGCTATTCCTCATCGTTTCTCAATAGGTAATTGTAATTGGAACACAATATGGCCTGAATGGTGTTGTAAAAAGACATTAGTGCAGGAGAAGAAATTGCATTTAGAATTAACCAGTGGAATTTGGCAATTCATTCTATCAACAATTTGGGTTAAATATGTGGGAACTGATTTTCTGGGTACAAGTCAAACAAGGAGAAAGGAAAGTAATGGGGGTTGGGCTAAATTGCCGCATGCTTGTCAGTAATCAAGACACTTTTTGAATTTGCTAACACAATCAGAACCAATGACCCTGTTAGGAGACATTAAATTACCAGAAAGCCTTTGAGTGATACAAGGTAAGGGATTCAACAACTACAGATAATCGCAGTGCTAGATTCCATGTCAGAATACTCAGCATCTCACCATGGCCTATGAGCCATTCCACACCCTTCTTTCTCTTTAGATGGGTAAAACAATTGACCAAAATCTTTTAAGTAGAGCCCTCCTGGTTGTCCTCTGTAAGCTCTTTCTTCATTCATAGACATTTCATAAGCAATGTCTATGAAAGGCTTGTGATTTCTGATCTCAGTTTGGGTGGAATGAGTCTGCGATTTTGTCCCCAAGTGGGGCAGTTAGATGTAATTAACAAGGTGAACGTAGTCACTGTAAAAAATAGCAATATGGACATGATAGGCAGTGTTGAGGGAATGGTTTAGTATCAACAGTTTTCTCTTCTTAACCAGTCAGTCACTCTGCAAAAAGAAAGTCAACAAATCACAAGAAAGCACTATTATTACTGGCTATGATGACAATGTTTTTTTGTATGTGTGGGGGGGCACAAAGCATGAAAGACAGTGAAAACTAGAGACTGAGAATAAACAATTCAAGAAGTTTCAGTGTGAATGAGGAGGAAGAATTAGGATAATGACTGCAGGAAGACATGTTGACCAGGAAGGGTTTTAAATTTTCATGTGAAAGAGGATAAATTATCTGAAAACACTAAAGATCTCTTGGTTTGCCTTGATGAACAGAGACCCACAAATTTTGGAAAGAATTATAAAACATCTAAATGATAAACTCTTGGTAAAGTGAATGGTATCTCCATCAACTGGCATAAGTTTCCCCAAAACAGGTCTAACTCTCTTCAGGTCTTTTGGAAAGTTCTACCAGATCAAAGTTGTAGTGTCCAATTGATGGCAGTGGCTGCTGCCATCACGATGGCCACAGCCCAGAGGTGCGGCTGGGGCTGCACACTACATGGAGCGGGTGGGAGCCCCGCCCCTTCTGAATTGGGGCAGGAGCTCCATGGGTGCCGCTGCAGCCCCCAAAACTGTGGCTGCAGATCCTGCTCTACAGAGCAAGCAGGAGCCATGCTCTCCTGGGTGGGGCTACAGCTGCCCAAACTGCAGCTATGGATCCCAGCCTCCCTGTGCTCTTGACGGGGCCTGGAGCAGGCAGGATCTGCCCTTCTGGGTGTAGCTGCAGCTGCCACTGCCCCATCCACAGCTACAGACCTGGGCCTCCCACTCCACCAAGCAGGCAAGAGCCAGGGACATGCAGGAGCCCCACCCCTTCTGAGTTGGTGGGGCGGGAGCTCCCCCAGATCCAGCTGCAGCCATTCTCCCAGGCACAGGACCTGGGCATCTCTGCAGCCTGCACCCTTGGGGGCCCAGGAAGGCCCCCCAATTCCCAGCTGGCTCAGGGGTGTCTGCTCTCACTGCCTCTCTCCTCTTCTGGCCCTGGCTCAGATTTTGGAGCGGGGGGAGCCCCAGGGCCTTGAATGGCAGTTGGAAGCAGAATCCTGGGCTCACAGGGGTGGTCCAGGGAAGGCCTGAAGGCTGGAGGTAATGCTGCCAGTCCCATGGACTGGAGTGGGGACTCGCCATGCCTCTTCTGGGGGCCCATGGCCACCCATGGACCAATCTGCATGCCCTTCCTCCCTGCTGAGGTCCATGAAAGCCCCAGGCTCAGCCAGAGCAGGGCAGAGGGCAGAGGATGAACAGAGGACTGGAGGACATGCTGCAGAGAGGAGCTACCCTCTCTGCTGAGAGCTTCAGGGACCTGCAGAGATAATTTGAACAACCTGCCTGTGGAGAGGAGCCCTGTCTCCAGGGCCACCTCTCTGCTGAGAGCTGAACATTCCACAAGAGGACCTGCCTACAGAGAGGCAGGTGGGAACATTCCACAAGAGGACCTGCCTACAGAGAGGCAGGTGGGAACATTCCACAAGAGGACCTGCCTATAGAGAGGCAGGTGGGAACATTCCTCAAGAGGACCTGCCTACAGAGAGGCAGCTGGGAACATTCCACAAGAGGACGTTCCACAAGAGAGGCAGGAAACCCACTGTGGGTTTCCTCTGAGCTGTTGTAACACTCAATAAAACTTCTCTTCATCTTGTTTACCTTCCACTTGTCTGTATCCCTCATTCTTTCTGGATGTAAGACAAGAACTTGGGCAAAAGTGCCACTGGCCAGAGAGTTTTCTGGCCAGAAAAGCAACACCCTAAAGATCCTGTAACACAATGTCACTGGCATAGTTAAAAACATACTAGGGAAATCATACTTACTGAACACCAACTACGCACCAAGTCCATGTTAGGCACTGTCATATTACTAAAGAATGTATTTTGCATTGCCAATGACCTTGCATTAGATGCCCTCTAGAGTTTCTTCAACATTTAATATTTTGTGATTTTCCTAGTTACAAGTAGGCTGGTATGTCTGTCACAAAACTGTATTTTAAAACTGTGCTAAAATGAAATTAGCCACAGCCATTAACTAATTAATCATTATTGTCAGAACATAGGTTCACCCAAGAACACTGCACTGCCTACACATTTATCTAGAGTATGCATTTCTTTTTAATAAAATAAAGTTTAAGCAATAGTTCAAAGCTTCAAGTTGAGGAAAAACAAATGTGTGATTAAGCTACTACATTGGTTCTTAGTTCCTCACTGGTTCCCTATGATCCTTCTATTTTATTTCCCTCATTGGTTCCCTATGATTCTTCTATTTGATTTTTAATACAACTCACGTTTAAATTGCTGTATTTTAAACCTCAAAAGCATGACTCTTTGCATTTTTAAAATTCCTATTCAAGGTTACAGTTGTAAAACTATTTGCCTCTAATTGATGTCCATACAATGACATGGGGGCCAGAGAGGAGCTGAAAGGGTTAGAAAGAAGACAACTAATATGACTTTGCTAAGTTATTAATATATGATCATTCTTCATAAAGTCTTACTACTTTTTTCTAAGAATTACATTAGAAGGCAATATCCCCATATTCTCAATTAATGGTCTGTTTGCCATAACAATGAAGCAATGAAACTTCAACTGTAAGTTGATGTCAACCACTGGAATGGGTCCTCTCCTCTATCAGCTGCCGATCTCTGGTGAGGAACTCATGTGAGGAGCATGGAAGGGAATGTTAAGAGAGAGCAACAGCCAGAGCATTGGTTTTCTTTGCTGTCATACACGGCAATGAAAAAATACTTTTAGATGAAATTCATGTTATCTCTCAAGCATTAAGAAGTTTGCATGGGTTGTAATTACATCAGTGAAGTTATATTTTCTTAATACTTCCAGTTAATCTAATTACTCTCTCTCTCTCTCTCTCTGTGTGTGTGTGTGTGTGTGTGTGTGCATTGAATGGTTTAAATTTGAAAAGGTGATCATAGTAATAAATATTTAATAATACATGAAAATGTGCAGCTACAGTGATTTACAAGAATATTTTTTAAGTTGACTGTGATTGATAAGTTATTTTTACAAAATGGTTGAGTTGCAGTAATGGGAAATATTAAGCAATGGAACACTAAATATTGTTAAGACAAATCATATTTTAAAATAGAGAACTATACCTACATCAGTGCCAAGTTCTAGGCTTGTGGCTTTATATTTATGCTCTCTACTATAAACCTCACAACAACCTTGGGAAGTTAGTAATGGCATTATTTTTTATAAGATGAATTTTCTGAGACTCTGATTATTTTAACATTGTTTTTCAATATTATTTGCCTAGTAAAGTGGACCCTGATTTGAATCTTGCACTGATCAGCTCCAAAGTTCTAAGTTTTCTAATTTTCAAGGCTGTTGATACTTGTACTTTGCCAGGACTGGGAGGAATATATACACAGTGTTTTAAGAAGGAAATCTACCATTCCACTAGGTCTTATTCATTGCTGATGTCAATGCTTTTTTTTTAAATTCCTTTTAGTAATTTATAAGATAACAAAGGCATGAATCTGTTTATCAAAATTATTTACCTGAGATACGTAAACTAAATGATGTGTAAGTATAGACTGCTTATTCCTGAGTGGCATAACTGACCTCAGTTCTTAACTTCATTAGGTTGTACCGGCTTGTTCTTAGTAATTTTGAGAACTGCTCACTCCTATGATCTGTTTCTGATATTATAATAGTATAATAATCAACATTTATGGTTTCTTTACTATGCCAGGCATTGTTTTAAGTTCTTTGTGGGTATTAATTTATTTAATCTTTATACTAACTCTATAGCTTGAGGTGAATGAAGTTCATCTATAAAACACCATGTGCAGAATCTTAATTTTGCTCTATTCTCTGACTTCTTCAACCTTGGTGTATGGAGCAGTGCTTAAGTACTAATTGTACTATTGTGAATAATTGGAGTGGGATACCATTTATTATTTTACTTTAGATACATCAAGTATGCATTAGTTTGGATGAAGAACACATAGAATATAAAGGACATAGACACGTATTTACTCACCACTAGTGATAGTCATCATTTTTGTTATTAGTTTATAATCCCTCTTTTTATAAGAAACAGTGTTAACATAGAGCCAAACCTCATTTCCCTAATCAAGTTTTCAGTTTTTCTTCCCTAGAGATAGCTGCTACTCTGATATTGGCATACATCATTCATATATATTTTTATGCTTTTATTACAAATGTTTGTGCATAAATAGTACATACTTTCTTGTGTACTTTAAAACATTATATAAATGATATCATGCTATTACAATCATTTTTTCAATTTGCATTTTTACTAGAATTGTATTTCTTAATTTTCCCATGCTTTTACAAGAGTCAACATTTTTTTATTGCTGAAGTGTTCTATTATAAATCAATCATGGTATATTTATCCATTCCCTTACTGAAAAAGTTGTATCTTCAACAGCATCTTGCTTTCAAACAGCGCTGCAATAAATATCCTTGGACACATGCTTAAAAATGTCTTTAGGGAAAGCAGAAAGAAATAGAATTGCTTGGTCCTAGGATATGCATATATTATTTTTGTCAGGACTGCTTGATTCTTCTCCAAAGTGGTACTAGCAAGTTATATTCCCATTGGAAATGTATAACAGGCCCAATTTCCAATTCTTATTGTTAACCCTTGTTAAAATATATATTAATTTTTAACAATCTTATGGTTACGATCTGGTAAAATGTTATCTTAGTTGTACATACATGATTAAGAAATGGGTTAGGCATTTTTCCGTTTCTTTTTTGGAAATTCCACGTTTTCTAGGTGAACTGCCTATTTACATATATTACCAGTTTCTTTCTACTGAATCATTTCTGTTTGTTTTCCTTTTTGTATTTTGTTTACAAATCGTTTGTTCGTTGCATGTTTTGTTATCATCTTTCTTCATTGCATTTATGGTATTCTTTGACATATTATTTGTCAGAAATAATAAATTTAAATGCAATCATTTGTGAAACCTTAATGAAAGGTTTTTTTATATTTTTTGTCATCCATCGAAACCCTATCAATTATCAAGCACTCATTCCCATATCTGTGAAGCCTATTTCTAAGTTCATGTGTGTCTTTTTTTCTCATTGAGCTTTTTATTTATATCCTGAGACCATATTTTTAAAATTAATTTAGCTTTTTAAAATTATCAGTGCCTAATAATCAAAGTCCTCTTCATTCTTCTTCAAAAAACTATTGCTGATTTTTGGCTTTTTACAATTCTAAACATATTTTAGGAATTGTGTAAGTATTACTAAAACATATCTATTAGGATGGTTATCTAAACTGCTTTATATTCACAAGTAATTTTTTTTTTTTTTTTTTTTGAGACAGGGTCTCCCTCCGATTGCCTGGCTAGAGTGCAGTGGTGAAATCTCGGCTCACAGCAGCCTCAACCTCCGGAGCTCAGGTGATACTCCCATCTCAGCCTCCCGAGTAGCTGGGACTACAGGCCCGTGACATCATGCCTGGGTAATTTTTTGTATTTATTTTGTAGAGATGGGGTATTGCCATGTTGCCCACACTGGTCTTGAACTGAAGCAATCCACCCGCCCTGGCCTCACAAAGTTCTGGGATTACAGGCGAAAGCCACTGTGCCCAGCCCACAGATAAATTTAAAGTTAAAAAAAAAAAAAGTTATGGCCAGGCGCGGTAGCTCACGCCTGTAATCCCAACACTTTGGGATGCTGAGGCATGCAGATCACGAGGTCAGGAGTTCGAGACCAGCCTGGACAATATGGTGAAACCCCATCTCTACTAAAAAATACAAAAATAAGCCAGGTGTGGTGGCGCGCGCCTGTATTCCCAGCTACTCAGAGGCTGAGGCAGGAGAATCGCTTGAACCAGGGAGGCGGAGGTTGCAATAAGCTGACATCATGCCACTACACTCCAGACTGACAACAGAATGAGACAAAAAAAAAAAAAAAAAACAACCTTATGATACTGAATTTTCCTATCCATTAACAACATATTTCTATTTACTATTTCTGTATGAGGAAGTTTCATCAAAACATTTGAAATATAAATACACAATTGAGTAAGTTGACAACATACCTAAAAGGTAGTCATGGCTATATAAAATAAATTTAAAATATAAAAGCAAATAATTTAGAAAACTTACTGATTCATTTTCTTTTTTTTTTTTTGAGACTGAGTCTGGCTCTGTCGCCCAGGCTGGAGTGCAGTGGTGCAATCTCCGCTCACTGCAAGCTCCGCCTCCTGGGTTCACGCCATTCTCCTGCCTCAGCCTCCCAAGTAGCTGGGACTATAGGCGCCTGCAACCACGCCTAGCTAATTTTTTGTGTATTTAGTAGAGACGGGGTTTCACCGTGGTCTCGATCTCCTGACCTCATGATCCGCCCGCCTCGGCCTCCCAAAGTGCTGGGATTACAGGTATGAGCCACCGCACCTGGCCCGGATTCATTTTCAAAACCAGGAAAAATTTGTAAACTTCCAATGTGTCCACAAAGGCTTTTAAGGTATATACTGATTGTTGGAAACATTCATTTTTCACAAATTTGATTTCAGACAACTCAATTCATGCAGGAGACAAAATTTTAAAATTCAATAAAAGTATATCAAATAAGGACAGTAATTATGCCGAGATAAAATGAAGTCAAGACAAAACCTCCAAAATAATCAAATGTAAGAAAGTACTAGAAATTACTAGAAGGGACATGAAATATTTCAATCCTTTCTGGAAAACAAAGCCTTGAAATACTCACTTCTGACCACTCCATCATTCTAGTCAATTGGTCATATTGACTAATTGTTTTCCACCATTCTACCTGGTCCCTTTTCTTGTTCATTTTCCAAACTGTAAATCTCTTTGAACTTCCATCTCCCTTTGTTTCACAGTTCCCACATTGCTGTAGGCTTCTTTCTTCTCACCTGAATATTATTGTTCCTTTCCCTTTCAAATATTTCCACTGCACCCCTTTGGAGGTCCCATTCCATGTAAAAATAATCCCATACATATTCAGCTTCTCTGTTGAAAGCACCCATCATTCAAAACTGCCTCCTACCTGAAGACACTAGTTTCTCTGCAATGCACTTTTTTTGCCTACCACCTCCAATCATTCCAACACTTTGTCTGATGTTTTCACTCTACCTTTTCCGGCATTCACTGAGAATGTCAGTACATTGGCTCTTCTATTTTCTCTCAATCTATTAGGGTCCTTTTGTATTCTTTTTTTTCTCTAGCCAGATAAAGATTAGAAATCCATTATTTTACTCTCTTGCCAGTATTCTCAGATTTTAAACCTACTGTCTTTCCCTCAGAGGCATCTCGAAAAATGTGTAACTCATTATCAATTTTTCACTTAGTATCAACCTGCCACTTCTTCTCTTACACTCACATGTCCTCCAAAACTCCTGCTGAAATTTATTTGCCATTGTAACAGTGTTGGGAAGTGGAATCTTTAAGAAGTGATTAGATCGTGAGGGTTCTGCCCTTATGAATGGATTAATGCTGTTATCACAAAAGTGGGTTATTATGAAAGTGAGTTTGCCCCTACTCTTCTCTCATGTACGCAGGTTTTCTCACTCTCACTTTCTGGCATGGAATAACCTTTGACAAATTTTTGTACCATGCTCTTAGACTTCCCAGAATCCAGAACTGTGAGAAGTAATTTTCCTTTCTTTGGGTGTTAACCAGTCTGTGGTATTCTATTAGCAGAAAATGAACTAAGACAAACAGCTATTTCAAACTTTTTCCAGTCTCCTCAAAACTCCAATGAGATCCCTCCACTTTCAGAAGATGACTTTGTCACCCACTTTACTGAGGAAACATAGCCTCCTATAAGAACTCCTCCAACTTCCTATGACATCTCAAACTCACCATCATTTTTACTGTTTCGTTTTTCTTCCCTTCTATTACAATAGAAGAAATAGATTCATTTCTTTAACACAGTGATTCTCAAGCCTTATATGCATCAGAATGACTAAAGCCATTGGTAAAACATAGACTGATGGACCCCACACCTAGAAATTCTGAATTAGTAGGTCTGGGGTGGGGACTAAGGACATAGTTCTAACAGTTCCAGGTAATGCTGAAGCTCTCCTCCAGGGACCACTATTCTAAAATAATTTCTCACTAGTATCAACTTCCTTGCTGTACCCCTAGGGATAATATTTCTTCAATAACCTAATCTTCCAATTATTCCCAAACTTTCCTTCTTTACTGAATTCTTCCCATTAGCAATCACATATCCTCAAGTCATTTACAGGGAAAGGAAAAAAGTCCTTCCACGTATATTTATTTCAATTACCTTCTCACCTTCTCCTCCCCTACACAATTAAGCTGACTGAATTAGGGTTTTTGTTTTGTTTTGTTTTATATATACAAGTATCTTTTATTGGAGTATTTTCATGTATTTGTCATGCTACCAAAATCAAGTTATGACTCTACACATAAACTCTTTGATAAAAGTTAAATAAAATAGCTATTTATTAGAAAATCCAATGGACACTTTTTAGTCCTCTTAATTACTACAAAGATTGTGACTTACCTACTCCTTCCTTCTTAAAAGACATTTTCAACTTGGCTTTAATGTTTCTAATTTTTCTTCAGTCTCTTTCATCACTTTGATTAATGTTTTTTGGAATTATCTGTTGTTGATTTACTTTCTACTTCACAAATAGTCTATCATTTTAAATTATTATTTAAATGTTGATGTTTCAAAAACCACACTAGATGTATCTCCTTCCTTTTATCACACCAGTGGGATAAATCTAGTTACCTTTACTTAAGAGGGGAGGGTATAAAGAAGAATTAGACTCTTACAGGTGGCGGGAAACTACTCCTAGTGAAACACAAGGAAAAAACAATAAAAGCAAAAGGTTATAAAAAGACAGGTGGGTGAATCTGAGATATTCTCATTTTATCAAAATAAAATGTGAATCAAAGCAGTAGAAGGTATCAAACAGTCATTGAATATACAGGAGAATAAGTTTATTATAATTTTTGAAACATTTTCAGGTGAATTTTAGAGTCTGAGAAAGTAAACCTTAAATTATTAATTATACTGGTATGTCTCATTTTATAATTTTTTATCGTCATGTCTGGGTTCATAAATGCAGGTGGGAAAGCTGATAACTACGTTTTATTTGAGGCAAGGATTTGAAAACAGTTTCAAGGAAATAAGGGAGTAACAGGTAATTGAAGCTATTAACAGTGGGGTGATTATAATGTTGAGTCACAGATATTAAGCTGGGCAAGGGGAAGAATATATAAGAAAGAGCTAAAGAATAAAGAGAATAGCAAGGTAATAAACTTGATGACTGTATAAGGTTGAATAATTGTTACATTGTAATGCATGAGCAAACTCAGTCAGAGGACAGACGGTTATGATTAAGGACTAGATGTTTTATTTCAGGACTTCAAAGAAGTTTCTGGTGATGACAAAGTCTATGGAATAACCTTGGAAGTTAGTGAGGTAGAAGGGCATCAGGGAGCCAGATGCCAGGTGCTGGATTCCCATCAAAGACACTTAGAATGATTACAGAAGTTGGAGAGGACATGACTTCTGTGAGCTAAATGATAACGTCTTCAATGAAGGAAGAGGGAAGGGCTGGTAAGTAGGTCTATAAATGACTGCTATTTTGAAGGGAGTGAGCTATAGCAAGATGAGCTCAAAAGAACAAGGCATTTCACTGAGGTAAGAGTCCTTCATTGTCTGAAAGGAGCAATAAGAAACTTAGAGAACTCTGATTTTATTTTTCTGTCCTAAGTCCTAGAAATATGGAATATTAGAATTCAAATATGAGAAAAAATCAAAGTTCACTTCATGGAAGGAAAATGACATCCACACTTCAAGGACATGGAGGACACCTTTGAAAAAGAGGATGAGGACACAAGGGAGCTAATAATGATTACTGGGTGACAAGAAAATGGTCCCAGCAGAAGAGTTTGGGAGGGAAGAGACCATTTCATAAATAAAGAGGATATAAGGAGTAATATGGGCATGAGAATTTGGGAAAATTTAGAATACAATAAATATCGAGAGGCTTATACTTTTGGCAATAATTCTGGTAGGAAGGGACATAAGATTTGGTGGACGTAATATTGATGGCTTTTAATGGGAGGACAGCAGTAGATCTCAGGTTTCAGTGATTTTCTGTCTGTAGGACTGGGCTTTTGGCCCCATATGGCTGTTGCTTCAGGCTTAACGCAGGATGTGCATAAAAGCTTCCTTCCTTGCCACCCTTGTTCTCAACTCTATTAAATTCTCTGTTATCTTTTCACCTTCTTTCCACTGAAATAGCAGAATATATTATAACAATAAAGGTTGAATGGTTTCTGTATCATTCTAGAATTCTTCTAGCTGGTATTTATTGTAAGCTCTTCTTTTAGCAAGACAGTTGTGATTTATTTTATAAAGGACCACTTCCTTAATTTCCCTTTGTGACTAAGACAACCCCCAAGACAATAACCTGCAATAAGCTATAGTACTTTCAAACTCAGGTTGCCAGTGTATGCATTCAAACATAAAAAGTTGAGTGATTTTTTTTCGAGTTCAAAAATTCTTGAAATTTAATGTGACACAATATTCAATTTAAGATATTATCCAGCCTATAAAGCTATCATATTTGATAGGTCTATATTTTTATACAGCCATTAAAATAATTATACTAAGGCCAAAGTATGAAAAACTTGATTAACTATACAGAAGCTGCATAAATTTGAAATCTGCACATGATTTAGTGTGGCTTGCAGAATGATCAAAGAATCAAGCTCTACAAATACAAAGCTTGAAATAGCAAAGAGGGTTGAAATGATGCATTTTTATTAAAGCCAACCAGTCAAAGGAGTTTGTTCTCTAGGATATAATTCACTTGTGCTTTTGTTGTGCTTCTCAATAGAATTCTCTTTTTTTTCCCCCTCCAATTTCTCATTTTGCTCTCAATTTTCCTGATTCTTTCTCCTCTCAACTCTATCTTTCAGCTTGAGTCCAGGACTGTTTTAGAAATGTTTCAATTGTAACTTCTGGTAAAATTTATCAGTTGAAGTTAGACTCAGCAAAAGCTAAATTCTAGTTGCAGTTTTAAATCAGATAGATCTGAGTTTAGATGCCAGCTTTGACATTGACAAGCTATGTGATATAAGCAAATTATTTGAACTCTCAGAACCTCAAATATTGAGCTTCCTTATTGGTAAATGGGATGATGATACCTATTGCAAAATGTGATTGAAGGATTCAAATGAAACGTTGCATGTAAAATGCTTCCATTATGCAAGAGTGTGCTCAAGGGATATTTATTTCCTGATCACTTACAACTTCCTTTCCCTTATGGAAAACATCACTCAGCCGCGTAAGCAAGAATTACATTGTTTAGCTCTCTTCTATTCAAAAAACGGTAAACAAGAAATTTAAGGGAAATGATTACTCCTTTAAAATGCAGATTTATCTTCATTTTTACTCGAAAACATACAAATCTGCAAAGTCTCTCGAAAGGGCAAAATTTAGTAGAATGCTAAATTATAAAATTTGCCCATAAAATCCATTTGATAAAAAAGAGGCATTCATTAGAAAAGAGGGTATAAAAGAAAGTGAGAAATTAATGCTTGTGCAAACATAACTGAGACGGCTGTTGATCATCACTGCAGACAAAGAGGTGTGGAGATGGCAGGCTCTTTTTGGATCTATCATAGTGCAGATAATCTGGAAAAGTGGTGGGGACAAGATACTGGGAAGAGCTGTCCTCACAGGTTGTTGAATCATTGACTAACTGATGGACTAAATGACTATGAAGTCCCTAAAATGTTCCAGACACTGACTAGACACATTGCCACATTACCATATCATGCCTCAGGTTATCCCCACCAAAACTCAATGAGTCCTCTAACATCCCGATTCCTTTAAATCCCCCCTGTCCCCACCAAAAGAAGCAAAACTGAAGCTCAGAAAGAGTTCATATGTTGTCTATATCACAAATTTAAATATAGGTAGAACTGAGATTTGACTAGGTCCTCTGACATCTTCTCTAAATGACTTCATCCTTTACCAACACAGCAAGGCAAGGAGGATGAGTTCAGAAATGAGAAGCTGCTCGTTTAAAATAGGTTTCCTTTGCATAGATTAGAAAGAAAAATTCAAAACTTCAGTTAAAAAGTGAATAATTTAAGTTAAACTGGAATAATTAAAAAGTAAAAATTAGAGCTAAAGCACCAGTTTGAGTCTTCCATGGTAAAATAGTTTTCTCTTGCTCAATGGCATTTTCTCCTCCAGGTTTATGGAAATATGATTTAATATAATTTAATCTGTATTTATAGAATTGCTTTAATCAAGCCTTTTTTTGAAGCCATATTCTGTTAGAAAGGATCATGTTTTGTTGAAATGGATTCTTTATACTGTACTCATTGATCCATGCTTGAGAGAATACTTCTATAATGATCTAAAAGATGTCCATAGAATCTCCAATTGCCAGATTTCTTCTAGATGAAAAACAAACAACCAAAACAAAACATGTTCTATGATTGAATAAATTTTTAAATCATTGCTTATCAGTATACTTAACTGTAGAGTCACAGGGTCATATAGCAATAACTGTATAATACTGCAGTAAAGTAACAAGTTTGTGTTTAAGTAAATATTATTCAAATATACTTGGTAGAATACCTCACCACTTTCCTTTTTTAACTGTAGTAATAATAACATTGCAGCTATTGTTCCACAGAAAACAACTTCAGAAATGCTAGTTAGAAAACTAATCATATGATATTCATTTTTCTGATATTCATAATTATCTTTAAGCAAAAGGAGCACATGGCAACTCTAAATGTTTTAGTACCTATCATACTATTTAAACAGAAAAGAAAGGTTTGAAAGAGAGGTAGATTGCAAATTTATGTGTGATTCAAGTGCCTTGATCTGATAGTCAGCATAAATGTGAGGCCCAGAAGTACCAGGAAACATTTATCACGGTAACTAAATTGCTCTGGGGAGAAATAAAGGACACTGCCTTTGCAAATTCAGCTGTGTCATCATAACATCCCTCCTCCTTCCCAATTTCTCATCCCCTAAGAATCAAACACTTTTATATTCACTCATTTGGCAAGCATTCACTGAGTTTCTATTATTTGAGAGGCATTATGCTAACCTCTGGAGACACCAACACAACAACACTTATTTCTTACCTTTGTAAAACCTATAATCTAGTGGAAGAGACACAAGCTTGCCAAATCTTTTACTGTGATGAGATAAATATTATACAAGAGGCATCAAAAGTCCCTAAAGACTAATAAGAGGCACCTAATTCACCCTGAAGCCAGCACAATTTTTCCAGTGGTGCTTGTTAAGTGGCAAAAGACAAGTGACATTTAACACATAAATGAGAAAAAATAGAGGCTTCTAGGCATAGAAAATGGCATGAGACATGGCATGGAGACATGAAAAACCACAGAGCACTTAGCATAAAGCTTTAGTGACTTACTAGGATACAAAAGTGTGTCTGTGTGCATGTGGTCTGTGTGGCTGCTGGGTAGGGAGGGATTGAGCAATGTGGCTACAGAGTTGGGCATGGATCAGATTTATAAAAGGTGTTCTTAATTGTATTAAGAAGCTGGGACTTCTTACTAAAGACTTCAGGGAAACACAACAAGTTTTAAGCAGTGGAGATCATGTAGCAGAAATATAGATACGAGTGTAGTGAAAATAAAGACTGGCAGCAGAGAGACAGAAAAGACCATTATAGACATCCTGGGAAGAAAAGATGAAGAACCCAACCACAGTAGTGACAGTAAAGATATACAAAAAGAAGAAGCATGGTAGTAAAGCAGATTGCCAAAGATATTAGTGTCTTCCCATGGGCCGTTTGCTAAGAATACATCATACATTCCTCCTACTATACTTGAATTTTAATGGAGGATATTTGGTTACAAGTCCTTAATGAAAGTAATGATTAAAATTTTAAACTTACAGCTAGCCACAGTGATATCTTTAGATATAAAAAATCTTAATTGCTGTCTCAATTGCATCCCATAGACAATCACTTATTCTACTTTTTTGAGAGCTGACTCAAATTGTGTGTGTGTGTGTGTGTGTGTGTTTAAATGAAAGATAATCAATTGAAAATTGAGTAAATTATGTTTCATGTTTAGATTGATGGATGTTAATTTTGTTTTAAAACTGCTGTAGTTCTTTTTATTCTTGAAAGGCAGAATCTTTGACAATAATGACATCAATGCTAGCAAGATAACATTTACAGGCTCTCATTATGTGCCAGTCACTGTTACAAATCATACTTGTGTATTTTGGTAGATGCTACCAAATATTAAATAACTTTGGTGAAGCTGGGGGTAATCTAGGTCTACTCATTAAGACAATACTTAGATCAAGCTTCTTGAGGGGAAAAACATCTCTGACACTCTACATTTTCTCATGCATTGATAGATTCAACATAGATCTAACCTATATTTTATTTTGTCTTGGGACATTTTTGTATTTACTGTGAAACAGAGTCTGATCCTTCACCTCTTCATATTTGATATCTATGATTAATATGTTTTTATGATACATTTGATATATTCATATTGATTATCAGTAAAAGCCTGTGAAGATCTAAATAAAATCCTTTGTGTAAGGATGTTAGTGGCCCCTAGACTCTTCAGAGGATTTTCAGAAAGCTACTGGATTGAGGTTGTATACTACAACAAACCGAACTTGTAAGGAGATACAAACCAAAAAAGATGTCCAAGGACAAATTCCTTCAGTGTGTGAGGATGGATTTCATTTACAGTCTCATTCTCCTACTTCTAATAATGTCATCACTGCTTTTATGGGCTGTGATTGTTATGCTAACATAAAGGCAAATTGATTGTGGAAACATTTGTAATATAGGGAAAAGTCCTAACCTTCTATCTTTTGTGATGCTTAATATTAGGAATCAAATTGACCGGTAAAGCATTAGTTTTGGGTGTATCTGTGAGAGTGTTTCCAGAGGAGACTGGCCTACGGTTCTGAGCTAAGTGGGGGAGATCTGCCCTCAGTGTGAGCAGGCACCATCCAATTGGCTGTAGGCCCCAAGAGAACAAAAACAGAGGAAAGGCAAATTGGTTTAGCTTTCCCCTGGAGCTAGGATACACTTCTTTCTCCTGTCCTTCAATATCAGAACTCCAAACTCTTAGGTCTTTGGACCTCAGGACTTACACCAGTCAACTCTCCACCTCACCCTCTACTATGACTTCAGGTCTTCAGACTTGAACGGAGCCATGCTACTGGCATTTTAGGGTCTCCAGCTTGTAGAAGGGCTGTTGCGAGACTTCTCAGCTCCATAATAATGTGAGCCAATTCCCCTAATAAATCCCTGCTTACCTATCTGTCAGTATGCTATTGGTTCAGTGTCTCTGGAGAACCCTGGCTAATACACTTTTGTTCAAATCTACTTTGTTAAGCTGATCTTGAAACTATTGATTCTTTTTTTTTTTCTTTTTTGAGACACTCAAAAAGGCACTCTATTGCCCAGGCTAGAGTGCAGTGGTGCACTCTCAGCTCACTGCAACCTCTGCTTCCCAGGCTCAAGCTATTATCTAGCCTCAGCCTCCCAAGTAGCTGGAACTACAAGCAAGAGTCTTTAATGACCAGCTGATTTTTGTATTTTTTGTAGAGACGGATTTTCACCATGTTTTGAGATAAGGAGTCCCTTATCTCGAACTCCTGAGCTCAAGCAATCTTCCCACCTGGGCCTCCCAAAGTGCTGGGATTACAGGGGTGAGCCATTACACACAGCCTGATTATTTCTATTTAAAGTATTTATGCCAAGACCAGAGACCTCAAGTATTAAAAGAGATACGAGTCTCCATTATAATACCAAATATGCAATTGAGATTAGCCCTCTCTTTGTCTTTGCCAATTACACTGATACATAAATGGAACACGGATGATAATTTTAAGAGGAAATTCTGGAAACAATGATCTGGAGTAGGACTGTTTAGAGGAGTTTGCTTATCATCATTAATTTTTAATGAGAATGCAGGACATCTCCTCATACCAGGATATTTTACAGATGGAAGGAAGCACTGTCTCTGCTCTACAAGAGCTTATAATCTATTATTTAGAAATGTTTCTGAAATTTTTGTGAAGATAAAGCCACAGGGAAGTGGGAAAGATACTAAAAACTCCATGTACACAATCACAGAAGCATTACTACTATTCCTTTTTTCTAAGCATATCCATCTGATGTTTTTCCACTGATCATATTTCTAACCCTGGTAAAAAGAAAAATGAGTAAGTCAAACCATGACTCAAACTTTGACTAGTCATTATCAAAGACATATATATGCAATTCTGAAAGGAAATGTAATAATGATTTTCTATGCATAAGGACAAATACTTCCATTCATTTTGCTCATATTTCTTATTCTACAAATGAATTTTAAATGTAGAAACATCATAATCCTATTAAAACACAGCTTCTTAAAATAATTTGGCTATAGTGATGTGGTGTATGCAGAAATCAGCTGAGGAGTTTGCTAATAACACAGATTTCTGGCTTCATCCCAGATATTTTACCACGTCTGTGCTGAATCTGAGAATATACATTATTAACAAGCTTATCACATGATTCTCACACAGGTGTTACTTGATACACAGTTTGAAAAACATGATATAATGAGAGGAAATATTTAATATTTACTTTTCCTGAGTGTGCCTTTCAGCTCAGGAAGACAGATGTTAGTAAGAGTTTTGAAGTTGGGTGGCAACAGGGAATTTGTTCACCTGAAGGCTTCTGTGATTATAACACTCAAAGAGATAAGGGACAAGAAGAAATCAAGATCAGCGGGACTTGACCAGAATTACGTTGAAAGGGAGACATAAAGACAACATAATGAATAAAATAAAAGCCAATATCCAAGCATGTTGATGGTTTAAGAGTTATAAAGTAGTTGAGTCTGCGAGATT
This sequence comes from Homo sapiens, assembly GCF_000001405.40. NCBI lineage: Eukaryota > Metazoa > Chordata > Mammalia > Primates > Hominidae > Homo > Homo sapiens. The sequence continues at coordinate 52,726,053 of NC_000017.11, forward strand.
TAATAAATCAAATAACATTTACTGGTCATATGGAAAAAACAATGTTTTCTTTCTTCATTTTTTATTTTTTACTTTTTTTTAATTTTTTGTTTGTTTGTTTGTTTGTTTTTGTTTTTTGAGACGGAGTCTCGCTCTTTCGCCCAGGCCGGAGTGCAGTGGCGCGATCTCGGCTCACTACAAGCTCCGCCTCCCGGGTTCACACCATTCTCCTGTCTCAGCCTCCTGAGCACCTGGGACTACAGGCGCCCGCCACCACGCCCGGCTAATTTTTTGTATTTTTAGTAGAGACGGGGTTTCACTGTGTTAGCCAGGATGGTCTCGATCTCCTGACCTCGTGATCCGCCTGCCTCGGCCTCCCAAAGTGCTGGGATTACAGGCGTGAGCCACCGCGCCTGGCTTCTTTATTTTTTTATACACTCAGAGTGGAAACAGTTTCTCAAATGTCTTCTAAAGGATATACAATCACCACAAGAGAAAAGTCTGATGCAGCTGTTTTTTTTATAGCAGTGGCCCTGCAGCCTAGTCCCAAGTGGTGCCCAGTCCCAAGTGATAAAATGGTGAGAGTGAGGGGTGGCACTCTCTTTGAATGGTCAAAGAACATTAAAGAATTTACATGAAAGAAAATGCTGAACAAATGCCACTAAAGATTGAACAGTTAGGTACTTAGTACTTTCATGATATTTTAATAGTTTATATGGTATTGAATACTTTTGTATGGGAAATATTCCAATACAGTTCTAATAATAAACAAATTTCTACCTATGTGCTTGCCACTGAAAATAATAAGCAAGAAAAGATACATTTTCATCTATAGTTAACATTAAACAGTTTTAACTGGGCTTTGATGAATAGACAGCAAGTATTTTGCTGAGTATATTGCTATCTCATTTTGCCTAGGTTGAACTTTTAAAATATACTTTCAAACGTTTTGTAACATTTATTGATTTATTTTCCTGAACTAGGTAAGCAACTGCAAGTTATATTGGAAAGCATGCATTTCTGGATATTTTTAATTTATACAATATATTTCTAATGTACAGACATGGTAGTGTCATATTTGAGTACCAAGAGCTTCCTCTATGTATCATGTGAGTTCTTATTCCAGCCTATTCATGCTTTTTATATGAAATATATACAATTATTCTCTTCATATCTATTATTTATTTTATTTACTTTAAACATATATACAATATTCTTATTATATACCAAGCAATTTTCTTAGGGCTTTACAAATGCTAACACATTTATTTCTTGCAACATCCTTACAAGGTAGGCGATTTTATTAGATGATTTATAGATGAGGAAAATTATGCACAATGAGGTTACCCCATTCATCTAAGATCACAGCTGTGCCTCTAGAGGTCAGCCGCACGTACTTTGATTCCAGAACCTATGCTTTCAACCATGATACTATCCTAGCTCTCTACCTTTGACAATGATATAGGTCTCAGTAGCAGCAAAAGTTCATTGGAGATGTGAATGATGAACAGATAATAGTGTACTAGACGTAACCCTGCTCAACAATGTATCTGTTAGTCTTCCTGGAGGGAAATCTTACTTCCTGCCAGGTAGGCATGGTCATATGAATTGCTCCAATCAATGAACATGAATAGAAGTGGACTATGTCACTTATGAGCACAAATATTTAAGAGCTTTATTCAACTACACTCTCCTTTTACTTTCTATGAAGAAATAGGAAGTATGGGATAAAGTGCCATAAAATCAAAGTATCTCAGAATACTGAACCACCACATAGAAGACAATTTCTCTGGAAAGCTGCCCAATGTAATTTATGTGAACCAGGAATAACTGCTTGGGGTGTTAAACCACTGAGATTGTGAAATTATTTCTTTTTGTGGCACAATATATACCAGTGGTTCTCAAGTAAGGATGGTTTTGTTCTCAGAGGATATTTGGTACTGTCTAGAGACAGTTTTGATCATCACAATTCGGAAGGGGGTTCCTACTGATATATAATGAATAAAGCCAGGGGATGTTGCCAAGCATCCTACAATGAACAGTTCAGACTCCACAACAAATAATTATCCGGTCCAAAATGTTAACAATGCTGAGTTTTACAAACCCTGATTTTGTCTATCCTAATACAGATATTGCTTCAGAGTAAGCATAAGAGTGTATGAAGCAGTTTGGCAGGGCGCAGTGGCTGATGCCTCTAATAACCCAGCACTTTGGAAGGCCAAGGCGGACAGATCACTTGAGGTCAGGAGTTTGACAGCAGCCTGGCCAACGTGGTAAAACCTCATCTCTACTGAAAATACAAAAATTAGCCGGATGTGGTGGTGCATGCCTCTAATTCCAGCTACTCGGGAGGCTGAGACAGAAGAATCGCTTGAACCTGGGAGGCAGAGGTTGTAGTGAGATGAGATCATGCTACTGCACTCCAGCCTAGGCAATAGAGCGAGACTCTGTCAAAAAAAAAAAAAAAAAAAAAAAAAAACAGAAGTGTATGAAGCAGTTATAATAAAGATCACCTGCATTGATTAAATCTAGAGGTCCCACATAAATAAATTGCACTTAAAGCTACCCATTCCATATTTGCTCTGCAAGTGGCAACCAAGTGCAACTTAATAATTTCACATAAAAAACCTTACTTTATAAATAAAATATTCTTCATCTCCACTCAAAAAATTCCCTTCCTACATGGCTTCCACTAAAAAAAAAAAAAAAAAAAAAAAAAGCTCTGAGTTTGCTTTTAAAAACAATCCGGCTCCTATAAGACTTATGAGACCTTGCGTGCATGCAAATCACCAAGCATCAACATAAATACACTAGGTTAAGTAAACTTGATGGCCATGGGGGATACATTTTTTTCCTCCTGTGATTGACTTTCGTCAGTTATAATTAGGCATGTAAATTCTCTGTGCTTGGAAAAAAGATTTTGAAAAAGGAAACTTATCCAGTGCTCTCTGGCATCTGGGATTTGTTCTTGTTTCCACTGCTTCTAAAGAGGTTGCATAATGCCTGATTTGTGGAGACCAATATTTTATTCGAAAAACAGAAAGGATCCAGTCACTGTTTTGGGGACTAACCCAAAGGAAATTGTTTAGTATATTAAATTATACTCAGAAAACTGCTGTACAACTGTTTTTATAACTTGGAAGCGTTAAAAATCCAGGATTTTTATTTCAAGAATCGGGTTTGGCAAACTTTTTCTATTAAGGGCCAGGTAGTAAATATTTTAGATTTTGTGGTCTAAAAAGTATCTGATGGAGCTACTCAACTCTGCTGCTGTAGTGCAAAGGGAGCTATAGAAAACTGGTAAATTAATGGCTGTGAATGTGCTTTAAGAAAACTTTATTTAAAAAATAGGTGGTAGACTAGATTTGGCCTCCAGGTATTATTTTGCTGACTCCCATTCTAGATAATATTTTCATCTGGAAGATGAAAGATGACTATCAGTTTAAATTATTTGGCCACTGCCAAGTCATAGTAAAATATGGAGTGAAAGTAAAGAAAAAAATATTCATGTAATGCCTATTATGTGTCAAAAACTGTGCCAGGGAAGCTACTCACCTTACAATGCACAGGACAACCACTCATAAAGAATTATCTAGCCCAAAATGTCAATAGTGCTGAGGATAACAGACTCTCTCGCCTTTGTAGCAAAATGTAGTTAAAAAAATCCACCACCATCAGCATCAATTGGAAGCATGTTAGAAATGGAGAATCTCAAGTTCCTCCCAAGAGCTACTGAATCATAATCTCTATTCTAAAAATATTCCCAGAGGGTGTGTGTGCAAATTTAAATTAATTCACGGTGGTCCAGCCTGGCATAACTAATATAGGGGTCGTGAATATGGTGACATTATCAGAGAAATGTGCATCAGAATGGTTAAAAATTTGCACTACTTTACAACTCGTAAAGGCTTGAGAAATAACTTGAAGACATCTTTCTGACTTCCAAGAGTACATTCTATCTGCTATCCCATTTTATCTCCCTGGCCAAAATCTTAGAAAAATACTTTAAATCCACCTGAGGATTTATGCATAATTTTACATGTATAAATTTTAACATATACTAGTAAACATCTAATAAACATAATACACAGAGCATGCTCTCATGAGGAAAATAACCCTGATTCTTCAGGAACCATTTGTTATTATTTGTATAATGACTGTTTAAGTGCTATCCATTAACAAGAAGTAGTGAAATCAAAGTCAAAGCCAGATGGGTTCAAGTTAAAATCTTAATATGATGGCACTGATCAATTTATTTATCTTCTCTGAGTTGGAGCTAGCTACCATGCCGTATTATTGTAAAGTCCTTATTAGATAACAATGATTAGCTATCACTTTCTGAAAGTCTTCATATGAACTGAATTGCCTTTTCCCAGAGTAAAATAATTTCTTGAAAGTCTCACTCAGGGTATGGTGGCAACTTCTCCCAGAAGGATTTGCATTTTAAAAGGTAATTCTCTACCTATCCCCTCCACCTGTCCTGTCCAGTGGAAAGTACAATGGCAATACTTGTATCTAAGGAATAACTTTGTCATGCAAGGTGGGCTGTTTGATGTTACTATCTATCTTGCAAGAGGACATAGAATATCGGTCCATTTTATACAATGTCACAAAATGTGGCATAGGGAATTGGATTTATTGGGGGAACTTTATAAAGCCAGCACTGACAAAAAGAAAAGGCAGAGAGTTCCTATATACCCCTGTATAACTGGAGAGAAATTCTAGGGCCAGAGTACACTATGCTGTGGGTAAAAGACCGGAGAAGGAAGAAACTCGGCTTCTATATTTCTCTCTCATTGGAACAAGCATGAAGGCAACTTTGTCAGTGAAAAAAAAAAATCTCTCTACTTGGACATTGGCAGTTTGTATTTAGATGCCAGTTTCTGTGAGAACTGTCTATTAATAGTAAAGCTATCCTTCCAAATTCAAGACCTCTGGGCCTGTAAATAAATCATTGGTCTTATGAGAAGCTCAGTTTAGTTATGGCTCCTACAGTCAGATGGGAGTGAGCCTTCATGTCCCTGACATCTCACTGTTCAGGTACCACTTGGGAGTTACCAAAGGCAATTTAGAGAATTCTCTTTGTTGCATCACAGACTTATAATTTAAGGCATCAGCCATGTAATATATGAGCTAGTATTGTTGGACAAGGTAAACTCCAAAATATTTCAACAATATTAAATAGAAAAGTGTTTCTTTCATGGTCACCCACAACTGTTTTGAATCTCTAAGACCAAGAGGTTGCAGTCTGCACAAGGGCCACTTAAAAATCTACCTAGGTGCTGCCACACACTTCCTTAAAAAATACAGTGAACTAGTGTTTATTCACTTATTTATTCACATATAAGCCAATCATATTTCCAAATGATTGCAATGCCAGGCATGGTGATACGCATTAGGGAGACAAAGGTATATAAAATAATATTCCTGACCTTAAGCAATAAAAAAAAGTTAAAGAAACAAACATGCATAAATATTTCTAGAAATCAAACTGAGCATGAATTAAAGTATTGTTTAAAGAATTAATAAACCATCCAGGCACGGTGGCTCATGCCTGTAATCCCAACACTTTGGGAGGCCGAGGTGGGCAGATCACCTGAGGTCAGGAGTTTGAAACCAGCCTGACCAATATGGTGAAACCCCATCTCTACTAAAAATACAAAAAAAAAAAAAAATAGCTGGGTGTGGTGGCAGGTGCCTGTAGTCCCAGCTACTCAGGAGGCTGAGGCAGGAGAATCGCTTGAGCCCGGGAGGCAGAGGTTGCAGTGAGCCGAGAACACGCCATTGCACTCCAGCCTGGGTGACACAGTTAGATCCTGTCTCAAAAAATATAATAACAATAATAATAATAAACCCCAGACACCATGAAACAGAAATATATATTAACTTTTTATTGCATATTCAACTATTTAAATTGTAGGTTCATAAGGTAGCCTTAGAAGCAGACAGAATAAGATATACTTTATATTATCTTTCTTTCCATCCATCTCTTTTAGGTTTACATGACAAATACACTCTTAAAGTTTTGTCAAAGCAACCATAAGTATCCTGACCACTGAATATTCTCTCATTAATACCATAATTTTATTTAGTTTTCTGATTTGGATTACCAAGGATTCTACCAATACTTGTAAGTTTGTGGCAAAATCAATTCTATGAGTTATTAGACGCCAATGGTTAATTCAATTTTCCAGTAAACAAAACCATTGCCAGTTGCCCCATTCTCTTTATAGAGGTCTCTTTGGGAAGTCTCTGGATTCTACTGTGAAATTTTTGTTCATATTGGCAAGGTAGGTATGTAAGGTCATATATTCAATATGGAACATCTGAGGAAAGAAAATAAAAATACAATTTTATTGAAACCATAACCGATATTATTGAGGTTGAAAGCATTGCTGGCATTGAAGAAAAATAGTCCAACATTAAAACATACATTTGAAAAAGAAATTATTTGTGTTTCTCAAGCACAGTAAAGAGGATATGTGGTCCTCATTTAACATTTTTATTCTTTTTGCAATTATTATTTGCTTCACTTGTGAAGCTTCCCAGGTACCTCTTTCTTCAAAATCTTAAAAACTAATAGTAGTAATATTACCCCGCCTAGCCCTGGCCCACACACCTGTTGTCCTCTACTACTTCTCTTCTCCTGCTATTTTACTATAATTTCATCTCATTTTCTCTATTTTTTGCAATGTTTGATTCCCCCTTATTGTAGAAAAATGGAAAGACACAGTACTGCAATGATAGAAATCCTCTGGACAGAAATGAGAGTGGCCTTTTCCCAGTTTAAAACCAATTAATTTGAACTTTCTTCCCTGTTCAAAGTAAATGACTCTTATCCTGATTTTAGTTATCATAAGACTTCCTATCACCTAAGCTGTAAAGTACTTATTCAGTCCAAATGGTTGGACTTCATTGCTCTTATCACAAATAAATAACAATATAAAATGGAACAAGGAAGAACTATACCACTCAATTGTCTTAAAAGACATTTAACCCTAGGGTCTGGTACACAGGTGGTCTGGCTACCCAGTGCCTTTGTTCCTGCCCATTGCTCACTGGACTGAACTAGCCTCAGATGGCCATTGCTCCTGAAACGTGGCATGCTGGATATCTGCTGTGTCCACTGGATAAGAGTATTTTAGGGGCCTAGGACTACTATTTTTTCAGTGACAAAGCAATAGTGTATCATTGGGCAATGTTTATCTTCAGTTATAGAATCTGCATGAAACTTTAGTATATAACTCTTTTTATAGACACACACACATATGCACATGCACACACATATGTGCACACATGTGCACTTCTATACATGCACAGGTGCACACACACAGACACACACTTTGTGGATTCATGAGGTTGCCCCAGCAACCTCTATTACTCTATTAGGAGTCACACACTCTATTAGGAGTAACCCCTTTTGTCTCCCTATGCCTCCTTGTATTAGTCTTCTCACACTGCTATAAAGATGCTACCTGGGATTGAGTAATTTATAAACAAAAAGGTTTAATTGACTAACAGTTCTACATGGCTTGGGAGGCCTCAGGAAACTTACAATCATAGCAGAAGGTGAAGGGGAAGCAAGGCACGTCTTACATGGCAGCAGGAAAGAGAGACAGAAAGAAGGGGAAAGCGCCAGACACTTATCAAACAACCAGACCTCATGATAACTCACTAACTATCATGAGAACAGCATGGGAGAAACTACCCCTATGATCCAGTCAATTCTCACCAGTTCCCTCCCTCTACATGTGGGGATTACAACTCTAGATGAGATTTGAGAGGGGACATAAAGCCAAACCATATCACACCCCATACCTAGAATTGATAAAGGCCCTTCCTCTTTCAGTCTTGACTCCATCCTCTTTTCTTGTGTTAGGATATATAACACTTCTTGCCCAGGAAAACTCCACCATATTTTTGTTGTATTAATATAGGCTACAAACATTTCTGTTACATCTACCCTAAATTCTCAGTATTTATCTATATTTGAATTCTTGAAGTGTATCACAATTCCTGGCACAACAGTAGGTACTCAATATATATTACATGAACTGACCAGAACTGAATTACAAGGGAGAGGACAGTCCATGGAAACTTCAGTTCCTTGTTAGCTAATAAGAAACAGACACAATTTTTAGCATTTTCCCAGTAGTTTATAGATTTTGTATGTATATTTTGAACTGTATTCAGAGTGATAAGTGCAATAATAGAGAACTGAACCTGTAACAAGTTTCACTGAGCATAGAGAGTAGGGAATACTTTATAATGGGAAGCAGAAAAGTTAAGCATGTTTTATTTAAAAGGGGAAGTTTTCAATGGGTTTTGTAATTAGAGTTTTCTTTTGTCAGGCCTAAAGGGCTGACAGTGGGAGAGAGGTGTGTGAAAACAGTGTTCCAGAAAGAGGCAGCAGTTTGAAAAGCCATGAACACATTAATGAATATACTATGAGAAGATAACAACAACTTTGGAGTGGTGCTATCTGGATCACATAAGATAACACATGCTGAAGAGCTCTACAGCAACTGGGGCAGAGCAGGGGGTTGGTAATTGTTGAATGAACCTATGTATTAACTCTTAGGTTCTGCAGCGTTTTTCCCCTCATCTTTGACTATCAGTTTTCAACATTAAATGAACGATCAATGAAGTTATCCATGTGCCAGGCTTTTAAAAAACCTGGCTTAAGTTGAATCCCATTAAAACCAGAGAAGGCATGGAAAATCACAAAGGTGTCTCTTAAGGAACACCAGGTTTGAAGCATGTGGTTGAATTGGAAAATGGCAAATCATTGAAAAGAAGAGCACTAAAATAACGGGAGCATCAGGAAAAAGCAAAGAAAGAAAAACACAGGTTTTCAAACACCGCATGTTCTCACTCATAAGTGGGAGCTGAACAATGAGAACACATGGACACAGGAAGGGGAACATCACACACCAAGGCCTGTCAGGGGTTAGGGGAAAAGGGGAGGGAGAGCATTAGGACAAATACCTAATGCATGCAGAGCTTAAAACCTAAATGACAGGTTGATAGGTGCAGCAAACCACTATGGCAAATGTATACCTATGTAACAAATCTGCACGTTCAGCACATGTATCCCAGAACTTGAGGTAACATAAAAAAGAAAAATAAAGGTTTTATTTCATATGTATATGTTGTCCCTAAAAAAGTATTTAATTATATTGTTAGGCTAGGCATTTAAATTGAATCCCTCTAATCATAAGAAAAATGACTTATTTTACTCCTTAGCTGCTTAGCCTGTGGTCTTTAAGGAATAACATACATTACTGTTTAGAGTTAGGGCATTCTTGTTCAAATGTTTTATTTTCTATATGTTGTTCCCAACTAAATTTTACTGAGATAATGAAATCTTCAGTGAAAAGGGATACATATGATCTCAGACCCTTACCTTCTAAACTAATATATTAGAATAAACATACTATGCAGCTGATACGATCTACTTAGCTTTCCTGAGTCTGATGACTGCAAAGGCCCTGCATATATGCAGCAATAGAGTTTCATCTCTTTTCAGTCAGTTTACATTATTTCACTCAAAGTCCTTGGAAAATAAAGTGCCCTTTTAATATGGATTTAAATGTGCACTCAGAATACAAAATTGCGTGTGTATTCTATGGAAACAAGTAACATCCTGCAGTTAAATACATTTCTTTGTTACTATGCATCCCACGTAAGTGCAAACATTAACTTTTTTTAAATACTTCCCTCCAGAAATGGCTTTCTTACCTGTAGTGTAGACACAGGCAAGAACCAGAGTAAAAAGATTTATCCACGAAATGTTTTTTATTCAAAACCAGTAAGGTAGAGATATAGTTTTTTTTTTTTTTATCAAACTGTTTTACGAGGCTTATGTTGTTATTCCAGTTCCATGAACCCCACAGAAATATCCTGTCTGTGCACAAAAAATTCTGATTTCATGCTTGGAAGAATTTTATCAAATATTTAGAAACAGAAAGTAGTTATTCCTGTGATACATGCACATATCATTAATACTCAGGCACACACACTTTCGTTCCTCACACATGCTGATCTAGATAAACAGCTGAAAGCTATTTCACATGAATTATCCAAGAGGAAATTTTTAGTGCAAAAAAATGTAACCTTTGTACTCTATTTCTTCCAAATAAGAGATAGATATTTAGTTGTAGTTATAGGCATCCCAGAAAAAAAAAATACAAAAATGCATTGTACCATCCAAAGATTTTGTAATTAATCACTTAGATTTAGTCACCTAGTTTACAAATAGTTAAGATAGGGCCAGGCTGTCCAGGTTTATAACTAGCTAAAATTCATATAAGTCGACTGTTGATAAAACAATGGTTGACTGCATGAGAAAATTGTAATGTTGGGTAAGAATAAAGGCTTCAAAAATATTTAAATATATATGCATGTGGCTTATGCTATTGTGCTCTGCTCATATTTACTAGGTCATTGATTCTCAAAATGTGGTCTTTAGACTAGCAACATCAGCATCAGGTAGGAATTTACAAAAATGCAAACTCCATAGCGGACCTACTGAATCTGAAACTCTGGATGTGGAGCCTGGCCATCTTGCTATAGCAAACTCACCAAGTAATTCTGAGGCAGCTTAAGGTTTGAGAACCACTGCTTTATTTCTAGACTGGAATTCACTAAAGATAGCTCCTGTACACAGTCAATCCTTCAGAGGATTTCCCTATGCTCACCACTTTGATAAGTTACTTGAAACCAAATCCCTGCTCAGAGTCTGCCTTGGAGGTGACTCAAGTTAAGAAAATGTGTTTATATGTCCTAACAATATGCTTTCATGGAAGATTTGCTGCATTGAATTATAATTTATTTTTGCAATTTTGATTTCCTTACGTGAATGTGAGGGGATTTTTGGCTTTTTAAAAAATAATTTCAACTTTTATTTTGGATTCAGGGGATATGCTTTCAGGTTTGTTTCCTGGGTATATTGTGTGATGCTCAGGTTTGGGGTTTGATTGATTCCGTCATCCAGCTACTGAACATAGTACCCAGTAGTTTTGCAGTCCTTGCTCCTTTCTCCCACCAGCGTCCAGTGTCCTTTGTTTCTATTGTTGCCATCTTTATGTCCATAAATACTCAATGTTTAGCTCCAACTTATAAGTGAGAACATGTGGTATTTGGTTTCTGTTCCTGCACTAATTTGCTGAGAATAATGGCCTCCAGCTGCATGCCTGTCGTTGCAAAGGACATGATTTTATCCTTGTGACTGAATAATATTACAATGTGGTACATATACTACATTTTCTTTATCCAATCCATCACTGATGGGTATCTATGTTGATTCCATGTCTTTGCTATTGTGAATAGGTAATTCTATTTTAAGTTCTGTGTGAATTCTCCAAATTGCTTTCCACAGTGGCTGAACTAATTTACATTCCTACCAACAGTGTCTAAGCATTGAATGCGAGTTTTTAAGAGCAAAAGATACAAGGCATAATTTATTTTTACATTTTCTAGGCCCAGGACGGTGCCTGGCAAATAAGAATTTTTCAATGAATATTGGTGTAATAAATGTAGAAGTACATAAATTGGATATTTTTAAGTTATTTTAAATTAAAATTGATGATATTATATCACCAATATACTTATATTGATGATAAGTGTGTCAAAGGTTATAGCTGAATCAACAAATGCCTGCAATTGGTAGTTAACAGTTGTAGAAATTCCAAGTTGTTTCAGGTTAGCTAAAATGTAATAAGAAATATGTATAATCATAGCATTATTGAAGAATATAACTGACAACTCTACACAGGTTCTTTGGGGGACCCTTAGCATGCTTTAATTTCAGCAATGGTATATTTAATCTACTTCCATGCATTGACAGTTAACTATATGTGCCCAGGGCTCTTGTATTCTGGGTTCAAGTTATGTATTGCTGTTTTTGACAGGAAGTGCTCTTTTATATTCATATTTAAACATTTACTGCTACAAGTGTAAGTGTTTGAAGTATTCATAAAGTTATTTTTCACATAGAAACTGAGATTTCAAGGTTAGAATCATTTATCCCTATAGAGAGAAGATATAAATGAAAATATTACCAAACTCTCAGTGTGGATGAAGGTCATGACAACACTGCTATATCAAATAAAGAGAAAAAATAGTTTGCAATTATTTTTTCTAAACGAGACTTCCCCGATTGTGAGAAGCTATTTATTTCTGCAATACAGTCTGTGTGGCACAACCTCTATTTGCTACCTACTAGTTTTTATTTTTATAACAATTTAAATGGGTACAGTAATTTATAGCTAGTGAGCAGAATCTCTTAGAAAGGGGTATCTTATGAAGAAAAGTATTATTATCTATATTTCTTCTCTTGCATTAATTTTCCTTTGGTTATTGCAAACATTAAAGGAGAATATAGGAGCAGAGTAATTATCATACTTAATACTCTCCAGAAATACTGTATATTGAATTTGAATAGGCTAGGGAACTTATTAATCAATTGGTAAAACTTGCAAAGCACCACCAAATCTATGTTTTTTAAGTATATAAAATAAACTGAAACTGATTTTTTTTCTAGTAAAACATGGTGATGTGTATGTCTCATTTATTTCAAAGATAATATCTTAGGCTCTGATCTAGAGTTGTTTCATAGAGAATGAACATGAAACGGTCTAGAGTTCCTTTTTTTGGTGGATTAAACATAGTTCTTTCCTTCTCCTGTATCTCTACTTTTTGGCATAATCTGTCTTTTATCCCTTTTTACTCATCCTCTTTGTATCCCTGTTATAACACACATGGTTTTATATTGTTCTGAGTGTTCTTCATTGTTCCATCTGTAGAATATTTTTCATCCTCTTCTAGATCTGGAAATCCAAGATCTGCCCAACATCTGGAAAGGAGCTTACCCTGTTCTTTTTTAACACTTTTGTTTACAAAGCTAAGAGATTTCATACTCCCTCCCCAATTTCCTTGTTGGTAATTCTCCTAACTAAGATTAGAATCTTCTGTTTAGGTTTATTTTCTGTGATCGTCATAGCAAATTTGTCATGCTTCATAAAACATAAAATAAACAGAAAAATTCTCATAATTACAGGGTTGGAAAGCTGAACCATAAAGGAATCTACATCAACAATTCCCCTCAATAAAAAAGTTCAATAGCAGAGATTTTTGCAAAAAGATTTTTAAAAGAAAAGAGTTTTTCTTAATGTCTCACTTGCTGGCCCAGATTCTTTTTCACTGGGGAATATCGAGTATTGTTTTGATGATTGGAAAGTTGACTTTTTATCAATTTAGCACTTGCTCTAAAAGACCATATTTTGAGCCCAAAACTGAGCTGTAAGTTTTAAGATGTGCACGCTTTCTGAATTGTTTATCCTCCTTGACACAAGGCCACTGGAGAAACTTGCACCAAAAGATTACGGTTAAACAAAACGAAACTTGTCCTCCCCGGAAAAGAAATGATGTGGGAAAAACACTTCCCCTTTGGTAAAGCTACTGCAAATTAAAAAGAAAGATCTCAGTGTGAAGTTGGTGATGTTTTGTTGCAAAGAAAAAAAAAGTGCAATGAAAACTCCATCAGCTCTTTCAGCTGAGAAAAAGAACACAGGAAAATGAAGTGCAGGGAAGACTCACAAAGCTCTTTTGGAAACTGGAGACTAGAAGCTTTACAGGTAAATACCAAGCTAGCAGAAAACAAATCTCAGTGGCCTGGCATGTGAACCTAATGATGTAACAGAGGATGAATCAATGTTTATCAAATTAATCATCCGTTAATGAACCTTCTAATTAAGAGTCACAGGCCAGATGAAGTAACATGGCAGGTAAATACCTCAAATCTGGAGCTGGGGGACTGTCAAGATCAGAATAAAAGTGTTTCCACTAACGGCAAGGAAACAAACAGGGAGATGTTGCATCCTGAAAAAACTTTAAAATGATTTTTATAAAAATTAGTTATCTGTGGTATAATTGTTGTTGTTTTGTTCTGTTTTCCTTAGTGCTTAGTACCTTATACTGGTTATTCTAACTTTATTTTTAAGACATTGATAGAATGCAAACCTTAATTTGAAGTCTTTGCTAAAGACAGGGTTTTATGATGAGTGTGTGTGTTCAGTCTCTGGAAGGAGTGGAAAAACAACTACAAAGAACTTTATTCAGGTTATAGCCAAAAGAAAATTGGGTCGGATATGGTGGCTCAGGCCTGTAATCCCAGGGCTTTGGGAGGCTGTGGTGGGAGAATCGCTTGAACCCAGGAGTTCTAGGCTGCAGTGGGTTATGGCTGCACCACTGCACTCCAGCTTGGGTGACAGAGTGAGACCCTGTCTCTAAAATAAATACATATATAAAAATAAAAGAAAATCAGTGGAAATTTCTTTATAATTTGTTAGGAATTGACAATATATCACTGTGCTTGGTAACTTTGTTAATCTGTCTTCTGAGCTTATTAACTTATTTACAGAACTGGAAGACACAGGCTATATACTGTAAAATTATTTGAGTCAAGCAAAGCAATCCAAATAATTTAGAAATAAAAGTTCACTTATACATTAACAAAATAATTACCTTGATAAAATTTGCTTAATCAAATATATTCAGTATTTAATTATCTTTTATTGAAATTTTACTCTTGTAAACAGTACAAGGCAAAGTTTTTGTAGCATGAAATAAATCAAAGTTACTGCAAGTAGCTGGAAATATCTGAGTTACATGAAATTTGAACAAGTTTTAGAAAAATTAGAAATATTGTCATTAGCAAATATTCCCTTTGTTATTCCCACCCATGAATGGATTCCATGTTTAGAAAAATCTTGACTGCCAAACTGCATTGTTCAGGGAATATTTAATTTGTTTCTACTCTTTATTAATAGAAGTCCTATAATGCAAATATCTAAAGTAGACTGTTTTCCCACAGTGAATAGCTATAATTCTATTCCAAAGCAAAGAAACCCAATGTGTTAATTAGTCCATACAGCCTGATCTTGAATAAATGTAGAATTTCCATTAGCATTTTGGACATTTTCAAAAATTTTTAAAACCCTGTATCCAATTACTACTCTCTAGGAAATTTAGGATCTCAGATGTCCCAAGCTGTAAAAAGATTTCTGGACCCCAGAGAATAATTAGTAAGTAACAACAGTTACAACAAGAGTGAAGCTCAGACAAAATCAACCTTAACTAGGTTTTTATTGAATTGCAGAATAGAATTTATTTTTCTAATAAACAGAGTGCATTTTAATATGTTTGGCATTTTACTGTTCTACTTACTTTTCATTTGTGCAATTTTATTTGATCAAGCTATGATATTTTTAGCTTCCAGAACAGTTACCTCCCTACCTAGGGCACATCCCCAGAAGCAATTACTCCTTTAATTAGCTTTGACTCATTAATCTTTGCCTCTTCTGCTTTCCTTTCAAGTGGAGGGGGACTTCCCATCCATTTGTGTAGCATAATGCACTATCACAGTAAGTTTCTCTTTACCTCTGCACCTTACTTTTTAAGATAATACTTCCCTTGTCAAACCATCCTAAGGATTCTATTCCTGGGATGTCTGAGCATAATAAATAGGATGCTCCCTGTGTTAAGGAAAAAAAAAAAGAATGAGACCTTTGATCTCATTAGGTCTCCACAGTTATTTTTTTAACTCATCATTTATTACTGCCATAACATAATACTTTAAATGTACTCTCTCTGGGACTTGCCATCTTGTTGCATGTATACAGAATACATGTATACACACATGCACATATATGTATATATAAGTAGATAATTTAGCATAGGAATTGATTGGCTGAGGTGATTGTGAAAGCCAAGAGTGCCACAAATTGCCATTTGTGAGTTGGAGAACTCAGAAAAGCCAGTGGTGTAATTCAGGACAAGCCCTAAGGTCAGAGAATCAGGGTAGCCAATTAGCCAATGGTGGAAATCTGGACCTGAGTCCCTAGGCCTGAAAGCCAGAAGTGCTGACGTCTGAGGACAGAAGAAAATGATGTCCCAGCCCAAACGTCAAGAGTGAACTTGCCCTTTTTGTTCTATCCAGGATAGCCTTTTGTGAGTGGATTGGGCCCTGAGTGGATTGACGATTTCCACTGGTATGGATGAAGGTAACAAGTTCTTTACTCAGTCTACCTATTCAAATACTAGTATCTCCCAAAAGCAACTTCACAAACACACTCAGAAATTACTGGCTGGGCATCCTTTGGCCCAGTCAAGTTGAAGCAAAATTAATCATCACAACATCTATGACTATCAAATCTCCATCACAGATACTCTTAATTTAGCGGATACAAGCTAATAGGAAGTAACAGCAGAACAAACTCAAGCTCCAGGGCAGTGTTTATATCAGAGTGCTCTACTTTTCACACATATTTGCCTTAAGCCATGATTCTTTTGACCTCTTGTGTCACTGTCTGCTGCTAATCAAATCAGCCATGAGCGAACCATCACATATTCATTTCCCTCACTTCCCTGTTCCCTCCAACTTTTCTGAGTGTCTTGGTCTAAAACTGCGTGTTGCAAGGGGCAGGTGGTGGGGAGGTGAAGCTGTAATAAAGTTGCTCTTTCGCAAACAAGAAACTACTATATAATGTCAGTTTCTACTTTCAGTGCCTGTTGAATTAAAAAAAAATCATCATCATAAAAAAATAAAGATAATTATAAGAGAAAAGTTGAAGAAACTTAATTAGGCCTTTGAAACTAGAAATCAATACCATTAACTTCCAATTAAACATAGCTAATTTAATTCTCTATGATACTAAAAGATCAATGATGAATTATAAAAGTCAAATAGTTTGAAAAATGCAACAGATGAGCAGAAGCACAAAGTACATTTTAGAAAGGCATTTTTTTTGGTTCATGTTGTCACTTCTTTTCCAAGCAAGTAGTCACAGAAGAGACAAACTGTGTTTGTTTGTTTGTTTGTTTGTTTTTACTTTAAGTTCTGAGATACATGTGCAGAACGTACAGGTTTGTTACATAGGTATACATGTGCCATGGTGGTATGCTGCACCTATCAACCCGTCATCTAACTTTTAAGCCCTGCATGCATTAGGTATTTGTCCTAATGCTCTCCTTCCTCTTGCCCCCCAGCCCCTGACAGACCCTGGTGTGTAATGTTCCCCTCCCTGTGTCCATGTGTTCTCATTAGAACAGACCGTCTTTTGAAAAGGAATAGGAATGGGAGAAGTAGAAGGAATGGGAGAAATGGCTAATATATAAGAAATACCATTTAACCACAAGAAATGTTACTAATGGTAAATATTGCATTAATGGAAAGTATAATACCTAGTAACCATTTCAGTGCTCCTAGCTCCCCAGATAAAAAAGCTTACATGTTTCAACTAACTAGGCAGCTATGTGAGCCTTCGATAGCCAGGACTCACTATTTTCTTACTCATCCTCTTTACTTTCCTCTACTCTCTCTACCTTTTCTGGTGCCTTCTCCCTTGAGGACATGATGCAAAATAGTAAAAATTTTAAAAACAGAAATTCTAAACAAAATAGCTGTGATAGGAATCTTTAGGAAAACAGTATGGAGAAATACTTGCCTATAATCTATGTAGACATATATGGAAAATTTATGAGTGCGGTACTGAGACAGAATTTTACAATATTTATATTTCCAGTAATTAAGTAACATTAGTAGCCCTATTTTAACAAAAAAAAGAAACAATATCTGTGAGGTTAAATACACTGGGTACTTTTATGCCAGCCATGTTGCCATTAAGTGACAGAATCAGCACTCAAGGCAGAGCTTTCTGCCCTCAAATCTCATAATTCTGAGGAAATTCTGTGCTTTCATTCACCAACACTCAAGGTTTCTTATGTTTGCATAACATTTCACGCCTCTGAAAATACTTTGAAGTTTATGACATACTTTAAAGAGAAAAGACACCAATGAGTTATAAAATAACATTTATAGTAGGTAAGTAAATATACAGGCATTATACCAAAATGTTAATGCATGCCCATCACTTAGCACATTTCCTGAATGAAAGAGAAGTGCCTAATAAAGATCATTTGTATTTTTGTTCTTTTTTGCTTGCCCTGATTTTCTAGTTTCCCAGAATGCATTACATAGTATTTTTACAACATCCATGATCTCATCCATGATCTTGTCCATCATCTTAGAACCTTGAAGCAGGGGAGTCAAGGCAAGTGTTAATATTCATATTTCATAAATTCATAGAATTTCAGTAAATAAAATAGGATATGTCTCCTAATCAACATCAAAACAGCTGATGTCAACAAATGGAAGCAGCTTGCTGCTTGTCTCACAGTCCTGTTGTCAATACAGTGGTTTCTGCCTTCAAGAAGCTGGGTTTCACGTTCTTTTCAAGGGTGTGTGTGTTTGTGTTCATATGAATGCACCACGTGGTTTGCAGGAATTGGTTGGTAAACAGAGAAAACATATTGATTGACAGTGTCAAGATCAATAAAAACCTGGGTAATCTGGCATCAAACAAACCTCACTCACCATGCCTTGCTTTCACATCCCTGCCATTGCATTTGTGCCTTTTAAAGCTTTTTCAGCATTCTGTTACTTCCTTACGCTGTTTTGTTCTAAATTCTAGGGAAGCCATTATGTTACAAGTCCATCATTATTATTTTCTTTCCTTGAAAAGTCACCATTTGTTTTCTAACACTGTCACATATGTTCTAGGTTATTATTTCTGTCCTTTTCTCACTTTAAAATGGGCTATAGTCTTTCTCCCATCAGAGTATTGATTTTGCTTTTAAAAAGGCCTCCCTATTCCATTATCTCTTCTGATCAATTCAGTCCATTTGCATGAGAATTTTTCCCTCTTTCTTACCACCCAAACTGTCTTTGTTTTTATTTCACTTTGCTCTATTTGTCATTTGTAGAGCATTAATTATAACTCCAGAGTTTGTTTTGAAAAGTGTTGGTTTGCTTTGAAAAAAGTCAGTCCACTTGACAGTTTTGATCTCTCTTTTGACATGTGTTTACTCATTCACTGAACACTTATTTGTTGAGCCAGACATGATAGACAGTGCTGAGGTTAATGAAATTAAAAATAGTGAATATTTTTCTATGCAATACATAGTAAGTTGTCACCAAGTGCCAGGCAATCGATAAAGGACTTAAAACTATTTTAATGAAAATAATCAGCATGTATTGAGACCAGAAAATTTCTGAAAGTTTTATATGGAGAATATACTTTGTCCTCAGAAACACCCTATGATATAGTTACTATAATTATCTTCTCAATTTTAGATGAGAAGCGAAGGCAAAGATGAAATTAAATTACTTCATCACAGCTGGCAAGTGGCAGAGTCAGGATTCAAAGTGTTCTTTACCACTAAACTTATCTATACGCATTGTTTTCTATATGCATTGTATGTGTTTTGTATTACTATCTAGTAAGCATGTAACAGATCAAAGTCCACCAAAGGAAAACATGTACATTCCCATTTACCTAAAACGTTTCCTAGAAAGTTCAATTCCACTTTCCCAAAATCTACTTATCCACTTATGACCAAAAAAAAAAAAAAAAAAAAGCCTCAAGGGCACAGATTTATTGTATTATTCTCCTACCTTATAGCTGTCTTAAGATACCATAATCAATGGTTTTTGGGCAGGCTGACATACTAAAGAACCAAATAAAACTCAGTTTTAGCTATATTTTTTGCTTACTAATTATGTCCTATAAGATCTTATTTACTCACTAATAACACTTGCTTTTATAAGTCTCTCCTACCCTGTATCTTAGACACTATACTAAGTACAAGGACTACTATCATGATTGTGACATTGTCACCTGTCCTAGCTAATATTTTAATTTTTTTAATTGTCTTTGAAATAGTTCCCTCTGGAGTCTTCCAAATCTATTAAATAAGTTACCTGATAATAGGAAACCTTAAATCTTTGTAGAAATTCTTCAGTATCCTTCAGTGTCTTTCAAGGAGTAATTACTTAATATATGTTTGTTGGAATGAATTAAAAGACATTGACCTCCAATAATGGCTAATGGATGGCAAAAATTACTATCATATATTCTATAAAGTATATAGGAGCCTGAGGGTCTGGGCAGATAGATGAGCAATTTAGCTTTATATAGGTATATTCAAGGTTCTTACCACGTATTTGTATCATTTTCTTCAATTTTTATTTCCAGTATATTTCACTGAATTTATATATGATACAATTTGTATACCTTCAGTGTGGAGTTCACTAAATTTTAAATGTAGACTCCATTCTAACCAGCACCTCAATTATAATTTACAGCATTGACATAATCTTAGAAAGTTCATTATTGCTCCTTTACAAAATCTGCCCCTCCAGCCTGGCCAAAGCATTCACTGATCTAATTTCTAGCATCATAAATTTGTTTTGCCTTTTCTAAAATTTCTCAGGAATGGAATTAGATAGTATGTACTATTTGGGGTAAGACTTTTTTGACTCAATATTATATTTTTGAATTTTTTTCACGCTGCTGTATCAGTGGTTTGTTCCTTTTATTGCTGAGTACTATTCTATTACACCACATTTTGCCACTATGTGTTTATTCATTCCCCTGTTTAAGAGCATTCTAGTTATTTCCAGGTTTTGCTCATCGTGTATAAATCTCTTAGGATATTTCCTTACAAATCTTTTTAGAAATATACATTATAACCTTTCTTGGGCAAATGCATTTAAATAGAAAAAGTGAGTCACAGTATAGGCATATATTTATTTTATGAAAAGAAAAACAAACTGTCAAACAGTTTTTGAAAGGGTTGCAATATTTTACACGCTCATCAATGATGAACTAGAGTTTTAGGTGCTTCACATGTTCTGCAATGTTTGGTATTATCAGGTTTTTTTGTTTTTGTTTTTGTTTTTGTTTTTGTTTTTTTACTATTCATATGGGTTCAATGTAGTATCTTTTGGTGGTTTTACTTTTCATTTCATTGATGACTAATAACAGTGTACATTGTTTTATGCAATTTTGGTCATTCCCATATCTTCTTTTTTGAACTATCTATTGAATTATTTTTTTTTCTTGAGGTGTGTCTTTAATATTGATTTGTAGGAGTTCTTTGAATATTCTGCATATTTTTTGCCAAATATATATATAGCAAATATTTTCCCCTAGTTTGTGACTTGCCTTTCCACTTTTTAAATGATCACTTGGAGAGCAGAACTTGTTTTTAATTTTGATGAGGAATTTTTTTTCCATTTATGGTTACTGCTTTTTCTACTTCAAGAAATTTTGCTTACCCTAATGTCAAGAAGAGACTGTCCTCCACTTTCCTCAAGAAACTTGTTTACCTTTAGGTTTCAAAACCATCTTAAATTATTTTGGGTATATGTGTGTGTATGGTGTGAGACAGGGGTCAAAGTTGATTTTGTTCATTTTTGGTTTAGTTTGTTTTATAATCTACATGTTCATTCAGTTATTTCAGCACCATATATTGAAAACTTCCACAACTGAACTGTTTTAGTGCTTTTATCAAAAGTCAATTGACTGCTTCTATGTGTTTGCATTGCTGGATTCAAATATTCCATTGATTCATTTGTCTACTTTTACATTAATACCTCTTGACTACCTTTGCATGGTAGGTTACCAAATAATACCTATGACATTAACAGGTAAATGAATAAATAAGCGATGTTTATCTAAAATGTAGAAGTTAACATATATTATTTAAAACTCATTTAAAAAAAAGGGGAATAAAAACATGCTAAGAAGAGAATAATCTGAAATTTGCATCAATAGTAATAGCCTAATGAAGATTAGCTTCATTTTAGGCACCACTTCTTGCAAAAGTCTTTTCCACAAATCAGATACAGTAAGATCTAATTCTGTAGATTTCTCTAATTTTGACAATTCTCTGTATTAATTTTTAGGTCTCTTCCAGTGGAAAGAAATATATTTGGCTTGGAATGAGAGTTTAAAATAGATTTTCCATCCATATCCAGGAAGATGAGAATCTTGAGATTTCTAGAGTAACACTGTTAAGATACTCTTGCAGCAAGAGTAGTTCTGGGTGTTTCCCTCTGATTATCTCATACCTAATATATATCTTAGTTTAGTTTTATTTTTGTTTTCTTCACTCAGACCAAACACATTTTGAAGAAAACTGAGCAACATAGATATGATGATTACTGATTGTCATTACAGTGTACTATAGTATTTATTTTACTAAATCATAAATTGCCTAGCTTGTTGGAAAGATTTTTTATTGTTATAGAGTTTGAAGTATTAGGAATCACATCTTTTTTGGCTTTTCTAGGTTTAAAAGAAATCCCCTAATCATATAAAATATAAAAATCTCCGTGCATGGTACATACATATACATATGCAACAGGGAAGTTAATGATTTAAATATAACTAGAGTAAGTTCTAAAATTATATTATAAACAAAGATACAGTCAATCATAGGAATTTCTACTGGGCTACTTGCCTTTCAGAGTGAATCGGTTCTCTAGTATCCCAAGAGAGCAGATTCTCTTTTGGTTTTGTTTTTGTTTTTCTTTATAAGACCCATCTTTGGGGTTAACAGAATCCTAAATCATTTGACAATTGTATCTGAAATATCTTCTTCTGGTCTTTGAACTCTTACTTTTTCATGACGATTGTGATATTTACATGTAGTAATAGTCAGTGAGATAGGAAACCCTAAATTCACCATCACCTATGTTTCAGCAGGAGCTAGCAGACTTCTCCTTTCTAAAGTAAGACATTACTCCCAATTCAGAGAAACTATTGGGTCTATTCTATCAGAAGCATATCCCGCAAGATTTGCAAATTAATAGTGTGCAAAAATACTATATTCACATATTATTTTCCCAGATAAAGTTATTAAAAATAATTAAAATAATCCAGCTGCAAAAACAATTCTAAGAATATAGCTCTTTGCTTTTCTCTAGGAATTTCACAATATTTAATTTGGTCTTTGCTATTGTCTGTTTCTCTCATAAGAATTTCCTTCATGGTAAAGAATGTGTTCCTTATTTCTAATCTAAATTACTTTTGCTTCAAGTATATTTTTACTATTATTTTTGTTAACTTAAAAATTATGGGAAAAAAAGACGTTTTCTCCTTTAGAATATTTTAATCTTTTAAAAATAGTCTTTGATATCTACTGACAGCTTCCATAAAATTATCTCTCACTTATATGAGTTAAAACATTGTATTTTAAATATGTGAAATAAAACCCTAATTATGTTGTTATAATTTATAATTCACCCTGTCACTGCCTTGCTTCAAAGCATCCTGTGTTTCCTAATTGTGCATCCACTTAAATTAAAAATCATATATATATATTTTATATGTATATATTTATTTTATATATGATGGTTCCCACCCTAATCTGGGTGACCACCATCTAATCAGCTGCCAGCATGGCTAGAATATAAAGCAGGCAGAAAAACATAAAAAAGTTAATATATACATATTAACTTTTATTGTATGTGCAAGTTTGTTACATAACTTCAAAGCCCAAAACAAGTTACCCAGAGTTAATGCACGTAGTCCAGGAGTTGAGAGCCAAGCGTTAGCCCCCTGAAATCTCTCAAAAGTGAAGCCAGTTGGCTGAATCCACCCTATACCATAATCAAACCCTCAAGGTCATCAAATAGGATTTAAAAATCCCAAATTATATGTTTCTATTTTTCTATATACTACATATTATGGATTGAATGTTTATCTCCCTTCAAAATTCATATGTCACAGCCTCAACACTCAATGTGGTAGTATTTGAAGCCGTGGCTTCTGGGAGATAATTAGGGTTGGATGAAGTCATGAGTATGGGGTCCTTATGGTTGGATTAGGGCCCTTTTAAGAAGATACTATAGAGCTTTCCCCCTATCCCCCTGCCTCTTTCTTTATTACATGAGGACACATCTAGAAAGCAGCCACCTGAAAACTAGGAAGAGAGCTCTCACCAGAACCCAACCAGGATCGCAGACTTCTAACTTCCAAAATTGTGAGAAAATAAATGTCTGTTGTCTAAGCCACTTAGTCTATGGTATTTTGTTATGGTAGCATGGACAGACTAGTACACTACTGTGATGGTTAATACTGAGTGTCAACTTGATTGGATTGAAGGATGCAAAGTATTGATCCTGGGTGTGTCTGTGAGGCTGTTGCCAAAAAGATTAACATTAAAGTCAGTAGGCTGATAAAGGCTGACCCACCCTTAATATGGGTGGCATGATCTAATCTGCTGCCAGCGTGGCTAGAATATAAAGCAGGCAGAAAAATGTGAAAAGACCAGACTGGCCTAGCCTCCAAGCCTACATCTTTCTCCAGGGCTGTATGCTTCTTGCCCTTGAACATCAGGCTCCAAGTCCTTCAGTTTTCAGACTCAGAATGGCTCTCCTTGCTCCTCAGCTTGCAGATGGCCTATTGTGGGACCTTGTGATCGTGTAAGTTAATACTTAATAAACTCACCTTATATCTATCTATCTATCTATCTATCCTACTAGTTCTGTCCATCTAGAGAACCCTGACTAATACAACCACCTTATTTCAAAATAGGATTTCAGATGGCTTATACAATATATCATATCAACTGAAAAATGATGGGAAAATTAAAAGCAAGGTAATTAGAAACAAAAGCAAGGACAAGGCTTGTAGCAATCTGATGTCTGTAAAGTGTGCTAGACATAGACCATACACTTTCCGTTAAGTTACCTATAAGCCAAACCAAAGAGGAAATATAATTAGTTAAGTAGCTTGCAATTACTATTACTTAAAGAGAAATAAATGATAAGGAGAGTTATGCCTGGTCATGAGATTTACAGAAAGTTCCTCCCAGTGATTCCTCATAAAGATGATACTCTAACACTGCAATAAGGAGTATTTGCAACAGCACGCTTTGTGGCAGTGGCTGCTGCCATCATGTCGGCTGCAGCACAGCTGCGGCTGCACACTCCATGAAGCCTGTGGGAGCCCTGCCTCTTCTGATTTGGGACAGAAGCTCCCCAGGTGCCACTGCAGCCACTCAAACCACAGCTGCAGATCCTGGCCTCCTGCTCCACAAAGCAGGCAGGAGCCCTGCCCTCCTGGTCAAGGCTACAGCCACCCAAACTGCAACTGTGGATCCGAGCCTCCCTGTGCTCTTGAGGGAGCCAGGAATAGGCAGGATCTGCCCTCCCAGATGCAGCTGCAGCTGCAGCACCTGTGGCTGCAGACCTGGGCCTCTCACTCCAGGAAGCAGGCAGGATCTGGTGACAAGTGGGAGCCCGGCCCCTTCTGAGTTGGCAGGGTAGGAGCTCAGTGTAGCCATGGCAGCTTCCCTGGGGACAGGAACCAGGCATCTCTGCGGGGGCCCAAGGAAGGACACCTCCCTCCCACTGCAATCTCTGCAGGCTCATGGGTGTCTGCTCTCTCTCGCTTGATGTCTGCTCTGATCTCAGAGCCAGGGCTGGGGCTGAGCCCTGAGGTCATGAATGCTAGCAGGAGGCAAATTGATTCCTGGGTGGAAGGGGGTGGGGTCCCCAGTAAGGCCCCACCCTCAGGCCAGGGAGGGCCTGAAGGCTGGGAGCTGGGCTGCCAGTCCCACAAACAGGAGTGGGAACTCCTAGTGCCTCTTCCTGCCAGCCCGTGGCCACTCATGGACCAATCGGCATGCACTTCCTCCCCTCTGAGGTCCATAAAAGCCCTTGGCTCAGCCCAAGCAGGGTACAGGACGGCAAGAAGATGAAGAGGGCAGAGAGACAATGGGACAGGACAATCAACTGCAGAGAGGAAGAGTACTCTCTCTGCTGAGAGCTGCAGAGATGACCTGCTGGCACAGAGGAGTTACCCACTCCTCTGAGCTGTTCTAACACTAAATACAACTCTTCTTCATCCTTCACTTGTCTGCATACCTCATTCTTTCTGGACACAAGACAAGAACTTGGGCAAAGGCACCATGGCCACAGAGGTTTCCGGCCTGAAAAATCAACACCCCAGAGATCCTGTAACACTATATCCATTCCTCACTCCTTTCTGCCCACTCTGTGCCTTTGGAGAGCAGCCTTCTTTGGACTATCTTGCACTCTGAGATAAACCAACAGAAGACCAAAGAGAGAAGAGACAGTGTAAGATGTTTATTCACATTTCTCCCACCTTTCCAGGCCTGGTTTCAGCAGTGACTATATTCTTCTACTTTAGACAAGAACTTCTGGTGAATGGAGGCTCTACCACAGCTACAACTTTTACACAGTTGTGGTAAGACCATTCTTGCTCTTGCTTCTTCAGGTCCAGATGATACATTACTATCCTTTGTTGGTTCTCCTAACCCTCTATTAATCATTCTTCAATCAGGCTCTTGTCCATTAAGCCTTTGAAATCTGTCATCTCCTTCCTGCCTAGAATAACGGCAAATCTATATAATTCCTTCTTGTATTGTCCTTTTATATAGGCAAAATCATAATGCCAAGGGTAATTTACCGAAAACAATTATACAGTGTTATGCTTTGCATTAATTCACAGATAAAGTTTATACTCGCTATAAAATATGGATAAACTCTTGTTTTTAAAAATAGAACACAAATACTCTCAGATGCATAGGGCAATATGCCAGCAGATTCAGAAGCCACAAGACAAATACACCTTTTCCCAAAGCACTGTTTTTTTCTTAAATGCCTATTTTTTTTTTAATTTTTAATTTTTATATTTGTCATGCACATATAGAAATAGAAGGTATAAGGCTGGGCCCAGTGGCTCATACCTGTAATCCCAGCACTTTGGGAGGCCAAGGTGGGCAGATCACCTGAGGTAAGGAGTTTGAGGCTAGCCTGACCAACATGGTGAAACCCCATCTCTACTAAAAATGCAAAATTAGCCAGGTGTGGTGGTGCATGCCTGTAATCCCAGCTACTCGGGAGGCTGAGGCAGGAGAATTGCTTGAACCCAGGAGGTGGACGTTGCAGTGAGCTGGGATCGCACCACTGCACTCCAGCCTGGGTGACAAGGGTGAAACTTCATCTCAAAAACAAAACAAAACAAACAAAACCCAGGTTTTCTTAATATTTGGGGCTTTCAGCACAACAAGCAATTTTCTAATTCTCTGTGGACATAACCTGAGTGTCCTACAACTTAATCCAATTCTGATAATATCTATCTTGAGATAGCATCATATTCTACAGATTGATGTAAAGGATAAAATGAACAGCCAGATGAAGAGATATATAGGGCAAGGGCCAGGGCCAGGGCCAGAAGATTCTAAACACAGAAGCACACAGTTGTGTTCTTGTTCACCAACCTCTCTGAACCTTGTCCTTTTGAGTTTTTATAGAGACTTAATATTATGTGGGCATGACTGACTAAATGATTGGCAACTGGTGATCAACTTAGCATTCAGCTCTTCACCCCTCCCCAAATGTCAGGGATGGGGCTGAAAGTTCCAACCTTGTAATTATGTGCTTATTTCCCTGGCAATAAGCCCTCCATCCTGTGGTTACGTAGGAGCTTTCAAAAAAACCAGTTCAGTCACATAAAGTCAGGTGTGGTTGAAAGGTACTTGTTATGAATAAAGCAAGATAGTTTTTTCACTTCTTCCTCTCTTGAGCTGCTGCAGAGAGGTTTCAGGAACAGAGGACACAGGACCAAATATTATTTAAAAAGACAGTTCTATTGCAATAGTTATTTAGGAAATCACATAGACTTTAGTTGCCATGAATCAGGAACTCTCAACAAAGTCCAAAACATATGTGTTTAATTATATCACAATATTATAGAGCCCCACGCTGTGGTATTATGACTACAGCTTAACTAATTTTATCTGTAGTGATCACATTTCTGAATAAAGTCACATTCTGAGGTACTGAGGGTTAGAACTTCAACATATGAATTTCGGCAGGACATAATTAACCCATAATAGTAGTGCACTGATAAAAATTGTTTTCTTTACATCATCTCTTTTGATGCCTTCTGTGCACTAATAAAATACTATTTGAATTTCTATGTTAGTTGTCAGTTACTATAATTGTGATTTCTTTTAATAATTAATATTCCATAAAATGGTCATTTATATGCTTGAACCTGGGAGGTGGAGGTTGCAGTGAGCCAAGATTGCGCCACTGCAATCCAGCTTGGGCAACAGAGTGAGACTTTGTCTCAAACAAAAAAAAAAAGGAGGAATATTTATAATTGTTGAAATCACTATCATTTTTACATATAACTAGAAATAGATATATCAGATTTTGATCAAAGTTTGCCTAGCTTAAAATAGAGATAAGACATGCCTTCAAGTTGCCTCAAGGAGAAATTAGTTACATCAAACACATCATTTGTGTACATGGTGAATCAATTTATTCTACTATTTTAAGTTTCCATTGCAGACTGAGTTAGATATTATGGGAAGATCCAATAACTCTTATTAGAAATAATTTAATAATTTAGCATACTAAATAGCATCCTTCTGGTTGGAAAGAGTGTCTCATATATCCCTAAGATGTTAGGGGTATCCTTTTTGTAAACTCCATATAATTCAACTGCCTGTGAGGAAAATTTTGAACATAAATTTTAAAAAGTCTATGATCTGTTTGATTGTGCTAGCGTAAAACTCATGACAACATGGACTTTTCTGGAAATAAATAAAAGAATAAAGGTATAATGTAGGCCACTATAATGTCTTACTTTTTGCCTTCTTCTACTGAGTTAGCTAAGGCATTACTCGTACATTGATTTGTTGTTGTGGTTGTTTTAAAAGTACATTTTAAAAGATAGATAATTGTTGTGACTTTTTAAAGAAAAAAATTATATATGCCTGATTTAAAATAAATTCCAGCAATACAGAAGTGAGAGAAAAAAAGAGAAAGAAAGAAAGAAAGAAAGAAAGAAAGAAAGAAAGAAAGAAAGAAAAAAGAAAAGAAAGAAAAGAAAAAAGGAAGGAAGGAAGAAAGGAAGGAAGAAAAAGAGATAATATGTTTTGGAGAAAATATTGTGGACATTATTGGACTTAGTAACTGATTAGATAAGGTCATTATTAAAAAATAAGAAAAGTGAAAGCCAATGTTAAGCACTAGATCGGTACTATTTTTATCATGGGTAGGACAGTGATTTGTCATCACAGGAATAGACACTTAACCGTCAGGTACAGACTTGTCCTCTTTGCTTATAGCATACAACTAATATTTGTGGATTGCAGAGGCATTATTCATTGACTACGGTTCCGCTGACCACTCATTTAATGGCAATGGAAATGGAGCAAAAGATTCATGCTCATAGAAATAATGGGTCTTCCCATGTACCTCATTATGTAGAAAATACTAGCTTGATGAAATAGTAGATTATCTGTCAAAAGATCAATTGGGGTGCCATTTTGGAGGCAACACTATGTGAAGTTGATGTGCTATCCCACAGGATGGGATACAGGCCTTCAATCAGCAGTCAATACACAGTAATACCTAAGCCCAAATGCTTAGTCCAGGAATCAACAGATATAGGCAGCAGTGAACCACTATTACCACTACATCTGTAACTCATTTAAAGAATATCTGCTTCTTTCTTGTCCCAACAAAGTTGACCTGCAAGCATAAAAACAATCTCAAGATGAAATGCCTCTATTTTACAGCATTTACTTAATGCTGTTTGCATTTAATTTGCATTTAGTTTGTGTCATAACTTGACTGGGAAAAAGGGTTTGTGTATTTGTGTTAAGTTTACTTACTGAACAGAATATTTATAACCCATTTTATTTGAAAGTGGTCACTATAAAATACTGTAAGTACATATAAGAAATAGGGGAGTTGTTTTCAGAATAAATCTCATTGACAAATATTTACCAGACATGAACATATACAGTCTGCTGTGCTAGGTTGTTGTTCAATATGCAGAAATAACAGAATCAATCTCAGAGTTTCTGGGTTCAAATCACAAGGTTGCATCTTTTTTAGCAGAGGAAACCAGAGGCTGTCTTTGGCAAACAGTGTTGAAAATAACATTCTCAAATTGCTACAGGAAGAAAATCAATGTCTAATTCACACATTTTATTCTCAGCCCAACCAGACATTTTCTTATATTTATGAAGAACTTGAGGAAACACAGCAGCCCTTCACTGTTCTCTTCACCAAGTTAACTCATGGCTTCCATGGTGCTTATATGATGCATGTGTGTCTAATAAAAAGTCAATATTGTGCTAAATACAGTTTAGCCTATTTTTATTTTCATATGCATTATGTTAACAAATAAGTTTATGTTAGTATATTAGGAAAGTATGGCATTCCTGACATTTAATATACAGGGTTATATTCTTTTGGTGTTATAATTTCTGTTCAAGTTTGATTTCTGAGAATACACCATTGGCCTCCCTCAAGAACAAAACATCTCTATATCCTCAGTGCCTTCTACAATGTCTGCCAAATAATAGGAATTCTGTAAATGCTAGCTATGCTTTTTTTGTTGATAGCCAGCATATGCGTATAGTTTGAAATCATATTTATTTATTTTAAAGTAAATTCATAATTTTGTCCTAAGATATATCCAGAAGCAAGCAATAAAACTAGGCTGACTGCTAAGAATCAAGGTTGACCCTCAATGTATAAGCTTTCAGAATCAGAATATAAGTAGGAGGTCCAGGAATTTCATTGTAAATGCCTAAATCTCAAAGAAGAGCTGTGTTTGGATCTCCTCCCCTGTATTGGTATATATCTATGAGCTCTGCTCTTGAAGGCAGACAACTGATACTCTGATTGCTTTCCAAATTGAAAGCTTCACCTGCTGTTTGCAAACGTGTTCTCTTCTCTTCTGCCCTGTTATTGAACAAACAGGCATTGATTTCTATCTCTCTCTTAAAAGCAACAACATCCCACAGATAATAAAGACAGCCCTGCCTGCTTAGTGAAGAATTTAACTGAGACTGATATTAAAAAAAATATATTAAGACTCTGATTGTTTCACAGTCTGTTGGTAGATAGATTCCTGTTATGAAAATAATGAATCTGATGTGACAGATGGAACAGGTGTAACTCACTAACTATTAATACATAGATTCCCAGAGAGAAAAGTATGTGGAAGATATTTATGACAGTGTTACAGCTGAAAGCAGTTGGCTAAACAGACATATCAAAGGTGGCCAATGATACTTGTGCTTAGTAAGCAGAACTAAACTCTTCTTTTGGATGAAGATCAGCACTTCCATAAAAAGTAAAGAAAGGGAAAAATTTTACATTGCTGTCAAAAATAATAGAATAGATCCTGCTTAAGGTGCTGAATACTTAGTGAGCCATACACTGAATAGCCTGTTATTAATATCTATTTAAAATATGTGTTTCACTTGGATTGTCAGTGTCCTATTTATGTTTATTTATTTTAAAATACCCTTTACATATGACCTCGAAAATAAGTGCATGGGAAATGAATAAAAGGAGACAGAGAGATTGATTCTGATTCATGATGGAAAGACTCACACTATCTGCAAATTCTCTGAATTTATTTAAAATTTCGTGATTAATCAATCAACTAACTGATCCATTGAATCAATGACTTATTGATTTATTTATGCCTTTTGCTCTTCCTCCAATATTATGTTTTATAGTCTTTCTGTCCCAGGAACTCTGATAAGTTTACAGATATACAGATATAAATAAATCATTATAGGGATCTATTTATTCATGACAAATATCAATTACGTACATATATATATATACACACATACACACACACATATATATATATATATATATATATATACCAGTGTTAAACAAAAAATCATACTGGACAAAATGAACAGACAGAAGTTGATTTTATTTTGATGCTATTGCCAGCAATAGAAGAGCAAACACAGGTCAAATCCGGATACCCAGCTCTGTAGGAGAATCAGAGGCAACCTGTGTGTGCTAATTGGTGCTACCCAAAGAAATGTAAACTCTGTGTCTTCATGGCAGGAGGTAGTTTACAAGTTGGAGCAACCTAGGCTCCTCCCTTTCCAAAGAAACTGGAAGATAGGGGCATTACCTTTTGTGATGATTACATTTTAAAGAGAGATTTCCCAAATCCTTGAGAAACACATTCCTATATTGTAAAGCCAGCAAGGAGTTTCTAAAATGATCTACATCTCAAGGGGCAGGGGATTGATTTATAATTGCAAGTTTGCTAAAACAAATGCTCTAAGGAAAGGGAGGCCAGAAGCTTAGAGTCAGGAACAAGCCTGTCTAATGTTTAGTCAGGCTAAGGGAAATGTTAATTCCATCACGGTCACTATGCAGCCCATCTAGCCCCATGCCAAAACACAAAGTATTCTATTTGAGCCAAAAGGTTACATAAGGAATGGTTTGAGTGTCATTCAAAATCTGTATTGACCAAATCAACTGGTTGCTTTGGGATGCAGCAGAACAGGCACTGATAAGCACACAGTCTCTTGCAAAAATAAGTAAAATTAGAAAGAAATAGACAGGAAAAGGATTTGCTGAGACTTCTTATGTTCCAGGCCCTGTACTGTGTGTTGTTCATGCATTAAAACTAACCTAAGAAGTCAATGTTATTGTATCTAGTTAACAGGATGGAAAAGTGAGCCTCCGTGATATGGCTTGCCTAATGTCTCAAAGTGGAATAACTGGGAGAACTGGCATTTGTACTTAACTTTGTTTGGTTTCCAAACACCAGGTTCAAAGCATTCAAGAATGTTACTTTCAGAAAACACAGAGTTATGGACTAAAGACATTGAAGTTTCAATTCAGTAAAATTGACAAAATCTTAGAAGTGAGGACAAGAGAAGGAAGTATTGTCATCTGGCTCTTTTGAATGGCAGGGACAGCTGGCATTTCTTTTCTACCTCACATTAAATTCTTCTAGGAAATTAGGTTGTTCCTGTCTCTACTGTGGCTATTTAAACAACAACACGAAAGGCACTTTTAAAAGAAAAATACATGTATGACATTGTATTCCAGAAACCTTGGCAAGAATTTTTCATCTTAATGAATGTACTCAATGAGATTCCTGAACAATTGTGTATGAACACATGAGTTAACCATTTAAAAGGGACCCAGATCGTTTAGAAGTCTTTGGAAATGAAGATACTGATAGCTGGGCATTTTCCTGGAACTGGAGTGGTTTCAGTGCTCCAGGGATCTATTTTTCAGTGATTTTATTTTCCTCCCTACCTCCCTCGCTTCCTGCCTCCCTCCCTTCCTTCCTTCCTTCATATCTGGCAGAATTGGATACAATCTTTAGTCTTCTCTTTTTACTCTGTCATCAGTAAGTGGTCTGGCTGCACATTATAAAAACACACTGGGGAATAACAAGAACGCTCAGACCAGTATTATACAGCACTGGATTCTCAAGAGACAGTCTTGTAATTTTATTTATTGTTTGTTTATTTAAAAATGTGGTATTGGAGATATATGAGATGTATGAGATATATACTACTGACAAAGATCCTGAGGATACCACAGAAAGAATATATGAGCCTCCAACACACTACAAAATATTTCAGAGGGTTATATTTTTTGGCCCAGAAAATAAATGTTTTAAATATGCTTTTACTGAAATACAAAACCAGTGGAGAGAAGCATACAAATCATCAGTGCATGAATCAATGAATGATCCATGAAGTCCATAAGTCTTGCAAACACCTCCCAGACCAAGAATTATGGTGTTTACTCACCCCAGAAGCTTCGCTGAATCCTCTTCCAATCATAATCCCTGCCCTCCATGCACTAGCAGTCCCAGACATCCTATATCCAATCTAAAATTCACTTCCTATAAAAGCTAGTCTTGCTTTGACTTGCCTTTACTCCTGGCATGTAAACTTTAGGGTCCTTAGCCCAAAGTCACAAGAGAGCTTAGCTCCAGTTTTTATCCTCTGGTCCTCATGAGTCTGTTCAAAAGATTTCAATTTCTGAGCTGCTTGGCTGCCTCTTCCAAAATGTGCATGTACCTAGGGGAAAAGTGACCCCAAATGTTGAGCTTACTTTTCTGCATTTTCTTATCTACAGTATCTTCATCCAGTCATTCTTCATCATCTTATTAGTGCCCTGATGACTTTGAGCAGGTTGTTGAAATTCAAATTTTCTAGTTGATTTCAGTGGGCAGGTCTGTTCAAAGTACTCATTCTACTATTGCCAGCAGCAGAATTCCCCTTCACAGACATTTATGGCAACCTTATTGTTAAACAATGGAATAGGAGGCGTGTGTGTATGTGTGTGCATGTGTGTGCTGATAAGGAAATAGGTTTTAGGAAGGTTAAGCAATTTCCTTGACATTATATACCTAGTAAATAGATGTCTTGTTCAGTTGCTCTATATGTATGACTTTAATTTGCCTCTGAAAAGGGCATTTAGAAGTTTAAAAATACGCCGGCTTTTATTCCCTCTCACAAGGCAATCAACAAGTTAACATAGTTCTTTGGCATTTTATAAATAAAATCCCTTAGAATAGGACTCAGAAATAATAATTATTAATAATTTCTGTCCCTGTAAAACTGACTTAGTTTCATCAAAGTCCTTTGATTATAGATTATTTTCAAGCATCTTTTCATTGAGTCGGGATATGGCATCTTAGAGCTAATACAACATTTCTCTCTCTAAGTCTTTTGCCCCAAAGATGAAAATAGATTCAAATTAATGTATTGTTTAAGATTGTGAATTCTTGAGCTGGAACACCTGGGTTTAATCTTGACTCTGCTACTTATTGGCTGTGTGACTACACAAGTTAACATCACCTTTCTAAGCCTCATTTTCCTGAAGGCAATGATACTTCCTATCCTATTGCGCTGCTGTGAGATTAATTAAATGAATGCACTAAAAACATTAGCATTGTGTCTGGTAGAAATATAGTACACAATAAATATTTTTTATTGTTTTAATTTCTAGTACCTTGAAATCAGTGTTTATTATTTCCTCCCCTTGACGTCACTGAGTATTCTGTTGTTTTGTTTTTTTGTTTTTTTGTTTTTTTTCTCTTTTTGGATGGAGTCTTGCTCTGTTTCCAGGCTGGAGTGCAGTGGCATCATCTTGGCTCACTGCAACCTCTGCTTCCTGAGTTCAAGTGATTCTCCTGCCTCAGCCTCCCGAATAGCTGGGATGACAGGCACGTGCCACCACGCCCAGCCAATTTTTGTATTTTTAGTAGAGATGGGGTTTCACCATGTTGGCCAAGATAGTCTGTTGTTTTAAAGCTTAAAGCAAAAAGACTTAAAGTCAAGTCTTTTTGTTCAAGATGTACCTGAACACCCAACCTGGCGACAGAGCAAGACTCCATCTCATAAAAAAAAAAAAAAAAAAAAAAAAGATGTACCTGAACACATTTTTTGCTATGATCAACATTCAACATAAGGATATCGACAGAATCAAAACAGCTTGCCAAGTATATTTCTTTGCACTCACATGGCAATTTGCACTCTCCTGGAAAAATAAGGAATGCCCAACAGAAACTTGAAAGGATCTCATCTGTGGCACAAGGCAGGAGAGTTTCATGCAACCACTTCTTCAGGTGAATGATTTCATTAGCAATGTTTGATAATGCTCAATGAATAAGCGTAAAGTATGTTAAAACTTAATCATTCGTTTGTATTCTGGTGCATCTGGACCAGACCAACCTGACTGTGGTTGTGGTATGAGGATGTAATCTGTTGTTAAGTTAGCATTATCATTTTTTTAAATTTAATTTAATTTTTATTTATTTTTTCCAGCATGCCTCTCCCACGTGGAAAGACCAAATAGTGAGTGGAGATTCACAGTGTAAACTTTTTTCCAGGAAGCAATGCACAAACTTAACAGGAAACCATAAAGAAACTACAGGCCCTTTGAAAGAAGTGGCAGGCTGCAGCCTATACTATGAGCCAAGTGAAAAACTTTAGGTCCCCAGAGTGTGAGAGTGGCAGAGACTGCCTCCAGGATACATTAAAACATCCCCACTGGGGAACCTGGTAATCCAGCCCATGGGGGAAGGCCTTAAACCTACGCAGGGACTGATATAGGCAGTCATGGGGAATATAAAAGTAGGAGCAGCGGCCGGGCGTGGTGGCTCACGCCTGTAATCCCAGCACTTTGGGAGGCTGAGATGGGCAGATCACGAGGTCAGGAGTTCGAGACCAGCCTGGCCAATATGGGAAACCCCGTCTTTACTAAAAATACAAAAATTAGCTGGGCATGGTGATGCACGCCTGTAGTCCCAGCTACTCAGCAGGCTGAGGCAGAAGAATCGCTTGAACCCAGGAGGCAGAGGTTGCAGTGCGCAAAGGTTGCGCCACTCCAGCCTGGGTGAGAAAGCAAAACTCCGTCTCAAAAAAAAAAAAAAAAAAAAAGTAGCAGCAGCAGCTAGAAGAGACTTGCACACATCTGCAGTCTCCAGTGTGGGCTGAGGGAACTCATTCCTGATTTTATGTCACAGGGGACCTCGTGGATGTCTGCCAACTAACTCAGGCAGTGGTGGCAGGTTCAAAGAAGCTCCCATTGAAATTCATGATATTATCTCAAGTAAGAAAAAACTTCCTTGGCCAGAACCAGCATGCGAGCGGGAAGTGTGCTGCAGCCACAGGCACAGAAACTAGGCGCCCAGCTTTGCAAGTAGAAGGGGAGGGGCATATCCTGAAAGCTGAGGTTCCTGTCTCCAAGAGGAAGGCTTATGGCTTGGGGCACTTTTGAATTCTAGAGTAGATGAGAGTAGACTGCCTAGAATTTAGCTAGTTGCTGCTAGAAAACACTGTGGGTGAGATTCCTGCCTTGCCAAGTGCATGAAAGCTGGGTGAGGCTTACTGCCACCTGCTACTCCACAACCCCCGCACAAACTCTTCTGTGCAGCAGAAGCAGTTATACTCTTTCCAGGAAAAGTATCACAGTGGCCAGAAAACTGCCTCCCCATGCACACAGATCCCAACAGGGTCTTCTGGTTACCTTGCAAGTGTAGAGCCAGAGTTCAGACCTGCCTGACTCAGCATCCACCTGGCTTTGCCACTCCAACCACCTTAGTAGCTTAACACAAAAGATGGAAACTTTTGGGAGCTCTATATCCCCATCCATTGCCTGACAAACTAGAGTGCCTCCACTGGATAACAGAAGGAAAGCACTAATCCCACTGCTACTACTACAGCTGATGCATGACCTCAGCTATCACCATTGTTTGAGGCTAACCAGGAGGTCCTGAGTCTGTTCATGTGACCAGTTCATTACTACTACAACTGGCATTTGAGAAAGCCACCATGCTAAGGCTATCTATAACCAAGGAATCTCACAGAATCTATGTCGCTCTCCTGCCATCCCAATCAGAGTGGGTGCTGGTACTTGCTGCTAGGAGACTTGGGGACAGGACACATACATATCACTGGATCCCTTATAGACATTCCCCAGCTCCAGGCTGGAGTGTGGCAGCCCCACTATGCAGCTAGACCCAGAGGAGTAGTAGCATTCACAGTAGTTTGGCTCTCAGGGACTTCTATTCCTAAGGAAAGGAGTAGTGCACCATATCAAGGGTACAATCCAAGGGTCAAAAGAATCCAGTCAGTAGGACTCAAGCCCCAGATCTTTCCACTGGTTAGAAGTTTTCTTCAGCAGAGGCACAGTTGCTGTGCTGGGCTCAGCAGGGAAAGGCTGCAGCTCTAGCTCAACAGACAGGCAGACCTGGTACTCATGAAAGGTCTTGGACCTTTTTTCCCTGCTTTTTCCCCCTCATCCACCACTGCAGAAACAACTGGTGCTTCTACTACAGAAGCTCAGCGTGTGTGTACCTATAGGCAGCCTTTCTGGAACACTGCCTTCCCACAGATGGAGTATTCTCCAGGTTCCAGCTTACAGAAGAGATACAAACATAATTCCTCTCTACTTGGAACATCAACACTCCTGCAGATAAAAAAAGGTACCTATATGACCTGAATAGCCAAACACTGGGTCAAGAGTATGTCTGGGAGGAGGATCTATTTCCTGCTGGCCTGACAGAGGAGCTGAGGTGACTCCCACCTTTCCCCATCATAAGACTTCAGTGGGATTCCCTGCGAGCTCCCCTAGCCACTTTTGTCAAGGCTGGGACCCTCTCCCCACCATTGGGTATTGCGTGTACCCACCGGAGTTAGCCACAACCAGTTTCTTCCTAGGGACACCTCCCCTATTGGCCCAAAATCTGAACTATTCAACCCAGTAAATAAAATACTAGGGAAAATATAAGTAAAAAGTGCACTTCATAGGGGAATGAGATAAGCTTCAAGACACTTCTGCCATTCCAACCCAATAGTAGACAGTGAACTTGCTCACACACCAAGTATATTTCTACAACCAGTATCTGAGAAAACAGTCATAGAAAGACTCTCTATAACCAAGAATATCATACAAAGTCTTCATCCTTGAAAGCACCAAGAGCCAAATTAAGCTATAATAAACTATAAACATTAAAGTCACACTTTTAGAGAGAAAATAAATTTTTTAAAAAACCACACAGTCAAATAAAAAATAAATTCAAGAATAATTAAAAGAAAGAACCCACACAAATGAAAAGAGACAAGAAAAATAATTCTGGTAATATGACCAAACAGGGTTCTATGACACTCCCAAAATATCACATTAGCTTTCAGCAATGGATCCAAACTAAGGGCTAATCTTTGAAATACAAGATAAAGAATCCAGAAGGTAGATTATTAAGTTACTCAAGGAGATACAAGAGAAAGGTGAAAACTAACATAATTTTTTTAAAATCAGAATATGAATGAAAAATTTTCTAAAGAGATCGACATTATAAATAAAAACCAATTAGAACTTCTGGAAATGAAAGATACACTTAGGAAATTACAAAATGCAGTGGAAAGTTTTAAAAATAGACTTGAACAAGTAGATGAATTTCAGAGCTCGAGGACAAGGATTTCAAATTAACCCAATGATACACACACACAAAAAAAAGAATAAAAAAAATTAACTGGCCAGGCGCGGTGGCTCATGCATGTAATCCCAGCAGTTTGGGAGGCTGAGGCGGGCAGATCATGAGGTCAGGAGTTCAAGACCAG
The DNA here is from genome assembly GCF_000001405.40 of Homo sapiens. Lineage (NCBI taxonomy): Eukaryota > Metazoa > Chordata > Mammalia > Primates > Hominidae > Homo > Homo sapiens. The sequence goes on from NC_000017.11 coordinate 52,764,855, forward strand.
CCTGGCCAGCATAGTGAAACTCTATCTCTACTAAAAATACAAATAAACTTAGCCTGGAGTGGTGGCAGACACCCGTCATCCCAGCTACTTGGGAGGTGGAGGCAGGAGAATCACTTGAACACGGGAGGTGGAGGTTGCAGTGAGCGGAGTTTGCACCACCGCACTCCAGCCCGGGTAATAGTGCGAGACTCTGTCTCAAAAAAAAAAAAAAAAAAAAAAAAAAGAAGGAAAAGTAAATTAACTAAGTCTCCAAGAAATATGGGATCATGTAAAATGGCCAGACCTAAGAATAACTGGTTGTTCCTGAGGGAGAAGGGAAAGTAAAAAGTTTGAAAAACTTATTTGGGGGAACGATTGAGGAAAATTTTCCTTGCCTTGCTAGAAATTTAGATATCCAAATACAAGAAACACAAAGAACTCCTGAGAGATTTGCACAAAAGGGACTTCACCAAGTCATATAGTCATCAGGCTATCTAAAGGCAACATGAAGGAAAGAATTATGAGAGCAATGAGACAGAAGCACAAGGTAACTTATGAAGAAAAATCTATCAGACTAAGACACTTCTCACCAGAATTATAAGCCAGAAGAGACTGGAGTCCTATCTTTAGCTTCCTTAAATAAAATAACTGTCAGCCAAGAATTTTGTATTCAGCAAAAATACGTTTCATAAATGAAGGAGAAATAAAGTCATTTTCAGAGAAAAAAAAATGCTGATGGAATTTTTTTGCTACCAGACACTACCAGCCCTCCAAGAAATGCTAAAAAGAGTTCTAAATCCTGAAACAAAAGGTTGATTGGCACCAGAATAGAACCTCTTAATATAATAAAACTTACAGAGCCTATAAAACCATAACAATGTAAAAACAAAGTATCTAGGTAACAACATGATGACTGGAACAATACCTCACGTCTAAATATTAACATTGATTGTAAATGGCCTAAATATTCCACTTAAAAGATACAGATTGTCAGAATGGATAAAAAAATCAAATATCTGCTGTCTTAAGATAGTTACCTAAGATGTAAGGATTCAAATAAACTCAAGTAAAGGAGTGGAAAAAGATATTCCACACAAATGGAAACCAAAAGTGAGCAGGAATAGCTAGTAACTTTGAAACAACAACACTAAAAAAAAAAAAAAAAGGACAAAGAATGTCATTATATAATAATATAAGGATCAATCCAGTAAGATGATATTACAATCATAAATGTATATGCATTTAGTACTGGAGCTCCCAGATTCATAAAACATTTACTACTAGACCCAAAAAATGAGATAGATACCAACAGAATAATAGTGGGGTGCTTCAATACTCCACTGACAGCACTAGAAGATCATCGAGACAGAAAGTCAACAAAGAAAACATGGACTTAAACTACAATCTAGAACAAACTAAACCTAAAGCTAGAAGAATAAAAGAAATGAAAAAGATCAGAGCAGAGCTAAATGAAATTGAAACAAAAAAAAACAAAACATGAATGAAACAAATAGCTGGTTCTTTGAAAAGATATGCAAAATTGATAGACCATTAGTTGTATTAGCCAACTAAAGAAGACAGAGGACAATTAGAAATGAAACTGGAGACATTACAACTGACATTACAGAAATAAAAAGATCATTTGATACGACTGTGAGCACCTCAGTGCACATAAACTAGAAAATCTAGAGGAAATGGGTAAATTTCTGGAACCATACAACCCTCCTAGATTAAACCAGGAAGAAATAGATACCTTGAACACACTAATAACAAGCAATGAAATTGAATTAGTAAAAAAATGCCAACAAAAAAAAGCCCAGGGACAGAGGGATTCATAGCTGATGCTTCCAGACTTTGAAAGAACAACTGGTGCCAATTACACTGACATTATTCCAAAAGACTGAGAAAAAGAGAATCCTCTTTAACTTATTCTATGAACCATTATCACCCTGATACCAAAATCAGGAAAGGATGTTTTAAAAAAAGAAAACAACAGACCAATATCCCTGATGAACACAGATGCAAAAATCCTCAACAAAATACCACCTAACTCAATCCCATAGCACATCAAAATGATTATAATACACTATAATCAAAAGAGTTTCACTCCAGGAATTCAGGAATGTTTTATCACACTCAAGTAAATAAACGTGATATAGCACACAACAAGAATTATAATCATTTCAATAGATGAAGAAAAAGCATTCAATGAAATCCAGCATCCCTTTATGATAAAAACACTTGATAAACTAGGCATAGAAGGAACTTACCTCAAAATAATAAAAGCCATTTGTGATAAAGCCACAGCCGGCATCACAATGAATGGGGAGAAGTTGAAGGCATTCCCCCTGAGAACAGGAACAAGACAATGATGCCCAATTCCACCAGTTCTATTCAACGTAGTACTGGAAGTCCTACCCAGAACAATCAGGCAAGAAAAACAAATAAAAGACATCCAAATTGGAAAAGAGGAGGTCAAAGTATTGCTGTGTGCTGATGATATGATCATACACCTAGGAAACCCTACGGACTTCTCCAAAAGACTCCTAGATTTGATAAACAAATTCAGTAAAGTGTCAGGTTACAAACCAATGTACACAAATTAGTAGCATGGCTATACACCAATAAACACAAAACTGAGAATTAAATTAAGAACTCAATCCCTTTTACAACAGCTACAAAAACAACAAAAAAAACCCTAAGATTATACTTAACCAAGGAAGTGAAATATCTCAACAAAGAACTATGAAACACTGCTAAAAGAAATCATAAGTGACAAACAAATAGGAACACATCCCATGCTCACGGATTGGAATAATCAATATCATGAAAATGACCATGTTGCCCAAAGCAATCTATAGATTCAATGCAATTACTATCAAAAATACCAACATCATTTTTTACAGAATTAAAAAAAATCCTAAAATTCATAGGGAACCAAAAAAAGAGCCCAAATACCCAAAGCAATCCTAAGCAAAAAGAACAAATCTGGATTACCAGATTTTAAATTATACTATAAGGCTATAGTTTCAAAACAGAATGGTACTGGTATAAAAGCAGGCACAAAGACCAATGGAATAGAATAGAGAACACAGAAATAAAACCAAATACTTAAGACCAACTGACCTTTGACAAAGCATACAAAAACATAAACTAGGGAAAGAACACCCTATTTAATAAATGGTGCTGGGAAAACTAGCTAGCCACATGTAGAAGAATGAAACTGGATCTTTATCTCTCACCTTATACGAAAATCAACTGAAGATTGGTCAAAGACTTATTCTAAAACCTGAAACCATAAAAATTCTGGAGGATAACCTAGGAAAAACTCTTCTGAACATCGGCCTAGGCAAAAATTAATGACGAAGGCCCCAAAATCAAATGTAACAAAAATGAAAATAAATAAATGGGAAATTATTACACCAAAAAAGCATCCGTAGAGCAAAAATAATAATCATCAGAGTAAACTGACAACCCACAGGATGGAAGAAAATATTTGAAAAATATGCATCCAACCAAGGACTGATATCCACAATCCACAAGGAACTCAAACTAATCAGCAAGAAGAAAACAAATAATCCCACTCAAAAGTGGGCAAATGACATAAACAGACATTTCTCAAAAGAAGATATATAAATGGCAAACAGACATATGAAACAATGCTCAATATCACTGCAAAATGCAAATTAAAACTGCCAATAAGATATCATCTTACTCCTACAAGATGGGCCATTATTAGCAAGTCAAAAAACAATAGATGGTGGCATGGATGTGGTGAAAGGAGGACACTTAAACACTTCTGATGGGAATGTAAATTAGTGCAACTTCTTTGGAAAATGGTTTGGAGATAGCTTAAAGAACTAAAAGTAGATCTACCATTTGATTCAGCAATCCCGCTACTGAGTATCTACCCAAAAGAGAAGAAGTCATTATATCAAACCATACCTGCATGTATTATGGTGGTGCAAAGCACAATTCACAATTGCAGAATAGAACTCACTGGAAAATTCAGAATCAACATAAGTGCCCATTGACCAATGAGTGGATAAAGAATATGAGGTACATATACTACAAGGAGTACTACTCAGCTGTAAATTAGAATGAAATAATGTCTTTTGCAGCAAATTGGATAGAGCTGGAGGCTATAATTCTAAGTGAAGTAACTCACGAATGGAAAACCAAATATCATATGTTCTCACTTACAAGTGGTAGCTAAGCTACGGGTACACAAAGGCATACAGAGTGATATAAAAGACTATGGAGGGCCGGGTGTGGTGGCTCATGCTTGTAATACCAGTACTTTGGGAGGCCGAGGCAGGCAGATTACTTGAGGCCAGGAGTTCGAGACCAGCCTGGCCAACATGGTGAAACCCTGTCTCTACTAAAAATACAAAAAATTAGCTGGGCATCGTGGCTGGCACCTGTAATCCCTGCTACTCGTGAGGGTGAGGCAGGAGAATTGCTTGAACCCTGGAGGCAGAGGTTGCAGTGAGCCGAGATTGTACCATTGCACTCCAGCCTGGGCAATAAGAGTGAAACTCCGTCTCAAAAAAAAAAAGACTATGAAGACCCAGAAGGGAGAGGGTGAGTATGAGTATGGGGCACAAGGGATAAGAAACTGCATATTAGGTACAATGTACATTACTCGAGTGATAGTTGCACTAAAATCTCAGACTTCACCACTATACAATTCATCCATGCAACAAAAAAACACTAGTATTCCAAAAGGCATTGAAATAAACAAAATTTTAAAGAAGCATTGTCAGACTTACATGTATTCAATATATGATATTTCTAAAAACCCTGCCACCATTGTCTTTTCTTTCCAAATAGGCTCTTGGTCCTCATAAGCCCTTGAGCAAACATTGTAGGCCACTATCTAATTTCCTTATATAGGAAACCCCAAAAAGACGAGGCTTCTCCCTCACTACTTTACATTATTTCATCACAAACTATAAGGTATATCAAGAGAAATGTATATTTTGGGGGCATTATTTATGACTTTTCTACTCTGTGTTAGATGGTGATTCAGCCATTGCGGGTGGGAAGAGGAATGATCCATATTTGAGGATATTAGAAAATTTCACAGGAGATTGTCTGAATTTATTAAGTCAACATTTTCAGACCACCCTTAGTACTACTGACATTTGTCTGCTTCCTGCCTATATAACATGCATGGCTATCTAAACTCTCAAATACCCTACTACCTGGCTAGTTTAAGAGGCAAGCACTAGCAGACTTGTTTACTTTGTTTAGATTGCAGCTGCTGTCGCCCTAATGTAAAGGTAATGCCATGACCCCAAGTATCTAGGATACTCTCACTGGAAAAGCTCTGCAAAGACTTCATTGGCATACTTAAAAGGCTGGATAAGGGAGAAATTTTGTTTGTTTGTTTTGGAAGTATGTGCACAGGCAAGGTCTGCTTTAATTCCTCTCTGCTGCATAAAGTGCTGTACATCTTTGACAGCCCTCAAATAAACAACATGAGGAAATAGAATAGAACTCACTGGAAAATTCAGGCCCTTGTTCAGCTCACCCCTTTAACCACATGTCTCTCCACCCTACCAGACACGTAGGAGCCTCAGCACTCTGGGGAATCTGATTGACTTTCTCAAGGCTGAATCTCAATACTCATGCACTATCATCCACTTAACCTCCTTATTGCTTCTCAGGGTCCACATGCCCATTCTATTATTAATAACAATCTATATAAACTCTATTTGCAAGTACAGATAAAGTAGTGACAATGGTGACAATGGCATAGTCTAGTGGATGAGAATAAAAGATGCAGTCAAAGACTGGTTAAAAGATCTTGCTCTCTTTTTCACTAGCTGTGAGACCTTAGGAATATTAATTTTATTTTCTAAGGCTCAGGTTTATCATCTAGAAAATGATGAGGAATAATTGTAACTACACCATAGGGCTTATTTTAACATTAAATGAGATAATGCACATAAAACAGTGCAGAGTATGGCAACAGTGAATTCTCAACAAGAGTATGTAGTGTAATTAGAAGTTACAGCCTAGTGTACCAGAAGGAGATAAACTCTTCTAGATTTGATACCTAGTCAAATGTTTTATTACATTTTCCACATCTACTATATTAGAATGATCAAGCCCACATCTTAAGATTGTTAGCTGATGTGCACAAGATTGAAACTGGACCCACTTCTTACACCATACACAAAATGCAACTGAAATTAGATTAAAGACTTAAATGTAAAACCTAAAACTATAAAAACCTGGAAGATAACCTAGGAGATACTATTCTGGACAAGGGACCTGGCAAGCATCATAACAAAGATGCTGAAAGCAACTGCCACAACAAACAAATTGACAAATGAGACCTAATTAAACTAAAGAGCTTCCATACATTAAAAGAATCTATTAACAGAATAAACAGACAACCTACACAATTGGAGAAAATATTTGCAAACTATGCATCCAACAAAGGTCTAATATTCAGAATCTATAAGGAGCTTAAACAAATCAAGAAGCAAAAACCAAACAACCCTGTTAAAAAGTGGGCAAAGGACATGAACAGACACTTTTCAAAAGAAAACACACACGCGGCAGACAATCACATAAAAAAATGCTAATCACTAATCATTAGAGAAATGCAAATCAAAACCACAATGAAACACCATCTCACACCAGTCAGAATAGCTATCATTACGAAGTCAAAAACTAACAGATGCTGGTGAGGTTGCAGAGAAAAGGGAACACTTACACACTGCTGTTGGGAATGTAAATTAGTTCAGCCATTGTGGGCAGCAGTTTGGCAATTTCTCAAAGAACTCAAAGCAGAATTACCATTCAACCTAGCAATCCCATAATTGCATATATATTCCAAGGAATATAAATCATTCTACCATAAAGGCACATGAACACATATGTTCATCATAGCACTATTCACAATAGTAAAGACATGGAATCAACCTAAGTGCCCATCAACAGTATACTGGATTAAGAAAATGTGGTACATATACACCATGGAATCCTATGCAGCCATAAAAATAGAGATTTTGTTATTTGCAGCAACATAGATGGAGCTGGAGGCCATTATCCTAAGCAAACTATGCAGTATACCATGGAATACTATGCAGTCATAAAAATAGAGTTCTTGTTATTTGCGGCAACATGGATGGAGCTGGAGGTCATTATCCTAAGCAAACTAACACAGAAACAGAAAACCAAATAACTCATGTCCTTATTTATAAGTAAGAGCTAAACATTGAGTACATATGGATACAAAGAAGGGAATACTAGACACTAGGGCTTACCTGAGAGTAGATGGAGGGAGGAAGGTGAGGATCAAAAGCTACTTATCAGGGCCAGGCACAGTGGCTCACGCCTATAATCCCAGCACTTTGGAAAACTGAGGTGGGCAGATCATTTGAGGTCAAGAGTTCAAGACCAGCCTGGCCAACATGGTGAAACCCTATCTCTACTAAAAACACAAGAATTAGCCAGGCATTGTGGCATGCTCCTGTAGTACCAGCTACTTGGGAGGCTGAGGCAGGAGAACCGCTTAAACCCAGGAGGCAGAGATTGCTGTGAGCCAAGGTCACATTGCACTCCAGCCTGGGCAATAGAGTGAGACTCTGTCTCAAAAAACAAACAAACAAGCAAACAAACAAACCTACCTATCAGGTACAATATGTATTACCTTGGTGACAAAATAGTCTGTATACCAAACCCCTGTAACATAAAATTTACATATATAACTAACCTTCTCATGTACCCCAGAACCTAGAATAAAAGTTAAAAAAAATTGTTATTTGAAACATTTAGTCTGACACCCAAGAATCATAAAATTCGTAGGGTTGGGGATGGAAAAAATAAGCCATACTTAAGTATTTTTCTTTGGCCATAACTTTTAAATACGATTTACATTATCTTTCCAAAGGTATAATTTATCTTACCTTGTGGTAACCCTGGAATTAGAGTCCTCATTTATCTTATCTTGTGGTACCCCTAAAATTAGAGTCCTCATAGTAAAATTATCCCTCCATGTTCAATAGCTAAACATGCAAATTGTTCTTTGGATTGCAAGAGAGCTGTGAATTAGTACTAAGTCCTCAGCCAGAGAAACTTAACAGAGACTTCCATTGGGAACAGAGGCTGCTGATAAAACTTCTCTATGTGTTCTTCTTAACTGAGTTGGCAGTTTAATTGATTCCAAAATCAATTTTCAATTAGTGGCAGATTGGCATTTCATATTAGCTGTTAAAATTGTGAATAATGGTGAAAAAGAAAAGCTTGTGACTTAGTAATCAGTTTTACCTATATCAAAAACACAATGGCAGCTAAAAGTTTAACAGAGACTCTGTGATCCTTCAAATGATGCAAGGTTTGAAGAGACACAAGGGAAGGGATTAGATTCACTTACAGGTGACATGGATGCTGTCAGCTGGCAGCCCTGATAATCATTGATTCTTTCCTTGCCTTCATTATCTTCCATTTCTCAGTATTGGAATCCATAATATAAGTAGTCTCTTGTTTTTACCCTAAATAACCTTGAGGAAAAGAAGGAAAAAGGACTGAATAATTCACGAGGAAGAAAACTAGTTCTAGGTTTGCGAGATATGCCAGGGTAGGTTAAACTTTCAAAATTTCCTTCCCACCCTGGGCCTTTGTATTAGAAAATATTTCTCCCAATACATGCTTCTAACTGAGAGTAAAGATATACCTCTCTTTCCAAAAAGAGTCACCCTTGTTCACATATTCATGCACCAGAGTTTTTTCAATCTTAGCCATTCTGAATACCTCCTAACAGTGTTGTGGTTTGTGTGCTAGGTCTGAATCAGTCGTCCTTCAGACCAGGGGGAGCACAGAGAGTCTATAGCCAAGATTATGAAAACTGTTTTCATGGCATCTTTATTCAGGTTTAGTACTAAATAGCTGATTAAAAAAAAAGTACTAAAAACTTTACTAACATTAGAAATATGCGTGTGTGTGTGTGTGTGTGTGTGTGTGTGTGTGTGTGTGTGCATGTCTGTATGCACACGACCCTTGGGTAGAAGGATTACAGGAAATTGTTTCTTATTTTTTAACACGCTCTTTCTTGCCTTTTTCTGCTCATCCAAGCAAATACAGTTGTGACTGGGGTAAACAAAAATCCATTTCACAAAATGCTGGGGTCATTAGGCACAAGCTTAAGTAAACAAAGACACAGTTGTGTTTTAGAAAGGGTAGTTAATTAATTATAATATGTTACAAAGAAAGCACCATACAGTGTCTTGCATTTAATAGGGGATAATCATTGTGAAGGAATGAATAAATAAGTGGATGAAATAAGCGAATGAATGAAAGTGATCTTTTTTTATATATACTTTAAGTTCTAGGGTACATGTGCACAGCATGCAGGTTTGTTACACAGGTTTACATGTGCCATGTTGGTTTGCTGAACCCATTAACTCGTCATTTACATTAGGTATTTCTCCTAATGCTATCCCTCCCCCAGTCCCCCACCCCACGACAGGCCCCAGTGTGTGATGTTCCCCACCCTGTGTCTGAATGTTCTCATTGTTCAATTCCCACCTATGAGTGAGAACATGTAGTGTTTGGTTTTCTGTCCTTATGATAGTTTGCTCAGAATGATGGTTTCCAGCTTCATCCATGTCCCTGCAAAGGACATGAACTCATCCTTTTTTATGGCTGCATAGTATTCCACGGTATATATGTGCCACATTTTCTTAATCCAGTCTATCACTGATGGACATTTGGGTTGGTTCCAAGTTTTTGCTATTGTGAATAGTGCTGCAATAAACATACGTGTGCATGTGTCTTTATAGTAGCATGATTTATAATCCTTTGGGTATATACCTAGTAAGGGGATGGCTGGGTCAAATGGTATTTCTAGTTCTAGATCCTTGAGGAATCGCTACACTGTCTTCTACAATGAACTACTTTACACTCCCACCAACAGTGTAAAAGTGTTCCTATTTCTCCACATCCTCTCCAGCATCTGTTGTTTCCTAACTTTTTAATGATCACCATTCTAACTGGTGTGAGATGGTATCTCATTGTGGTTTTGATTTGCATTTCTCTGATGACGAGTGATGTTGAGCATTTTTTCATGTGTCTATTGGCTGCATAAATGTCTTCTTTTGAGAAGCGTCTGTTCATAAGAATGATTGGATCCAGGCGTCTATCATAGAGTCACAGATTGTTTTGCATAAATAAACATATAAAGACATTGTGTTTCCCACTTCTGATGGTGAGCACTGATACTGATACGTAGCCCTCCCTGTCAATATTCATGGACTAGTTGGCTACCATACTTATGCATATTCCAACTGCAAGCAGAACAGTATGAACATTTCTATAAGGCCATATCAAACAAACTCACACTCACTAACTTCAAGAAAAGCTGTGTGTTTGATAGCTTATGGTCTATAAGTGGTAATATACTTTTGCCAACTATGCATACTGCTAAACTCAGAATTGACAGTAGATGGAATATGTAGAAACTAATGTATATTTTGTTGAAATTTTATGCCAATCTATTCATTTGTGAATAGATGATAGATAGATAGATAGATAGATAGATAGATAGATAGATAGATAGATAGGGTCAGGCACGGTGGCTCATGTCTGTAATCCCAACACTTTGGGAGGCTGAGGCAGGCGGATCATGAGGTCAGGAGTTCGAGACCAGCCTGGCCAACATGGTGAAACCCCATCTCTACTAAAGATGTAAAAAAAATTAGCCAGGCATGGTGGCACGTGCCTGTAATCACAGCTACTTGGGAGGCTTGAGACAGGAGAATAGCTTAAACCTGGGAGGCAGAGGTTGCAGTGAGCCGAGATCGCGCCATTGCACTCCAGCCTAGGTGACAAGGGCGAGACTCCATCTAAAAAAAAAAAAAAAAAAAAAAACCTAGATAGATAGATAGATACAGATATTTGTTTCCTGACACACTTGTCACCATGGTTTTAAAATTTCATTTCTCATCACAAAGACTAACACTATACAAACCAAAAGCTATTGAGTTAAATAAGAGAAAATCAGGAGGCTGGTAATATCAATCAGAGGTTTTGCCTGGGGCAATGCTATTTTATGCCATTCTCTAATTTGTTTAGTAAACATATTTACAAATGTCTAAACTACTAATGTGATGGCTAATGGAGAAGAATCTCAGGAGATATATTAAACTGTAAAGTAAAATCATAGTCTCATCTTTAATGTCATCTGCAAATGGCTTTAATGTCATGAGATTGTATCTATATGGCACAAGAGGAAAACAGTCTTGTGAATTTACATACCCATATTTAGTATGTTGCCTGACCACAGCACTTTGCTGTGCCATTGCTAGAAACAATACATAGTTTTATACAGTTTCAGCGTTGCTGAAAGATCCCATATCATAAGACCCACTATGATAAAACATAATAGGAAGCCTGGTGCTTTCAACATTTTAATTTTAATTGTCACGAAATTATGCAAATTAAGAATCAGTATACTCATATATTTTCAGAGGAGAAAACGGATTGAGAGAGTTCCATCGGCTTGCCTGTGGTGGCAGGTTGCTCATTAGCATAGCCAGCAGTCAAGCAGCAGCCAGACACAGTAGTCGTGGATTCTTCTTTTCTTTCATACTTTTGTTCCTATGCCATACAGACCTTACTATGAAAAGAAGTTATGCTGGCCCCTTTGGGGAAACATAGAATGACTATTAATACTATTTGGATTCCAACTGTGAAATTGTTACACCACATCTTTGAATGGGAACCTAGAGACCTAACAGCAGAATTCCCAAAGAGAGACTTTCTGCCCAGTAGCTACTTTCAGTGTTATTCTGTTTATTTAGGAAAGGCATTTCTCAGTATATACGCTGACTGTTTTTCTATGTGAAGACACTTAACAAGGAAATAATGGCCCCATGGGTGAAAATCATAATATGAAATACCCCAGGGCATGTGAATTTTTATTACATTAAATTAAAAACATACCATCTACTACAATCCCCCGGTAAACAAACAAAAAGAAGCAAGCAAGAAAAATGCTATGCAAATATTTTTATTAAGAAAATAGCTTTTATAGGTTCTATAATGTTCACAAAATTAATAAAAGTTTATTGTATAAATTTGCATAATAAAGAAAAAACACAAAATTGCATGAAGTTCACCCAAAACACTAGCTGGAAATAAGCATTGTTTTAATTTTTATAATGCCTTCAAACAATTTTTCAAAAACCTGGGAGTATATTCTATGCCACTCTGTAGTTTTTTAAATCAATGATAAAAATTGAGAATTTTTCCTTTCATTACATATTCATCTAAAGAATTATTTCTAATATCTGACTATGAATATATTACATGAGTAATGCAATTTAACCAGTTCTATATTGTTAGTCCCTTGGTGATTTTCAATGTCTTATTAAATTAATACTGTGATAAATAACTTTCCATAAAAATGTTAGAAGAGGAATTATTCTTCAAAACGGTGTAAGTGCAGTCCTTGGGTGTAGGTGGAGTATTAGCTCCAGGACTGACCCTCGGATACCAAATTCCATGGATGCTCTAGTCTCTTATATAAAATGGCTTAGTATTTGCATATAATTTATGTACATCCTCTGTATACTTTAAATTAAACTATCTCTAGATTACCTGTAATACTTAATACAATGTGAATATGTAAGTCATTGTTATGCTGTATTTTTGTTTGTATTTTTTGTTGCTGTAGCTATTCCTTATTGGTTTTTTTTTTTTTCAGGAAAATATTTGATCTGAAGTTGGTTGAATCAGAAGACGCCAAACCGGCAGATATGGAGGACCAACAGTGTAAAATAGTGACTCATGTTATCAGATTCATAATGCCTTCCTGACCAGCTGAAACTTCCTAACCAGCCCTAATTATTTTCATTAAAAATATATCACTTTTGAAAAAGTAACAGCTGAGAAATACTACCGTCATAATACTTTATATTTACTTGACATTGAGTTTGATTCATATATATATATATATATATATATATATATACACATACATACATACATATATTTCTGTGTATACTCATGTATTTTGTGGGCCAGTTTTTATTTCTTTTTTGAAAATTTCCTTTCATTTTTATATTTTTTCTAATAGGTATGCTTAATTGTTTATGTTGGTTTCAAGAACCCTTTCATATAGGATTAATGCTTCCTGATGATCATTATACTGTTAAGTATTTTTTCCACCTATTATTTTTTTCCATTTTATTTGGCTTTTGACTACATAATTTTTATGTACTAATACATGGTTTTCTCCCTTGCTTCAAATTTTAAAAACTCTTCTTTACTATTATACACATACACACATGAAGGGATACTCAGACAAGTGGAAAAATATTGAAATATGTTAGTGTCCAACTTATAAATATTTTATAATTATTTTGAAATTCAGTCAGAAATAACGTGTGAGATAGAAATTATGTTATTTCTCACATATTTTCATATTTGTAACTGAGAAAATGCATAATACATATGGTAGCTATGAAATATTACTATTATTAGGTAAAATTTGAAGTTTTTTTTCCTCTTTTTCTGGTACATTCATTTGTCACTCTATTTTTCTAATAACTAAATTTTAAATTTGATTTTTTTTGTTATATGTTTCAGTATCTTAAAAAGGAAGCAACTGCTCCCTACCTTATAATTTCTCTATATCAGAGCATTTAATAATTTTCGCCAGTTAATTCATCCAAATCAACTATATAAAAACTAAACCTGAGGTTTAAAGGTCCACTTGGGATTTTTATTGTGATTTTATTGGAGTTGTACATTTACTTGAAGAGATATACCATCTTTAAAATATTGCATCTTTCTATCGAATGTTACAGAATACTTATTTATGAAAGAATTGTTTATGTCCCTTGATAAAATTGTATAGATATTTTTAGAATTAACAGACACTTCTGTGAAGTTTGTCTATAGGAATTTAATAGCTTTGTAGCTAGCCACTCATTCATTGCACAAGTATTTGTTGATTCCCTGCACCATGATAAGCAGTTGCAAAAAAAAATGATGACGAAAGAATGGGGAATATTCAAAAATTGATAGATAGATTTAAAGTCATTGTAGGTTTTAAAAATTGCTTCAAAGGAAATAACAGAGTGCTGTGATAAGACAAGGAAGAACCCCCAGGGAAATTAAGACTGAAAGGAAGGCAGAGGTCAGATTGCAAAGGGCCTGAAAGCAATGCTGAGGGTTTTGATATTTATTCTAATATCAGAGGGAATGCATTCTGATTTTCCAAGATAATTTATAAATATAAAAATGTGCTCTGTGTTAATTATGAACAAGTATATAAAATAAAAATTAAACTCTCAATGCTTTCTTCCACTATCTGACTACTCAAGTTCTAAATGAGGGTATATTAGCTTTTATCATTTTACCCATTTCTAGAACTTTTCTTCACTATGGAACACTAATAATTTACTGAGCTATAATTATTCTCATCCTCTCAATTAGATTGTAAATTCCAGGAAGGCAGAGGTGATACTGTTTTGTTTATCCGCCACATACTTAGCTCAAGGCCTTACTTACTAACACATAATATGGAAATATTTATTGTTTCATGAAATGAAAAAATCCTTCCTGACATGATTATTCTTGACATGAATATTAAATAAGAGATACATAAATGAATCTGACAGTTGTACTTTCTGTTTATGAACATGTACTGGTCTTTACAGGTGAAAAATGCAGAATAAATGAAACTGGCAAAAATATGTAAAAATTAGAATATTTTCTGATGACTTAAATGTAAATAGTTTGGGCTACGATCTTTATTGAATCCATTTCTTAGTCTCCCACTCATCTCCTTCTATGTAATGTACAAAATGTGCATGTCTTTCTCATTAGGATTATACATTGATGTTAAGGAATCAGTTTAATCTTTGCTTCTTCCTTTCAAATAGAGGTGCTAAGATGTTGACATGTGCAGAAGACCAGTTATGATATTTCCTAGTTTGTTCACCAAAATAATTCAGTCTACATCCATTTGTTGCCTATCAATGACAGACTGGATAAAGAAAATGTAGTATATATACACCCCGGAATACCAGGCAGCCATAAACAAGAACAAGATCACGTCTTTTGTGGGAACATGGATGGAGCTGGAGGCTGTTATCCTTAGCAAACTAACGCAGGAACAGAAAACCAAATACCACATATTCTCAGTTACAAGTGGGAGTTAAATAATAACAACTTATGAACACAAATAAGGAGACAACAGACACTGCGATGTACTTGAGGGTGGAGGGTAGGAGGAGGAAAAGGAGCAGAAAAGATAAGTATCAGGTACTGGGCTTAACACCTGAGTGATGAAATAGCATGTACAACAAACCCCCATGACACGTTTACCTATGTAACAAACCTTCACAGGTACCCCCAAACCTAAAATAAAAGTTAGAAAACAAAAAAAAAACTTGCCTTGATTTCTGTCAGGTTTCTAAATTTTCTGGATCCAGACAAAGATATATTAATTTGTTTTATACTCATTTGTTTTCTTCTTTAATGATATTTATTCAATTGAAAAGTGTGTACTATTATTACCTAAAACCATTAAAATTTAGTGAGAGGTTAAGGGAATGCCATAATTAATGTTTAATAGTTGTCAGAATACAAAATTATTTTAACAGCTTTGTTGAGGTGTAATTAACATACAATAAACTGCATACTGAAGATATATAATTTGATAAGTTTCAATGTGCATACATACTCATCATAATCACCATAATAAATACATTATATATATATGCATCACTCCAAAAAGTTTTCACATGTCCCTTTGTAATACCTCCCTCTTCTCCTCCCCTCAACAATCACGCTACTGGTTTGTGTCTTTTTGTAGAATTTAAATACATGAAATTGTTCATGCAGTGTGATACTTTTTTTAAATCTTAAATCTTTTCTCAGAATAATTCTTTTGAGACTCATTCGTGTAGTGGAATGTACCAAATGTATTATTTTTTATTGTAGAGTGGAATTTATTGTATGCATATATCATAATGTGTTTTCATATTTATCTGTTGATGAAAAGTTGACTTGTTTTTAATTTTTGCTATCACAAGTAAAACTTCTGAACACATTTGTGTATGAGTCTGTATGTAGGCACATACTTTCATTTTATTTGGTACTAACACCAAGGAGTAGAATAATTGGATCTTATGGTAGGTTTATATTTAACTTTTTAGAAAACTGCCACATTATTTTCCAAAGTTGTTGTTTTTTTTCACATTCTCAACACCAATGCATGAAGAGTTCCAGTTACTCTACATCCTCATTAATAGTTGGTATGGTCACATATTTAAATTTTTGCTCTTTTTATAGATCAGTGGTAATATCTCATCAGTTTTAATTTGCATGTCACTTATAATTAATAATGTTAAGAATATTTTCATGTGCTTATTTGCCATCCATATATCTTCCTGGGTATTGGTTGTCTGTTTTCTTATTATTGTAAATTTTGAGAGTGTATTATATATTCAGAATACACATCCATTATCAAATATGTGATTAACAAGTATTTTCTCCAAGTCTAGGGTTTGTATTTTCATTCTCTTAACAGTGTCTTTGAAATACCAAAAGTTATTAATTTTGATGAAGTCTGATTTACCAATACTTTATTTAGTAGATCATGCTTTGGTGTCATATCTAAGATACCTGAATAATATCGAATTATCTGACTGATGAAAATTATATGTCTCTCTTTACTAAGATATTTTGTAAAAATTTCTCTCAGCAATATTTTATCGTTTTTCAGTCTAAAAGTCTTCCATTTGTTTTGCCAGATTTATCTCAAATATTTCATATATTTTAATTCTTTTAATGAATATCAATTAAATATCAACATCTGATTACCCATTATTAGTATACAGAAGCACAACTGATTTTACGTATTGCCCTTGTATTCTGAAATTCTGCTAAACTCTCATTACCAGCTTTTCTGTAGATTCCACTGGATTTTCTATATAAATCATCATGTATCTGTGAATAAAGACCAAATTATTTATTCTTTTAATTACTTATTTTCAATATGGATGCAGTTAATTTTGTTTTCGTGCCTGATTGCACTGGCTAGCACTTGTAATACACTGTTGAATAGAATTGGTGAGAGTGGACATCCTTGCCTTGTTCTTGATTTAAGGGGGAAAACAATTATCATTTAAAAGAGGCTTTCATTATTAAACATGATGTTACCTACAGACTTTCTTTGAATGTCTTTTGTAGTTTGAGAAGTATCATTCTATTTCTAGTTTTCTAAGAATTTTTGTCAGGAATGGATGTTAGAATTTGTCAAATATATTTTCTGCATCTATTGAGATTATCATGTGTCTATTTTATTTAGTTTGTTAATATGGTCAATATTATTGATTAATTTTTAAATAATAAACTAAGTTATGCATCATTCCTGCAATAAATTCCACTTGGTCCTGGTATTCTATTCTTTCATATATTGTTGGATTCACTTTGCTAAAATTTTCTTAAGAATTTCTGTATGTGTTCATGAAGGATAGTCATTTATAGTTTTCTTTTCGTAACATGTCCTTGTCCAATTTTTGTAATAGTGTAAGACTTTCCTGATAACATAAGTTTGCAAATATTCCTTCGTCACACATTTTCTGGAAGAGTTTGTTTAAAATTCATATAGTATTTTCCCGAAATGTTTGGTAGAATTCACCATGGGAGTCATCTTGGTCTGGTGTTTTTTTTGTTATTAGAAGGTTTTTTTTTTTATTTTTTTTCACTGCAAAAGTAACTTATTTAACAGATATAGGGTTATTAAAGCAATCTAATTCCATTTGAGTAAACTATCATTTACTTTGGTAGTTTATGCATTGCAATGCATGCTCGTTTTGCCTAAATTGTCAATTTTATTAGCATAACATTATTCATAATGTTATCCTGTTAATGTCTTTAAATCTATAATGTCTCCTTTCATGTTCCTACAGCAGCTAACTTATACTTTCTCTCTTATTTTTTCTGATCGGTCTGGCTCTGGAATTTTGTCAAGTTTGTTGATATCATCAAATAATTAACTTTGATCCATTCATTGTTTTTTCTTTTTTCTCTTTTCTGTTTCATTTGTTTCCACCTCAAGCTTTTGCCCCAAATTCTTATGTTTCTTTTGGTCTGTATTTGCTCTCACTTTCTAGTTCTTAAGGAGAAAAAAGTGAAGTCGCTAATTTCAGACGTTTCTTCTTTATTAGGCATTTATGTTTATATATTGTCTAATAAATATGGCTATAGTTACATCCCACAGATTTTGAAAATATGCACTTTTTTCTCCATTTTTCTTCAGTTCAGAATATGTTCTAATTTCCCCTTTGTATAGTTTCTTGACTCATAAGTTTTTGAAAGTTTTTTTTTTTTTTGTTTCTAATTACTTGGGTGTTTTCAAAATATCTTTTTGTTTGTGATTTCAAATTAAATTCTACCATGTCTGAGATCATACTTTGTAAGCTGAATTTTTTTTATAATTTTTAAGATGCATTTGATGTCACAGAACACGGGTTGGCAAACTATGACCTGCAGGGCAAATATGGCCTTGGGCTTCTTTTTGTGTGGCTGATAAGCTAAGAGCGATTTTTACATTTTTAAAGGATTGCAAAAACAAACAAAGAACATGTGACAGAAACTACAAAGGCCTGAAAAGCTTAAAACACTACTAATTGCTTTTTGCAGAAAAAGTGTGCTAACATCTGTCCTTCGTAAATATTACATGTACAACTAAATGTGTATTTTTATGTTTGGGATACAGTGGTCCATCAAGTCTCTGAAGTCAACTTGGTGTTGATAGTGTGGCTCAGTTCTTTCTTACCCTTACTATTTTCTCTTGCTTATTTATCAGTTATTGAGAAAGCAATGTTAAAATCTCTGATAATAATTTTGAATTTTATTTCCCCTTGCAACTGTCTCATTTTTTTGCTTCAAATATTTTGAAGTTCAATAATTCACTGCATTAGTGTTTATAATGATTGTGTCCTTTTGATGCATTGAACACTTTATTCTTTATTAACTAACCTTTTTATCTCTGATAATATTTCTGGTACTGACATATGCTTTGTCTAATATTAATATAGCTACTTCAGTTTTTACTGACTAATCTTAGTATACTTTTTTTTTTTTTTTTTTTTTGAGACAGTCTCGCTCTGTCACCCAGGCTGGAGTGCAGTGGCAGGATCCTGGCTCACTGCAAGCTCCGCCTCCCAGGTTCAAGCCATTCTCCTGCCTCAGCCTCCGGAGTAGCTGGGACTACAGGTGCCCGCCAGCATGCCCAGCTAATTTTTTTTTTTGTATTTTTAATAGAGACGGGGTTTTACCGTGTTAGCCAGGATGGTCTCGATCTCTTGACCTCGTGATCCGCCCGCCTCGGCCTCCCAAAGTGCAGGGATCATAGACGTGAGCCACCGTGCCAGGCTCATTTTTTTCATTTTTTTAAAACAAACCAATGTTTTTACATATAAACTGTTTATTGTAAGCATTATATAGTCGGGTCTTGCTTTTTTGTAAAATCCTATCTGATGATCTCTTTTAGCTGGAAAATTAAAATCATTTATATTTAATATGATTGTTTATATGGACCAACATCCACAAGCCAAGTATGTGCTTAATTGCAGTTCCCAAAAAGCAGCATCAGAGGGAGATCTGGTAATATATTTTGAACAGTTATCTAAAAATATTTTAAATTTTATAAAACTATGAAACCCCAAATTGAAGAAGCAACAGAAAGACCAAGAGAAAGAAACATGATAAAAATGATGCCAATTCACATCATATTAAAATTGATTAAAAGCTGATAAAAGGGAAAATCTTAAAAGTAGCCAGAAAGAAAAAGACACATTATCTACAGAGTAACAAAATAAGTATTTTGTTCAATAAAGAAATAATGCACAATAAAAGAAAATAGAACATTTAAAAAACTATATTTATTTTAAAAAGACAAAATAGTGATGCTTTTGTATATACAAAAGCAAATTGTTACCAACAAAAATTCTCTGTAAAGTATATTCAAGGAACTTCTGCAAAGAGAAGAAATATAATGCCAGATGAAAATTTCATATACATTTGGCTTTTTGAATTTGGCTAATAATTCAAAGATGTTTTATGTTTTCAAAATGTTTTTCTCTTGCTGTTTAATTTTGGATAGCGTCTGTTGGTATGTATTCAAGTTCACTAATCTTTTCTTCTGCAATGTCTAATCTGTCA
This sequence comes from Homo sapiens, assembly GCF_000001405.40. Classification (NCBI taxonomy): domain Eukaryota; kingdom Metazoa; phylum Chordata; class Mammalia; order Primates; family Hominidae; genus Homo; species Homo sapiens. Next base: position 52,785,033 of record NC_000017.11, read on the forward strand.
TTGATCTCATATACAGTATTTTTTTATCTCAGAAATTCTCGATTTTGTCTCTATAATTTTGTTTGGGGTCTTTTTCATATCTTCTATATTTCTACTAAAATTTTTTTAGTCTTTGTTCTTCTAGCTCTTTGGACACATTACATATTGCTAAAATAACTACAAATATCCATGCCTTTTAATTCTGTCATCTGTCACTAGTGATTGGCTAGTGAGTAGATTCTCCTTCTTATAGGTTCTATTTTACTGCTTCGTTGCATGCGTTTTTGTTCATTTTTTTAATCATATGGCAGACAATGTATATTTTACATAATCAGCTGTTGCATATTTGTATGTTCCTAAAAATATTCTTGAAAGTAGTTTGATCCTTTCCTTTCTTCTTAAGCTTTGCTAAAGGGGGCCAGAGGAGTATTTAGTGGAGGATTAATTTTATCGCAGAACAGGAGAAAGGCCTTTCTTAATATTCTAACTTGTGTCCAATGAATTAAGAGGTTTCTACTCTGCTCATAGGAAATGGGCACTAGTTGAGCTCTATGTGAGCTTTAGACACTGTTTCTGCTAATCCTTTCAAGTAGTTATTTCCCATGTCTTAAGAAGTTTCCTCAGATGCATGCACTGATCAGAACCCAAGTGAATACTTGAGAGGGTTCCTCTGGAGGTAAACATCTCTTTTTAGCCTTTTCTTATCTAATATATGTTCTGCTGTGATGCATGTTTCAAGTAATTTAATATTAGAGATCAAAACTTTCCTTTAGTAAAGACAACATCTAGTCACATGTCAAATTCCATAAGGACTAATGAACATCTGGAAAGAGGAAACATTGTAAAAATATCCATGGGTCAATAATATATGTGATGTAATACTCAAAAAGCAACCAACTGCACCAAGGACAATTTAAAAAATAAGAACACAATTCTGTAAAAATTACGAAGACTTGTTTTTAGGAAAAATAATTAATCAACAGAGTCAAGATAGTTAAATAGTAGAATGTGTAATTTGTTTGTTTTGTGTTTTATTTTAAGGCAACTCTTCATTAAGTAAAGGCATGGGGGGGATGCTTGAAGGTAAAAATATTTGAAGAGGTTAGGATGGGGATATTCAAGCTGCACAGCTACTTTTTATTTAGCATCATGTCGATCATTCAGGAGTATGAAAAATTTCAAAAGACATTCACAGAAAGCCTAGCCATCTCTAGTCTTTTGAATAATACTCAGTGTTACCCTCAATAATTATTAAAGACATTGTATGGAACAGTGTATATTTTCCTTGATATACAATAATAACAATAACAAAAGAAAATGTCAACAGATTGTGAAAGTATAAATTAGGACAACTACTTTGAAATAAACATTTTGGCGGTATGTAATTGAAACAAGTATTCATACTTTGATCTGGCAATTCTCAGTCTGAGAATGTTTCCTGATGAAATAAATGGAAATGAAGAAAAATATTTATGCCAAACATTATGCTTATTGTAGCAACATTATTTTTTAATTGTAAAAGTTCAAAGACAACTCTTTCTTCCAAGAAATGGCAACAGTTAAATTCATTGACTTGTCCAGTCATTTGAGTATAATACAATAATTGAAATATTTACAAAGGCCATGTAGTAACTTTGAGAACACTTACAAAATAAAGTTGAAAAGGATTATACATAGTAAATTATAATTTATAATGAAAAAATGCTCATAAGAAAGATCTACCAAGTCAACGTATTAATAATATACATCTTTGGAGGAGGATGGAAGGATAGAAAGCAAAACAATAGCTATGGAGTGGGAAATGGAATCTAAAGGAGTCAATATATCTTATCTCTAACTCATAGTGTTCATACTTGAGTAAGGTACATGAAGTCACTTTTCCTCAACTTTCTCAACTTTGTAAAATGGGGGATAATATCAATTTTAGGATTATTGTTTTCATAAATGAATTAACACATACAAAACATTTAGAATATTGTTCAAAATAAATTAAACATTCTTTAAATACTAGCTATAAAATGGATAATGGAGTATCTACATTTGTATATTATATTTTTAAATATTTTAACTAGTAATGTTTTTATAATGGAATCACAAAAATAAATAACCAGCAGAGACTCACTTGTCAAAAATTCTTCCATTTATTTTCTATTTTCAAATCAGTGGGTGTGAAGGAATAGCTACAGCATTTCGTTTTCCAAATTTAGCTCCAATGGAAAGAGGATTTACAAATTTTATGCTCAACTTGACAGATTGCTGAATGCTTCCTTTCTCTACTCAGGTGATGTGCTTACTTTTTCCACCAGCAATTGCTATATTACCAAGCAAAACGGAATCACACTTTTATAGATTGGGTTAAGCCAATTATTGATTTTCCTGGTTTACAAACATCAAAACAACCTTGAAAAAGTATGAAAATTAAGTTCAAATTGCTTAGGTTCAGTATGTTTTCACACCACAACGTGTAGAATATTTAATAACTCTAAAAGCGACTTATGTAATAAAAAGGACTATAATCCAAAAGTATGTCTTGCCTAAAAATCCTAAAACAAGATGTATATTTTAATGAATAGACTAGAAGATTGTGAAACTTCTAGTTTCACAAACTAGTCACAAAGGGACAGCTTATTATGAAAAACAAAAGATAGTCTTTCAAATAGCTTCGATAGGGTGTCCATCGATAGGGTGTCCATTTAACTGGAATGAACTCTTACTGATTAGGGTAAGAGTTCTCATAGGGTAAGAGTACTGATAGGGACATCGATAGGGTGTCCATTTAACTGGAATGAACTCTTACTGATAAGCACTTCCTCGACTTCACTTCTGTTTCCATTACTTAATATTATTTCTTTGCAACCATCAATCATGTTCACCTGAAAGTCCTCAATTTGTAGGGAGGATATTGTTAAGAATTATTTTAAGTGGGAAGAAAACACCTGAAACTCACTTAAACAAAAAAAAAAATTTTATTGGCTTAGTTTATATGTGATAAAACTACAGAATTAGTTTGATGCCAGGCACAACTGAATCCAGGAGCTCAACAATCCATCAGTAATCAAAAATATATTCTTTTGCCAATTTTGCATTTCTAAGTTTTTGCTGCATCTGTACACGTACTACCTTCATATGGTCACAAATTAGTTCTCAGTATCTCCATGTTAACATTCAATTTGCTTCAAGTCCAGTGGGCCAAAGCTTATTTTTCTAAATGCTTGGAACTCAATCTTATTGGCTCTGATTGTTTTTGCTTATATCACATGCCTATTGCTAAATAATTACTATGAACACGATTCTAGGGAATATACTGAATGGACAGATTTGAGACACTGTCCAACCCTGAAGTTTGAAGACATTCAACCTATGTAAATTACATGAACAAAGAGGAGATAAGTGTTGCTTCCCATGAAACTTAAGGTGCTACTAGAAAAAAGCATTAGTGAATGAAGGAGCATGCTAAAATATTAAAAGTATTTAGGACACTATAGTAACTAAATTATATGTGCACACTCTCTGTATCTGTATCTTTATTATTCTTTCTCTAGACAAATAGGTGTTTAAATAGATGATATAAAGTATATTTGTATATAGTGATTGTACTAAACTTGTTAAATCAGTATACAAGTTGTTTTCTTTTTTCCTACCATTTCCTTCACATATGAACTGTTGAATTTATTTATCCTCTCTCTCTCAACATTTTGGGAGGATCTCATTACTCTAGTCCCTTTCGAATGTAGTAATAGTCTCAATTTTAGGTTTTAAAGTACAATCTAAACTACATGAAATCGCCACTCTATTTTTCATCTATTATAGTGATTTTTACATCCCTGAACTCAGACCTGATCCTTAGCTTGGGTGCCTGCAGTAAGAAAATGAGCTAAGATTTATTGTTAACTCTTAGTCCACTAGTTCTCACCTCCTGCTTAGGTTCCAGTAGAGTTGGAGAGATAAGCAGAGGCAACTGAAAAAAGAGAATCAAACCCACTTCTTAGTTGGCAGATGTTACTTGGCCATCACACCTTCTGTTAGTCTCACTGTTGACGCTTCATAAGGGCTTGGAGGATCCTTTAGAGACCGCATGCCCGTTCATACCGCATCCTTCCTTGATGAGAGGTGCACTCTCCACTTGATCCCTTTTATCCCTCATCTCAACACCCTCTGCTCTCACACACTGGGCCTCCCCATCTCTTGCTTCTCTATGCTAGTGTTCTTTTACCCTGGCAAGCAACTCTCTTTATGTACTCTTGAAGGGATCTCACACATTTACTTTCTCAGTGTCTCCTCAGTCTGTGGGAAACATTGTATATCTCTGCCCTGACAATAGGTCTTGGTTGCTTCCTTCCACTGCTGTCCTCTCTCCTTGCCTTACTCTGCCATGTGTCTACTCCAGCTAGTCATCTGGCCTCAGGCTTCTCTTGGGGAGAAGCAGCCACCTAACCTACCTCTCTGACCCCATATTGCTCCACATCTGGAAGACACATATTACTTTGTCCTAGGATGTTGCTCACTAAGCTGTGCTTCATTCCCTTAGTGTCACAGGGGCAAACAGTGGTATGGGTGTGGAATAAGATGATGACTTTTGTTTCCTATAAATACTCTCATCTCTGTGAATATTTATTTGGGAACCCTGTCAGCTGGCTAAAGGTGGTAGTGGGAAACACCTTGCTTCCCATGGGTACTGGAGGGAAAATAAGAAACTCTCACCTCCTAGAAATTCTCCTGCTTTAATGAATTATCCCTGAAATATTTTTTTCTTTTATATTCTGGATAAATGATGCGACCAGTGGTTGCAGGGCTGCTTTTATTCTTTTCTGTAAATCTCATCTAAATGTATCTAGCACACTTATTTATAAATGGGAGGGAACTATTCGTCATTCATTGTTTTTAGCTTTGGGGCTTCGGAGAAAACTCTGAAATAACAGGAAAAGCACGTTCACATCATGCTACCTTTCACATTCATTAACACAAGTAAAAGACTTAATTTTTTTATGGACTTATAATCACACTTTCAGGCAGGCATTGTTAGCCTTTTTTTTTTTTTTTTGATAAGACAATGAGTCACATGAAGATAACTGATTCAACCAAGTCCTGTCACTGGGAGAAGGGCCAAAGCCTTGATGTTCCCCATTTCTAACCTGTGTTTTCTTTTCCATTCAAATACTTTCAAAATCTTTCATGAATGAATTTGTTGGTAAAGTATGAGTGATACCAGTTCTACATATATATATGTTTATTCCTAGCGACTTATCCTTTGAAATAGTTGCTGTCTGCATTGTGTGTGTAATGAGTATGTGCCTGCATGTGTTTATACAGCTCATTAACTTTGTGTGACTTTTGTTTCTACTGCTGGGAAAACTTTCCGTCACCATAAACCCAATATATGTTGATAGGAATTTCATGAGAAACCACTCACCTATTATGTAACTAAAATTTAAATATAACCTTAGGTGGTTCTATACTTCTAAATTAGAATTTGTTCATGAATAATGGTGGCAAATGAAGAACCTGTGACAGAGTCCTGAGTCATATCTGGTCTGTTTAGAGGCAAAGCAGAAAACTATTCTCTTTATCAAGTGGATTGTGCTTTGCTATTCTTTGAAAGGAAGAGCAGCTGGGAACAGCTACCATTCCCAACATAATATAGAGCAGAAACCCATCTTAACCCTTCACCTCAGAAATCTGTACATGATGTCGCCAAGTCAGCAGAGGCCGAGCTGACGAGGCAAGTCAGCCCTCTGGCAGGCTTCAGCATCAGAGCACTACGAGTTGATGAGAGTTCCCAGGGGACAGTCTTTGTTTGGAATGGTGGTGGCAACACTGCTGTCATAGCAAAGATCTCAGTCACGGGCACGTCAACAGACCACAGCTTGCATGACATTCTGATATTGCTGTATATCTATACCACCCATATCCTTCTTCCCTGTAGCAGTTAATAGGACAATTGTCAAGTAGAAGTGAGGGATTCTAAAAATTTTTTTTATTATTATCTGAAGCATCCACTACACACAAGCGGAGAAATCAATTACTGCCTGTGTTTTCCACTGGGCTTTCTATTTGGGCCTGTACTACAATTTTTATTGCACTTCCCTGGTTTCCTTTTTTTTCTCAGTAATCTTTGCAACTATCCTACCCAAGGTTCGTTATCTTCTCTGCTGGAAAGTGATATGGCTCTGTGGGAAACACTGGAAAATATAGGACATTAACTGTGTCCTCTGAACCGTGGACACATATAAATATTACTTTAAGTGTATTAATAACAATTAGAGTAAGAGGATGCTCAGTGTTAGGAAGGAAAGAAACATAACAGGGATGCTGGCATGCATGTAATGTAAGTTTGGGCAGAAGGAAGGTCTTATAACTCTGTTTCTAAGTCAGTAATGAAGAAAACACTAGGTTGATTGAGTGTGGGAGAAAATAAGAGATAAGCTAGAATTCCTGAGAGAATGAAAGTAAAGTGACCTGCCAGAGTAAGCTGATGCCTCATGATGTGACTCTATCATGGGTACCACTAAGGCTTCGTGAAGTACATTGGAGAGGGAGTTTGAGAAAAACCACTGGAGCGCACATGAGAATTCATTCTGAGGTCCATACTGTGGAGCCAATAAAACATATTCTTTGTAAGGAAATGTTTTACAAATGTTTATGAAATAAGTCTTTGTAAAATGACTGACAAAATTCCAAATTGTTCAGTATATTTGTGACTATGGAGGCAACTTGGGGGTGGAATACAGTAACATCCATAGCTGTGATCTCAAAGCCGTTTGGACACATCAATATTATTACATTTTTTTTCAGCAGACATCTCTAACATATATATGCATATATTTATAAATGATATAGATGCATTATTAACCTACCAAACTAGGTGTATTATAAAATGTACAAATAGTACATGTTATGGAATGAAATATAAATACTTATATATACATATATGTACATGTTATATATATATTCATTATGAATTATGTATATATACATGTAATGTATATATATGTATACATATTATGTATTTTTATTTTTTCTTCCAATACATTTCTGTCATCCCTCTCACTCCACTTGGAACTCCACAGGATAAGTTCCCACCTTAAATCCTGAGCTGCTGGAATACGTTCTGGACACCTGCGACCTTTAACTTAAATAACTGGGTAAATAATTATCTTACTTGTTTTTATTAATCTTTTGTCCATCTTAAATATATGCCATAGGACCTTAGCTCTTGTTTATATCAATGAGCTTATTATAAACTTGGTTTTGTCACACAATGTTTAACTTAAAGTCACGGTTTCCAGGTCCATACATGTTGTAGCAAAACAATGTACCCTTGTGATACACACACTTTGTTTTGCACTTGTTCCCAATTTCCTTTGTGATAGGACTCCACCAAAATATTTAGCAAAGCTAACTGTAAGCTCTTTGGGCCATGACTGAGGAGTGAGGACTTACAAAGTCTGGATAAATATGGTCACAAGGAAATAAAAATCTAACTAATCAAAGGAAAGCAAAGGTAAAGGAGGAGAGTAATATGTATAATATCTCATCTTTTATCAAAAATATAACTTCTGTGAATGAGTCTTTGGGTGAAACTGTCTTCAAAGAGAATCTTATAAGATGAGACTTCATAAAAGAAGAATCCCCCAAACACTGATTGTGCAGAAATAATGTATATTTCTTGTAAAATTTTCTAGTGCATTAACTTTATTCTTTACTATTACTCTGAGGATGCTCAACTCCTGAGTGTTAATGCTATAAATCTTCAACAGCAAGAAGGAATATCAGTCAATAAATACTTAACAACAGTATAAATTATGTATGCCAGAATAAGTGAGTATTGCAGGGAAGCACATAGACTAATGGGCCTGCTTACTGAATGCCATAAAACTAAACATCCTGAATCTTTACAAGGAGGGCTGCATTACCTAACAAGTAATTCTTTCAAAATAATCATCCTAGATTTTGGGAGAAATTTTTCAAATGCCAGTGGTGATGTCTGTGAAAATTATTTAGTAATTGTAATCTAAATATTCTTATGTACATAATCTATAACATACTCTTAATCAGAATTGGGTTTGTAAAGTGTAAAGCAATTGGATAAACTGTAGACAGCTCAATGAGAGTTTATATCTCATTCACTACTTGAAATATTGGTACTGACTTTTACCACTGAGATTATACTATATTTGTCTTTTAATGCTTAGATCCAAATTACTGAATAAAGGTTACTAATTGTTTCCTACAAGCTTGATGTATTAGTGGCTTGTTTGAATACCCAAAGAAATATAAAGATTAACATTATAATTAAATAATGGATAATATAGGAAGTAATGCTATAGACTGGTGTTCAGTTATGCCTATATAGTATGTGTTTATGTTTCCTCTATATTTGAGTCCTGAGAAATTATAAACTCTAAGCAGAAATGTTAATACCTCTGTTCAGTTTCCTTATGCGGAAAATTCTCACAGACTACTCTAAAACCACTTAGTTATGGTAGTTTCTTAGACAGTCTGTAATGCAAAAGCCAGAAAGAAATAGGTGTAGAAAAGACCAGAAAATAAAAAACAAAATGACATAATGTCCTTAAACTGACGTACCTTCCATAATCAATTTTAAATTGTCAAAACATAAAACTTGTTTTTGAGGGAAACTAAGTTGGGAAATCTGATTCATTCCTGTGGGTTGCATGCATTGATTTTATTTTTACAGATGATTATTCAACTTCTACTTGACTTTGGATGCTTAAATGTAGGCATTATACGTACATAACTGAATGTATAGCATAAAATAAAGACAGTGTTTCCAATTTCTCTATGCTCTGTGCCATCATTTCCCTATATGTTAACATAATCTCAATCAAATGAATCAAAAAAAGAGCTCAAAAACCTCAATAGCAAAGCTACTGACAAAAGATTTTGGCATAAATAGGCAAGTAAAATAAATCCAGGTTCTTTTCTTTTCTTTTCTTTTCTTTTCTTTTCTTTTCTTTTCTTTTCTTTTCTTTTGAGGGGGGAACAGTGTCTCACTCTGTTTCCCAGGCTGGAGTGCAGTGGCATGAGGACAACTAACTAAAGCCTCAAACTACTGGGCTCAGGTGACCCTCACACCTCAGCCTCCAGAGTAGCTAGGACTACAGGCACGCACCTCCATGCCTGGCTAGGTTTTCATATTTTTTGTAGAGATCAGGCTTCACCATGTTGCCCAGGCTGGTCTCAAACTCCTGGGCTCAAGTGATCCACCCGCTGTGGCCTCCCAAAGCGCTGGGATTACACGCAGGCTTGAGCTGCCGCGCCTGACAACCCACATTCTTTTTTTTTTTTTTAATTGAGACAGAGTCTCACTCTGTCACCCAGGCTGGAGTGCAGTGGCGTGATCTTAGCTCACTGCAACCTCCACCTCCTGGGTTCAAACAATTCTCCTACCTCAGCCTCCCAAGTAGCTGGGATTAAAGGCACCCAACACCACGCCCAGCTATTTTTTTATTATTATTTTTCTATTTTCAGTAGAAACGGGGTTTCATCATGTTGGCCAGGCTAATTTTGAAAGCCTGACCTCAAGTGATACACCTGCCTCAGCCTCCCAACATGCTAGGATTAGAGGCGTGAGCCACCGCACCTGGCCAATCCAGGTTCTTAATAAGTACAAGAGTTAGCATTGTTTGTGAGTGCATTTTAATTGCTCACTTCATTCAAGTTTATGTCCGTACCCAATTTTGACACAAGTCTTGATAGAAGACCAATAATAATGTCAATACATTCCAGGAATTGGCCAACTACCGCCCAAGGGCCAAATCCAGAGCATAGCTTGTTTTGGTAATAAAATATTATTGGAGCACAGCCATGTTCATTAGTTGATGAACTGTCTGTAGCAGCTTTCATTGTACAATGGCTGAGTTGAGTAGTTGCCACAGAGACAATATGGTCTGCAAAGCCTAAAATATTGATTTCTTGGAACTCTGTCTGCTGACCCTTGATATATACCAATCAACTCATAGATTATTAGGGACAAGAAGAACTTAAGTGGTTATCCTGCCATACAACTTCATTTGACCAAAGGGAAAAGTGAGGCTCAGGAAGGTGATAATTTGCTCAATGATATAAAAATAATCAGGGACAATAGCTTGGAATATAAACCAGTTACTACTTCCTGATGCATTAGTCCTTGTACTCTAACTTACATGGTAGAAATAAATCAGGTTTCTCATATAACTGATTTTTTTAAGCTTTGTCAGTATAATTAGAAATTACATGAAAACTTTTGGAACAAATTTTCTTACAAAGTATAACACAGCATGGGAATAGAATATTTAATATTTAGTTACAGTAATTCTCTCAGTCTTTTTAAAACTTTTCCCCTTGTCACACACACACACACACACACACACACACACACACACACACACACGTGCAGTTCAATGATTTATCACAAAGTCCACCATCATACAGCATGTTGCGGGGACCCAGGAGCTTTTCTCATGCTCCTGTCATTAAACCTTTCCTTTCCTGAAAAGGCAGCCCCAGGCCTGATTTTTACATTAATTGTCTCCTTGCATTTCTTTGGTTTTACCACATAAGTATGGTTCTCTAAACACTATTGTTATACCTGTTTTTAAGTTTTATGTAAATTAAATTATACAACAGTGTTTTGTGCCTGGCTTCTTTACTTACATAATTTTGGTGAAATTCTTGCATTGTGTTCATTTGCACTGCTATATGCATTCAGTTACATGAATATAGAACAATTTATATACATCGTATTGTGGAAAAATATACGGGTTATCATAGTTTGGAGATATTATGCATAATGCTCCCATAAATACTTATATCCATGTTTTTTGGTACACATATGTATGCATTTTCATTAGGTAGATACTAAATAATTGATTGAGACTTTTGGATCTGTGGGTTTGCGTTTATTCAACACTGGCAAATAGTATACAAATAAATGGTATAAATATACTCTCGCCAAGCATGGTGGCTCACACCTACAATCCCAGCACTTTGGGAGGCTGAAGTGGACAGATCATCTGAGGTCAGAAGTTCGAGACTAGCCTGGACAACATGGCAAAATCTTGTCTCTACTAAAAATGCAAAAGTTAGCTGGGCGTGGTGGTGAGCACCTATAATCCCAGCTACTAGGGAGGCTGAGGCAGGAGATTTGCTTGAACCCAGGAGGCGGAGGTTGCAGTGAGCAGAGATTGCACCACTACACGCCAGCCTGGGCCATAGAGTGAAACTCTGCGAAACTCTGTCTCAAAAAAAAAAAAAATTATATATATATATATATATATATATATATATATATATATATATATATATACACTTTCCTCCTAAAATTGTAAGGGGGTTGTCTTTGCTCCATATCTTCACCAACGCCTGCTATTTTCTACTTACTTTTAGTTTTTCTGATAAGTATATGGTGATATTTCATTGTGCCTTTTACTTCTAATACTGTCTTTGCTGAGGAATTTGAAACCTTATATTTACTGGCCATTTGTATACCCTCTTCTATGAAAGACTTTTTTCAAATATGTAGTTATTTAACCATGAGGTTGCATTTTTCCTTGTTATCAGCAGAGAATCTTTTCATATTCTGGAAACAATTTTTTTGTGGATATATTAGCACAAATATCTTCCATTACTCTGTGGAATACCAGCTATGTCTTCTAATGGCAACTTTTTTTCAAAAGTAAAACTTAACATTTTCAATAAAATCAAGTTGACTAATATTTTACTTTTGATATGGGTGTTTTCTAATCCTATTTAATAGTATCCTCTCAATCTAAGGTATTAGATATTCTTTTATATTAACTTCTGGATGCTTAATTTTTATCCTTTCACAATTTGATTTGCTGTAGTCTGAATTTTAGATGCGGTGTGAGGTATGGGTCAAATTTATTTTTTTCTTATATGGATACCTTATTGTTCAGTAGCATTTATTTTAAAGACTGACCTTCACAACTGTCTCCATAACTTTTGCTGTATATCAAGTGCCTATATGTGCATGAGTCTTAATTTTGGGTCATTTATTATCTTATTTTCACTTAACATAATATTGGTAAATTTATGTACTTTAATTCTGAATAATGCCTTATTGCCTAATAGCTGCAATTTTATAATAGCCTTGATACCTGGTAGAGCAAATTTTTCCAAGTTGTTCTTTATTCAGATGTATTTTAACTACCTTTAACTCTTCTGGTTTCTATAAATTTTTAAATCATCTTGTCATAAAGTGGGCCATGAACAAGATGGCAAAGAAGGAAGCTCTGTGCCCTTTTATCCCTACAGACACATCCAATCAGCAACAATTCATGCAAAAATTTACATTAATGAAATGAGAAATCAATTGAAACGCTGCTTCACCTGAGGAGAATGTGAAAGCAGACTCAACAAAGCTAGTAGGAAGATTCAGGACCTGCTCCTGGATCAGTGCCATATGATCAGGAAGAGATGTCCCAACATGCCAGTTTCACTAGAGGAGGGGAGGGGAATGGGAAAAAGCATTCAACTTTTCCAAGGGACCTCCACAGAGGACTGACTTTTTTCTTGCCAATCCTGGAGCTCTGATATAATCAGCATGGTCTAGTCATCCTGGGGAGAACAGCTTGATAGATGCCCTCATCCTCTTCTCTGCCAACACACAGTAACCAGACAAATAATCCTGGCTCTCAGCTTCCCGCTGAGGTGGGGAAGGATGTGACCCATGCATCCAGCATCACAACTTCTCCAGGGCTTCCCAAAGGTAGCTAGACTATGCTTATCAGTTTTAAAGCTCTGATGAGTCTCACATAATCTAGCTACCTGAGTAGAAAACGTAACTTAGGCTGATAGATGCCACAGCCCAAACCCCCACTCTCTCACCTGCTTAGCACAGAGGACATGAACATAAAACACCAGTACCTGCTTCTCCCTGTGGAGGAAAAGAATTGGGAGAAGCCCCAGGAATCTCTGGCTAGAATAATTAGTGGGAGTTTTCTCCTGTACAAATCCAGTCTATGAAGACTGAGAGAAGTACCTGCTTTGTCTAATGTGCAAACACTGAAACAGAAAGTCAAGGAAAATGAAGATTCAGGCAGACATGTTGCAAACAAAGGAAACAATAGCTCTCCAGAAACTGACACTCATAAAGTGAAGAGATATGATTTACCTGACAAAGAATTAAAAATAACTCTTATAAAGATGCTCACTGAGGTCAAGAGAACAATGTGTGTACAAAGAGAGAATTTCAATAAAGAGAATTATTATTTTTTAAGAACTAGAAAGAATCATTCAGTGGAAGAAAAAAAAATGACCTGAAAAATTCACTAGAGGAATTTAGTAGCAGGCTAGATCAAAGAGAAGGAAGGATCAGCAAACTCAGATAAATCACTGGAAATAATTCAAGCCGAGGATCCAAAAGGAAATAAAAGGAATGACAAAGAGTGAAGAAAGCTTAACGGAGGTATAGGACACCATCAAGCAGACCAAAATGAAGGTTATGGGAGTTTCTGAAAAAGAATGGAGTGGGAGTGAACCAGAAAGCTTATTCCGTAATAGCTGAAAACTTTCCAAATCTGGGGCAGAAAATGTCCACCCCAAATCTAGAAGCCCAAAGAACAACAAATAAGATGAACTTAAAGAAATACACATAGAAATACATTATAATCAAATTATCAAAAGTTCAAAACAAAAAGAGAATTTTGACAGCACCAAGAAAAAGTTAACTTGTTGCATATAAAGGGACTCCCATTAGACTATCAGTGGACTTTTCAGCAGAAACATTGCAAGCCAGTAAGGAGTAGGATGGTATATTCAAGGTGTTGGAAAAACTACCAGCCAGGAGTAGTACATTCAGTAAAACCAACATAGCACCCAGCAACACTTCTCCTTCAAAAATTAAAGAGAGATAACAGAAACTTTTTCATATAAAAGCTGAGGGATTTAATTATGCCTAGAACCACCTTACAAGAAATGCTAAAGGGAGTTCTTCAAGTAGAAAGAAAGGATGCGAACTAGTAACAAAATAGGATAAGAAAGTATGAAACTCACTGGTGAAAGTAAATATATAGACAAGTACCGAATATGGTATTATTGAAATGGTGGTGGGTAAATAATTTTCATTCTAGTGTAAAGGACCAAAGTATTAAAAAACTACTATAACTAAGAACATGTTAAAGGTACACAATATGAAATAGATATAAATTGTGACAACATTAACATAAAGTGTGTGTGGCAGGGGCGAAGTTAAAGTGTAGAGTTTTATACACAATTGAACTTAAGCTATTATCAGCTTAAAATAGGCTATCATAGCTATTAGATACTTTATGTAAGTACAAAGTTAACCACATACCAAAAAACTATAGTAGTTACAAAAAGATAAAAAAGCAAGGAATTAAAGCATGATAGAAAATATCAAGGAAACATAAAAGAAGGCAGTAAAAAGGATAAAAGGAGTGCAAGAATAACAGAAAACAATTATCAAAGTGGCAGTGGTAAATACTTCCCTATCAATGATTACTTCATATAAATAGATTAAACTCTCAAATCAATAGAATGGCTGAATGAATAAAAAACAAACAAGACCCAACTATATGCTATGTACAAAGAACTCATGTCAGATTTAAGGAAAAATAAGCTGAAAGTGAATAAATGGAAGATATATTCCATGCAAATGGTAAACAAAGGACAGCAGGAGTGGTCACATTTAAATAAGAAAAAAATTGTCCCTAAAACCTATCACAGGAGACAAAGAAGGACATTATATGATAAAAGGTTCAGCATACCAGGAAGATATAACAATTACAGTCATATAAGCACTCAACATCAAAACACCTAAATACATAAAACAAATGTTGACAAACTGAAGGGAAAAATACACAGCAATACAATAATAGTAGGACACTTTAATACTCCACCTTCATAATGGACAGAACATCAAGACAGAAGATCAATAAGGAAACAGAGGACTTGAATAACACATTCAACCATGTAGACTTAAACACATGCAAAATATTTCACCAAAAAGTAGCAGAGTATGCACTGTTAATAAAAGCACACAAATCTTTCTCAAAGATAGATCATGTAGTTGTTCACAAGCGTCTTGATTTATTTTTAATTTTTAATTTGTTTGGGTAGATGACAAGTGTCTATATTTAGGGGGCACATGAGCTATTTTGGTACAGGCCTGCAATGCCTAATAATCACATCTTAGAAAATCGGGTATCCATCCCCTCAAGCACTCATAATTTGCATTATAAAAATCCAATTATACTTTCTAAATACTTTTTAAATTTACAATTAAAGTATTATTGACTATTGTCCCATTGTGTTTTCAAATACTAGGTCTTATTCATTTTATTTTTTTTTTGTATCCATTAACCATCCCCACTTCCCCCACCCGCACTACTCATCCCAGCCTCTAGTAACCATCCTTCTATTCTCAATCTCCATAATCTCCATTGTTATGATTTTCAGATCTCACAGATAGGTGAGAATATGCAATGTATGTTTTTCTGTGCCTGGATTATTTTATTTAATATAATGACCTCCAGTTCCATCCATACTGTTGCAAAGGACATGATCTCATTCTTTTTTATGACTGACTATTACTTCATTGCATACATGTACAATATTACAATATTTTCTTTACCCATTTATCTGCTGATGAACACCTAGGTTGCTCCCAAATTTTGGCTGTTGGGAACTGTGCTGCCACAAACATGAGAGTACAGATATCTCTTTGATATACTGATTTCCTTTCTTTTCAGTATTAACCCAGAAGTAGGATTACTGGATCCTATGGTAGCTCTACTTTTAGTTTTTTGAGGAACCTCCAAACTGTTCTCTATAGTGATTGTACTAATTTATATTTCCATCAACAGTGTACAAGAGTTTCCTTTTCTCCACATCCTCACCAGCATTTGTAATTGCCTGACTTTTGGATAAAAGCCATTTTAACTGGGGTTAGATGATATCACATTGTAGTTTTGATTTCCATTTGTCTGATAACCAATGATGTTGAACACTTTTTCATATGACCGTTGGCCATTTGTGTGTCTTCTTTTGAAAAATATCTATTCAAGTCTTTTGCCCAATTTTAAAAACGTTTATTTTAGGTTCAAGGGTACATGTGCAGGTTTGTTTTATAGGTAAACTCGTATCATGGGGGTTTGTGGTACAGATTATTTTGTCACCCAGGTACTAAGCCTAGTACCAAACAGTTATTTTTTTCTGATTCTCTCCCTTCTCCCACTATCCACTCTCAAGAGGCCCAAGTGTCTGTTGTTCCCCTCTTTGTGTCCATGTGTTCTCATCATTTATCTCCCACTTATAAGTGATAGTATGGGGTATTTAGTTTTCTTTTCCTGTTATAGTTTGCTAAGGATAATGGCCTCCAGTTCCATCGATGTTCCTGTAAAGGACATTATCCCATTCATTTTTATGGCTGCATAGTATTCCATGGTATATATGCACCACATTTTTAATCCAATCTGCTACTGCTACTGCTGGGTATTTAGGTTGTTTCTCTGTCTTCGCTATTGTGAATAGTGTTGCAGTGAACATACGTGTGCATGTGCCTTTATAGTAGAATGTATTCTATTCCTTTGAGTATATACCCAGTAATGGGACTGCCAGGTTGAAAGGTAGCTCTGTTTTTAGCTCTTTGAGGAATCACCATGCTCCTTTCTGCAATGGCTGAACTAATTTACACCCCCACCAACAGTGTATAAGCATTCCCTTTCTCTGCAACATCAGCAGCAGCATCTGAAGGGCTATTTTAGTAATAGCCCTTCAGACTGGTTTGAGAGGCTATCTCTTTATGGTTTTGATTTACATTTCTCTAATGATCAGTGATGTTAAGCTTTTTTCCTCATAAGTTTTTTGGCCACATGTATGTCTTCTTTGGAAAAGTATCTGTTCATGTCTTTTTCCCACATTTTAATGAGGTTATTTGGTTTTTTTCTTGTAAATTTGTTAAAGTTCCTTATAGATGCTGGATATTAGGCCTTTGCCAGATGCATAGTTTGCAAATATTTTCTCTCATTCTTTAGGCTGTCTGTTTACTCTGTTGGTAGTTTATTTTGCTGCGCAGAAGCTCTTAAGTTTAATTAGATCCCATGTGTCAATTGTTGCTTTTGGTGTGATTGCTTTTGGCACCTTTGTCATGAAATCTTTGCCCATTCCTATGCCAGAATGGTATTGCCTGGGTTAGGGTGTCTTGCAGAATTTTTAGTTTTGGGTTTTACATTTAAGTCTTTTAAATCAATCTTGAGTTGATTTCTGTAAACGGTATAAAGAAGGAGTCCAGTTTTGATCTTCTGCATATGGCTAGTCAGACAGCCCAGCACCATTTATTGAAGAGAATTCCTTTCTCCATTGCTTGTTTTTGTCAGCTTTATTGATCAGATGGTTGTAGGTATGCAGTCTTATTTATGAGCTCTCTATTCTGTTTCATTGGTCTACATGTTTTTGTTTGTTTGTTTGTTTTTGGTATCAGTACCATGCTGTTTTGGTTACTGTAGCCCTATAGCATAGTTTGAAATTGGCTACCATATGCCTCCAGCTTTGTTCTTTTAGCTTAGGATTGCCTTGGCTATTCAGGCTCTTTTTGTTGTTGTTGTTGTTCCATGTGAATTGTAACGTAGTTTTTTGGGGTTTTTTGTTTGTTTGTTTATTTTCCTAGTTCTGTAGGAATGTCATTGGTGGTTTGATAGGAATAGCATTGAATTTGTGAATTGCTTTGGGTAGTTTATTAGTCCATTCTTGCTTTGCTATAAAGAGATATCTGAAACTAGGTAATTTATAAAGAAATGAGTTTTAATTGGTTCATGATTTTGCAGGTTGTACTGTGGCTTCTGCTTCTGGAGAGGACTCAGGAAGCTTCCAGTCATAATAGAAGGCAAAGGGGACGCCAGATTCCTACATGGCAATAGCTCCCTTGTATGTTATTTGTTTCTTTTTTCTTGTTGCTTCTAGGATCCCTTCTTTATCCTTGACATTTGGGAGCTCGATTATTAAAGGTCTCGGAGTAGTCTTCTTTGGGCTAAATCTGCTTTGTGTTCTATAACCTTCTAGTACTTGAATATTGGTATCTTTCTCTAAGTTTGGGAATTTCTCTTATTATCGCTTTGAGTAAATATTCTACCCTTATCTCTTCCTCTACCTTCTCTTTAAGGCCAATAACTCTTAAATTTGCTCTTATTTTGAAGATATTTTCTACATCTTCTAGGTGTGCTTTATTATTTTCTATTTTTTTCCTTCTGTCTTCTCTGTGTATTTTCAAATAGCCTGTAATCAGACTCACTAATTCTTTCTTCTGTTTGATCAATTCTGCAATTAAGAAACTCTGATGCATTCTTCAGCATGTCCATTGCATTTATCAACTCTAATATTTGTTTGATTCTATTTATTTTAATCTCTTTGTTAAACTTATCTGATAGAATTCTGAATTCCTTCTCTTGTGTTATCTTGAATTTCATTGAGCTTCTTCAAAACATCTATTTTGAATTCCCCATCTGAAAGATCTTAAATCTCTGTTTCACCAATATTGGCCCCTGGTGCCTTATTTAGTTCATTTTGTTAGATCTTGTTTTCCTCCATGATGCTGATGCTTGTAGATGTTCTTCAGTGTTGGGCATTGAAGAGTTAGGGATTTATCGTAGTCTTCACAGTGTGGGCTTGTTTGTGTCTTTCTCGGGAAGGCTTTCCAGGTATTTAAAAGGACTTATGCCCCAAGCACAATAATGTTGTGGCTTTTGCAGACTCATAGAAATACCACCTTGGTGGTCTTGGGTAAGATCTAGAGGAATTCTCTGGATAACCAGGCAAAGACTCTTGTTCTTTCCCCTTACTTTCTCCCAAACATGAAATTTCTCTCTGTGCTGAGCCACCTGAAACTGGAGATTTGTTAATGCAAATCTGTGGCTATCACCTCTGAGACTGTTCTGGGGCAGACCTGAAGCCAGCACAAAACTGGGCTTTACCAAAGTTCCTTCCCTACAGGGTGGCAAATTCCCCCAGCCCCAGAGCATGTCCATAGATGCTGTCTGGGGACCAGGGATTGGAGTCAAGAACCTTAGCAATTTACCTGATTTTCTGATCTGCTGTAGGTAAGTTGGCACTCAACCCACAATACAATGTTCTTCCTATTTTCCCCCCCATTTCTACAGCAGAGGAGCCTCTCATTGTGACCACCACTACCATCAGTCCATGGGGACTTCTTACAGGCCACTGCCAATGTTTGCTTAAAGCCCAAGGTCTATTCGTCAGCTTGTGGTGAATGCTGCCAAGCCTGGGACTCACCATTCAAGTCAGTGGGCTCCCCTCTGGACCAGGGCAGGTCTAGAAATGCTGTCTAAGAGCCTAGGCCTGAACTGGAGGACCCCAAAAAGACTGTTTGTTTCTCTACCTCATTGTAGTCAAGCTGTTACCTATGCTGTGTAAGACATAGTCCTCTTTACCTTTTTTTTTTTTTTTTTTTTTTTTTAAACAGAAGGAATCTTTCACCATATGCACCACAGCTGGGAATGTTCAGGGTCTCCCCTGAAGCCAGGACATCTGAGAACCCAAGGCCCAAAGCATACTCCCTGCTTATTGCTGGTCATTATTCTGGGACCAAGGTCTCTTTAATCAGCAGGTGATAAATCCTGTCTAGACTGCATTTTTCCATTCAGTGCAGCAGGTTCCCTTTTGGCCCAGTGTGTACCTAGAAATCTCTTCCAGAAGCTAGGTCCTGGAATGGGGACCTCACAACTCTACCTGCTGCCCTATCCTACTATGTCTGAGCTGGTATCCAAGATGCAAGATAAAGTCCTCTTTACTTTTTGCTCTTCTCTCCCTTAGGAGAAGGAAAGAGTAACTGACACTGCTACAAGCTGCACTGCCTGAGGTTAGGAGAGGGATGGCAAAAGCTATCTATCTGCTATGTGCCACCTGGTGTCTCCCTGTCACATGCACCCTAGCTCTCTGGCTGTAAGCATAGCCTAGCATTAGGAGTTGCCTAGAAATTGCAGTCCTTGTGTCCTTAGATTGCCTTTTGAGTTTACCTAGGACCCCAGAGCACTTTAGCCCACAGCGGTGAGGCTTATAGAGAAACTCAAGTTCCTGTCACTGGGATGGGCAGTACCCCTTTGGCTAGGTCTGATCTAAAAGCTCTCTCCCTGCATGGGTGGTGACTGAACCCAACTTATCTCTCTTCACTGTGGCAGGGCAGCACTGAGTTCAATGTAAAGTCCTTCAGTTGTTGTGCGCTCCCTTTGCAAAGTACACAGTTTCTGTCTCCATGCTGCTACGGTTTAGGGGAGGTGTGGCATTGGCGATTTAAGACTGTCTCTCCCACCCTCCATAATGCCTCTTTCCATGATATGAAGTTAAAACCAGGCACTATGATCACTCACCTGATTTTTGGTTCTTGTGATGGTGGTTTTCCGTTTGCAAATAGTTGTTGAAATTTGGTGTTCCTGCAGGGAGTACAAACTGTATAAGCTTCTATTTACCATCTTGCTCTACCCCCTCCTTGACATATTTAAGAAGATTGAAATTATGACAAGTATCTTTTCTAACCACAATTTAGTGAAACTGGAAATCAATACCAGAAGGAAAACTGGAAAACTGACAAATATATTGAAACTGAACAATACATTCTTGAGCAACAATTGGACCAAAAAATAGATCAAATCAGAAATGAAGTGTTACCTAGAGACAAATTAAAACAAACAAAAAAACCCAATATACCAAAACTTAAAGGATGCAGCAAAAGCAGTAGTCAGAGAATTCATGGTGATAAACACCTACAATAAAAAACAAATCTCAAATAAGCAACCTACATTTATACCTCAAGTAGCTAGAAAAATGGGAACAAAGAACAATGTCCAAAGCTAGCAGAAAGAAGAAAAACACAAAGATCAGAGCAGATATAAATAAAATCAAAAACAGAAAAATAATATACAGAAAATATCAATGAAATTAAGAGCTGGTGTTTTGAAAAGATAAAGAAAATTGGCAAACCCTTAGCTAGAGTAAGAAAAAAAGAGAGAAGACTCAAACAAATAAATTCAGAAATGAGAGAAGAGATATTACAACTGACACCCCAGCAATAAAAAAGATCATAAGGGACTACTAAGAACAATCATACATCAACAAACTGGATAACCTAGTAGAAATATGTAAATTCCTAGAAACATATGACCTAACAAGACTAAATCATAAAAAATAGAAAGTTTCAACAGACCAATAACTAGTATGAAAACTGAATCAATAATTAAAACCTCTCAACAAAGAAAAACCCAGAACCAGGTACCTCATGGGTTAACTCTACCAAGCATAATTGTAAAGAAACATCAATGTATTTCTATTTAATTAAATTGTTTTTATCATAAGTAGTTGTTGAATTTTGTCAAATACGTGTTCACCATCTGTGGAGGTCATTATGAGATTCAGGATTATATGATTTTTCACTGTACATGTGTTGATATTATTATATGTACAATAAAGAGCTGGAAAGTTAAAAAAAATCAAACAAAGAATTAATGCCAATTCTCACCGAAATATTATTTTAAACGAAAATTTAAGTTCAGGGGTACATGCACAGGTTTGTTACCAGGTAAACCTGTGTCGTGGGGGTTTGTTGTACATATTATTTTATCACCCAGGTATTAAGCCTAGTACCCATTAGTTTTCTTTCTTGATCCTCTCCCTCCTCCCACCTTCAACCCTTCAATAGGCCTCAGCGTGTGTTGTTCCCATTTACATGACCATGTGTTTGCATCATTTAGCTCCCACTTGTAAGTGAGAACATGTGGTATTTGGTTTTCTGTTCCTGCATAGTTTGCTAAGGATAATGGCCTCCAGCTCCATCCATGTCCCTGCAAAGGGCATAATCTCATTCCTTTTTACGGGTGCATAATATTCCATGGTGTATATGTACCACATTTTCCTTATACAATCTATCATTGATGGATATTTAAGGTGATTCCATGTCTTTGCTATTATAAAATGTTAAAAGGAATTAACATTTCCAAATTTATTTTACAAGGCCAGTATTATTCTGATACCAAAGCCAGATAAGGACACCACAAGAAAAAAACAAAAACCTACAGATCAATGTCCCTAATGAATTTACCTGCAGAAATGCTCAACAAAATGCTAAGAAACTGAGGGCAATGGTGCCATAAAAAAAGTCATACAGCATGATCAAGGGAGATGTATCAATGGGAAGCAAGGATGGTTCAATAAATAAAAATTAATTAGCATGTGATACATCACATTAACAGAATAAAGGATAAAAATTATATGACCTTAGTGGATGCAGAAAATGTGTTTGAGAAAATTTAATATCTTCTCATGATAAAAACTCCAAACAAACTGGGAATAACAAGAAATTACCTGAGCATTTTAAAGGCTATATATGAAAAGCCTACAGCTAAACCTTAAAGGTGAAAACCCTAAACCTTCTTTTTATGATCAAGAACAAGGCAAGGATGTTCACTCTTACCATTTCTATTCAACATTATACTATAAGTCTTAGAGAAATTAGGCAAAAGAAAAAAATCAAAAGCTCCCATGTTAGAAAGAAAGAAAAATTGTGCCT
Source organism: Homo sapiens (assembly GCF_000001405.40). Classification (NCBI taxonomy): domain Eukaryota; kingdom Metazoa; phylum Chordata; class Mammalia; order Primates; family Hominidae; genus Homo; species Homo sapiens. The sequence goes on from NC_000017.11 coordinate 52,807,567, forward strand.
GTTTGCAGATTACATGATATATATCATGGATGTCCAAATGCAGAAAAATGAAACCAGACCCTTATCTTCTATCATGCATAAAAAGCAACTTAAAAGCATTATAAAGGCATTACACATAAAATGTGTAAGACTCCAAACGGTAAAACACAGAGAGAAATCTTTACAACATCAGTCTTGGCAAGATTTCATGGATAAAAAGCATAGGCAACAAAAGAAGAATAACAAGTGGGACTATATGAAACTAAAGAGCTTCTACGTAGCAAAGGAAACAATAAAAAAAAGTGAATAGGTAATCTCTAGTGTGGGAAAAAACATTTGCAACCAATATTTGATAAGTGATTAATCTTCAAAATATGCAACTAACTCACACAACTCAGCAGTTAAAACAACAAACAAAGAAAAAACTAACCACCCAATTTAAAAAACTGTCAAAGGATTTCAGTAGACATTTCTCCCAAGAAGGCATATGAATGACCAACTGGTAAGTGTAAAAATCCTCAATATCACTAATCATCAGAAAAAAGAAAATGAAAATCATAAAGACATACCACATCACATCTGCTAGAATGGCTATAGTTTTTGTTGTTTTTGTTTTAAGTTGTGTTGGTCAGGATGTAGAGAAACTGGAGCTCTTGCAAACTGTTGGTAGTAATGCAAAATTACTACCAACGGTAATTAGTCCCTCCAGAAAATACTGTCAAAGTTCCTCAAAAAATAATTACCATTATTTACACAGCAATCCCATTTCTGTATATTTATCTAAAAGCATTGAAATCAGGACCTCAGAGAGATAATAGCACTCTTATGTTCATTGCAGCACCATTCACAATAGCCAATGTAAAAAAACAACTTAAATGTTCATCAACAGATGAATAGATTTTTTAAAATGTAGAATATACATAACACAAATATTAAGTGTTTAGAAAGAAGGCTAATTCTGCAACGAGAAAAAGGATGAACCTTGAGGACAGTATACTAAGGGAAACCCACCAGACACAGAAAGATAAATACTGCATTATTCCACTTATATAAGTTATTTAAAATTGTTACCAGAAAAACCAGGGATTCGGTCTAGGTTCTGCTACTCACTGCACAGAAAGCCAATCATGAAGGCTGTGAATATTGCCAGGGAAGAAGGCTTTAATTGGGTGCTGCAGCCAAGGGAATGGGCGATCAGTCTCAAATCTATCTCCCTGACCACCTAAAATCAGTGGTTTATACAGCAGGGAAGAAATGTGACTCCATGAATGAAGACAGGAATTAATAAGGAGTAAGGAAGAGAAGTTGGTCAATGGGGAGCAGGTGATAGCTTAGGCAGTCACCATGGGTGAGGAATCTGGCATCTCATTGTCCAGATACAATGAACTGGTAAGTTTCTGTTCCTTTATACTATCTGTGAGGCCTGACGGTTGGTTTTCCGAGAAAGGAACTCGGATAAGACAAATGTAACTTTCTCAAGTTTTAACACTGGGAGAGTCAATTTCTAAGTTTATTCAAAAGAAACCACAAATGTAAGTTCCACGGGAAAATTAGGCTGGTTTTGAAATCATCAAATTCATAGAATCAGAGGGCAATGGTAGTTGTCAGAGCCTGGAGGGAAGGGAAATGGGGACATACTAATCAATGGGCATAAAGTTTCAGTTAAGCAAGATAAGCTCTAGAGATCTGCTGCATATTTTATATCTACAGTAAACAGTGTTGTATTGTACATTTAAAAATTGTTAAAAGGGTAAAGCTCATATTTAGTGTTCTTACCACCATATTTTTTTAAATATATGGAGAAAGAATCATTTTGTCTGTTTTCAAACTGAAAAGCTCATGGGCTTCATTTTAAACTTTTCATTGAAATATGATATATTCATATATAACTGATATGAACAAAGTATCTAATTAGTACTTTTTAATCATTTGTAATTGGTGAATGTTTCCATTTAATAATTATCCAGATCAAGAAATATCAGGATGCCATAATGCCAGAAGCTGCTCCCTTTATGCTCCAGTTAGTAAATATCATCCATAAAGGTAACTGCTGTTCTGATTTCTATCACTACACCATCAGTGTAGCCTGTTCTTGGACTTTCTAATTTCTTGAGAGCAAATACATGATGTACCTAGGTGTGATTTTCTTTGCATTTCGCCTGATACAGTATTTGTGGAGCTTCTTAAATCTGTGGAGTGATGTCTGCGATCATATTTGAAAAATCATCAGCCAGTATTCTTCAAATATTACAACTGTTTCACTTTTTCCTCTTCATGTGAGGCCCCAGGTACATACACATTAAACTTCAAATCTTGTCCTTAAGTCTCTTTTTTCTGTTCTCTTCTCTGATTCACTTTTCTGCTATTGAAAATCTTCCAGTTCAATGATTCGCTTTTCTGCTACTGAAAATCTACTTTTCAAAATGTTATTATATATAATTTAAATTTTTTGTTGTATATATAGTTTCCTGTTCTCCAATAAAATTATTCATATTTTCTCTATTTCCTGAAATATTTATTTTTTAGACTCCTGTCTAATCTCCAATTTCAAGATTACTTATTATCTTATTTCACTTGGGAAAGGGGTTTCATCTTTCCATCCTTTCTCGGCATGTCTGGCGATTTTTGTTGAATGTCAACCATTGAATATAAATAATTGTAGAGCATCAGGATAATCTTTCTCTCTCTCTCTCTCTCTCTCTCTCTCTCTCTCTCTCTCTCCATATATCTAAACTAGTCTGGAAGACAAGGGATATGAAAGCATGGGAGAATTTGTTAACGGACCAAGAATGGAAATGAGATATATCAACTTCATCTACACTAAATTAGCCAAAACTTCACAAATTCTGAAAAATGGTTTACGCCAAGGAGGGAAGGGAAATGTTTTGGGCAACAACTAGACAGTCTCTGCCACAATGACAAAAGAGAGTTCTAGACACTTGACTATACTAAATCATCCATTCCACATACATTTCGAGATGATAATTTCCTTTTGAATCTTAACATATACTATATTTTCATTCCCTGATATTTGGATACTATCTTTATATAGACAAAGTATTTCCTACTAAGGAAAATACTTCAGAAGAAAGAGAGCAAGTTCCTCAATAAATTTGTATATTTTTTATTTTCTTTTTATTTTTTATTAATTTTTAACTGATAAAAATTACATATATTTACTGAGCATAACATGTTTTGAATATGCATACATTGTGGAATAGCTAAATCAAGCTAATTAACATATGCATTATCTCTTTTAAGTCTTTCATATCATGTTATATATTTCTGGCCTCAGAGTAGTCACTTACTAATTGCTGGCTAAGTTATTTTAACGATTGGATTGTGTAATGTGTTGTTTTATATGAGTTATTCATTCAGAAAATATTTTTATATGTAGACATTTATATCCATATGGTGTTACCTAGCTAGAAAAGCAGAGATTATTAATAATTCAAGCTTTAAAAAAAGACTAGGAAAACACTATGGTAAGAGACTGAATTATTCAGCTTGGTTTCTACGATGATCTGATTCACAGCTTTTATTATTGCACTTTTCCTATGTTGACATTGTCTAACCCCCTCATCTATTTTGGCTCATCAAATATTTGCATGTGTATCGAAAAAGACTACAGGTTATTAGAATTTAAAATAATTGAGATAATTTGGGTTGGTTATTATTATAATATCTGCTTAGTGAATCTGTTCTGAGAACAACACATGGTTTCAGTAACTCATGAAACAAACCTCAAGGTGTTATAAATAAATCAATAAAACTTTTTAGTGTTTCATGAAGGTTTTTTTTCACCCAAAACTATATTCTTAAGAACATTCTTAAGTGAAAAATGAAAAGAGTTTCTCTAATGAAGGCATATTTTATTCCATCATGCCACCAGTTTGATCTACCTAATACATAAATTTGATCATGTTACTACTTCTCTTCATAAAATCTTTCAGGGGCTTCCTGTGATTACAGGATGACAGGAGACCTCTATAATCCTGTCTTCTAACATCTGTGCCTTCAATGTCATATTGCAACAGTATTGCGTTTCTTAGATTCAGAATAGGATATTACGTTGAATATCTCTGCTATTATTTGTGCTGTTCTATTCAAAATTCCTTTTCTTCTTGACATACTTTCTAATTCCTATTGATCTTTTACAGCATAAATGCTATTTTTCTACAAAAGCTTTATATTATCCCTCTCCTCACATAGTCTAAATAATGTTTTTTTCATGTATATTCCAAGTGCAGCATATTATATTGTTTAGTACTTATTTTCTAATGTATATCACTGTACTTTTGGACTATAAACTCTTAGATGAAAACAGAGTATTATTAATTTATTACATGTAATCCATAGTGACACTCCCAATATATAGCAGGTGCTCATTTAATGTTATTTATTGAGTTAAACTGAACTAATAAAAACATAATGTGTCACAGGAAAAGAAATACCATTGGCTGTTACAATTATTATTGAAATTTATATTTGGATAAATTCAGTACAAATCCATTAAATATCCAAATATTGCCAAGGCCCATATACCTATTGCTTAATAGACATCAGTAGTCATAACTTGGACCCTGACTTCCAGAATCAACAGCAACTCTTTGGCAAAATTATCTTTGAACCATGTTCCTCTGGGACAAATTTGCTTGAGGCCTGAAACCATAATAGTTAAAAGTTCTCTTCATTAATCTGAATAACAAATGCCACTATGTATTGACCAACTCTTTTAGTTTAAACTGTCAGAAAGCAAAATAAGGCACAGTTATCTGTTATGGGCAAAACTCATTGCATAAAACCAGCAGAAAGGCAGATGCCTAAAATGTCTTACTCTTTAGAAAGAGACATATAATATTTTCACACATACTTCACTGTTATACTTTTTAAAGGTATCAAGTTACCATTTGACAATTACTAGTGTCTTAGCCATAAATAATCTAGTTTGTTTGGTAGTACCAATTAACCCTGAAATATCAGTGACTTCACACGTGAACTTTATTTCTGATTCATGCTGTATATGTGACTCAATCTGCAGAGTGCTTACTCCACATAGTCCCTTAGGACCTGAGCTGATGGGTGCTTCACCAAGAGGAACGTTGTTGAATGACAAAGGAAGAAAGATCATACGTGGAATTCTCATACTGCTTTAATATTGTTTGACACAGATGGGACATACTTTACTTCTACTCACAGCAATTGGCCAGAGGTAGTGAGAGGAAACTAAGGAATCTCAGGGAATATATGAAATAAACAGATCATTACTATAGATGCCATAATTATCAAACAAGCTTTCTGGAGCAATAACTTGTATTTTAGTGCACCTCTTTAGTCTACAAAGGTTACTTAATATGTACATCCCACCTTGTGCTATAAATAATCAACACACAGGTACAAGGAAACCTGATTCAATAAAAGAAACACTGGAATTAAAGTTCTAATATCTTTGTGAATCAAAATGTAATTCATTAAGAAATCTTTAAGTAGCGTGAAATGTGGAATAAAAAAAGATTTAGGATTCAGACAGACTTGGATTCAAAGAGAGTATATTTAAGTAAACTGGGACAAATAGTTAAATCTCTCTAGGCCTCAACATCTTAATCAGTAACATAAAGGTCTTTTTACTTATATTCTCAGAAATAAAGGAGGGGACACACAGTGCCTGGGAAAATATTGTAGAAATGAAACAAACAAAAGAGATATTGCATATTGCCACTTACAACTTTGTGTCCTTTGATTATTCAAAAATATCATTAACCAAATGTGATGATGTCCTCCAGTGAATATACGGACTAGGGAGGAAGAAAGGCAACATATTCTGCCCAAATGAATACACTACAATGTGACAAGTGCCCCAGAAGGGGTGCATGTATGCTGCTTTTAAAATCCAGAAGTAGGAGAAGAATGAGCACTTGAGATAAAGGGAAGGCCAGGAACACTTAGATAAAGAATATAAGTAGAACGCATAGAGATGAGAAACAGGCTTAATAATTCATAACACATCAAAGTGATACATTAAATGTGATGCTGTATTTAAAGTGCTCAGAAGAGTGTTTGGTCCAGGGCTAGCATTCAACATATGATAGTTACGATACTCTTGTAAATTGGAAGGGTTTCACAAGCAGAATGGTACCAGCTCCTCTTTGTTACCTCTGGTAGAATTCAGCTGTGAATCTGTCTGGTCCTGGACTTTTTTTGGTTGGCAGGTTATTAATTATTGCCTCAATTTCAGAGCCCATTATTGGTCTATTCAGAGATTTGACTTCTTCCTGGTTTAGTCTTGGGAGGGTGTTATGTGTCTAGGAATTTACCCATTTCTTCTAGATTTTCTAGTTTATTTACGTAGATATGTTTATAGTATTCTCTGATGGTAGTTTGTATTTCTGTGGGATCGGTGGTGATATCTCATTTATCATTTTTATTGCATCTATTTGATTCTTCTCTCTTTTCTTCTTTATTAGTCTTGCTAACGGTCTATTTTGTTGATCTTTTCAAAAAACCAGCTCATGGATTCATTGATTTTTTGAAGGGTTTTTTGTCTCTATCTCGTTCAGTTCTGCTCTGATCTTAGTTATTTCTTTTCTTCTGCTAGCTTTTGAATTTGTTTGTTCTTGCTTCTCTAGTTCTTTTAATTGTAATGTTAGGGTGTCAATTTTAGATCTTTCCTGCTTTCTCTTGTGGGCATTTAGTGCTATAAATTTCCCTCTATACACTGCTTTAAATGTGTCCCAGAGATTTTGGTATGTTGTGTCTTTGTTCTCAAAGAACATCTTTTTTTTTTTTTTTTTTTTTTTTTTTTTGAGACAGAGTCTTGCTCTGTCTCCCAGGCTGGAGTGCAGTGGCAGGATCTCAGCTCACTGCAAGCTCCGCCTCCCAGGTTCATGCCATTCTCCTGCCTCAGCCTCCCAAGTAGCTGGGACTACCAGCGCCGGGAACCACGCCCGGCTAATTTTTTTGTATTTTTAGTAGAGACGGCAGGGTTCGGGGGGCGGTTTCACTTTGTTAGCCAGGATGGTCTCAATCACCTGACCTCGTGATCTGCCCGCCTCGGCCTCCCACAGTGCTGGGATTACAGGCGTGAGCTACCACGCCCGGCCAGAACATCTTTATTTCTGTCTTCATTTCGTTATTTACCCAGTAGTTATTCCAGAGCAGGTTGTTCAGTTTCCACGTAGTTGTGAGGTTTTGAGTGAGTTTCTGAATCCTGAGTTCCAATTTGATTGCATTGTGGTCTGAGAGACAGTTTGTTGTGATTTCTGTTCTTTTACATTTGCCAAGGAGTGTTTTACTTCCAATTATGTGGTCAATTTTAGAATAAGTGCAATGTGGTACTGAGAAGACTGTATATTCTGTTGATTTGGGGTGGACAGTTCTGTAGATGTCTATTAGGTCTGCTTGGCCCAGAGCTGAGTTCAAGTCCTGAATATCCTTGTTATTTTTCTGTCTCGTTGATCTGTCTAATACTGACAGTGGGGTGTTAGTCTCCCACTATTATTGTGCGGGAGTCTAAGTCTCTTTGTAGGTCTCTAGGAACTTGCTTTGTGAATCTGGATGCTCCTGTATTGGGTGCATATATATTTAGGATAGTTACCTCTTCTTGTTGCATTAATCCGTTTACCATTATGTAATGTCTTTGTCTCTTTTGATCATTGTTGGTTTAAAGTCTGTTTTATCAGAGACTAGGATTTCAACCCGTTTTTCTTTTTTCTTTCCATTTACTTGGTAAATCTTCCTTGATCCCTTTATTTTGAGCCTATGTATGTCTTTGCACATGAGATGGGTCTCCTGAATACAGCACACTGATGGGTCTTGACTCTTTAACCAATTTGCCAGTCTATGTCTTAATTCGTGTATTCAGACCATTTACATTTAAGGTTAATATTGTAATACATGAATTTGATCCTGTCATTATGATGCTAGCTGGTTTGCCTGTTAGTTCATGCAGTTTCTTCATAGTGTCAATGGTCTTTACAATTTGGCATTTTTGCAGTGACTGGTACTGGTTGTTCCTTTCCATGTTTAGTGCTTCCTTCAGGAGCTCTTGTAAGGCAGGCATGGTGGTAACAAAATCTCTAGCATTTGCTTGCCTGTAAAGGATTTTATTTCTCCTTCACTTATGAAGTTTAGTTTGGCTGGATATGAAATTCTGGGTTGAAAATTCTTTCCTTTAAGAATGTTGAATATTGGCCCCCACTCTCTTCTGGCTTGTAGGGTTTCTGCCAAGAGATCTGCTGTTAGTCTGATGGGTTTCCCTTTGTGGGTAACCCAACCTTTCTCTCTGGCTGCCCTTAAGATATTTTCATTCATTTCAACCTTGGTGAATCTGAATGATTATGTGTCTCGGGGTTGCTCTTCTTGAGGAATATCTTTGTGGTGTTCTCTGTATTTCCTGAATTTGAATGTTGGTCTGCCTTGCTAGGTTGGGGAAGTTTTCTTGGATAGTATCTTGAAGAGTGTTTTCCAACTTGTTTCCATTCTCCCCATCATGTTCAGGTACCCTAATCAAATGTAGATTTGGTCTTTTCACATAGTCCCACATTTTTTGAGGGCTTTGTTTCTTTTCACTCTTTTTTCTCTAACCTTGTCTTCTCACTTTATTTCATTAAGTTGATCTCCAATCACTGACATACTTTCTTCTGCTTGATGATTCGGTTACTGAAACTTGTGTATGCTTCATGAAGTTCTTGTGCTGTGTTTTTCAGCTCCATCAGGTCATTTATGTTCTTCTCTACACTGGTTATTCTAGTTAGCAATTTGTCTAACCTTTTTTTCAAGGTTCTTACCTTCCTTGCATTGGGTTAGAACATGCCCCTTTAGCTCAGAGTTTGTTATTATCCACCTTCGGAAGCCTCCTTCTGTCAATCTGTCAAACTCATTCTCCATCCAGTTTTGTTCCCTTGCTGGTGAGGAGTTGTGAGGAGAAGAGGTGTTCTGGTTTTTGGAATTTTCAGCCTTTTTGCACTGGTTTCTCCCCATCTTTGTAGTTTTTATCTACCTTTGGTCTTTGATGTTGGTGACCTATGGATGGGGTTTTGGTGTGGACATCCTTTTTGTAGATGTTGATGCTATTCCTTTCTGTTTGTTAGTTTTCCTTCTAACAGTCAGGCCCCTCAGCTGCAGGTCTGTTGGAGTTTGCTGGTGGTCCACTCCAGACCCTATTTGCCTGGATATCACCAGCAGAGGCTGCAGAACAGCAAATATTGCTGCCTGATCCTTCCTCTAGAAGCTTCGTCCCAGAGGGGCTCCCACCAGATGCCAGCCAGAGCTCTCCAGTATGAGGTGTCTGTCAGCCCCTACTGGGAGGTGTCTCCCAGTCCGGCTACACGGGGGTCAGGGATCCAGTTCAGGAGGCAGTCTGTTCATTATCAGAGCTTGAACACTGTGCTGGAAGAACCACTGCTCTCTTCAGAGCTGTCAGGCAGGGACGTTTAAGTCTGCTGAAGCTGTGCTCACAGCTGTCCCTTCCCCCAGGTGCTCTGTCCCAGGGAGATGGGGGTTTTATCTATAAGTCCCTGACTGGGGCTGCTGTCTTTTGTTCACAGATGCCCTGCCCACAGAGGTGCAACCTAGAGAGGCAATCGGCCTTGCTGAGCTGTGGTGGGCTCCACCCAGTTCGAACTTCCCAGCTGCTTTGTTTACACTGTGAGCATAAAATCACCTACTCAAGTCTCAGCAATGGCGGATGCCCCTACCCCAACCAAGCTGGAGCATCCCAGGTTGATCTCAGACTGCTCCACTAGCAGCGAGAATTTCAAGCCAATGGATCTTAGCTTGCTGGGCTCTTTGGGTGAGGGACCCACTGAGCCAAGCACCAGAGGGAATCTCCTGGTCTGCCAATTGCAAAGACCATGGGAAAAGCACAGTATCTGGGCAGGAGTGTACCTTTCCTCCTGGTACAGTGTCTCACAGCTTCCCTTGGCTAGGAAAGGAAAATCCCCCAACCCCTTGTGCTTCCCAGGTGAGGCGATGCCCCACCCTGCTTCAGCTCACCCTCCGTGGGCTGCACTGACTGTCCAACCAGTCCCAGTGAGATAAACCAGTTACATCATTGGAAATGCAGAAAATCACCTGCCTTCTGCATTGATCTCACTGCGAGCTGCAGATTGGAGCTGTTCCTATTCGGCCATCTAGCCGGAAAATCCCACTTTCAGTTTTTTGAGTTACCCTCAGTTTCCGTGCTTTTTCTGTTTATGTGTGGACATCTTCTCAAAACAGTTTATAACCATTTGTGTGTGTGTACCCTTGTTCAACTTCGCTTTTCATTCTCCATGAGTTCCATATTTCCTGAATTACCAAAGCATTTAAGCAGAGTGGATTTTGTTAGGGATCTCAGGAATTTCAATGCACTATTAAATTTTATGTTTTAGTTTGGGGCTCTTAAACTTGTAGGTAGTATAAATTAAGACTCCATACCTACATACATTGAATGCCTGGGCTTTTCATATTTACTTTCCTGCCCAAAGTCCACACAAAAGAAAAGCTTTTTAATTGTTTCCTTTGCTGAAAGATTGGATGAGATTTTTAGTTCATAAGGATAGACAGAATTGTGGGGCTTCAGGTTTAGGCAGGGAGAAAAGTTCTAGTTTCCTGTCTAAATTTCATCCATAATTATATCCTTAGAATCTCTTCCTTGTCTAAATATCTCATAGGTCTTCAATTTATCAGCCTATCTACCATTGTGATTTTATTTATTTCAAGTACCTCAGGGATTTGTCTCTTTCATCTGCCTCGGTTGCACATTTTAAATGTTATCAAGCATCGTTTTTGTGTGTTTACAGTTAACTATGTGAGCAGAGTTGGCCATGTCACCTGAGTCTAATCATTGGTTTGAAGTACAAAGAATTTAGTTATAAGTAGTAATGGGCATAAGGTATAGAACTGTGGATGATGAAAAACTATCCCTCTCTATTTCTAGGTAAGCAAACCAAAATATACACCTTGTTTTAAGTGGCTTATTATTTATATATTATACAATATAAAGACTCTGCTTTTCTTGTGTCGGGTATCCAGATATGTTATTCTAATATATTAAATGAATATTCAAAGCTTCTAGGAAGGGCATTTTACATTTCTATTGTGAAATATGAAGAGCTGTTGGACTTATTGAGTGAAAAGTAAAACCCATCCAAATGTGTCTCTAATTAAATAGTTTTGCATTATTAATCTGGTAGAGTTTAAACTTTTGTTTTAAAATAGGTTTTGAGCTTTAAAATTCCCTCAGCAAAAAAAAAAAAAGCCACTGCAAGGATAATTCTGAACTTTCTTGAGCCTATGAGTACATGTCTAGTTTGAAGGTCACTATTTCCTAATAAAAAAAAAAATGAGGTGTGACAAAGTGATAAGCTTGGTTTTTAACAAGAACACAATACTATACATAACAAATGAAATTTTCTCACATTTATTGGATAATTAATTTATTTAGAATCTCTTGTCCCTACTTAATAATGCAGAACTTCAGCTACTGCCATACCCACCTCCCTCTTCCCTTGCTTTTTTCTTCTTAGTATTTTTGGAACCATCTAAAAGGTTTCAAACAGTTACCCTGAGGGGCCTGCAAGTTTTAGCCCCAACCCCTAAGTAATTAACCTCCTCTATTCCATTCCTTGCTTTTTCCTCCCAAGTAATGATTCCTACGGGTTTATTTTCTTTCATTCCTTTCACTTACCTTCCCATCATGACGTCAACCAACATGGAGCTTCTTTAAAAGGTATGCACCCACCGTGCACTTCTGCCTCTCTCACTGGCCATGGAGTGTGCTTAACATCCAGCAAGTTCCTGCTGCCTGCACTGATGTGCTAGATTTTTTGGTTTGTGCACAGATTTAATGTAAAATAGAAAAAAAAATGTTTTTTTCTTGTCTCTGTTTTTTGTTTGTTTTTTAGTATTATACTTAAAAATTTTACTATCAAGGCAGAGCTGCTTATTCTCTAGTGTCTTATAACAGTCATAGGAAGGAAACCACTGTTAAATTTTTGCTTGTAGTTTTCCCTACCTCAAGGGTGACTCAAGATACTTGTGAGCTGGGGATTGGGTCAAAAAAAAATAAAATGTCTTTAATCTTTCTTTCAAAGAGATTCCAGTATATCCTACAGCTTTGGCATCCTTGGCAGTGACTACCTCACAAACTCAACGTGATAACTCTATCTTTTGTTCAAAAACCACTTATGAAGGTGTCAGCTGGGTTTGGTGACTCATTTGTAACAAATAAAGTAGGAGAAGAAAACTCGCAACTCTAAAGTGAAGAAACCTGGAAGACATCACCTTAGCCAACTGATCACATTTAACATGATCAGTAAAAAGTCCTGTTAACACCAGATTCATAATGTGATGAAAGGGCTCTTCACCTCCACGGTATTCTTCTCCAAAAGCAATAAACCCAGTGTAGACATGAGAAAGCATTAAATAAATCCAAACTGAAGGTCGCTTTGCAAAATAACTGACCAGTACTCTTAAAGGAAGTAAGGTCATGACAAGAAAAGAAAGACTGAGAAACTGTCACAGACTACAGGAGACTGAGGAGCCATGGGAACTAAATACAGCATGGTATCCTGGATCAAATCACAGAACAGAAAAAAGGCATGGTGAAAAAACTGGTAAAATTCAAATAAATAATTCCATGTAGGTATTTGTATTCTATCCACATTAATTTTTTAGTTTCAATAAATATACCATGATTTTATATTATGTAAAAACTAGGGGAAACAGGACATTACTAATTATCTTTACAACTCTCCTCTAAACCTAAAAATATTTTAAATGTTTTTGTAAACAAAATATTAAGCTCCTCTAATTCAAAAATCTCATATTAATAGAACCTCACTAGGCTGTGCTAGACCTACTTTTAAGAACTAGGTCACCATATCCTTGGAGAAAAAGTGATATATTCTGAACCCAAAGATAATCTGTTGTATTCTGGATGTTTTTTCCTGAAGGGAACGACCCTTAATTAAGTCAATAGTCAAGAGTCATCACTTACTGGAAGAACCTCATTACCTGCCTAGTGTTTTAATCAGAACTTGAATTTAAGCAACCAATGGCATATTTAGTTGGATAAACTAAACTGAAATTAAATTTAAAATATGAAAAAGAAGCAGAGCATGGTGGCTCACGCTTGTAATCCTAGCACTTTGAGAGGCCAAGGCAGGTAGATCACCTGAAGTCAGGAGTTTTAGACCAGCCTGGCCAACATGGTGAAAGCCTGTCTCTAATGAAAATACAAAAAATTAGCTGAGCATACTGGCGCATGCCTGTATTCCCAGCTACTTGGGCGTGGGGGGGCAGGGGAGGAGGTTGCAGTGAGCTAAGATGGTGCCATTGCACGCCCGCCTGGGGGACAACAGCGAAACTCTGCCTCAAAAAAAAGAGAGAGAGAGAGAGAAAGACTTTCTCAAAGGGCAGAAAACTTTCATAAATTCTTGTGACATATACTGTAGCCGACTGCAATACAAATGAGGCAGGCTGTCAAACTTCTGTATAAAATCTGATCCCACCATCTATCCAATACCAACAAAAGTCTGATTTCCATTAAGGTGGAAGACTTGTGATGATGTAGTATTTTGTATTCTGTTCCTTCCAAATGGCAGAGCATCTTCAAAAAAATACATTAGGGTACATTTAGGTATTTCATTACACTTTGCTGGGATAAATGGGCCCTGGATTTTTACACTGGAGGTCTATTTATTGGAAGAATAAATGACATATGCTTTTGACTTTATATTTCTTTAAAATCAATCATTCTGTGTTTAGACTCTTCTCCAAATTGCAGAAGCAGATTAATGCTGCAATTATCTGTGTTAGTAACTGAATGACTCTGATAGCAAACCTCAAAGACATATTGATTTCACAACCTTTCTAAATAAATACCCCCTCTCACCAATCTCAAGTAAATAGCCACCTTCTGCCCTAAACACTTAATAACAAAGTGGTCTCTTAGGATTGAAGAAAGTCACGACACTGTTCACTCATCCAAAACTTCCCTTGCTAAAACCATTTTTTCTTCTTTTTATTCCTATATTTCCATCAGTTTTTAACTCACACAAACCTCACCTTTCTACCACATTACACTGGACCCATTGCAATATCCTTTTCTGCCTTGCTTCCAACCCTTCATTCAGAAGTTGCATGCCCAGGCAAAAGATAGCACTAGTTATTGCACACAAAGTTACAAATATCTCTAATGATTAGCATGATTATATAATTTAACATCTAAATGACAGCCCTTTTGAGATTAAGTGGGGACATAAACCAAATGGGATACTAGGACAAAAGGCATAAAGTGACACTGTCCATGAGAATGTGGCATATGGTCATCCTCCTGATAAAACTCAATGTGAGGCTTTCCTCTAAGAAAAAGGAAAGTTTCATCAAGTGAAGACTTAAATTTAAAAAACAATAATTTGTAAATTTTTAATCTCAAATAACAAGCTGAAGTCACAGGATTTTACCCACTAAGGGAGATCTTGCCTGAACTAAAATAATATGTCTATTTTCTATCTTCAGTTCTTCATCTTTTAGGAAACTCTAGTAAGACAGTAACAAATGTAATTAAAAATTACTTGCACATGTAGTCTTTTAATTTAAAGTACTATAATAGCTATTATCTTTCTTAAACTGTGTAAGAACTCTTGCGCTTGTGCAGATTGACATTGCTCCTTTTGTAGATGAGGACAGTGAGTCAAAATTTAAGACTAGGATGCTGTCTATTTATTTTTCAGTCAAAAAAAAAAAGAGGACACTAACTACCTTCATTCTTTTATCTGTCAGACTCTGTGTTGGAGATTAAGATGAAGATGATGCAGTCTCTTCTTCCATGTTGCTTATGGTCAAAGTGGAAGAGATAGACAGGTATTGTAGACAAGACTCACTTTTTGTATCCAGTATATTTTGTATTAAAGCATAGCAACCTACTTACATTCTAAATCTGCTATGACAGCTGCCCATATTTTTCAATAGCTTCATATACAATTTTTGGAGCTTTAGACACAGCTAAAGTTGTGTTTAGACAAAGGTAAAGTTTTTGTTCTTTTGTTGTTAACTTTTTTTTTGTTCTCTGAGAAATCAGGGAAGAGATCTTTTCTATGGACCAAAAAAATAAGGGAGGTAAGTTTCTGAATGGGCTCCTTTCTAGAGAAACATATGACAGTAGTGATTATAGACTAATGGCCAGGTGAGCTAGGCACTTATGTGATGTCTCAAGAGTGCGACTTATCAAAAAAGAATAAAGACACACGTTGACTACAAATGAAAATATTGGAAGCACGCTGGGTTAAACCAAGGTAAGTTGAATTAGGTCATAAGGAACAAAAACCAGGTGGCTCAGCAGTGGGCAAGGGTACTTTTAAGATAGCTTTGGAAAAATACTTTTGTTTTTAAAAACTGATGCTAAATCGATCAGCTTTATTTAAAATTTTTGCAATTACTTTAAAGCAACCACCACAGGTAAGTATGCAGAATAGTCTTGATTTATCATACTCAAAATGGGATCTAGCATCATTGGCATCACTGGGGAGCCTTTCAAGACTGCAAAATATCAATTGAACAAGATGCCCAGGTTATTCCTATATGCAGTAGACTTTAAGAAGCACTGTTATAATGGGATAATTTATACAATGCACTCTCAGATCATATTTTAAGAGTTGCAAGTTTTCATAATACCCTTGCAGAGGATCCAGGCCAGACCTACATAGAACAGTTGTTTGAATAGGAAGTGGCTCAAGTTTCCCAATAAAGCAAAGAAAACTTTTAAAATGACAGCTTTGTCTCTGAAAAGCAATGGCTTATTGCCAATATTCTGTTTTGGTGATTGCCAAGTAGGTCTGACCTTTATTGTACCTAGCATAGATTGCAGTTCCTCTTCCAAACTTTCATTCCCATGGGGGCAGTTAACAAACTGATTCCAATTGTTTGTTTCATGTTCTTGTGAATTCACCATAGACAGCATATTAACTAGGTCATGTTATGGGAATGGCATATGCTAAAACTTTTAATAAAGGTGGTGGTGGCAGGAGATACCACTTTGTTTCACTTTTGTTGTTTGAGTGAAAAAGACATCCTTTGGGTAATTTATCAGGCACTGGATATTTAAGAAATTTGCTTGGGGGAAAAAACTTATGGTCAATGACTTCTTAGGACCCTACATTTTTAAAGTTCTCCAAATGCAGTGTAGGATAAAGAGCATGATTATGAAACTGGGCAATCTAATATTACCCTTATAAGCTACATGACTTCCAGAAAGTTACTTAACATCTCAAAGTTTCCATTTTCTTATCTATAAGATAGAGATAATTATATTTACCTTGAAGGAGAGTGGTGAGATATAACAAGATTTTATATATATATATATATATGTCAGATATATACATGTCAGATATATATATGTCAGATATATATATGTCAGATATATGTATGTGTCATGTATATGTCAGATATATATATGTCAGATATAAATATATATGTGTCAGATATATATATCTGAAGTACCTAGCCCCTGTTTAGCCCTTTATAAATGTTAGTTTTTTTTTCATTTATTGTCACCCTATTTCTCTAAACTGATAAAAGTGTGAAGGAAAAACCATTTGAGCTGTTTATTTTCTTATTATATCATCTTGGAAAGCACAAACAACCAGGGGAAAGAGACTGCATAAATGGAATGAATATTACATTTTAAACATGATGATATCATATATTCAAACAATACTGTTAGAATCTTATTAAGCTGGGAGCACATTATACTATCCTTAAGTTCTCTGCTATAAAAATACCTAATATGCTAGCTTATGAGGTTTCAAAACAGCCGCAGACACATTTACAAAGAACATATTTATTTCCAACCTACCATCTACTTTGAGCTCTCACTTTCAGACAACAAACCTCTCCCAAGCAGCAATATCATCCCCTGCCATCCTACATATACACAAAATGTTGCAGGACTTTTCCTTAGTTCAGCTAAAGACGGGGTTCTTTGTCCCACAGCCACAAAAATTCAGGCTCACAAACAATGTGAATGGTAAATGGTAAAACAGGGTTTTATTGGGTAAAAAGGAAGTAAAGGGGGAACCAGCGACTCTCCCAAGGCCAAAGTCCCTGCTAGAGTGCTTCCCACCCACAGCTTGAATCCCAGATTCCACACAAGAAGAGGAGGAGGCCGACTTTTCCCCACTGCAAAGGGCATGAACTTCTGTGGCTCCACCCCAGTGCATAGGGCGGTTGGGGTTTTTCCAGGGAGCCCCTCCCACCTGGCTCTCATTGTGACACTCCCAGATAACTGGTAGCAATAGTTATGGTTGCTAGGACTTGGGTGCATGATGCTGGCTTTGGTTAGTTCCCTTGGTCTTACTTTCCCAAAAAGGAAACCTCTGGGCAACAGGCACCCTATTTATTCTCTATTTATTCCATTACCTGGCAGGATTTGCAGGATAATTGTTCAGAACTAGAATATTAATCCAGATTTCTACATTACCCATCCCTCTTGTTCTTTCTGAGCTGCAGCCAGGGATTGATGGTTGGTTCACAGGAGCAAGTAAGGTTAGTCTAAAGTGTAGGCAAAAACTTAAAAACAACTAATGAGTTTAGAATGTAATGACAAACGTATGGTAAGTTTTGGAACATAATTTCTCTCCAGTCCCCATTTTTGTTAAAAAAAAAATTATGATAAGGACTGAGTGGTTTGCAAAATAGACATTAGCCTTATACTTGGCCTGATTACCTGCATAAAGTGAAGCAAGAATAACTATTTCTACATAGGTCTTTTGGATTGGCTTTGACGGAAGGCTGTTTCACAAGGAATCTCAGGTAAGACCCTTTTTTTTGAGATGGAGTCTCGCTCTATCACCAGGCTGGAGTCCAGTGGCGCAATCTCGGCTCACCGCAACCTCCAACTCCCTGGTTTAAGGGATTCTCCTGCCTCAGCCTCCCGGATTGCTGGAATTATTATTATTATTATTATTATTATTATTATTATTATTATTATTTTTGTATTTTTAGTAGAGATGAGGTTTCACCATGTTGGCCAGGATCGTCTCTATCTCCTGACCTCATGACCCACCCGCCTCAGCCTCCCAAAGTGCTGCAATTACAGGCATGAGCCACCTCGTCCGGCCAGATAAGACCTTTAAAAGCTGAGCCCAACCATGGGTTTGTAACCTCAAAACACGTATGAGTTGGGTGATTCTCTCCTCTTAAGGACCCAAGATAAACTGGGAGCTCCTAGACTTGTTAGAAAGTGACATTTTTTTACAGACCACAGGTCAGGAGCCCTGTACAGGGACTGCGTAGATGAAGGTATGAGGCCAGTTTCCCCCATGGGGCATTTACAGGCTCTGCAAGTCAAGCTTGACTCCTTAAAGGGAAGCACACCCTTCCAGTCAAAGCTTTGGTAAAATAATCACTTTCTCCAATTGTGTTCTGTTGCAAAAGAAAAATTGATTCTTATTGTACTGATGCAAACAACCATATTGCCAGGAGAATACTCACAGACAGTTTCCAAATTTTAGAGGAACCAGGCAGAGAGAAACAAGCATGCTTCAAATTTTGATCATAGGGGGTATAACTTACTCAATTATTAAAGGCTGTAAATAGTTCAAAATAAGTTTCCTTGACTCTGAACAACAAAACAAGGATCAGCAATATTCCAAGCAAAAGTCAAAAAGATTTGCTTCAGCTTCCTGAGTTCAGTCCATTTAGTTAACTCATTTTGCTTGACATTCGTGAACATTTCAGCTCTCTGAGTCCTGTACATTTTCCTTTATTCCAATGTTACAATCTCTAAAGTTGTTAAAAGGCTGTATTTGAGAGCACCTGTTAAAGTTATATAGCTCATTATAAACCATCCTTTGAAAAGGATTAAATAAGACAACAATTGTCTGTGAATTGCAAAATGTCCAGGGTAGTTACAGTTAGAAACACAACTGATAAAGAAGTTTGGTTATCTCTGTGGTTTACAATAACATAACATAAAAACCTTAATTATGATTCATAGCATATACTCGGACATTAGAATTTTAGATGCCCCATACAATTTTGGAACATATATTAGCATTAATCACCAAAATATAACCTAAAGAAGATTGGCATCATTTTGGCAATCCCACGTACCTAAACATGTCAACTAATCCTGTTTACCTGTTATTTCTGGACACTGATCAGGGGCCCTCTGAAGTATTCCAAAAGCTAGGTGCCAGGGAAGACAATTTTGAAACTGAAGTTTGATTTGGGGAAGGCTGTTAAATGTTCAAGGTTTAAAACACTTGGTATTATGAAATAGAATTCCAGACTAGCACCAGTTATTTATTTTTGCCGGAATGATAACTCAGAAATTCTAAAGAAGCAAAAACCTTTTATAACCGTTTACAAATTTTGCCAGAGAGCATGTTAGCACCTTAGGAACACCTTGTTACGCTTTTATTTCAATGCCCAATTTACAGAAAAAAACATGTAATACTCCTTTTTTAATTTAGTTAATATGTTCACATAGAGAACCTCTTCTGCAAGATTAATTTCCACAATTATTCCACCGCTTCTCTGAAACTTCATCTTTTTCCTAATTTAACTCAAAACAATCCTTTAACACTAGGCAAAAGTTTACATTTCCATGCCTTCTTATAACTTTTTACAAAAACACACACACATACACATTTTACTGTTTTTACACTCCTTGCGTGTACATCTATTTCTAGTAGTTTCAATTAAATCCTAGAAATTTTAACTTTAAGGTAAAACTTGCTAAGTTGGCTTTAATTGTGTGCTAACTGCAGCCAAGGTGTGCCTTCATGGTTAGTTCCATAGGTCCCCTAGCCTTACCAGTTGTGAAGCCGGCAAGTCAAATAGTTTTCAAAACCCAAAAAGCAGTTTGTAACTTCAAAACACATAGCAAACCTTGCATCTGACCTGCATTTTACCAATAGTCTTTAGGGCTGTTTATATTTGTTAACGAGTAAAGTCACATGAACTGAAAGATACCACAGCTTTTATCTTCCCTTTGAAAAATATTAGATGCAAGCAATTGCCTTTCTTTAAACCAAATTAATTAGAGCTCTTTTTACAGACATTACACACAACACACACAGGCAGAAGAAAACCCAGTCTCTGTGTAGGGCCCTTTAAAAGACAGGGCTAGGCAACTATGCAGATATCTAACCTGAGAGTGCTCATCCACTAAGGTAGGGTTGCTAAACAAAGCCCTGCCAAGTAGTTACTGGCCATGTCCCCAGGATGTAAAACAAGATGAAAGCTTGATTTCACAACCAAAACTTGGCAGAGAATACAATGACAGTTTGGGGGACGGGGGGGCGGGGCGGAGAGGCAGGGCGGGCGGGGGCTAACCTAGTAAAATTCTTCTGAAAGAAAAAAAAAACGGTCAGGCGCGGTGGCTCATGCCTGTAATCCCAGCACTTTGGAAGGCTGAGGCACGTGGATCTCCTGAGGACAGGAGTTCGAGACCAGCCTGGCCAACATGGTGAAACCCCGTCTCTACTAAAAATATTTAAAAATTAGCTGGGCATGGTGGTGCACACCTGTAATCCCAGCTACTCGGGAGGCTAAGCCAGGAGAATTGCTTGGACTCAGGAGAGGGAGGTTGCAGTGAGCTGACACGGTGCCACTGCACTTCAGCCTTGGCGATAGAGTGAAACTCCGTCTCAAAAAAAAGAAAAAAAAAAAACTTTAAAGATTAACTGCCGGCAGGGTGAAAGGGAAGGAAAAAATTACAGTTTAAAAATGCCTGAGGAAGAACCTCTTATTCTTATGCAAGTGGTTCCTCCACCAGGGAGAAAGTTTAATTCCTGTCCTATGGAGCTGAATCTCTTGGCTGGAAAAGCGGAAGGCTCCAGCAGCAGCACTTGGTGGCTAGGACCCTTGGGCCATGCGTCCCAGCCCCTGCAGGGAGCGGGAGCGGCGTGGAACTGCTGCTCGACAGTCCCTCCTGAAAAAGGAAGGAAAAGGCCATGAGGATGAAAAGGCTCAGAAGGGAGAAGGAAAAAGAATTCTCGGTTTGCATCTTACTCACCACTTCTCCAGCCCCCAAGTTGCGTGCCAAAAATGTTTCAGGACTTTTCTGTAGTTCAGCTAAAGACGAGGTTCTTGTCCGTCCCACGGCCATGAAAATTTAGACTCGCAGATGGTTTAAAGGGCGAGTAAAGCAGGGTTTTAATGGGTGAAAAGAGGCAAAAAAGGGGGGAAACACATACTCTTCGAAAGCCAGAGTTCCTCTGCTAAAGTGCTTCCCGCCAGGCCAATCGAATCCCAGGTTCCACACAGGAAGAGGAGGGGCCAGGATCCTCCCTGCTGCAAATGGCGGGAACTTCCTGAGGTTCCACCACAGCGGATAGGCTGGCTGCATTTCTCGGAGGAATCCCCTCCCATCTGGCTGTCGCAAAAATGCTCCAGGCTTCATTTTTTTCCACATTGCTTTTGATCTATCAGGATTATTTACCACCCCTATTTACCATTGCTTTCAATTATAAACATAATAAAACAAAATAACTCCTATTACTAGCAATAAATGACGTAAAGAATATCCTTACCTTACCTTAACAGGTATTGTGTATATATTTTAGCAGAAATTTATGGGGGTGATATTTCAACCCCCATGGAGTGTCTTTGTCCGTATTACAAATATGGACATGGAGTAATTTGTCCATATTAGATATAGAGGTAAGAGAGGGAGAGAGAAGGCATTGAGGGGAACAAACTCGAAGGGTAGCTTCTAGTTCTCCTTTGATCACCTACTGTTTACATGAGGACTTGACTATAGTAACCAATATTTAGTGATCCAATATTTAAATACTTTTAAATCTGAAACAATTTATTTTTAAGCAAAATTCTTCACAGTACTCATCAATATGTATTCTTGTCAATTATTTTTTTAATAAGAAAAAATAGTCATTTGGTTTAATCTTTTTAAAGAGGTTGTAAAGATGAGATACTATAAAAGCTTTATAGCTGAGATCCTGATTAGAATACACCTATGAGTTTTGTTAACAATTAAAGCAAAGTTCCAAGCTAGGAAGAAATTGGCGCTTATAAGTATTTTAAAACTGTTTCTTCCAAAAGTTAATACATAAAATAACTTTTTTCTCACCAAAAACATAGCAAAAAAACCCTATAAAACCAGCATGGAGTGGCAATATAGGTCTTACTACAAAATGAACAGCACTATATTCTCATTTTTGCCTGTCACATCATTCTATTATTGATCAAGGGAGAAAGTAGTCTAAAATTCCACACGGAGCTGTTAATACCTGTGGTTTGGGGACTTTTTTTGGGGTACTGCTATAATAAAATACCTTATAATGAGTAATATATAAACAATAGATATTTATTTTTCACAATTCTGGAAACAGAAGTCCCAGATTAAGGTGCTGGCAAATTTGGTGTCTGGTGAGGGTTCGTTTCTCATAGATGGTTCCATATTGATATTCTCACTTGGAGAAGGAGCTGGAAGATTTGGGAAGTCTTTAAGGCCCCTTTTATAAGGGCATTAATCCCATTAATGAAAGCAGAGCCCTCATCACCTACCACCTCCCAAAGTGTCTACCTTCCATCACCTCAGGGCTTAAGTTTCAACATATAAATTTTACAGGAGCATGTACATCCAAACCATAGCAGGATGAGAAATCCCTTTCACTATTTATAAAATTTCAAAAAAAAAAAACCCCAGTGATCTAGAGAGGCAACAAAAATAATAACTCAATTCTGATTATGTGAAAGCTTGAGGGTTTTGAGTTAACAATATCTTCTGAGAGAATGCCCTTAGATCTTCTTAAAGAGATGTTAGTGTTAAAACCACTACAAGGATATATTTGTCATCTATATCTGTATAGTCTAGGATCTGTTGTTCAAATGAGTGATTCAAGTTCACTAAAGTCGTTATTCTTCCTTCATTATTTACCAATATGCTATAGACGAATTCAGTCATTCCTTGTAGAGCAGCTACCACACTGCTAGCTGAATCTGACCAAAACTTTACAGATTTTCCAATATTTTAGGTACCATGTATTTGTGTTGAATAATTGATATTCTGTTTTCTCAGAACTGTCTGGATAACTACATAGAATACATTTACTAAAGACAATTTTCCATTTGTTATAAGTTTTCATTGTAATTCACTCTCCACTACCAATGGGGATAGACTGACGCCTTAATGGATATTTCAAGTACGAATATTACCGCTTCATATTGAAATAAATTATTTTAGGCAGAAAACTGCAAAATGGTATTGTCTTTCCCAGAATTCATAAAAATAATACCAGTTCTCTGTTTCTCAATGTCTGTTATTAGGAGGACTCAGAAAAACAAGACAAACCTGCTATGAACTCTTAAGTTTCTGGCCAGAGGTTTAGTCAGTAAACTATAATTGATCTGAAAGAATGTATGATATATCTAGTATGCAGTAATTTAGGCAGATTCATATTGAAGAATGATTGAATATGAAAAAATCTATTCCTACTTTCTTTGTTGCTGCACATCAAACTGCACATCAAACCTTTATTCCAATCATAGTTTAAATAGAATCACTAGAAATATTGGGCAGAGGTGAGGCTCTACATAATTGTTAATCACCCCATATGCAGCCATCTCTCAAATTCAAAACAATGATTAAGAGGCCTTAATGCACAGTCTTGGTTTCAATTGTTGTTCATCCACTCACTAACCAAACATTTGTTGACTAGCAAATACATTTAAAAATAAATGAGAAACAGAACCTTGCTTTCAGAAGCTCATAGCCTACTGGGAGAAGTTGAAAGGTAATCACACGATTATAATAAGACAGTGGTAACTTTTACAGTAGCGAAAGTTACAAAAAAGCAATTGGAGAGGGTGACTAGAAATCTATGCAAAATGTTCATTTGGGCATAAACAGGTAGGTTTATCTGGACCCAGCACATTGAGAAACTGGGAGAAGGTGTAGAATTAGAAACAGTGTAAAGGATGAATGAAACCTGCCTCAGGTATGAGAACATTAAACATATTTAAAATAGATTCCAAGGTAACATAAAATAATAGATGATCCTCAATTTAGAATGGGGCTATATTATGTTTTCAACATACAATGGGTTTACTGGGAAATAACCCCATCATAAGTCCAGGACTCTACCGAATGTGTTTTCATTTTACACCATTGTAAAGTAAAGAAATTACAAGTCAAACCATCATAAGTTGGGCCCTGGCTATAAAATAATTCACTACACACCCACTCTCTGGTATTTTGTTACAACAGCCCTGGCAAGTGAATACAACAGGTGACCAACAGGAGTTGCATATTGATAGCTACATAGAATGCAGAACAGCTAGGATTCAAACACTAGAATTCTTATAGCATAGTCCATACACTTAATTCTCTCACAATAAAACTTTCATGACAAATGTGGAAACTGAGGTAGCAAGTGGAAGTCACATGCCCCATGTTGCACATTTGTGCAACCCAGAGCCGGGATTTAAACTAGCTCTATTTGATTTCCTCTGAGATAATCTAAAAGAAATTTTATGATTCCTTAGATAGTCAGTTTAGCTAAAAGCTGCATTTCACCTAGTTTCAACTTTCCTATAAGTGAGTGTTGAGGAAATGCGAGTTTTGACACATGTATACAGGCTACTAAGTTAATTTCCATGGATGAAAAATGGCAAAATTTTGCAAAGGAGCTCCATAGTCTCTTAAGGCACTAGCGTCATATTTTACATCAACTCCTAACTGCCCCTGTTAAGCCATGCATCATATCATTCTTCATAATATCAATTTAAACACAAATTTTATTTGTCAGGCTGATGTTGAAAGCCTTTTAGTGCCTTCAATAGCTACCAGAAGAACCATTACGATAGATGCCCTAAATTATAAAGCGTTTCCCAGGAGTCTGACTACTCACATGTTTTAGTTAGTGACTGAGGAATTGCAAGCATCAACCAGGACTGATTATCAGTTATATAATGACTTAGGTCAAAGCTTCCTCTATTCTGGCACAAATCACTCCTTTAAACTTTGGACCTCATCCTAGCCTACATGTGGAAAAGGTCCTCACATTCTAAGGGTTAGGGAAAAAAAAAGAAACCTTAGGGACACTAAATTAAATTCTACAATTCAAAGTTCTTCCCATCAAATTATATAAGAAACTTCTCATGTTTAAATGCATTTTCTTTATTGCAATGGTTAGTACTGTAAATTATTAAATTAGTAACAACATTCCTCCATGGGAGAATCTGATAATGGTACTTAAATACCACCAAGATTAAACATTTTTGACAAAGTACCATAGTATAGTGGGAAAGTGGTAGACAATGTCTACAATACAGCAGATTTATAATATTTGTGGAACTGTTTCTGAAATAATAAAGTCCTTCTACCTTCACTGACTCCAGACTTATGAAAAGTAAACATAGATTTATGGAGCTCCAGGCCCAATCCCTTACTAGTTTTTTTAGGACTATCTCCCTTCTAGAAATGTCCTGGATATGTACAATTTTCCATCCATCCATCCATCTTTCTGGGCTGCATGCCTACGATGGGTGGCAAGCACTGTTTCATTACTGGGGATATGGCGGAGCACATTCCCAGCTATGGTGGCCATGGGGAAAGCCTCCTTCTGCTTGAGAAAAGAAGAAAGAAAAGTAAAGGGGACTTTGTGCTGCAGCTTGGGTACCAGCTCAGCCATGGTAAGGTAGAGCACAAAGCAAGCTTCTGTGGTCCCTGATTCCAGGATTTGGCTTCTATAAAGAATTTCTGGACTTATGCTAGGCCAGAAAAGAACCCACTTACCTGAAGGGGATGTTCCAAGTCTGGCAGCATTCATCATAAGCTGACTTTAGAGCCGTTGGGCTATGAATGAACATCAGCAGGAGTCAGGCCGTATGTCCCCTGGACCCTGGGTGGTGGTGGCCATGAATAGGAGGAAACAAGCAGATTCCTCCTGCTTGAAAAAAGAAGAGGAAAGTGTGGGAGAGACTTTGTCTTGTGGCTTGGATGCCAGCTCAGCCACAGTAGAATAAAGCACTAAGTAGATTCCTAAGGTTGCTGACTTCAGGCTATGGCTCAAGCAGAAAAGTTAGTAAGATTGAAGACAAGCTCTGAAACAGGTAGAAAAGACAAAACAAAAAAGAATAGAAAAGAATGAAGCATACCTACAAGATCTACACAGTACCTCAAAAGGGCTAATCTAAAAGTTATTGACCTTACAGAGGAGGTGGAGAGAGATATTTGGGTAGAAAATGTATTCAAAGGGATAATATTGAAGAACTTTCCAAATC
This sequence comes from Homo sapiens, assembly GCF_000001405.40. Taxonomy (NCBI): domain Eukaryota; kingdom Metazoa; phylum Chordata; class Mammalia; order Primates; family Hominidae; genus Homo; species Homo sapiens. The sequence goes on from NC_000017.11 coordinate 52,833,781, forward strand.
TGGAGAAAAACATTAATATTTAAGTACAAGAAGGTTGTAGAACTCCAAACACATTTAATATAAATAAGACTAAAAACATAATAATCAACTTCCAAAGATCAAGAACAACAACAGCAATAAAAATACTAAAAAGAGCAACAGAAAAGAAACAACATACAAAGGAGCTTAATACATTTGGCAGCAGACTTCTCACTGGAAATGTTATAGGCCTGGAGAGAGTGGCATAAAATATTTAAATGTAAAGAGAAAAAAACCTTTTATCCTACAATAGTATATCCAGTGAAAATACCCCTAAAACGTGAAGGAGAAATAAACATTTTCCCAGACAAACAAAAGCTGAAGGATTTCATCAACACCAGACCTGTCCTACAAGAAATGCTATAGGGAATTCTTATCAGAAAGAAAAAAATATTAATGAGTAATAAGAAATCAAGTGAAGGAACAAAACTCACTGATAAAGTAAGTACACGGAAAAACAGAATATTATAACACTACAATTGTAGTGTGTAAACTACTCATGTCTGAAGTAGAAAAACTAAATTGTGAACCTATCAAAAACTATAATTACACCAACTTTTTAAGACCTAAACTGTATAATAAGACATAAATAGAAACAACAAAGAGTTAAAAAGTGAGAAGATGAAATTAGAGTATAGAGATATTAGTTTTCTCTTTGCTTCTTTGTCAGTTTGTTTCTGCAATTAGTGTTGTCGTCAGTTTAAAATAATGGGTTATATGATATTGTTTGCAAGTCTCATAGAAACCTCAAATAAAAAACCTGCAATAGAGACAGAAACACCTAAAGCAGAATATTAAAACATACCACCAGAGAAAATCACTTATGAAAAGAAAGAAAACAAGGAAAAAGGGAAGGAAGGGAAGACCACAAAACTAACAGAAAACACATAAAAATGGCAGGGGTAAGTCATTATTGTGAGTAATAAGTTTGAAGGTAAATGGATTAATCTCTCCAGTTAAAAGACACAAAGTGGCTCAATAGATAAAACAATAAGGTCCAATAATCTGTTGCCTTTAGGAAACACACCAAGACACATATAGACTAAAAATAAAGAGATGGAAGAAGATATTCCATGCAAATGGAAACCAGAAAAGGGCAGAGGTAGATATGCTTCTATGAGACAAAATAGATTTTAAGAAAAAAATATAAAAAGAGATAAAGAAGGTCATAATATAATGACAAAGGGATCAATTCAGCCAGAGGATTCAACAATCGCAATTATATTTGAAACCAACACTGGACCACCCAGATATATAAAGCAAATATTATTAAAGATGAAGAAAGAGTTTGACCTTGATAAAATGATAGCTGGAGCCTTCAGCACCCTACTTTCACCATTGGACAGATAATCCAGATAGAAAATCAAAAGACATATCAGTCTTAGTCTGCACTGTATACCAAATCGACCTGGAAGATATTTACAAAACATTTCAACCAAGGGCTGCAGAATGCACATTCTTCTCCTCAGCACATAGACCATTCTCAAGGATATCCTCATTTTAGGCCACAAAACAAGTTTTAAAGTAATTCAAAAAATTAAAATTATATCAAATATCTTCTCTGACCACAATGGGATAAAACCAGAAATCAATAACAAGAGGAATTTTGAAAACTATACAAACCCACACCAATTAAACGATATGCTCCTGAATAACCAGTGGGTCAATAAGGAAATTAAGAAAATTTTGAAAATCTTTGAAACAAATGATATTGGAAACACAACATACCAAAATCAATGGAATACAGCAAATACAGTACTAAGAAGAAAGTGTATGGCAAAAAGCACCTACATCCAAAACGTAGAAAAAGTTCAAATTACTGTAACCTAATGACACATCTTAAAGAACTGGAAATGCAAGAGCAAATCAAATGGAAAATTAGTAAAAGAAAAGAAATAATGAAAGTCAGAGCATAAACAAATAAAATTTAAATTAATAAAATACAAAAAGTCAACAAAATGGAAAGCTGGGTTTTTTTTGAAAAGAAAAAATTGACAAAACTTTAGCCAGACTATTTAAAATAGAAAGAAGACCCAAACTAATAAAATCAGAGACTAAAAAGAAAACATTACAACTGATACAGCAGAAATTCAAAGGATCATTGAAAACTACTCTGATCAACTATAGGCAAAAAAATTTGAAAATGTAGAATAAATGGATAAGTTTCTAGACACATACAAACTACCGAGGTTGAGCCATGACAAAACTGCAAAACCTGAATAAACCAAGAGCAACTAATGAGATCACAGCTGCAACAAAAGTCCTTATTGTGGGTATGGGGAAGTGGGAATGGTTAAGGGTTACAAAAATGTAGTTAGATAGAATGAATAAGATCTAATATTTGATAGCACAACAGGATAATTACAGTCAAAATAATTTATTGTACATTTAAAAATAACTACAAGAATATAATTGGAATCTTTGTAGTACAAAGAAATGATAAATGCTTAAGGTGATGGATACTCCATTTACTCTGATGTGATTATTACACATTGCATTCCTGTATCAAAATATCTCATGTACCTCATAAATATATCTACCTACCTTGTACCTATGAAACTTAAAAATTAACAAAAAATAGATGTGGAGGAGAGAATATTAGAAAACATTAATATTATTGCTACATACAAAACTTTCCATATAAAGTTAGAGACCAAATTACATTTGCAATATTTAAATTTTATTAATTTCATTATTAAATTTACATAACAACATAGAAAAAAAGAAAAACCAACCAACTGTTCTGATTAGGCATATTAGGATGCATAGGTTCTGTGACTTGCAAATGTTCAGTTGTAGAGCCAGGGCCAGAACATAGCTATTTTGATTTCAAATTATTTCTTCTTTCCATTTTACTCTGAGGCTTCTTGGGAGAACAAGAAGTGAATAGGCTCCCACAGTACACAACCAGGAAATGATTATTTTAAACAATGGTAGTAACTCCCTTTCCTAGGAGTGTGTTCTGGTTCCTCAAAATCTTGGGTCCTACATGTTGCCTACTCCAAAGGTTGTTCAATGGTTTTCTGGTATCTCTTTTAGAAGATGTTAATAAGCAGAAATGACAATTTCATCATAAAAAAAACTTTTAAGAAAAGGAAAAAATTAAGTTATCCATAGAGAATATGTAGTGTGATCCAGGCTCTTCACGAAGGCTATCTGCATAGGATTTGTTACTTCCCTTTATAGAAAACACACACATACACATACACACAGAGTAAAATAAAACTCCACTTACAATCCCATCATGATTCAAAATACTTATAAATTGCAAAGCAAAAATCCCTGCCTGTGCTCCCTTCAATTCCACACTACTCCACTCCTGCTTTGGTCTGGAGTCTTCCAGACTTTTCCTAATGCCATTATATAGAGCACACTATTACTTTCTATCTCAGTCTCCTTATATTCCCGCAATACCCCCAGTTTAAAAATTTTATACATACTCATCAGCAGCTCACTTTTTTATTCCCCTTAGTTATACATCATCCACATTCATATGAATTTAACATTTAACACAAACTTGTAGAAAAAAGTGTGTGCTTATAATTATTTACCCAAATAAGAACATTAAGGATCAGATTTCAGAAATCATGCCCAAAGCCACAGAGTAGTGGCAAAGTCAGATCATGGATCTGACTCCCCCTTATTTCACACCCCATTCCCTTTTCCCTAAAATATGAAGTCCCCCTAGGAGAAGAGAGGGCACCATCCACTCCCTTCATTGTTTTATGAACAGTCTGCTGATTAGCATCAGATATACTAAGTCTATCAAGGATTTGGATATAATCCACTGAACTTTTGGGTCTAAATTCCACCTGTTACTAAACCCTCTCCAAAAGTAAAAGCTGTGAACAATTTAAAGAAGCACAGCCGGTGGAGGCAGCTGTGGGACTAGTCGGAATTGGCACCACCACCAAGGCTGACAGAAGCTACAGTGATGTTGGGGAGATGCCTGTGGCTTCTGAGCCAATTCTCTTTTCCATGTTGCTGACATCAGGAGGTTTCCAGACCTGGCCATGTGCATTCAAGCGTTGTTTACTTGCTTCCTGGGTGAACACAGTGGCATTAATATCTGAACCAACCATATCATATGCTTTGCTTTTATGTAGAATTTTGAATGCAAAGGTTGGACTTTCCCACTTGACTCTTTCTGCCATTATCCTAAAGGCAATAAGATACACTCCTGTTTCAGACATGACATCTAATTAGCAGGTAAGTCCAGCCTTTAGCAACTAATACTCTACTTGGCACACAGAGATTGCTCAATCAATTTTGACTGATAGAGTGAATGAACAGATGATTGGGTAATGTCACTGGATCCCCAAGTGGGCTTTGTTTGCTCACAGTGGGTGTATTTGTCAGGGTTCTCTAACAGGACAGATCTAATAGGATAGATGAATATATGAAGGGGAGTATATTAGGAGAATTGACTCACATAATCACAAGGTTAAGTCCCGCAATAGGCTGTCTGTCAACTGAGGAGCAGGGAAGTCAGTCCGAGTCCCAAAACCTCAAAAGTAGGGAAGTAAACAGTGCAGCCTTCAGTCTGTGGCCGAAGATCTGAGAGCCTCTGGCAAATCACTGATGTAAGTTCAAGAGTCCAAAAGCTGAAGACCTTGGAGTCCCTTGTTTGAGGGCAGGAAGCATCCAGCGCAGGAGAAAGATGGACGCCAGGAGACTCAGCCAGTCTAGTCCTTCCATGTTCTTCTGCCTGCATTTATTCTAGCATCACTGGCAACTGATTAGATTGTGCCCACCCAGATTGATGGTGGGTCTGCCTCTCTCAGTCTACTGACTCAAATGTTAATCTCCTGTGGCAACAACCTCACAGACCCACTCAGCAACAATACTTTGCATCCTTCAATCTGAGCAAGTTGACACTCAATATTAACCATCACAGTGGATAAGGTCAGAGCTTTAAGGTATTCCAGTCAAAACAACTTCATTGAAACGTCTGTGACATAAAACAAAGAACATTCAACTTATAATAAGAAAACTAGAGTCTTTGTCCTGAATCTTCAGGCTACATGTCTAGAGATGAGTCACTTAATCTCTCTGTGTCTCAAACTATTCGTCTTAAATAATGGAGTGGGGGCACTATATGATAGCTCTATTTCAGAGTTCTTGCATGTCATTAATGAAAATGTCAATGTGGTCTCTTAAACCACTATATAAAATAAAACAAATAAAATGTTGGTCGTATAGGAATTTTACCTAACAATTAGACGCAATACTAAAGATTAGGCACAGTTTTTGTGGTTAGGATACTGACCAAATAATTGTGGCAGCAAGGTAGATATGGAATTACTGGAAACATAATTTCCCTAATGCACAAGAAGCCCAGGTAAGCTTGATGCAGCCCAGGAAGATAAATTGGATTTATCAAAGAAGTCTTGTAAAGCAGATGAAGTTGAAGAACATAATGTTCTGACAACCTAAATCATTACTAATTCTCAAAGCTTTTCTGAGTTTGTGTAAATATTGAAATTAATTTCTCTTAGGAATAATGCCACTATGGACTCTGAAAACCATGTGGACACTGTCTCCTGAGTCTGCCCTTAAACTAGTCCTGGAAAGATTGCCAAGCTGTCCCTGTATCACAGGAGACAGATGAGAAAGTGAATGTGTGTCATTGACTGCAGCCAGTCCAAGACCATCTCTTCCTCTGTTCCTCACTCTTTCAACTTTTCCTTTTTCCTTCTGACATCTTTGGTTTCAGATACCCGTTTCTGACTTCTATTTTGTCTTGGCACATTCTTCTCTGTCTAAGTGACCTCTTCAACCCTTCCTAACCCATTTGGACTCTCAGCTTCCTGTGTACCCAGTTTCAGCTTCTTTGCAACTCCTGTTAAGGTACATTTTGCTGCTAGCCTTGACCTTGCAAGAATCACACCAGGTAGGCTAACCTTACCCCTTGTCTCTCACACTGACCCTACGTCTCCCCATTACAAGAGGGAGAAACAAGTATTTCTGATTTTTGCTGAGTGAATACAGATAGGGAATGGAAGTGTGAAAGTTCAATAGCTCGGTCCTTATTTACCATCTCTAGAGAGTCCTATCTTTTTCATCTCTACCTGTTCTTTTCTTCAGCTTCTAGGTTCCTAGGTGAATAATTCAGACTTTACTTATTTATTTATACCAGGTGATCGGAGGTATCTTACACATAAATATAGATGCAGTAAGATGGAAAAACTTTGGTTAAAAAAAAAAGAATAAAAGATGAAAATCCAAGTAATCAAAATGGAAGAAGGAGAAGAAAAATAAAATTCAGAAAACCAAGGCTATTAAGAGTGATGACAATTAAATCTATTATGTGCGTCCCAGTTTCTTAACAGCTAAAAACTGAAGAAACTTGGTGGGTCATAAAGTTCTCATTTTTGATTAGCAAGATACAGATGAGTTTATAAATTAAAATCAGGCTGTATCTTGGGCTGGGCTCTGAAGAAAAATAAAATTCCCAGTAGGTCTTCATATAAGGGAGTTTAAATAAAAATAAAGGATATTTGTAATAGTTTTACTCATCCCCCTCAAAACAAAATACTCCTTTATTCCATATATGACTATTTTTTATACTGAAACTCAGTAAAATTTGTGGAAATACATTTCAATCTTGTTCAGTAAAGATAACTATACACATACCAGAAAGAATAAATTGACTGTGAAGAATAGACATGGGCTCCTTCAAAGACTCTGCACCAAATTTGCATTAATTTTTTTTTTCTTAAGGAAGGTCTCCTTGATTATATGAAATATATGTTTGTGATCCTCCAATACCTGGAGGTACCTTGAATCAGCTATCATGTAATCTGGGTAATCTCTAAGGCAGTTTATGGAATTTGAAAAGTGACTAATAACTTTTATTGACTGGCCTTCAAAACATCAGCCGTCTCTTCTGGGCTGCTAACATTGTTGGTATGATATGAAAGGGAAGCTATTATTGACAAATGACAGTGTATCCACAAACTCTAAATAATATGACTATTCAATGACTACTCTCAAAATCTCACTATAAATTGTCTTTGTTAAATGCAGTCAGTACTGAAATAAAAAACGCAGTTTGTACTTTTAAGAAACGTTTAATAGGAAACAAATATGCATTACAATATATCATGAGTACTATTATTACAATATATACAAGGAGTAATGAGAATATTAAAGAAAAAAAACACATGCTTGAGAATTTCCAGGGCAGTGAAAATACTCTGTGTAATAATTATAATAATGGATGTATGCCATTTTCTGCTTTTCAAACCCATAGAATGTACAGCACTAAAAGTGAATGCTAATGTAAGCTACGGACTTGGGGCAATAATGATATGTCAGTGTAGGTTCATCGATTGTAACAAATGTACCACTCTGGTGGGAGATTTGATAAAGGGAGAGGCTGTGCATGTGAGAGGAAAAGTACATGTAGGCTATCTCTGTACCTTTCTCTCAATTTTGCTGTGAACCTAAAACTGCTCTAAAAGCTAAAGTTGTTAATAAAACAACAACAAAATAGTGTGCTTAATTTCTGTGGAAGAGCTAGAGACGGATTTACCCAAAAATAAAATTAACACATGTAATATTTTGGTATGAAAATAGATAATTAGCTCAAATTTCCTTGTTATATTAGGTATATTAGTTATTTAATTTGAAAATGATGTCTTATGGTAGTAAAAACAATAGGGAATAAAAAGAGAAGAGGAATGAGTTTAGATATTGGTGGATTATTTGGAAAGATAGAGACATCTGAGACAATAAATTCAGGGATTGGACTAGCTAGAAAAATGGAGAACTAAGATTAGGATGGAGGTGCTAACCGGGCCAGGCAGAAGATCCTGAGTGGTCCTGCCATGTTCTTCATGAATATCTGATCCACAGAACTAAAAGGATCATTAAGCAACTAAGTATTTTAAAGTAAGCAAGGTATTGCCAAGTTTTTTCTGCATAAAATATTCAATGTGTATCTCCAGAAATATGAGTATGTAGAGAGTCAATATATCTATTGAATCTTTTTGTGATGCTCAGGAATCCTGTCTCATTGCCAATACATCTGGAGCTCAGATACATCCCTTGATATCCATGGACTTACCAGCTTACATCTTATAGTGGGCTCTCTACAGAATCCATGAATACTGTTCTTGCCGAGATAAGAAGCCTGGTACTGCCAGGGACACCAGGGAAGCCTGGAAATAAAAACAAACAAGCAAAAAAAAAAAAAAAAACCAGAAGCAAAACAAAAAATACCTCTGTATTTGCATCTGCAGCAATGTAACACCGAAATACTTAATTTTGTCAAAAATAACAGCGTCAGCCGGGCGCAGTGGCCCACGCCTGTAATCCCAACACTTTGGGAGGCGGAGTCGGGCAGATCGCCTGAAGTTAGGAGTTCGAGACCAGCCTGGCCAGAGTGGTGAAGCCCAGTCTCTACTAAAAACACAAAAATTAGTCCGGCATGGTGGCGGGCACCTGTAATACCAGCTACTCTGCAGGCTAATGCAGGAAAATCACTTGAACCCAGGAGGCGGAGGATGCAGTTAGCTCAGATGGTGCCACTGCACTCCAGCCTGGTGACAGAATAAGACTCCATCTCAAAAACAAAATAAACAACATAAAAACAAACAAAAACAAAAAACAAAAAAACAAGAAACCAAAATACCAGTGCCTTGAAAACGGGACTATAAAAGATCTCTACTTTTGCTACTACCTTCTGGCTCCTCCAGAATGCTGCCCTTTCTAGTCTGTAGTGCCAAAGCCTGGTGTCATGGCTAAACCCTGCACACCAAAGCATTGTCACTGTTCACATCTTCTGCACTTACCAGGTCACAAATACATAAGAACCTGCTATCATATGTTGTGGCCAAACTTGGTCATACTCTTCTTCTCACTGCCATTAGTGAAGACAATTGTCTTTCCCCTGTAGTTCTTCAAGGGAAAGACAGGATGACACCTTCCTTGGTGTTACACTTGATTAAGAATGGTTTATTCCAGATTGGTTTTTTGGGGGGTTGGGGGGCATCATATTTCTTTATATGCACTCAGTTCCCTAGGGATTGCAGCTGGTTGAGCAGCAGAGGGTTCAGCAGCTGCTGCCTCCTCAGTGTAGCTCTCTCAAATTTACTTCTGTGTCAATAACTTAACTCAGTGCAGGGACTGCCCTGACAGCCCTAACTCTTCCAAGCATGCAGTATTATTTATCTCAGAAGTGTTGTTTACCCTGACTTTGCATGTGAATCTTGGTTAGAAAAACCTGAGTCCATTTAGAAAGTCTTGCTGGTAAAACAGATAAGAGTTTGTATTCTTCTTCCCTTGATTTCCTCATGACATTTTCCTATTCCCTTCTCAGCCACCTTCAAGCTTTACCTAACAATAATTTATCTTTATGAAGAAAAAATGTGCTATCTCACCACACAGCACAGAAACTCACATATGCATTAGTTTATATCTAAAAAAGACACAGACATAAACCTAAAGAAGGTTGTACTTCCTTGGGGAAAACAAAATCTGGATAAATATTTATAAAACAACGTGATGCAGTATAGGAAATTGGGCCATAACAAAACAGTATGTTGAAAGCTTGTGGAAATAATGCCTGAAAAAAATTCAGTAAAACACAAGACTTAACTGATTATCTTTATTTGTATTGGACCATTTCAAATAGATTGTCTGGGAAAAGCACTGAGCATGGAGTTAGAAAGTTTTTAGTCTTCCAAATCAAATTAGGAAATAGTGTGCCCCCCTTTATTTTTGCAGATACTTTCAAAATTGAAATTGTCTACCTCTACAGAAATGAAAGCCATCACAGATTATCCTGTCTCAGCAACTTTTACTGGAAAGTTGCCCAGACCTGGATAATATCAGTTCTTGTATTTTCCTTTATAAGAAAAAAAAAACTATATAGCTCAATACAAACTTTCCCTGAAGAACAGAATTATTGTATTTCAGCGACAATCTGTTATTGTGCTGTTTTCTGAATAAGTTGATTAGAAATGAGTTGAATAAAATTCAAGGGATCCTAAGTTCTACATCCTCTCCGTATTGGTCTCTTGTGTTTACAAAGCCATGTGTGAGTTAACTAACCCCCTAAAAAATGTTTGACTTGTACTGCCTTTCTGGTCTTTGAATGGTGAGAATGAAGTGAGCCACTTACAAATGACTCTACAAGTTAAAACTTCTAGGAATTCTTTCAGCCTTCAAAGGTCAGCGTTCAAATTTCCCAGTACATTTCAAATATTAGAAAAGGACTTACCAGCAGTGCTACATATTTTTGCTCGAAAACTGTAGCTAAAATTAAATTACATTAAACTCACATAAAATAAGTGAAAAAAGGAGGAAGAGAGAGAGATAAAGAAGACCCTCAATAAGTGTCATTTTGGAGGTGAGAAGTATATGGCATAGAGCAACAGCTGGAGTTATGTCCATTTAAACCAAGTTATTTCTGTTTCCATTGCCTGCCCTTTTTATTTAACAATCATCAATGTGGCAGTTACTATATCCAGATTCTGTTCTAAACACTTAACAAATATTAAGTTATCTGAGGTAGTTACAGTCATAATCTCCATTTTACAGTTGTGGAAATCGAGGAACAAAATATGTCCAGGAAGCAGAGCTGGGATTCAAATCTACGGATGTGAATGCTGTAGTCAAGGTCTTACCCACTATACCGTAGTGTTTCATTCCTGTAGGTGGGATGTTTCAATCACAGCTATGTTCCAGAATGACCTGGGGTTTTTGTTTTATTTTTTTAAAGTAAAGATCTCTGGTCCCAATTCAGATCAATGAAGTCAGAATCTATGGAGGGTAGGCCAGGGTATGGGCATATTTCCAAAACTCTGCAGTTAGTTTCTAGTTCTAACCAGATTATTTTATTTATTTATTTATTTATTTTTATTTATTTTTTTTGAGATGGAATCTCGCATGGCTGCCTGGGCTGGATTGCAGTGCTGCGATCTCAGCTCACTGCAACCTCTGCCTCCCAGGTTCAAGTGATTCTCCTGCCTCAGCCTCCCAAATAGCTGGGATTACAGGCGCCTGCCAGCATGCCCAGTTAATTTTTTTGTATTTTTAGTAGAGACAGGGTTTCGCCATGTGAAATGTTGGCCAGGCTGGTCTCAAACTCCTGGCCTCGTGATTCGTCTGCCTCGGCCTCCCAAAGCCCTGGGATTACAGATGTGAGCCACCACACCTTGCCCCAGATTATTTATTTTTAATATTTTTTAGTTATTAGAGGTACATAATGTGTATATATTCATGGGGTGCATGTGATGTTGTGATACAGGCATACAATGTGTAAAAACCACATCAGAGTAATTGGGGTATCCATCATCTCAAGTATTTGTCATATTTTTTGTGTTAGAAACATTCTGATTCCACTCTTTGTGTTATGTAAAAATGTACAATAAATTATTGCTGACCATAATCACCTGTTGTGCTACCAGATAGAACCTCTGTGCTCCAGGAAGCTTCAGCAAAGCATAATGGACAAGAGCAAGGGCTGTGTAACCAGATGATCCTGGGTTCAAATTGTAGTCATTTCCCCTATTGGAGTGTTAACTATGAGGAAGTTACCTTGCTTTCTGTGTCTTGGTTTCCTCACCCATCAACTGAGAAGAATAATAATTATGGAAATAAAACATCATACCTACTTGATGAGATTACTGTGGGTTCATATTAATACTCTTTCAGTATGTTTACTGGCATGTGTTAAAAATTTAATAGTTGTTAGCTTAAAAGAACCTTTTGCATTGTTGTCAGGGAAATGAATGGATTAGGAGAAGATCTGAGCTGGAATAATTTGATAAGTTATGATATGTTGATGAGCAAGGTGCTGCTTATTTTCTTTTTTACATTTTGTTTCACAGCTTTTAGGATATTTAAAGTCATTCCTGAAATGCAAACTTAAGAGGTCTGTGAATGTTGCACATAGCAATTATAAAAATGTCTAAAACTAACATTTGTTGAGTATAATTTGTATGTGCCAAGCATTGGCTAAGCAGCTGACATACATTATCCAGTTAAATATTTATACTGTATCTATGAAATAGTTCTATTTTTCCCAGTTTTGCCAAAAGGGAAATCAAGACTTATAGATAATGTGTTTCTCAGCATCAGATAGTGGTTTCTTTCCTCTCCTGCTCTGTCCCCAGCAACTATAACACATTTCAGGCTTATCTCATAACAATGTCTTAGTTCTATAACCAATGCCTGGATTAGTCAGCATTTGCCACTGTTATGCTGCATAACAAAAAAATCTCAAATAATAATTATATTTTGTTTTTGTTTTATTTATGCAATTGAGGCTTGGCTTTAGTGCATCTGAATTGGTTGCAGTTGGCTGAGTTTAGCGGCAAGCCAAGAATAGCTTCACAGGAGCTTCATATGTCTCTCACTCTTTTGGGCCTATAGATTATTCAGTGCATGTTCTTACAAGCACAGAAGAAGTGGAAAAGGAGTGAGTACAGACCTGCAATGAGTTAGGGAATTTGGACCCAAGCTGGCCCACTGTCACTTCTACTCACAATTGATTCAACATTGGTGAGCAGAGATGTAATCTCTGCCTCTAGCAAGAGGAACTGCAAAGTCATATCAAAAAAGGCAGAGACAGGGCCAGGCATAGTGGCTCATGCCTGTAATTCTAGCGCTTTGGGAGGCAGAGGTGGGAGGATCACCTTAGGTCAGGAGTTCGAGACCGGCCTGGCCAACATGGTGAAACACGTCTCTACTAAAAATACAAAAATTAGCTGGGCATGATGTCATGCACCTGTAATCCCAGCTACTTGGGAGGCTGAGATAGGAGAATAGCTTGAACCCGGGAGGCTGAGGTTGCAGTTACCCTAGATCACACCATTGCACTCCAGCCTGGGCAACAGATTGCGACTCCACCTCAAAAAAAAAAAAAAAAAAAAATGGCTGAGAAGCCGAGTGGTAATGAATGGCCAAAATTTCATTCACTTTGTAAGTGACATATCTAATCATTGAAATGGAAATATCTCTTATTACACAACTGAGTTTCACTTGTGAAATTCTTCTTATTTTTTTTATTTTTTATTTTTTGGCTCTTGTCCCCCAGGCTGGAGTGCAATGGTGTGATCTTGGCTCACTACAACCTCCACCTCCCAGGTTCAAGTGATTCTCCTGCCTCAGCGTCCTGAGTAGCTGGGATTACAGGCACCTGCTACCATGCCCAGCCAACTTTTGTATTTTTAGTAGAGATGGGGTTTCACCATGTTGGCCAGGCTGGTCTGGAACTCCTGACCTCAAGTGATCTGCCTGCCTCAGATTTGCAAAGTGCTGGAATTACAGGCATGAGCCACCGCGCCTGGCCTGTGAAATTCTTTTATTGAGAACCTAGGTCTGATAATTTTGAAAGGCTGAGAAAAATGAAAAAATAAAATCTCATGGCCTTTTTTTCTCCTTGATCTACTAAAGTTAAAATTAATAATCTTATTACTTTTAACTAATTTATTGAATGCCCAAATTCTGGAGAATTGTCATTTGGTAATTCACATGATTACCTATCTACATTAGGACAAATTTACTCACATTAGGCAGAAGCAATTCTACACGCACATATATACTCTTACTTTGAAGACTACAGTCATGATAGGCTATTTCCATTTCTATTTTAAACTTTGTAACCACCAGTGTTATAAGCTCTACTTACATTTTGAAAATCAAGCTTGCATTATTCAATTCATAGAGGTAGATCACTCTACCTGCTTCTTACGTTATGTCAGTGGAGATATACAGTCTGCCCTCCATATCTGTGGATTCCATATCCTTGGATTCAACAACCAGAGATAGAAAGTATTTGGGAGGAAAAGAAAGTCCAATTTCCAAGAAGCAAAACTTGAATTTGCTGTTGAATCCTCATGAATGAAGTAATGTGTAGGCATTGCATTAGGTATTACAAATCATCTAAAGATGACTTAAAGAAGATGTGTGTAGGTAATATGCAAATACTATGCCATTTCATATAAGAGACTTGAAAATCTTCAGATTTTGGTATGGGGAGTGATCCTGGAACAAATCCCCTATGGATTCTGATGGATAACTATATTTCTTTTTCATTTTTATATATACCCTAATACATGTACAAATATGTCGGAAAATGTTTACAGAAGAAAAGCAAGTTAGCTCTAAATGAATGGTCAAAGTAAAACTTCGATATTTTTAAAGAAAATTATAAACAAGAGTGACATATATATAATCCTTAATTAAATAGGGAAATAAATCTGGTAAAATGGTGGAGAAAACATTGCAGCTCAAAACCTGATCTTATTGTTTCCAATTAACAAAGTAATAGTTCTTTGGTAAGTTGCTTTATTCCTTATTTTGCATATATGCCATTCTCAAAATTTAGGAGATTTTGAGATTTCCCCAAAGCCCTCAAATTTTGTAAAAAGGGAGATTTTCACATATATTTAATTCCTCCAGATAATCTCAGCATGAATAAGAAAGGCCCACAAGATGCTTTACTGTTTCCCTTAAAGCCAAAATGCATTAAAAATCAAAGGGCTACTTTTGATAAGAAATTTACTTTCTTATTTTCCTTTTTTTTTCGAGATGGAGTCTTGTTCTGTCACCCAGGCTGGAGTGCAGTGGCTCAATCTCAGCTCACTGCAACCTCTGCCTCTTGGCTTCAAGTGATTCTCCTGCCTCAGCCTCCTGAGTAGGTAGGACTATAGGTGTGCACCACCATGCCAGCTAATTTTTGTATTTTTAGTAGAGACAGGGTTTCTCCATGTTGACCAGGCTGGTCTTGAACTACTGACCTCAGGTCATCCACCTGCCTTGGCCTCCCAAAGTGCTGGAATTACAGACATGAGACACCCAGCCCAGCAAAAATTTCTTTTCCATAATGATTCTTCCTCTTTAAATGTAACTTCTTATGTATTGAAAAGTTGGATTTAAGACCCAACATCTGAAGCTCTATAGCTTTCCAAATTAGTAAAAAGCTGAGCAAGAATAGTGTTTTTAAATCTCCACAAAAGAATCAATCATTCTAGTAATAAATGTCAAACTCTCTAGTCTTTAATTCTTGTAAGAGAAGATTATTTGATGCTAGAATTTACTAGATAATCTGATAGAGTGAGTTTTTATGTGTGACTGACTCAATTAATCCTTATTACAAACTCACAGCTTTATACTAAAGAATCATCCATAAAGAAACTTCTTAACGGAGAAAAGGCATGGCTAGGCCATGACTGATTTAGACAAAATTTTCATGTTGGTATTGATCCATTATTTTTTTCATGAAGGAAAAACAGGCACATCATTCTAATTTGAGATCAGGGACACTCACATTGGCTTCTGCTTGATACTTAGATTAAATTATTCTCCTACCTTATGAAACAGAATTTGTTTGATAGTTCAACAAAAATAGAGTTGGGAAGACAATGAAAGTAAAATTAAATTGAAGAATGGTTGAGATAGTTCTTATTTCATTTCTGCAAATGATTTTGGACAAATGGAAAGAAACTTGGAAACTGTACACTGTCACTTTGCAAGAGATCTCATAGAGGAGTGCTTGATTTAGATTCTATGGGATATGACTCTTTAAACACCAGTGCTCTTAAAATGCCACGGAATATTTATAGATATTATTAGAATAAAACTATATATGTATTTTAACTTTCTATTGTAGAAAATTTAAAATATTTATGAAAGGGTAGGCACTAGTACAGTGAACCCTTATGTACATTTAATTCATGCTCTATTTTGTTTCATATCTACTCCCAATCACTTCTGAGCACAGATATTTTAGACAAACCTGAGACATCATATTTATCCAGAAACATGAACTTACAGACATCAATATCACTCATAAATATATTTGTAGATATTTTTCAAAGGTAAGGGTTCTCATTAATATAATCACAATACTTGTAATAGCTAACATACTTATTGTCATTAACATAAGGATAACTTCTTAATATCATCAAGTACCCAGTCAGTATTCAAAATTTTTAAATTGTCACACACACACACACACACACACCCTTTATTTTAAACACAATTCAGGAAGGTCTATTTATAATGATTAGTTGAGATTTCTCAAGTGTCTTTTAATTTATGAGTTCATCCTCCGTGATTTATTGTCTTATTTGTAATTGATTTATTGATGAAACTGAGTTTGTTCCACAGTTTTCCATAAACTGGATTGTGCTGATTGCATTACTGTGATGTCAATGAATGGTTTTATTTGTTCTCTACATTTCCTGTAAATTGGTATTTAGATCTTGAGGCTTAAGGCTTGATCAGATTTTGGGTTGACTCTGGGTTGACTCTTTTTTCTCTTTCTCTCTTTCAAAAATACTTTCATTAGGAGAGACATGATGTCTGGCCCTTCTTTGTATGATACAAGCAGCCATTGGTGATCATTGCCTAGCTCTACTTTTCCACTAGGGAAAATTGTGCTTGTCTGATACAATCATGCTTTCATCATCTATTAAGTCAAATAGTTCTCTAAGAAAACCCCCCACTCTTCAACATCATGGGTACCTCACTTATGGATTTTATGGAAAATCAAGGTAAAAAGTTTTTTTTTTTTTACTTTTATTTATTGGTTTTCAAAATAAGTCACTTTCCTAGAATCCTCCGAAGATGTGCCTTCTAGATTTTTTCTTTTATTTCTATCACTGTTTACTCAAGAATTTAAACACAGTTTATATATTTCAGTTTAGTGCAGTTATTGTCAATTTCAATGATCGAAATGACTCAGCTTTGGCCAAGTGGAGCTGTAATTTACTCCTGTATACTTTTAACTCCACAGAAAATAATACTTGAAAGGTTTCTTGTCTTCTATATGACAAAAGATACTTAATGTGCATCTCCTGCATTTTCTGCCTTAGACCTAATGTTAAATATTTGCAAGGTTTCCTGGTTCCTTTTACCATTAAATAAAAGTTGGAGACAAAATCATGGTTAAATATTGCCAGTGGGTCAGTCATTGTTCCTGTGACTTTTCAGTGGATATAGATGGGTTACATGCATTTTTATTTCCAGTTAAAGGCTTCGTAAATTTATATTGATATTTCTCATTCAAACTCTGTATCAAGGTTATTACTTAACCTCTTCCATCTTCCATCTTTATTTCATTTCTTCCATCCCAAAATCACAGTTGTCAAAAGTGCCAGAAGAATTATTCATTTCTTTTAGCCATAAGGTACACACTATTGTCTCAGAATAAAAATAATACCACTCACAACAATATGACTGAGAATTTAAAATACTTCTTGCACTTGCTTTTGTCCTTATCAGCATATACCCCTTATGAAATACCTCATTTGATATATACAGTCAAATTATGGTGTTTTATGAGCATTTGGAATTGTTCCTCTTTAATGATTATGACACCAACTTGATTCACAATTCATACACCTGTTTGGTTTTGCTTCTGTTTTTTAGGAATTTTGTGAAAAGCTAATTCTGTTTTGAAATTATGGAAAATGCACCTAATTTCAAGGAAGATCTATATAACAACATACATATTGAGAGGAGTTTGGTTTCTATAGCTGTTCTGGTTGCCCTGTTGCCTTTCTTTCCTTATACATAAAAAGTTTGTTTTAATATTACATTTAACGTTACTATTTTGTAATGTTTTCTGGAACTATCTCTGTACCATCTCTTTACACACAAACATACAGCACAAACATATATATGTTTATATTATATTTTTAAATGGTAAAATATTACATACACTTGCCTCAATCTCTTTTTCACTTAGCCTTACATGCTGAATATCATTTACTTTATTGTACACAGAGATATCTCATTTAATTTTTCCAGCTTGATTTTCTCATAATTGCATTTCATGGATATTTCATAGTTTAGTCAATGAGTCCCCTGTAGGTGGACATTTGGGATGTTTTGAGTATTTTGTTACTATAACTATTGGTTCATTAAATTGCCTTTGCATAATTTTGCCTAAATAATTTTTTAATATATGGCCAATTCCTCTCCATAAGACTAGTAACAGCTTACATTCCCAATAGCAATATCTGAGAATTCATTTTCTTAAGCTTTGTCAACTAAGTCAATTATCAAACTTTTGAGTTTTTGCTAATCTGAGATGGGAGAAATCTATCTCAGTGAAGTATTAATTTACATCTATCTTATTATAAATGAGGTTTAGCATATTTTATATGTGTAAGTTCGATTTGCATTTCTTCTATGAAGGTTTTATTAAGATTCCCAGCACATTCTCTCTAAGTACTTGATAATTTTCCTTCCATTTTTAAAAGCTGTTAGACTATTGTAAATGTTATTTGTAATACAAATAAGCATTTTCTGCAGTTTGCTGTTTTAACTTGCTTCTGATGTTTCTGCTGTGCAGTTTCTTTTTTCAGTTTTATGCAATTAAATGTCTGTAGCTGTTTTCTTTTTAGTTATTTTGTAATTAATAAATAAAATTATATGTATTTGTCATGTACATGATGTTTTGAAATATATATACATTGTGTAATGACTAAGTCTAGCTAATTTATATATACAATACACAGTTAATACACATAGTTAATGTTTTTCTGGTGGGAACACTTAACATCCACTGTCTTAGCATTTTTCAAGTACAACATAGTGACCATAGTAATTAACAATATATTGCATTCAGTTTTCTTTTGGCTTTTCAATTCTGTGTCATAGTTACTAAAGTTACCTCAATCCCTGATTATGAAAAACCACTCATGTACAAAGGTTGATTTTATGAATACTTGACCTCTTATTTTATACCATGAACTTATTGGGAAGAGCATAAAGAGGATATTATATCTAAATTTCTTTCCTGTATCTGCTACCAACCAGCTCTGTGAGCCTCAACATACTGCCAAAATAAACTGAGACCTCTAAAGTTGGATTAACTATTAGCTGTCACCACAGATTATTATTAGGGTAAATTGAGAATATATTTCAGAGATGACTTCCTAGGCACAGTAAGTTTGTATAAAAATGTTTATTTTGAATTTTTACATATGATTTTCTTATATAAAATCATTTTCTGGATTAGGCTCTTCCAAAGGTAAGATTGAGTTCTGGCTCAAAATTTAACTTATCACACTATAAATCAAAGCTTATTCCTTTATCACCACTGAATTTCTACCTTTCAGCTCTTCAGTAACAAAAAGTCAGTATCTGTTTTTTTTTAGAATAAATTAGTTTTAAGTAACAATTAAACAATTATTCTCTTTTCAGTATCTCAGTACATACAACTACTTGTTCTTCTTGGAAACATCATACTTTTTCTCACCCCTAGACATTCATTAATTTATTCAAAACTTTTCTTGAATCTCCCTTTTGTCCAGGGACCCAGAGCTCTGCTGCACCCAGAGCTCACCATTTCTACCATCATATTTAGCCCTTGATGCTTCCTCTGCTGAAATGTACAATGCTTGTCCTGCCTTGCAAAACACTATTTGGTAATTTTCAGTCTCTACCTGTTATCTCTATTCAATCCACGATGTTCCACCAAATAAAGCCGTTTCCAACACCAAAAATTAAAAAAGAAATTAACCTTTTATTGATTTATAACCTATTACAAAAAACTACAAAATTCAAATATATAGAGTCAAATGAATGTTCAGAGTTGACAAAGCTGTGTAATCAACCAAATAATAGACCATTACCAACACCTGAAACTTTTCCACGTATGCTCATGCCAGATGAATACGTTTCACAAAAGTAACCATTATCCAACATCAAAAGACCTTAGATTGTCTTGCTTTCCACTTTTTTTTTTTGCTTTTGCTTTTTGAAGTTTATATAAGTAAAATCTCATAGCATGTGCTTTTGTTTCTGGATTATTTTCCAGTATCATATTGTTGATTCATATTTGTTTCTAGCCTGGGCAACATGGTGAAACCTCATCTCTATAAAACATTAGTCGGGCTTGGTGGCATGTGCCTGTAGTACCAGCTACTCAGTAGGCTGAGGTGAGAGCCTAGGAGGTCAAGGCTGCACTAAGCCATGTTCTAAGCCACTGCACTACAGCCTGGGTGACAGAGCAAGACCCTGTCCACATATATATACACACATACATATTGTATATCTGTGTATGTGTATACATATTTATTTTCTTTCTCTTCTTATTGATTAGTAGGAATTATTTATTCTGGACATGAATCAACCACTTGTCCATGTATGAACGTATATGCTCCCACACTGTGGCTTCCATTTTCACTTTCTTCATTGTGTCAATCTTTTCATTTAGATATTTTACAATATTTTCTTCTTGAAACTTGTTACATTTAAACTTGACATCCATGTGAAATTTTATTTTTGGAAATTAAATTTGATTTTGTTTATTGTGTGAGGATTTTTAACAGAAGAGAAATCTCTGTAAAAAGGCAAAATTGTAACGACACAATCTGCCGTGCACGCTTGGCCCTTCCACTCTACTACCTACCATCTCCCATTTAGGACCCAGCTGCAGAAGATAATAGAAGTCTTGGAATTTATCCCCACATGAAGGATGTGGCTTACACAGCTTACATTAACTATAGTATTAATGACTCCTGGTCTTCTACAACCCAGCAAATTTGCTTGATGACCAGAGTTTTCAGAGTTAATAAGATTAATTATAAGTGACATTTATGATTCATTTATATATGTTAGAAAGTGATCCAAACAATTTACAGATACTAACCAATCTTTTTTAACAATTCTTTGAGATAGGTACTACTATATCCATTTTACAGATAAGGCATTGAGTGATTAAGTAATTTTCAATAGTCTCACATCTGATATGTGTGAAAACGGAGATGTGATTGTATGATATGGACTAAGGCTGCCACACTCAGAGCTGTTAGCTACCAGGCAGTAGTTTTGTTCTTTACTACGGGTTACTTCGGAACCTTGCTTTAAAAAACTGATGCTATGCCATTTAGAGCCATGAATAAGGTTTATCTTCCTTTTACATCATAAACTCAAAAGGATACTTTTTCCCCCTCTCAATGGATTATTTATTCCAAGCCACCTCTTAAAGAGTGATAATTAAGTTATTTTTGGTCAACTAATCTTCCTTAGGGAGATACATTTAAACATTCAGAACTGTCTTATTTTGAGTTTGTGTTGGCCAGCACAAACTTACTTTTGCCTTTGATGCACAGTATAGTTTGGATCAAAATATTCCAACCATATTAAGCCCAGTTATTGCTTTTATTTTCAATGTAATAAACATCTTGACAACATTCTGCAAAGAAAATACCAGCTTCACCTTTTCATCCCACCTTTGTCATTCTTTCAAACTTCAAGAATCCATTAATAAACATTATTTATGAAATAATATATATATCAATGAATATTTTGAAAATTCACTCAAACATCATCTCTTTTTTTCCCACTCTCTCTGACCCTACAGCCAAATTTCTCAGTTTTCAATAGCAATTTATGCACTTTCTCTACAGTACTTATAGAGGGCTATATCACTTAACACATTGGATTACAGCTATTTCATTTACCCATTTTCAAAGGATGTATGTTAAAGACCAGGGCTGCCACCAGGCCACTAAAGCATGTTTGTCTGCAGGCAGGTTATTTTTTGCAGGGAGCTTGATTATATAAACCATTTGATTTAAAAATACATTATGAAATAATGGACCCATGTGAAGTGTACTGATTGTTGGTACATATTTAGACTCATGGGCAGAGAAAAAGTAGATATGTATTTGTTTATTGTCCCATGAAGACTTGTAGAGGTTTTTCCTAGACTCCAGGTACCTTCTCTTCCTATTTCAATTCAAGAACCAACTCTTCATGGTTTTTTTTTATTGCCAAATGTGCTGTTCTTGCCTAATTTCATATTTTCTACCTCTAGAAAGAGGTTGCAATTTTGTTATTACTCATAATTCCATGGCTCTTTGTGTTAATATTGAGCGAATATTGATCTTGCCTCTGCAGCTCCCTAATACCATTTATTTCAAGTCAATCACAATATTACTCATGACATTGCATCATTCTTTGGGAGTCCTGTGAAGGTTTCCAGTGACTCTCAAAAGTTGTTACTGGCCAGGTGTGGTGGCTCATGCCTGTAATCTCAGCACTGTGGGAGGCCAAGGCAGGAGAATCACTTGGGCTCAAGAGTCTGATACCAGCCTGGGAGACACAGTGAGACTCTGTCTCAAAAAAAAAATTTAAAAAAATTAGCCAGGCATAGTAATGCACACCTGTGCATTGGGAAGTGCTACTAAGGAGCTAAGTAGCTACTAAGTGCTACTAGGGAGGCTAAGGTGGGAGGATTACATAATCCCAAGAGCTTGAGGTTGCAGTGAGCCATAATTGTGCCATTGCACTCCAGCCTGGGTGACAGAGTGAGACCCTATCTCAAAAAAAAAATAGCTGTCATAATGCATTTCTATGCATTGTCATAAAAATATACATTTAATTAGAGAAGAAAAAAAATCCTTCTCCAGAGTACTATGTTAAAAAATGTGACTGCTGGCCAGGCGCGGT
This sequence comes from Homo sapiens, assembly GCF_000001405.40. Classification (NCBI taxonomy): domain Eukaryota; kingdom Metazoa; phylum Chordata; class Mammalia; order Primates; family Hominidae; genus Homo; species Homo sapiens. The sequence goes on from NC_000017.11 coordinate 52,856,224, forward strand.
GGCTCACGCCTGTAATCCTAGCACTTTGGAAGGCCGAGGCCGGCAGATCACGAGGTCAGGAGATCAAGACCATCTTGGCTAACACGGTGAAACCCCATCTCTACTAAAAATACAAAAAAATAGCCGGGTGTAGTGGCGGGAGTCTGCAGCCCCAGCTACTCCAGAGGCTGAGGCAGGAGAATGGCGTGAACCCGGGAGGCCGAGCTTGCAGTGAGCCGAGATGGCGCCACTGCACTCCAGCCTGGGCGACAGAGCCAGACTCCATCACAAAAAAAAAAAAAAAAAGTGACTGCTAACAATGCAAACATTTTGTACTTTTTTTTGTTTTTCTGAGACTGGATCTTGCTCTGTTTCCCAGGCAGGAGTACAGCGGCACACTCATACAACTCACTGCAGCCTCAACCTCCTAGGCTCAAGCCATCCTCCCACTTCAGCTTTTCTAGTTTTCTAGTAGCTGGGACTACAGGCGCACACCACCACACCCAGCTAATTTCTCTATGGTTTGTAGAGACAGGTTTTCACTATGTTGCCCAGGCTGGTCTGGAACTCCTGGGCTCAAGGGATCCACCTGCCTTGGCCTCCCAAAGTGCTGGGATTACAGGCGTGAGCCTCTGTGCCCTACCTGAACTAACTTTTAAAAACAGGTCTAAACAATTTAATGCTCCAAAACGAAGTGCTTCTTTTTTTCCGTCTTCTGTCAAAAAAACAAAATTACAATAAATTTAGTTATAGATCTAATTGGATTTTATTCCCAATTCATGAATCTGGCAGCCTCCATTCTGCAAAATAGAATGAAAGCTCTCACTGAACAATAGCAGAACAATGGGTTTTCATATGGTAGGAATAAGGAAACAAATCAATAGAAAAAAGCTGACTGGTTAATATCAAGTTACTTCATGTTACTTTTTTTAAGAGTAAAGAAGAGGGGACTTCTTATTAGACTGACTCAGGTAGATTGGAATCTCCTGTTTTCAGGAAAACTGTTCTGTTTGTGGATCTATCTGCTTCCTTACGGTTTTAGTTTGACTATGTGGCATTTAGCATGAATGACTGCATTTTGGCTGGGTCTCGTCTGTTTGGGCCTAGGAGCTCATTCTAAAACTACAGCCTCATATACTTTTTGTTTAGTAGCATACATTAGCAAAAATTTATTTTTCAGTAAACATGACCCATACTAAAATGAGGCTTCATTTTTTGTAATTTATTTTGCTTAATGTGAGTATTAATGCTCCTTACCGCACAAATACTAATGAATTTTAGTATGGGGTGCTACTCTAACTGCTGTAGGGGCATTGCCTAATATTTGGTATATGCCCCATATTTATTTTATAAATATTTATAATAGTCTGAATTCTCAAAACCACCTATTCCCAGGGAATTTGGGTAAGAGATTATAGACCTGTATCACTTTTTTATGAAAATGAGATGCCCTAATTGCTTGGTGTAAGATCATTAAAACTTTCATATTAAAATTTATATCTAGAATATCTAAATATTTGTTTATTTGTTATAGCTAGAAGAAAAAAGGAAACACTCAACTGGCATCTAGCCCAAAACTATTTTTTGTTCCAAAATGATTTTGAATAAAATAAGATTTATATATTATCACATTTAAAGGCACTAAAGGAGAAATGTTGCAGTTATTTTGGTGAGATATTTTGCTGAGATTATATGGCCATACACTAAACTTATTCCTAATGAATATCAATCATTATTGTCCCCTTCAGCAAGTATTGGTCTCCACTTCACATTAGTCAATATTTACCCACTCATTTAATAGAGTTTGATATTTGTCTCCACAGTAATCAATATCTATTTAATATTTAAAGAAGGAACAAAAGAAGTAAACAGTACATACAAAAGATGTTTTTCTGAATTATTCATCTCCTATGAAACCGTTTGTATTTAACTTAGTTTTTCCATATTTATCATTAATTTTTAAATTGTATCTCATTATATTGAACTCCCTAAATTTTCCAAACCTTTAGTCTTGTTTGGGATTTTGCCATACCTAATATTTATTGTAGGGAGCAGGAAATAGACACCTTCAATGTCCAGGATATTGACACTCAAAAAAGCAAAATTTTTTGTTAACCATAGTTAATAAACTCTAATTAAAAGTGGAAATATTGATGATTACCATTATTGTCAATAATGACCACTAATACCGAAGACAAATTTACATAAAATGTGATTCTTCTCAGTATAAATGCGATGTTAAGCGCATAAGCGAAAGATTGCTTTCTATATATCTTTAGTACCAATGTTGTAAATTCACAAGTTACCCACTCATACACAAATGCACACACTACACATACACACACACACATACACAAACACACACAACTTTGTTGATGTATCTTTCTAAACTTTAGAGGTTTAAACTATGGTTACTTTTTAAAACAGAGTTTAACTAAAATCTTTCAAAGAATTATTAACTAATTAACTAAACTAGTTAATAGTTAATAGTTAATTAACTAAATTAACTAAATTATTAGCTATTAACTAAAATAATTCAAAGAATAATTTTTAATCAATTACTGTTCATTACTCAGGTTTAAACCAATAGCAACAGCATCATCCAACCTTACGTAACAATAGGATTTCAATCCAATAAAGCTTGATAGAATAAATACATTACTAAGAATTATTACTAAAAATTTAAGGAGGAGGGGTAGTCACTTTCATACATAAATACTTAATTTTATCAGTTCCCAAGATGATTCTCATGCATTATTTAAAATTAGAGTTATAGGCCAGGCACAGTGGCTCATGCCTGTAATCCCAGCACTTTGCGAGGCCGAGCCAGGTGGATCACCTGTGGTCAGGAGTTCGAGAGCAGCCTGGCCAACATGGTGAAACCCCATCTCTACTAAAAATACAAAACTTATCTGGGAGTGGTGGTAAGTGCCTATAATTGCAGATACACAGAAGGCTGAGACAGGAGAATTGCTTGAACCCAGAAGGCGGAGGTTGCTGTAAGCCGAGATCGCGCCATTGCACCCCAGCCTGGGAGACAAGAGTGAAACTTCATCTCAATAAATAAATAAATACATACATACATAAAATAAAATAAAATTAGAGTTATAGAGTTCCATAGTAAATATCTGAAAATCCATGTAGAACAGTAGCCTTTATTTCTCATAACTGGAAGAATAGATGGTATTGTGTTACAGGGAAAGTAAAGTGACTCAAAGAAGGGAAAAATAACAGAAAAAACCTTACCTCCAAAACTCAGCAGCTCATCAGTAAGGCTGTTGGCAACAATATTTTTATTCCATATAACTCTACACTCATCTGATCACAACTATAGTACTGAATTCAGTTATATGCATAAGTTAATGCTTAGCTTGAAAAGACAGGGAATAGTGGGAGAACAATGGAGAGGAAACTCAACATGCTAGCTTGGAAATATAAATGGTCATGGGTGACTGAACTGTACTTACAAAATTGTATGCGTTTTTCAAATCTGTAAAGTGATTGGGGCCCCCAAAATTATATATTTCTTAATAGCCATGGCAATTTGCTGGATCACAGACCTAATTTTCTGCCTTCCTTGTGGTAATCACTCAACACTTCCCTTTCCAATATTAGTATGTTGATGGCGATTAATTTTCCTATTTTTACCATTTCTAATAAATCCTTTGTTGAAAGTTTTTCTTTATCTGTTTTGACAGCTCCTGAGAAGTTTCCTGTCAATTTCTTGGCTGATCAAGAATCTTCAAAGTAGAAGCATTTCTAACCATTGATTATATATCTTCAGTCTTCCAAAATATTATTTCCCTCTTTACATTTTTGTTATCCTCCTTTGAAAAACAGAATATGTACTCACAAAAAATAAAAACAAAAACACAGAATAACCCCCAAGAACATAAGAACAACTTTACCAAGTTTAGATGAAACACCTTTCTTATCAACTTAGTTGGTGCTCAGATTAGTGCCTAAAATGTTTAGGCAAGTGCCTGACCTCATTACCCATTCGCCAAATGAATGAATGTAAAACACTGATCTCTATCTTACCCTTAAATAAAGATGAGTTCCTTCTCAGGAAACTCCCTTAAGCCCTAGATATTGGTGCATCATCTGTGTCTCATCCCTCTCTTTTTTTCCAAGTTTGTTTACTGGAACATTTCTGGGCAAACCCATCAACCCATCTATATTTATTTATTTTTCTTGTGAGAATTGAATATTTTGATAAAAAGTAAATTCTCCATGCCAGCCTTGTTCTTGGAAAGCTCCCAATGTAGACATGCAGATTAGTACATAACTTCTGTTGAATATGTATAGAATGTGTAGAGGAAATGAGGGAACGTCTAAACTGAAGAAAAGATTCAGTAGGGATACGGTTATTCTTGGGGGTGGACTTTTAAGATGTGTCTTCCACAAAAGGAATTAAACATTGTTTTAGTAAGGGTACAGAAGTAGAGAATCAAGGCTGATCATCTTCAGTAAAAGCTTCAAAGGCATAGATTTATGGTAAATTTAATAAAGAAATTCCTTATAGTTAAAGCTTTTCAAAAATTGTGGAAATTCCAACAGAAGGAACATGATGGCAGTGTAGACTTTTATAAAATTTCCTTATAAAACAAATAGAACAAATGAAATATTTAAAAATAAACATGAGTGATATTTTGAACAAAATCTGATAAAAAAAAATTTACCAGGAATCTCAGAAAAAGGTAGATAGGCCAAAAATAGCAACAGGCTCTGCACAATACCAGCAACTATGTAATAGCAGGGTCAAAGTAAAGGAAGTAAGAAAGGAATGGCATTATAAGCCAACAACCACTCACCCCTATGGGAAAAAAAAACACATGCAGAGTGGTAATCCAAGAGGACAAACTTGACAACAACTAGCAGAAAGCACAAGTTGCAGGTGAAGTATAAAATAGCGAAGGTGAATTACTGGACAAATATGGAACAATCTAGACATTATTTTCAAAAAGATTGTAATTCATTTAAAAAGGAAATATAAAAATATCCAGGAGCTCAAATGGTAGCCTACATTCTCCGACAAGGAGAAAAAGGAGGCGAGAGAGGAGATAAAAATGAGAGGAACAAAGCATCACTCATCAGACACCACTGAATGTTGTTAAGACAACCATTTATTACCCTGAAAATTTATAACTAATGGGAATTAGACAAGTATCTCTGGATAACCAAATAGGTCTAGCAAATGCAGAAAGTTATTCTATTAAAAGCAGAGTATTTTAGATAATAAATCCACAAGGGAATACAGAATTGAAATATAGAATTACAGAATTAAAAGATCACAATTTTACAGTCCTTAACTAAATACAATCAATAGATGATGTACTAGGTTGTGTTATGTCAACATGGCTAAGGCTAAAACTTTGCTTGCTAGAATTCCCTCCTTTGTATGGGACGATGCTGGAGTTGAGTATTTGTGCAAAATTAAAAAGGCAATGTGACACAAAAACTACTAATTTCAGAGAGGTTTTGTGGTTAGACAGGGTGACAGATGCATGATGCCTGGAAAACCATGCATGTCCTGCTTCTCCTCTGTTTTGTATTCAGCTCACCTTTCTAATTGCTAACCTGGTAGTCAACAGTGGCCCCAAAGTCACCAAAGGTGAGAGGTGAAGCCAGCTGGACTTCCTGGGTTGGGTGAGGACTTGGAGAACTTTTCTGTCTAGCTAAAGGATTGTAAATGCACCAATCAGCACTCTGTGTCTAGCTAAAGATTTGTAAACGCACCAATCAGCACTCTGTAAAAACGGACCAATCAGCACTCTGTAAAATGGACCAATTGGCACTCTGTAAAATGGACCAATCAGCACTCTGTAAAATGGACCAATCAGCAGTATGAGGGTGGGGCCAAATAAGGAAATAAAAGCTGGCCACCCAAACTGGTAGAGGCAACTGCGCTCAGGTCTCCTTCCGGTGTGTGGGTTGTTTGTTCTTTTGCTCTTCGCAGTAAATTTTGCTGGTGCTCAGTCCTTGGGTCTGCACTACCTTTATGAGCTGTAAGACTGACTGTGCAGGTCTGCGGCTTCATTTCTGAAGTCAGCAAGACCATGAACCCACCAGAAGGAAGAAACAAACTCTGGACACATCTGAACATCTGAAGGAAAAAATTCCGGACACACCATCTTTAAGAACTGTGACACTCACCGCAAGGGTCTGTGGCTTCATTCTTGAAGCAATGAGACGAAGAACCCACCAGAAGGAACCAATTCCGGACACATTTTGGCGACCACAAAGGGAAAATCGACTATCACCAAGCGGTGAGTACCATCGGACCTCTTTGGCTTGCTATTGTGTCATAATTTTCCTTAGAATTTGGGGGCTAAATACCAGGCACTGGTCGGCCAGTTAAAAAGCAGTCCAAAAGAAATGTAATGCAAGACACATACGCAGTTTTTGTTTTCTATAAAACACGACTTAAACGGGTAAGTGATGCTGACTAAATTAATTTTAATAACACATTTTAACTCATTATATACAAAATATTGTTTTATCGTGTAATTAATATAAGAAATGAGATATTCTATGTTTTTCATAGGTCTTTAAAATGCGGTGCGTCTTGTTCACTCACAGCACGTCTCAATTTAGACTACCTGCATTTTGCATGCTCAGTTACCACCTGTGCCTAGTAGCTAATGTATTAGACAGTGCTAGAGTAGTTAATAACTAAAGAGTAGTTATTAAGTAATATTGCTTAAACAATTTGTATCTTACATATAAATAAACAAAATACTAGAATTATAAATTCATCCCAACTTGTCGTAACAGAAAACATCAACCATAAAATTTTGCTTAGTTTGAAAATACTACTTTCTTTGAGGTTCGACTTAGGCTACAAAAAACAAGAAGGAAGAGAAAACAAGACAGTAACATTTATTTACTGAACCATGACTATAATGGAGTTCTAGGCACATTCCATTCCATGCTTATGGCAATCCCATGGTGCAGTTACTGCTGTGTTCCCATTTTATAGCTAGGGAAACTGGGTTTTAATAAGGTTTTGTAATTTGCTGAGATCACACACCTAGCAAGATTTGGGGCAGCTGGAATTCTAAACTTACGTCTGATTAACTGTAATTCTCAGAGAATTTCCTCTGTGACATCAGTGAAAAAAATCATTTTGTATAGACCAGAATAGGAAAAAAGGAAAAGAAAAAGTAGAAATATTTATTTATTTATTTTATTTTAACTTTCATTGTAAGTTCAGGACTATGTGTGTAGATTTGTTATGTAGGTAAACCTGTGACTTGGGGGTTTGTTGTATAGATTATTTCATTAATTTTAGATTGAGCAAATGATAGTGATAAATCAGGAGACAGAGCATAAAGCCTTTTCTTTTACATCACTTTGAGGTTCCCCTCAGTTTCACAGAATATTTTTTCGCCTAAAATTTTCTTCAGGCCATGTTTGTGTGTGCAGGAACATCTCTAATTATGGAATTTACTCTATGTTAAATTTAGAATGGCTTAATGGATGGCTCTCTCTAAAGCTTGTTACTGTTTACCTAAGGTCATCACAATATTAATGGCTTTTTAGAAAGGAAACTGTGTAAGACTACTAATAAGCACCATGTTTTATGCATATTTTATGCCAGTCACTTAAAATTTATAATTTATGTTGCTAGAACATTTATTCAATATTGATAGCTTATTTTATGCCACTTCTAGTTGGTATTAGAAATGTATTAAATGGCTAAAATGCGTGTGCCCTTTCTATCAATATGCACTTAATGTTAATGCTTTCTAAAACACTTTCGGAGTAATAATAACCACCTTCCATTCAAAATCATTTATAATACCCCTTACCATTAGCTGAAAATTCATCAAATGCAATATGTTAATTCATCAACATTATTGTACAACGTATACTGAGAAGAAATAATGTGACGGTGTGCTCCACAAATTAAAATTGTGACTTTAGGATTGGATATTATTTCTATCCTCTAATACCAAGTTGGTGAGCCAGGGACCAGTAGGAGTACAATTTGCGCTGTTACTTGAATCCTTTATCTTTTGGTGAACGCACCACTGTCACAACAACAAATAGCGTGACATTGTTTTTTCCCCAAATGGTAGATGCTTTGATGAAAGTTAATCATGGAAAAAGATGAAATAAACTGCTTAGAAGTATGTATTAAGTTATCCCCAAACATAGAAAACCATAAAGAAGTCTTAAGTATAAGCAACAAAATGGCTATGAACTTGTGAAACAAAAGGGAACATGATGTAGCCACAGTGTGAAGTAGAGGCAGGGTGTCCAAAGAGGATGTTATTTGAGCTGGGCCTTGAAAAGTAAATTACTTAATGGATGAGTGCAAAAAAGCCATCGAGTAAGAGAAAATAGTATGTATATGAAAAAATAATAGGCTGATTTGACCAAGAATGAAAACTCTTAAATCCATTTAAAAGGTAAAGGAGAGGGAAGGAAACTAGGGATAAAGCTGGATACTTAGGTTGTTACCCAAAAGAAAATAATTTTGTGTGCTTCACTAGGCATTTATTCTATTGGCAAGGGGATGAAATTTGTAGTTTTAAAATATGTGACTAACATGCTGAGAGCTGTGTGTTTGTATTTATGATAACTGATGATGTGGACCACAATGTGTTGGAGGGAGGACAGATCAAATGCAATAACGCAGTGAGGAATGGTCAGGTATAAATGAGATGTACTTCATGATACGTGTGATGTAGACATACATATCATGATCCAGCTATTAGCCTCTTTCATATGGAGTCATACAAACATTACTTTGGATATATAAATCAATTTCAGTTAGGTGGGTTAGGGAAAATAAGGTCCATTTATTTTTTGTCTAAACAATGCTCATTGTTCTTTATAATGTTGGTGACAATGACAAAAATGAGAAATGTAAAGAACACAGTATATTTGTGTGTAGGATAAACTGCTTATGCTGAGAGCAGCTAGATTTCTATGCCACTGTTGACATTTTATTTATCACAATCCTGCCTAAACACGAATCCACTTTGAATTAATTGCTTCCAAAACTATATATTTAAATGTTGAAGCTGTAGTGAAACAATTAACTATGTGATCATTTATCATATCATGCTTTAATGCCAATAGGACATTATGAGCAATGAGTATTTATCAATGTTCTAATTGTAGCTGAGTAGCGGTGTACCGCTGTTTATTGTTATTTTTAAACAGTTGATTTTAACACCCGGCACCCTACAATTGTCCGGTTAATGTGTTCTGCTTTGGGATCAGGCTGAAATTGAAAGGCCAAAAATTCAAGATAATTCCACGATAAACAGCTTTGTGATCAAAAGTTAGGGTGATATGAAACTTCAACCTGCCATAAATACAGGACAGGTTTTCTTAATCTCCACATCATTGAAACATTGGCATGGATAATTCCTTTCTGGGAGGAGTTTCGTGTCCATTCTAGGATGTTTAGTAGCATCTTTGGCTTCTACCCAGTGGATGCCTGTAGCACTCTCTTATAATTGTGACAATCAAAATGTCTCCAGATATTGCCCAGTATCGCCGCCAATATTAGCTAATGTAAAGACATCGTTTAACTTGAAAGCTGCACACATGAAGTAACCCACCGTGTGTTTTACCACAAATTTTTAAATTTTTAAAGTAAGCAGTTGCAAATAAAATTATTGGAGATCCCCTAAAGTACGCTAGACAGAAAAAATCATAAACATATGGGTATATATTTTGGCTCATCAGTAAAAGTATTCAATTAATCCTTATTTCTACCCATTTTTCTGAGTCACTGGCACAATTTACTATCTTAGCGTAACCAAAAACACGTATATTTTTCTTTGTAAATCTTTTGCTAACTAAGCACATTCTATATTTTCATATTCAAATTGATTGTTACAGAATATAAATTCATATTAGTGTACAACTTCTATGCCCTCTAACTCTCCCATTTACACAGTGTTAAATAATAACTTGTTTTCCCTTCATCTGGCAGGAGGTAAGGGTTAAAGTTTGAAAATCCATGCAAGTCCAGACTTTATCCTAAGAACTTCATATAAAAGCTATAAAATCTAAATTCCCTTTTTCAAAAGTGAAAAAAATATAAATTATATTATAGAGTAATAGTGGAGTGAAGAGGAAAATAAGAACGGTCCATTAAACTTAAAAAAAAAAAAAAGGGAATGGGGACCCGATAAATAGGGAAGAAACTATGGGGAATGTGCCTTAGTGGAAACAATATCATTTTCAAATCCTAAATCTCCTGATTTCTAGTCAAACTTCTGGATAGTTTAATCAAATTTTCTAGATGTGAGTATTCTTTACTAGGGGATGCTATCACCTACTTTCAGATTTGATTCTATAATTAAAATAACAATAGCTTTGTTAGTAACTTCTATATGCCACAGTAACTTCTATATGTTCTTTAAATATTTTATTAATATTAATGACAATCCAGTGAAGTGAATATTATTATCATCTCTGTTGAACAGAATAAGAAACAGAAGAAGGAGAGTTCACACATAGATTTAAATTTAGGGCTCATGCCTGTAATCTCAGAGCAGGCGAATCTGTTGAACTTAGAAATTGGAGACCAGCCTGGGCAACATGGTGAACCCTCGTCTCTACTAAAAATTAAAAAAAAAAAAAAAAATAGCCAGGTGTGGTGGTGTGTACCTGTAGTTCCAGCTACCTGGGAGGCTGAGGTGGGAGGATCACTTGAGCCTGGGAAGGTGGAGATTGCAGTGAGCCAAGATTGTGCTGCTACACTCCAGCCTGGGTGACAGAATGAGACCCTATCTCACTAATAATAGTAATAGTAAGAAGAAGAAGAAGAATCTGACTCTAAAAGAGTAACTCCAACATTATAATATGCTTTCACAAATACCCTAAAAAGATGTCTTACGTGCAGTGGGTTAGCAATACAAAATAGCTCTCTGCCTTCAACTAAGAAAAATATGTGAAGAAAGATAAATAATAATTTACCTAAGTGCATGAAGAAACTCAGAAATAGAAGCAGGAACAGAGTACAGGCCTGCTAATAAATATAGAAACCGAATGTACTATTTCTCTCTTCCTCATTTAGCTACCTAATGTCTTGTGATTTTCCTATTTTTTTTCTACTGCTTTGAGCCCTGCCTTAGTTCACATCTTCATAAATTTTTGCTCAAGCCTGATAAAGTCTACATATTCTGCTACAAATTTCTAAAAAAAATCTGATCATGTTGATGGCCTTGCTTAAATATCCTTCAAGAGTTTCCTTTGGCTTCTGGGATAAGTCTAAATTCTTCTCTTCATTTAGCAGTATCTAGTTAAATTCAAGATTTGCATACTCTTAGAATCAGTGATTTCACACTCAGGTATACATTCTAGATAATCTCTTGCACATGTGTAGGAGATATTTGCAAAATGGTGTGCCATTGTTTGTAATAGTGTATGATCTAAATGCCATATTGTAGGACAATAAAGAGAAAAATTATTATATTCAAATAACGGAATACTATACAGTATTTCATTTTTATTTCTTAGTTGACAAATGAAAATTATATATATTTATGGTGTACAACATGTTGTTTTAAAATATGTATACATTGCAGAATGTCTATACCAAGCTAATTAACATGCATTATCTCATACATTTGTGGTGAGTACACTTAAAATCTACTCTGGTAGCAATTTTCAAGTGTACAATACATTGTTACTATATTCACTATGTTGTACGATACATCTCTTGAACTTATTTCTGCCTGGCTGAGTGAAATTTTGTATCCTTAGACCAACTTCACCCCAATCCCCTCCACCTCCCCAGCCTCTGGTAATCACCATTCCAGAGTCTGCATCAATGACTTGACTTTTTTAGATTCCACATATAAGTAATATCATGTAGTATTTGTCACTTAGCATAATGTCTTCAAGGTTCATCCATGTAGTTGCAAGTGACAGTGTTTCCATCTTTTGTAAGGCTGAATAGTATTCCATAGTGTATGTATACCACCTTTTTATACAGCATTTTAAATGAGTGTCTTATGCTTATGCCAGAATACAGACTAATTTTAAAAATAGAATAATTAAAAAAAATACAATATGATATTATATATCTTCTACAAATAAATAAAATAATGTATATTGTTTAGGATTACACTGCTCATAGAGTAATATTTGGGATAATGATTACGTGTGGTGATGAAAAGAAGGTGAATGAATAATTTTACATACAGGGAGCTTTAAGTATATTTTTAATTTATTTTTAAGCTGTTTGTCGGTTACATAGTGTTTATCATATGCTTTAGATGTTTTTGTATGCTTCAAGCACTTAATAAAAACTTAAATCATCTCTACAAAAGTAAATAACTATAAATAAGTCTGTCAAAAAGGTCCACTATTAATCTTTACATACTTTTCCAATATTATGGACACTTTATTGATCTCCAGTCATGATGAACCATGCTGCAGTTTTCCTAACATGTCATTCTCTTTTCTGTATGGCCGGTTTTACACTATAAGAACTTTCCATTCACCTTACTCCTACTAACTTGTCGAGGCTCAGCTCCGAGCTCTCAAGACTCCAGGACCCTTATTTGAAATCTTTAATTTGACTATTCTAATATCTTATGGCACCATTTCTACATTTGTGTCAGCCCTGAAACAATAGCTGTGAACTCTGCTCACACGACATAGCCAGTGGAGGTTGGCAAGGGGGCTCTGCTTCTCATTAGCCACTCAGGATCCCAGGTGATGGAGGCTACAACAGGAACTGTGCTTACCCAATCACTGCGGCAGGAAAGAATGGTGGATCATGATCTGTTTCTTAGGGCCCCTATGCAGAAGTGACCAAAATCATTTTCATTCACATTTTTTTTGAATGAAGCAACTCAAATGACCTCTGCTAACTTCAAAGGAAATGGAAAAATGCAAGCCCTACGAGATGACTAAATGGTGAGAACAGCTTTGTGTGAAATATGTAAACAGCCCTAAAGACTCCTACAGTCTATACATTTCTCATGTTGAATTGTAATGAATTATTTACTCCTCCTGTGTGGACATTTTATCTTAGTCAGCTCTGTATGTCGGCCACTGATACCATATAGACACATTTAAAAGAATATGTTTTGCCCGGGTAAGAGAAAACATCCTCTCTCAGAGAACAGGTCCCCATCTACTTCTAGATGAGTCCTTCAGAAAGTAATATCTGTGGGTGAACATTAGCATTTCATTATTGGATCATTTTTTGATCATATCCTGCTTGATTGACTGTAAGGTTATCAATCTATGAATTTTCAGAGCTGACCACATTTAGCTCAGTCTTCCCACAAAAGAAGGGGGAACTCAGCTCCTACTCACTTTTATGTACCTGACAGACATTTGCTGAAAAGTGACAAATCAGCCCAGCCTATTGCAGTGGTCTGTCATTAAAGGATAGGAAAGCCAGTTTCTTCAGTTTCCGAGGCACAGCTATTCACTATAAAAATCCACACTTAAAAGGTTTTTCTAAGGTGGTTGCTCATTCCAAATCATAAGGAACCATCCTCCTTGAATTGGTTTACCTATTTATCATCAAAACAATAATGTTATTAAAAATCCAATTTTTCCTAAGACTTATTATTTTCAAATCTATTTCCTTTTGTACATTTCTTTGAAAAGCGATATTTTAGCATGTTGAGAGGTGGGAAGGAATACATCATGTTTTTCCTTTTTTTATTCCTCCTTTCAAGTTATATGCATTTTTGTATTGTACTATTTTAACATTCTAGGGAATTTCTAGAATTTGGACTAAGCACTCTTGTCACAGATGATCTTGTATAGAATATCATATTAAACATAATTTGTATCTTCACTTTGAAGATTAAATGCCAATCTCATTTATGAAAATGCAACAGGAAAGTATCCTAAACTCTCAGTATTTACGAACATTTTCACATGACCTCTCTAGCAACAAATCCTGTTAGCTGTGCCTTAGAAACATAATGAGAATCAACTACTGCTCACAGTCTTCAGTGCTCCTTGTGGTTGAGGCCAACAACATCAGGACTATTTCAAGTCTCATTCCGCCTGTTCTTTCTACAGTCTTAGTGCTCCTTTAAAAATGCAGTTCAGGCCACGCGCGGTGGTTTACACCTGTAATCCCAGCACTTTGGGAGACCGAGGCAAGTGGATCATGAGGTCAGGAGTTTGAGACCATCCTGGCCAAGATGGTGAAACCCCATCTCTACTAAAAATACAAAAATTATCCGGGCGCGATGGGGGGAGCCTGTAATCCCAGCTACTCAGGAGGCTGAGGCAGGAGAATTGCTTGAACCCGGGAGGCAGAGGTTGCAGTGAGCCAAGATTGCACCACTGCACTCAAGCCTGGGCAACAGAGCAAGACTCCGTCTCAAAAGAAAAAGCAGTTTATTAAGATCACAGTCAGGAACAGAAAACCAAATACCATGTGTTTCTACCTATAAGTGGGAGGAAAACGTTGAGTACACATACACATAAGATGTAAACAACAGACACTGGGGATTACTAGAGGGGGAAAGAAGAGAGGAAGGCGTGGACTAAAAAACTACCTATTGGGTAGTATGCTCACTACCTGGGTGATGGGATCATGGGTAGGTACCCCAAACCTCAGCATCAGGCAATACACCATGTAACAGACCTGCACATGTACCCGTGAATCTGAAATAAAAGTTGAAATTATTTTTTTAAAAAAAGATTACAGTCACATGAATTCTCTGCTTAAAATCCCTCTGCATGGCAATAGGGTCCTCCATTACTGAGCTTCTGGCTAAATTCCCCACCTCCCAACATTCTCCTGCCCTTACTTCGCTTTCTTGTTTTGCATTCAGTGCAGCTTTGACTTTCGTGTCAGGGTGTTTGTAGCTGTTTTCCCTACCTAGGTCACTTTCCCCCTTATAGCAAATAATTAATTCCCACTCTTACAGATCTTTACTCAACATTCACATTTTTCAGAGGAGACTCCTCAGATAACATTATCTGAAGTTAAAATATGACACTATCCCTTATCCAACTTTCTTTTGATTCTCTTTATTATCATCTGATATCTCACAGTTGATAAGTGAGTACACCACATATATATACATATACATACACATATAAACATAAACATTATTTGCATATTCTCAGTAAAATGAAGATTATATAAGGGAGGACTTTTTAATTTTGTTTCGTTCACCAGTACATAGAAGAGCATCAAGAACATTATAAGTGTTTAAAAATTATTTCTTGAGGCCTGGCGCAGTGGCTCACTCCTGTAATCCCAGCACTTTGGGAGGCTGAGGCAGGTGGATCACGAGTTCAGGAGATGGAGACCATCCTGGCTAACACGGTGAAACCCCGTCTCTACTAAAAATACAAAAAATTAGCTGGGCGTGGTGGTGGGTGCCTGTAGTCCCAGCTCCTCGGGAAGCTCAGGCAGGAGAATGGCGGGAACCCGGGAGGTGGAGCTTACCGTGAGCTGAGATCGCACCACTGCACTCCAACCTGGGTGACAAGGCGAGACTCCATCTCAAAAAATATATGTATATATTTCTTGAATGAATAAATGATTAGATAAACTCTTACAGAGTAGTAGATGGATCACAACTTCATTCTCAAGAAATTTCTGCAGTCTTTTGTACTGCAGTGCCTTACATTTATACCAGTTATGGCAAAGACCAAAGTTGCAAGGGTACCAGGGATATAATTTCATTAGCAATTATTTTTTATCTATTTATTTTTATGAGACAGGGTCTCTCTTTCAGTCGCCCAGCTGCAGTGCAATGGCACGATCATGGCTCACTGCAGCTTCAACCTACCCAGGCTCAGGTGATTGTCTCACCTCTGCCTCCTGAGTAGCTGGGACTGTAGGCATGTGGCACCATGCCGGGCTAATTTTTGTATTTTTTTGTGGAGATGGGGTTTTGTCATATTCTCACACTGGTCTTGAACTCCCTGAGCTCAAGTGATCCACCTGCTTTGGCCTCCCTAAGTGCTAGGATTACAGGTTTGGACCACTGCGCCTGGCCTAACAGTCTCGTTTTAATCAAACATCTCTCCTATGCTCAGGGCACCAATTGGGTTCCTTCATTTTTCTTCCTTATTTTCCTCCTCCCTTCTTCTCTTTCGATTGTACTTTTCGACCTTTTTTCCCCTTCCATTCTAATCATTCACTATGGACTTTAAAACTGTTGAGATTCTGTGGTCCAGCTCACTAAGTCCACCTTCTCAGGAATGTCGTTTCTCTCTATGTAGCACAGTGGCACTCTGAGCTGTTAGTGTAGCATGAACATGGGTTGTAGCCTAAAATGCTGCTACCTCACCACTGTGAGAAAGATTGTATCCCACGTTTCATCAATACTTTTGAAACTGTGAAAGAAGATGGCGGACCAAGCTTAAGTTTTGCTTAAAACCTCTGTCAAGCAAATGCGGGCAAATCATCAGACAGCAACCACAGGAGGTGAAAATTCAGTCACTAGAGCTATAGCTGACGCATGATTCCTCCACAGCCTCTTTTGTTCTCAGACAGCACAGAGGAATTTAGCAAGAAGAAATGTCAGAGTTTGGGACAGGACCATTGGCTCTTGAATTGTGAAGCATTTAATATGCTTGATTAGGAAAACACAAGCCACACCCTATTCAGCATAATCAGTAGCTTGACCACAAGTCTCGTGTTGCAGCAGTGGGATGTAGCACAGCTGCATCCTCTTGCCCTCACTCGGAGCACCAATCCTTTCCCTGGCACCATCAAAGGTCTAGGACATGCAAAGTGGCTACATGATTTGGCTTCTAGCCCCACAACCTCAGCATCCTACCAGAATTGACTGCCTTATGCGCTTTGATGTATCTGCTTTCCATTGAGCAGGTCTCGTTTTCTAAAATATTCTCCTCTGCAGGATACAAACTTGCTTCCCGGGAGTCCAAGCTACAGGGATCAGTCTTGGGCAATTTAGTCCTTGTATCTCACTTTGTTGAGTCACTTCTTTTCTTATTTTCTCTCATCAGTTTAATTAGCTGGGGGTCATTAGAAGGCTCATCTGGCTATTAATATTGAGAGATTCCATAATGATATTTCATCATAGATCATGTATTGTTGAGCCAGTGCTCTGTGGCATCATAATCTCTAAACATACTAAGATTATCTCCATCCTATTTTTAATTTTCTAATATTGGAGTCTTTATGTTTTTATTTAACACAAATGCAAAGTTCACTATGTGGGAAGCACTCTTTTAAGTGCTTTATAGTTATTAACTCATTTATTTCTGATAACAATTCTATGATGTAAGTACTATTATCACTCTCATTTTACAAATGAGAAAACTGAGACCCAGAGAGCTGAAGCAAGTTCCCCATGGTTCCACCACTAATAAGTTTATAAATTGAGCTGATCCATTCTAACCTTAGTCTTTTGCCTACCATTTTATCAATATTTTATTAATAAGTTCTTTTCCCAATAAATCTAGAAATGTGTTTCCAAGAAATACATTTAATTGTAGTAATTTTCTTATATTTCAAGAAGTATAAATTTTCAAGGAAGTCCACCATAGACAATCATGATGCTTGTCTTCAATTCCTCATGTTTGGTGACCTTACATATAGATTCCCAGATTCAGAAAAAGAATTTTATTTTCCCAATACAACTATAGAGATATATGTAACTACAGAAAGATGTAAAGAAATGTTTGCTCCAACATGGGTTCACAGGTAAGGAGGGAAGACAAAATACTGGAAAAGATATCTACAAGAAATTCCTCAAAATTAAATTTTCCTCTTAGTTTTCCCAGAGTACTGACCACTTGGAACAATAAGCCTACACATTGTTTTGGAGGAACATGAAGATTTTACTGGCATAGTAATATCATGTGGTTTTTAAAAAACTCTTTTTTAGAATATGATATCTTAAGAATATTTGCTAAAATTTATTAACTTACAAATTTGATATTAATATCTACTGTTGCTGTGTAGGCTTTCTCAAATATGAAATTCATTTAGTATTTCTGTAAAGAAATCCTTGCATATACTAACCTTTAATTCATTTTTAATTAATTTATCTTCCAGCTGGTAGACTATGGCAGACATGGTTCTTAGGCTCCCAGTGGGTCTTGGGCATTTTAACTTGAATACTCTGAGGTTGGTCTTTTTACCTAATTTCTCAGTGTATTAGGCCTTTACCTTCTTTCACTTAAGAATGCTCAATTTTCTTGCTAATGCACTAAATCTCCCTGAACAACCACCCCCTATATAATTTCAAAGATTGCTTTATCTTCTCCCCTCTGTTGCATTTTGATAAAAGGTGGGTTTTTTTCTGAGCTGACTTCAAACTAAAGAAAATATATTTTATTTCTCTAGAGTCATTAATTCTTTGGTAGAATATATTTTGAAATCCTAATATGTATTACACATGATTTAGTTGCTTTACCTTCTTTGGCAAAGCCTATATCTGAAATGAAAAGGCACACCCACACTAAAGATGAAGGACTGCAAGATGCTTGAAATCACAGGTCAGAATCACCTCTGCTAACATACTTCTGCCCCTATTCGCATACTCTTCTTCAAATTAAGTATGTCAGGCAAGAAAGTGCACTGAATAAATGTTAATTGTTATAACAAATGTTAAGCTGCCCTACAGTGTTAAGAACATACTGCTCTGTAGATTCTCCACTAGTTTATTTTAGAATGAACATCTCAGGGATAGTCACAGTATTTTGTCCACAGTGGTAAACCCATACACAGTCTGATAAATAATAAGTGCTAATTTTTATCATAAAAATAAATGATAATTTCAAATATGAATGATTATGTCAAAGAACAAAATATACATAGGCAAACCTAGATTTATATTTCATTTTTTCTCAGTGAGCATAGTTTTAATAATAAGTCATCCATCAGCATTTACTAAGTGTCAGAGTTTGGGCTAGATATTGGTATACATGGTATCTAATTTACTATATAAAATAACAGTGTATGCCAGGTAGTATAATATTTATTTAAAAACTTTGTTGAAACTTTGTTTGTTGCCCAAGTGGGGGTAAAGCTAAATTTTAAATACTGATCTCTCGAGCTTGATTCCTATTCTCTTTGCATTTTCCCCAGTTACCTAAAGAATATTAAATAAAAAGAAACTTTGTTCCGGAAATCTAGAGATTCTCTTTAGGGTCTTCATTGAAGAAGGGGCAAGAAGAGAACAGAAAGGAATATTATTACGTATTCTACTGCAGCAGACCCAGATAAATGAACTGCAGCTGCACACCTGAGACAACAGTGCCCTAGATTTAGTGATTTAGCACAAAACAGAACAACTAGTCAAGAAAATGATGTGGTTGGAGTATGTGATGAGACAGTAATAAGAGGAATTTTAGCTGTCATGACCCTTTTACTACCTAAAAGCTATGATTCCTTCCCCAAATGCTATGCCAGTAATCTATACAAAACCAAGGTAGAGAATAATGCTTAAACTTCTCAAATGTGACACAGAGTATTTCCAACTCTACAGTGGTCTTAACGCCTTTCTATTTTGGATTTTCAAATCTAGAATTAAGATTTAACAAGAGACCATGGCCAACCATGAAGAATCTTTGTATACCCTCTTGTTTTGTTAATTTGAAAAACAATATCTATATAATGTAATTTAAAGACATTGCTAGTGTGCTACTTAGGAACAGATTTGTAAGTCCCCTCACACATAGTGGAGAAAGCTGTTTCCATTGACAAGGGGGGCTCAATGGGTTGAGAATCTCTGCTTTGCCTGCGTCCAACCAGACGACTCTATTTCAAGTTTCAAGGTCTCCCTCCTTCCTGATCAACGGTGTAACTTTAACATGAGTGAGTTGGTGAGCCTGAGAATTCAATGGATAATAAATAAGCATGAAATTCATTCATAATTACCAAAAACACATATGTGCAATACAAGTGCAATACTATCGCTAAATCTCAAGTGTATTATGCTACAAAAAAGCCAAACTCAAAATGCAATCTAATATATGACCCTATTTATATCATGTTTTGGAAATGACAAAACTATAGAGGCAGAAAATAGATCAGTTGTTGCAGGGGCAGGAGGTGGGAGCAAGAGTATGATCTTACAAAGGTCACAGGTAAATTTTGTGGGGAGTAATACTACTCTGTATCTTGACTGTACTGGTGAAAGGACTATATGTGTTTATCAAAACTCACAGAACTGAACACTAAAAGAGTGGACTCTACTGTACATAAATGTTACCTTCATTTAAAAATTTTTCGTAACACAATACTGCTGCACAGCCACTGAGATGGCTGAAATTAAAATGAACACCAGTGCTAAGTGTTACTGAACATGTGGAACAAGTAGAAGTCTTAGACATTTTTATTGGTAAAGTAAAATGACACAACTATATTGGAAAAACAGTTCAGCAGTTTCTCATAAAAAAGGCTGGGCGCTGTGGCTTAGGCTGGTAATCCCAGCACTTTGTGGGGCTGAGGTGGGCGGATCACGAGGTCAATAGAGATCGAGACCATCCTGGCCAGCATGCTGAAATCCTCTCTACTGAAAATACAAAAATTAGCTGGGCAAGGTGTCGCATGCCTATAGTCCCAGCTACTTGGGAGGCTGAGGCAGAAGAATCACTTGAACCCAGGAGGCAGAGGTTGCAGTGAGCTGAGATTGTGCCACTGCACTCCATCCTGGCGACGACAGAGCAAGACTCTGTCTCAAAAAAAAAAAAAAAAAAAGTTAAAGATGGTTACCATATAGCCCAGAATTTTCAATCCTAGGTATTTTTATCCAAGATAAATGAAAGCATATGTATATATATATATAAGACTTGAATAACAAGCTTCATAGAAGCTTTATTATAGCCCCAAAGTGGAAACAATGCAAATGCCTATCAATGGGTGAATGGATAATCAAATTGAAATACAGTTATTAAATGCAATACTGATGAGGAATATAAACTAAAAACTACTGATAACGACCGCATGGATGACTCTCAAAACATTATACTGAGCAAAATAAGTTAGCCACCAAAGTGTTGTGCACTTTTTATTTGAAATTGTATCTCTATTTATTTGAAACTCTAGGTAAGGCGAATTTAAATTATAATTATAAAAACATACATTGGTATTGAATAGTCTGGGGGAACTGAATACAAAATGGAAGAAGAAAACTTGTTGGATTACGGAATACCCTATATCTTGATTCTGGTGTTGGTTGCATGGTTAAATACATTTGCAAAACTCATTTAACCATACCATTAAAATACATTAAAATAGTTTTAGTTTATTACATACAACTTACACCTCAATGAGACTGATCTAGAAAATATACCTTGTACATAGTGTGAGTATTCCGATAGTAAGTATTGTAAATATTGCTTATTGTTTGGTGTTGTAGCTGGGGTCTTATTGGAAGTAAACACACCATAGTTCCGAAAAAAATCACTTAAACAGCACTGGAATTTGGAATTTTAAAGTGTGGAAAAAAATCTACTGAAACATATTCCACATGAAAAATCATGATACACTGTGGAAATACTTCAAGAGACAGACTCAACAGATGACACAATGAAGAGTATTATTGTTCCCAAGCAGTTGAGATAGATAATACATATAAAAGAAATCACTAATAAAATAAGTAAACAGATAAACTGCAAAACATCAAGACCCAAGACTATGAACAAAAATAGGCTTATTTAGAAAAAGAAATGTCAGTATGTATATATAGTCACTTAAATACATTTAAATAAAAATTAGAAGAGTATAAACAAGCAGTTAGGTATTAAGAAAATCAGTGGTTTGAAAGATATAAAAAGGGATTGTTCAATATTTAGCATAGAGAAACTAAGCATGAATACAATCATGGAGGAAGGAATAATATTTTTCAACATGTGTGTAATAGAAATTACCCCACTAAAAAAGAAAATACAGCATAAGTAATAAAGCAAACATTACTAGATCGTGTTCTATAATTGAAGAATGAATGTAGTCATAATAGAGTCAGAAAGACTATATTAACATCAGAAAAGTATTCAAGATGAGTATATTACTAAACAGAAAGAAGGCATTTTCCAAATGGTAAATGGTCTATTAAGAAGAAATAATAATCTGAAGTGTGTATGCACCTAAAAGGCTTCTAATGCATTTTTTTCTCTGAACAAAAAAAAAGGCGAATCTGTTCGAACATTAAAAAATATCACTCAATAGTTGCTAAAGCATGTAGAGAAAAAGGTCCATGTGACTTGAACATCACTGGCAAAGTAATCTATTAAGCATTTTCCTAAACACTTTACACTAAAACCAGAAAATATTTTGAACTAAATGGATGTTAAAGCACAGCATGCTAGAAAGTGTGAAGTACAGTTAAAGTGGTGCCTTGAGAGAAATTTATTGCTTTAAGTACCTATGTTAGAAAAGAAAAAAAATATATATTTTTACATTTTAAAAAACCAGAAAAAAAAGAGAAAAATCCTAAGTAAGTAGAGGACAGGAAAAACTAATAGAAGAAATCAATAATATAAAAATAGCACATAATCACATTTTTTGAAATTCATACATTTGTCCATAGGAAGGATCAGTAAAATTGATAAAAATTTAGTGGTTCATTTACTATGCTGTGTAGAACTTGCCTCAAAATTTACAATGGTGAAATTACCATTAATTTAGTTACTGATTCTGTGTGTAAGGAATTCGGACCAAAGATGGTGGGAAAGTTGTTTTCTTCCCAACTGGCAGTTGTTGGAAGAACTGAAAAGCTGGGAGCTGGAGTCATCTGAACGATTTTTTACTCATGTGTCTAGAGGTTGATGCTGGGAAGACCCTAACCGTTGGAAGTTGGAGCAACTGATGCATCTAAATTCATAAAATTAAGTCTGAAAAAGTTAATGTTCAGGAGTCTTACTTTGAACTTCAGAATATGTGCCTGCCTTAGAAGACCAGGCTATTCTGGGTTTCATGTAAAACAGAAGTGGAAGATAAATCTAAGGGAAAAATTATTGCTACACAAATAGTAAGGCAGCTGAACCAACTGGTCAGGGAAGCTGTTAAATGACAATCAGCCGTTATTCAGCTGAGATTCAGCTGAGCTCTAAGGGGAATAATATACAGGTAACAAATCTAATCCTTGTTTTCTAAAATGTTTATGGATAAGTTGATTCTTCTAGAGGCTTCTAAAGAGAAAACTTGAAGAAAAGTCATTTTGCTACTGTACATAGTACACTCACTCACAAATAATACATTTTCTTTGGGGAAGCTGGTGAAAAATTCTGGACATGAGCTTATATTCCTACCTTGTAACTTTGATAAAGAAAACTGGAAATTGCAAAGAGAATCTATTTTAGAATTTTATACAGGAGAGTTAGAGAAAAAAGAAATGGGGGAAATTCAAGAGAACAAAGGAAAAACAAAAGAGAGAAGACTACAGAGATGGTGAAAAAATAATAAGAGAAAGAATAAACATTTAATTTTAATTTAGAGAGAGACTGCTGATTTTTAAAAATATCACGCATTTGACAGCTAACAATATGACTATATGTTTAATTTTATTACCTAGTTAAAAAAAGAAAAAATATTGTTAACATATTCAAGTTTCTTAATAGTATGAAGATAAAATAAAGCAAAGTTTTTATTTTCAAGTTTTTATTCTTCTGGTAAGTGAGTTTCACAAAACTAATACTGAAATTTGCTCAGCTAATTCTCCAGAATAAATGTACAGACACTTTATTTGTTGATGTTATCTTTAAATTATTTGAAATAAAGTGTGAAGTCAATAATCAGAATTTTTATAGTCTACTTTAGCTAGCTAATTAATTAGCAAATGCAGTATATGATATTCCTAAATTTGAGGCTAGTTATAGCTACCACAGAATTTCGTTCTCTTTATTATTCAGTTTTTAATTCATGCATTCATTTATTCTATAAATATTTTTACCAGGTGCCAGGCACTGTTCTAAGGAAGGAACATAAAGGAAACAAAAAATTAAAAAAAAATAGTAAAGTTGTATTTACTATTAGTAAATCTAGTCAATAAAAATAGAAATTTCTGACTTCATGCATTTCACATTTTAGTATGATGTAACTAATTTTCATTAGAACTCTAAGGAGTTGCTTTGGTTTAAGGTTTAAAAAACAAATTTAAGTCAATACTCCTAACACTAAAACTGTAAACTATAGAGTATCGACTAATATTTGAGTTAGTCCCTCCAATTTAGAAACACCACTTGTTTCCAGTCATGAGTTGATATCACCCCTTCTGTTAGTTTCCACCTAATATTATGTAGGTTAGTTTGTAAGACTTGTTTAAACACAAGTGTTTATAACACTTGGAGTATTTAGGAGTTTTTTATATTTTCTAAAAATGTTTCACTTGATTTGAATTAATAGCCATGCTTTCTTTCCCCTTATGGATTCAGCACTTTGTTGTTTGGAAGCAAATGGGCTTTGAATAATTGCCAATAAGAAAAGGGCTTGCTATATTCCAGAAATTGGTAATGTTATGACTCCAAAAGCACAGGCAACAAAAGCAAAATTAGACAATGAATTATATCAAACTAGAAAGCTTTTGTACCGTAAAGGAAATAATAGTGTGAAGAGGCAACATATAGATTGGAGAAAATATTTGCAAAACATACACCAGAAAAGGAGCTAATATCTAAAATATACAAGAGTCACATACTACTCAATAAGAAGAAAACAAGTAATCCTATTTAAAAAATGGACAAAGTACTTGAATAGACATTTCTCAGAAGAACACATATGACCAATAGATATATGAAAAAAATGCTCAACATCTCTAATAATTAGAGAAATGCAAATTAAAATCACAATGAGATATCACCTTACACTTGTTAGATTGGCTATTATCCAAAAGATGAAAGATAAGTATTGGTTATTGTATCTTACATAAATGTTGCCCAGTCTCAGATAAAATTTTCACCTGCCTTGTCTTCTCATTTGCATGTCTCTAGTTTAGGTGAATTTTGATAGCAATGTTGTGAGCAGGATTCAGGCTGGTAGTGGAGGGACTATTTTTTTTTTTTAAGAAGCAGAATGAAAGGGAAATAATTGCATCTCAGAGAAGCTTCTCAGTTAAAGCCAGCACCAGTGCTCTACATTTGGTACATTTAAAAGATAGCAGGGCTGGATCATTCTAGCTTTCACTAAATTATTTTCTTAAATCACAAAGTAACAGAAGAAACTCGTTCTCAATTTTTCTTTATGTTCTTGAAGTTTGACACTTCTCTATTTCTGCCTCTGAAACTATACTTTCTCCTATGAGAATCATAGCTTGCCTTCCTCAGGCAGTTTAGAGTTTCTCAAGATGTTTTAGGATCTTACAGCTTTCATGGTAATGGTTTTTGATTAAGCCATTTGACTAGTATATAGTTTGGAAATAAACGGGAAACATGGCTCAGCAAATGCTCCTTTCCCCGCTACATTTTTTTCTTGCTGCTTCTCCCCTATATTGAGAAAATTTGATTTCAAGAATCTAACAGAGATGCCTGGATTGTTTCTTTTCCTCTGTTCAATTCTTCACTTCCACAGAGTGCAAACATTTCTATTATTTTTATTCTCAAGACTTCCAGGCTTTCTCTGTTAAAATTGTGCTGCATCTAGTATTTCATCTCTAACTCACTCCTGGACATTTCTATTTGGATGTTCTTTAATTATATCATATTGTACATGTTAATATCCATGCTTAGCATTAACAGGGTGAAAGTAGCCTCCCCTTCCAACTTTACTATTTCTGTTAATGATACCGTTTTTCCCAGGTAACATGGTAATTATTATTATCTATATATGTAGCCACCACATTCTGTTAACTTAAAAAAATTCCCATTCATCTTTTATATTTCCACTACTGTGGGAAAATGCCTTATTACCTCAGTGAAACTGCTGGCATAGTTTCCTACTTGGATTCTCTGAACCTACCTTTGTTTAAACTTAACTTTCATATTGTCACTCATTTGTTCAAAAATACTTACTGGATTCCTATTACCAGCCACCCTGAGAATCAATTTGTCTGCTTGACTTGGCATATCTTTAGAATTCTAGCCACATGATATTGTTCAACTTGCTGCAAAATTTTCTCTCCAGTCAGAAACCTAGTTGCAGTTTACTTCCTCATACTGCATGGTTGCTTCTAACTCTCCGTCATCTTTCGTGTTGCTTGTATCTCTTCTACTACCATCTACTCTCCTCTACCTAACCAAATTTTGTTCATTGTTGATAAGCATAGAGGAATAATTAAAAGTTAGAATTAAAATTTAGATAGACATTAAACATGAGACATATAAGCCTTGTAAGTGTTCAATGTCTTGCTCAAATCAAAGTTACCCTTTGAAGAAATGGAAGAAATAAAACCAGAACCAAAGTTCCCTTTTGTGTAAGTTTCATAGATTACAATGTCCTGCCCAAGCGAATGCTTCCAAATTTCTCATGTTTCACTTGCCTGTTTCAACCTTCTATTTTCTTAAAGACTTTAGAAGCTTAGAGTCATCTAGTAGACAAATAATTTATGTTATAGCACGTATCCAAACTGCTATAATTATCATTATTATGAATAATTCAAGTTTAGGTTTACTTGTTGGAAGTTTTATATGTTTTGTTGAAATCCTCTAAGAGAAACTGGAATCCTCTGGCTCTTATCTTGCCATCAGTAGCTGCACAGTACAAATCCATTGTCTCATCAAGACCTCAACCCTTCACACATATGTATAAAATAATTGTTTCCTCTTTGTGAATCTCTTATCACTTTTTGCATGGATTCTCATACGATCTATTACGTATATGAGCCAGGACATTTTAAAATGCCAGCTATATTAACCCATTTTAAATAGCTTAAGAATAAAGATCATCCAACCGTTACCAATTGGAGGATATTACCTCTCAGAATTGGAAACAATTAGGTATTCCTATCCTAGTAAAACATCATGAAGTGGACCCTGAAAAAAATGAAAAGATCAAGATTTGTATCAATTATGCAAAGATAAATAACCTCTTTTTTTGATATCACCATCAATATCAAGTAAGTCCTTTTGTGTCCAGAATTGGTGGGTTCTTGGTCTCACTGACTTCAAGAATGAAGCCACGGACCCTCGCGGTGAGCGTTACAATTCTTAAAGGTGGCGTGTCGAGAGTTTGTTCCTTCTGATGATCGGATGTGTCCGGAGTTTCTTCCTTCTGGTGGAGTTCGTGGTCTCGCTGGCTCAGGAGTGAAGCTGCGGACCTTCGCGGTGAGTGTTTCAGCTCTTAAGGCGGCACATCTGGAGTTGTTCGTTCCTCCTGGTGGGTTCATGGTCTCGCTGGCTTCAGGAGTGAAGCTGCAGACCTTCCCCAGTGAGTGTTAACAGTTCATACAGGCAGTGTGGACCCAAAGAGTGAGCAGCAGCAAGAGTCATTGCAACGAGCAAAAGAACAAAGCTTCCACAGTGTGGAAGGGGACCCCAGCGGGTTGCCACTGCTGGCTGGGGCAGCCTGCTTTTATTCTCTTATCTGGCCCCACTCACATCCTGCTGATTGGCCCATTTTACAGAGAGCCAAGTGGTCTGTTTTGACAGGGTGCAGATTTGTGCATTTACGATCCCTGACCTAGACACAAAGGTTCTCCATGTCCCCGCTAGATTAGCTGGATACAGAGTGTTGATTGGTGCATTCACAAACCCTGAGCTAGACACGGTGCTGATTGGTGTGTTTACAAACCTTGAGCTAGATACAGAGTGCCAATTGGTGTATTTACAACCCCTTAGCTAGACATAAAGGTTCTCCAAGTCCTCACCATTCAGGAGCCCAGCTGGCTTCACCCAGTGGATGCCGCACCAGGGCCGCAGGTGGAGCTGCCTGCCAGTCCCGCGCTGTGCGGCTGCACTCCTCAGCCCTTGGGTGGTCGATGGGACTGGGCGCTGTGGAGCAGGGGGCGGCGCTTGTCAGGGAGGCTCCGGCGCACAGGAGCCCACGGGGGTCGGGGGAAGGCTCAGGCATGGCGGGCTGCAGGTCCCAAGCCTTGCCCCGCCGAGAGGCAGCTAAGGCCCTGCGAGAAATCGAGCGCAGCGCTGGTGGGCCGGCACCGCTGGGGGACCCAGCACACCCTCCGCAGCCGCTGGCCTGGGTGCTTAGCCCCTCAATGTCGGGGGCCGCTCCGAGTGCAGGGCCCGCCGAGCCCACACCCACCTGGAACTCGTGCTGGCCCACAACCACCGCAGGCAGCACTGGTTCCCGCCCGCGCCTCTCCTTCCACACCTCCCCGCAAGCTGAGGGAGCCGGCTCCAGCCTTGGCCAGCCCAGGAAGGCGCTCCCACAGTGCAGCGGCGGGCTGAAGGGCTCCTCAAGGGCCGCCAAAGTGGGAGCCCAGGCAGAAGAGGCGCCGAGAGCGAGCAAGGGCTGTGAGGGCTGCCAGCAAGCTGTCACTTCTCGCTTTCAATTAAGGAAAAAAAAGTGCTGAACTTGTGCCGGTTCAAGCTAGTTCAAGGCAAGTGAGCTTCTTTTCCATACCCCTTCTTATTCCTACCTTGTTTTCTCAAAATTCATCATGAAAGGATATAGGGAATGAGATCTTCCATGAAGAGCAGAACACCAGGTATATAAACAACTTATATTCCATATGCATGTTTTAAAACTATTCCCTCCTCTTATAGCTCTGTTATACAGACCTCTAGTTTTGACTCTTTTCTTCTTAGACAAAGATGCCTAGAACTACAATGAGCTTATTGCTTTCAATAATAAAGACCCCACATTCTTATTTCTACAGGCTAAAATTGTGTTAAATTTTTGAGGTGCCACATCATATTATCAACTTGTATTAAACTTATGGTTGCCTAAAAGTCCTGAATCTTTTCCACATACACTAATGTTGAGTATCATTTTCTTTTGAGCTTGATTAGAGCCCATTATTCAATACCATATATTATTATTTTTATCGTAACCCTTTCTTTTTTCATGTCAACATTCTCATTCAGCTTTTGAGTATATTAAAATCTTAAATATCCATATGTTCTAGTTGTTTATCCAGGTTATTGGTAAACTTGTTGGAATTTGAGAGGATCAAGGGAAAACCTCTGAAACACTGTTTTGAGTATCAATTTCCTTTTGCCTTTTAACTTTCAGTAAATTATTTTCACTGGGCACAAAAACACCTAACTGAACCATTAGCCACCCTTTCATTATTTATTACAAGGATTTCTTTTCAAATTTCAAAGATGCTGTGTCTCTTTTACTAGTATTTGTCAATTTACTAAATAATTTGAAAGAGAAATAAGTAATTATGGCAAAGCTTCATTTGGTAAACCAGCTCATAGTGGTGTTGGTTGATCAGTGCACCACACTGCACAGATTCTACTTTGTGATCTGATACGGGCTTTTGCTGTGATTCAGTGTTTGTCAATATTTACTGAACGTTGTTTTCTTCTTTTGGTTTGTATGTTATGAAATCTGCCTTGGCTTTTTTTCTGTCAATTCTCTGCGAGTCTTCTCAGTCAAAGCACTTGAATTTTAAATGTGGTCTAAATCCGATGATAGGAATCTACACTATTCATGATCAAGCACATTCAAAGACTGGGCAATAACTCATGAATTAGTGTCACATCAGATTTTCTCCTGTGGCACTCTGACGACTTTTGCCCCTCAGATATATAATAATGGCTTATAATATGTCTCTAATCATGCATTTGCCTTGCCAACCGGTTTAGTTCCAATATCTAAGTTGTGTATCTGTGTATATATATATGTGTGTGCGTGTGTGTGTGTGAGAGAGAGAGTATAATTAGTATAATTCCTTACCTTGGTAATCTACTTATAATAAGTGACACATTCCTCTTAGTTGGATATGATGTCTTAATCTCCTGAGTCTTTTGGGGGCTAAAATACTGCCTGAGTCACAATCCGATGACAAGAGCCTCATTTCCTGTGGATTAACTTTTCTGAGCCTTTCTACCTTCCAGCTGCCTGTCTCCCTGATTCCAGGCTTATCTATCCTAGAAGTCCTCATTATCATGCTCCCTGCACTTGCTGATTATGCCCCCTGACCTTCCCATATATCTCCTGCCTGGTTACACTGCCGTCTCTCACTTATCATCGTCATTGCCAGACGCCAAGTTTTGGTTCATTGGCTGGATGGGGGAGACCTGTCTTAGGAATTCAGGCTCCTTTGCTGATACTCTGTCACTGGCTTTGCTGCTGCTAGATTTCTTGGTTATTTGGAACATCCCAAGTCCAGTTAGGCCTGATGAGTCTTTGCTTGCCACAATCTCCTCACCAACACAAATAACCTATTACTGACAGCTAATTTCTTTGCTCCCGTATCTGGTTGCCAGTCTTCTTTCCTATTGAGTCTTTCTAGTTTCGACATCCCAGCACTTTGACTAATACCAAGCCAGTTATTATATCATCTCCCACATAGTGCTAAGAATTAAGTAGAGGGTCCATATATATAAATTGCTCTGTAAGATTCCTCTCATCTGCCATATTTGTGAAATCTCCCACCTCTGTTATCATAAAGGAGTTATTTTCATCTTTTTCATAGTCCACAGGGCAAGTCTGTTTTTTACCTGTTTGTCTCTTTTACTGGACTATGTGTTTTTCTGGGACAGAAGCCACATGGTTGTTTAGTCACATAAACATTTATTCAGCATTTAATATTTGCCAGGCACCATGTTTGGCAGCACAGGTAAAGAAAAATATATACAAACATACACAATTGTGTGGCTTTAGTAACTCTGGGTCACTGGATTTTATTGCTAGTATAAGTAGTTTAGTTTAAGTATTCCACAAAAGTTTTCTGAATGAATGAATGTGTTTGCTAAATAATTGAAAATAGATTTTTAAATCTAGTTCCTGAAAAAATTATGTGCTCTAGTGCATGCTCCCTAAGAAGTAAATGACACTTATTGAGCAAAAATAAAAACGTAAAATAACCGTTGAAGTTGTATTAGATGCTAGACCTCAGAGGTTTACCATAAATAAGATAAAGCTGTATGCCAAAGGCTAGCGTCTTTTTTCTATAAAAGACCAGATAATAAATGTTTTCAGATTTGTGGTCCATACAGTTCTGCCACATCTACTCAACTCTAGTATGGTAGCTCAAAAACAGCCACAGATACCTAAATAAATGGGGATAACTCTGTTCCAATACAATTTTATTTATGGATTCTGAAATTGGAATATATAAAATGTTAATGTGTCATGAAATATGATTGTGTTTCTTAATTTTTTCTGAATTATTTAGAAGTCGTTTATGGTTTATAAGACTTACAGAACGAGGTAATGAGTAAAATTTAGCCAGTGGGCCCCCATCTACTGACCCTCGATCTAAGCTTTTCTTCTTCTTTTTTTTTTTTCAAGAACCCTCATTTTAAGATTAAACTTCAGTTTCTTGATATAAACTTTTAAAATTTTTGTAAACAAAAATAGATTAGGTCCAGTTTTAGATGTTCAATATTGAAAACA
This sequence comes from Homo sapiens, assembly GCF_000001405.40. Taxonomy (NCBI): domain Eukaryota; kingdom Metazoa; phylum Chordata; class Mammalia; order Primates; family Hominidae; genus Homo; species Homo sapiens. The sequence goes on from NC_000017.11 coordinate 52,887,551, forward strand.
AGAAGGAGGCTGGGCTCGGTGGCTCATGCCTGTAATCCCAGCACTTCGGGAGGCCAAGGTGGTCAGATCACCTGAGGTCAGGAGTTCAAGACCAGCCTGGCCAACATGGCGAAACTCTGTCTCTACTAAAAATACAAAAAAATTAGCTGAGTGTGGTGGCAGGCATCTGTAATCCCAGCTACTCGGGAGGCTGAGGCAGGAGAGAATCACTTGAACCTGGGAGGCGGAGGTTGCAGTGAGCCGAGATAGCTTCATTGCACTCCAGCCTGAGCAACAAGAGCAAAACTCTGTCAGAAAAAAGAAAAAAATAAAGAAAAAAAAGGAGTGGTGGCATTGTCAAATACTCTGGACAAAGCAAAATGTCATGGCATAATGCAAGAACATGGATAATCGTTTGTTGGCTGAAGGCAAGGGCTTATAGTGGCTTATTCTCTAGATTATTTTCAGTCTTCAGATTTAGCAATTCCCTTCATGGAATTTTGGTAGAGAGGAATTAATAAGGTTCAATAAAATTATCTTTTTGTGAGTAGGTTTAAAATAACTCTTGAGTATTGCTTGCATTAAAAGCAAATAAACAACAACTTATCCTTGTTAAAATCATACATAACAGTAGAGTTGAGGCAGGGATGTTTGATCTTGGAAGCCTGGATAAGCCTTTGCCTTAATTTTGTCTAATCTATGCTAGCATTATAACACTGTTATTTTTCAGCCTGTATTTCTGCCTGTTGGTCAGTTGAACCAATTGAACCATGTTTGTGTCTGAAAGTTAAACAGAATGACTCCAGTCCCAATATCCTCTTCAGAGATGTCCTCTTTTCATTATTTCTACTAATTTCATCTCCAGATTGATTGCAAACAGTAGGTTTCTAAGGTTTCTAAGAAAGAGTAGGTTTCTAAGAAACAGTAGGTTTCTAAGACTAAATTCATCTCCAGGTTGATTTTAAACAGTAGGTTTCCTGCAAATGATTTTAAAGGCCATACAATTCTGAGAAGCAGCTGGTGTCTAGATCATTTATTTTTCTCCCTCTTTGTCCGTGAATCTCTCTCCTTTCTCTATTGATCATGAAGGTTTTCTCTTCAAGTAACTTCTAGAATTCTCTCTCTTTCCAATAAGAAGGTGAGGAAGTGATATTAAAAAGAAAAGACTGTTACTGAACCAAATGAAAGGCTATATAAACATTTCATGTAAAGGGTCAGAGAAAAAATATTTTAGGCTAGGTAGGCATATGGTGTCTGTTGCAGCTACTCAACTGCATTATAGAATGAAAGAAGCTGTAGACAATTAAAAAAAAATGAGCTGTGTGTGTCCCAATATATTTATAAAACAAGGCATCAGGAAGGATTTGACCAGTAGGGAATAATTTGCCCACCCTGAACTAAAGTGTACGTTGTATTAGTTGTGCCTATTGAGTAATTAATATTATTTATTCTTAAAGTAGAAATATGATATTGTGTGTCTTAAGACAAAACAAAAACAAAGCATATTAAATTATAATTATAGACTATTTGCAATGGGGAAAAAGTCTTTCAAAAATTACATACATATTAACATATACAGTTTATATATTTATATTAATAATAATATAAAGGTTTAATATAACCTTTGTATTAAATTAGAAAATGTTCCTTTAAGCACCTGCATCTCACACTTGGTTTACAGAACCTGTTTAAGCAGCAGATATTTCTGTACATGTTTCTTTGTAGAAGAGTTAGGAATGAACTGTGGCTTTAACCATTTGCATGAGCTGAACACAGGATGAATCTCAGTATCTCATTTGCAATATTCACGGACTTGTTTGCTTTGTCTGGTGCCATAGAGTTTATACCTTGTCACACACTGGCTGAATCATAGTGTATCGTCCGTCTTTCCAGACTCTATTTCTGAGTTGATAAAGTCTGAGGTTCAATGGCAGATTTACACATGCTGTTTGCCCACCTGGTCCTTATTCAAAACCACTACTTCCTCACAGTGAACACTTGATAGCAATGTCTATATTCATTCTCTTCTGGACAGATCCCTTGACGCTATCTTTCTAATGTCTATAAATGATTCTTTGGTATAATGGCAGTGGAAACGTAAAGCAATTTTTATGTAGTAATTAGCTGCTTTGCAATCCAAAGAAGTTCTATATAACGTGAATACTATGTATGTCTCTAGCCTAGGCTAGTACAGATATTTGTTGAGTCCCTACTATATATCAATTTCTATATCTAGATATTTCCATGTATTTTCATTTAATCATCACAAACAACCTGTGTGATGTTAAACCCAACTAAAAGTGAAAAATAGAATTATAGAGAGTGTAATAAAGTTTCCCAAGGTTTCACGTGTAGCAAATGGTCAACACTATATCATAGTGGTGATAAGCCCAATTTCTATAGTAGACTGAGAAACACTAGAATCCTAGTGCTAACTGCACTGTTACTAGGTGGTGTGACCTTGGCAAGTTATTTACCTCTCAAAGCCTGATTCTTCAGGTCAAAAGCAGAGGGATGTTGATTTGTAAACCAGATGAGATGTTGCATGTAAAACACTTAAGGTTTCTAGCTCTAGACAATATACTCAATACATGTTGTTGGCTCTTATCAAAATCACAGATCCAAAATGAGAATCCTCTTTCTCATGGCTTGATAGGCTGATCTTTCAACGACACAAAGGTTAGTACTCTTTCCATTCACATTCACACAATCTGTGTATCATAATTGAAATGAAACCTGAGAAATCCTTTAGGTTAGGGTCCAATTTCAAATTCTGGTAGGGTCAGGCAGATAGCATAATTGGCTTAAGTTGGGTGGGAGTAGAAAGTGCATTGCATATGTTTTGTGAGTGATGGAAACTGGAGTGCAGACTCCCTATCTTAGAAAAGGGAGCAGCTACTTAGTTCCAACAAATTGTTGGTTAATAGAAATGCAGACCTGAATTTGTTAGTTCATTCCATTTTTTCAAGACCAGGCAGATATTCACATTTTCATGTGAAATGTGCCAATTTTAAGTTGCTTGCTTTTAAAACTTTAAAAACAGATAGACATAACAAACATATATCCCAACTGGATTTGGTGCTTGGACCATTCACCTGTGATCTTTGCTAGATTAACCTTGATGTTTGACCAATGACAAAACACATTAAGAGAGGTAGGTGACTTGTCAATATCACATTGGATATCAGTTGAACCCCAGGGTCAGCCAGTGAGGAATATGGTGGAATTAGGACTAAAAGCCAGGCCTCTTTTTACTCCCACACACTATTACTATTAATAATTTTATATTTGAACAATTTCATTTAGATAATTCCATCCCAGATCACTCCAAAGGCTCTTTAACTGGAAGATGTTTCTTTCTAATATTAGTGTAAAGGAGTATTCTAGAAATAACTGCTAGTTTTTCCAGGTTTGATTGTTTTACCCTAGAATTTCCACTTAAAATATTACAAGAATTTATGACTTTAATGTCAATATCTTTCTTTATAAATTTAGAAATTCCATGTTTCTACAAAATAAATCATGACTTTTTTTCTATTCAAAAGATAGTTTCAAGTGAAATAATGAGGATTATACTTTCAATATTGCCATAACATTGCAATTCTCTAAAATGAGAGCATTAGGATAAATACCTAATGCATGCAGAGCTTAAAATCTAGATGACGGGTTGATAGGTGGAGCAAAACGTCATGGCGCATGTATACCTACGTAACAAACCTGCACGTTCTGCACATGTATCCCAGAACTTAAAGTCAAATTTAAAAAAAAATGCCTGCGTTGAATTGAACATTTGTTTAAAAGAAGGGGAAATGCAATATACAGGTATGTATGAGGCTCACATGACAACCCCAGTCAGGCACGTTGCTAAGCACTTTATAAGCGCTGTCATATATTATTCTCTTAAAAGATCTATGGAGGTCTCTTTTATTATTTTAACAGTTCTTTTAATAATTATCTAGATTCATAATTATGTATAAGGAATTAAGTCTATGCAGTCATGCCACCTGGCAAATATTCCACAGTTAATAAGTAATGCAGACAAAAGTAAAACTCAAGTGTATTGGTTATTAAGCCTTGAAGTAATAAACTTGTTCAGAAAAATTTTTGGAACTCTGGAGGAAGCCACATCATGATATAAACTTAAGATAATGAAACATCTCTAACAGGCCTGCCCAAAAGATTATGTCATATAAACATAATACCTTTGTTAATACGTCTGTTAAGAACATTTATGCCTTAGGGCTTTGGTACTGACTGTTCTCTCTGTTTAAAAGACTCTTCTCCCAGCACTTCAAGTGGCTGACAGTCTCGCATCAGTAACACTTTCTCAAAGTAACTCTCAACCGGTTAACTAGAAGCAGAGACCAAAACTATGTTTTATTATATCATCCAGCTTTATTCATTTACAGTCCTTATTATCTGAATATATTTTTTATGTATTTAGGTAGCTATATCTCTACATAGCTATCTTCACTCAAACCCAAGGTCCATGAAGACAATGGATTTTCTATATTGCTCACCACTGTATCCTCAAGCCTAGAACCCTACATGGCACATAATAATCCCTCAATAAATATTTGCTAAATAGATGAATGAATTAACTTTGTGTTACTCTTAGCCATTTGTTTTGGTCATAAATATGATACTGTGTTTGAAAACACAGGCTATCAAAGTACAGAGGGTATTGCATTATGTTCAATGCAGAATCAGGAACTCTCCTGTTAATAGGGAAATGTTACTTGAATCCCGATTATAAAGCATAACAAAGCAAGCAAATAAATTCACACACACACACATACACACACACAACAATTTTAAAAGTCATTTTGGGGACAGTCCAGGATATTTAATATGTACTCTATGGTACATGGTGATATGTTAAATTCATTTTCTTACTGTGATAATGGTATTCTGGTTCTACAGGAGAATGACTTTGGCTTTAGAATGTGATGCTGAATTATCCAAGGATGAAGTGTCAAACTATCTAAAATTTACTTTTAAATGACTCAGCAAAAGCAAAACTATGTAAACTGTATATAAATCATATATTTATATCTAAATCTGTGTGTGTGTGTGGAGGGAGAGAGAGAATACGAATGTAATAAAACATTAATTATTAGTGAATATAGGTGAAATGCCCATGTTACAAGTCTTCATTTTACAATTATTTTAGCTTTTCAGTAGGTTTGAACATCCATAAACTAAAATTTGCAAGGAAATTAAGAAAATATTTCTGATATGACATAACTGTTTAATATTTCCTTGAAATTTATTCTTCAATTTCTGTATTTACATATCTGTTTAGTGACATCAAAATGCTTAAGATGACAAGATGGAAAAGAACAAAGTTTGTAAAAAGCTGCGTGTGACTCTCAATTAATAATCTACTTTAGTCTCTTTCTTTAAATTTTATAGATATACTTGAATTGTAAAAATTTCTCCCGTTTAGTCTAAGGGAGAAGAGGTTTGATCGACTTTATGAAAACTATTTATATCTGAGTTATCATAACACATAAACGAAGAGTGTCATCACCAAGGGCAGTTATTTACAGGAAAATAGATTTTACTAAAATAGATTTTCTATCTCCAAATTTATATACTGTACATACTCTAAAATAATTCAATGAACTTGGAAACTGGTAGACATATTAAATATAATAACTAAAGAACAATAAAATGAAAATTTTTCTCACCTTTCTGTTTTTATGAGCATCTTTCAACAATAGACACAATGCAATATTTGCCTCTGGGTCTCAATGTTCAAGTACATGGAAATAATTTTGAAGATTGCTAGCTTTGTATGCAGGTAGCTAATTATTGATTAGAACCTTTTCTCATTACAGGGAAAACTGATTATCTACTCTCATGGCTCAAGACAATAAAATAAAGGGACAGTTAATAATGTGTAGTCGTGCATTTCACGAAAAAAGTTACAGTTGGAACTGTGAAAAAGTGGATACGCTTATTTTACACCACCTAGTCATTTTTAACCAAGAAACAATTGGCACAAAAATGTGTTTTCAATACAAATGTTTGGATGGACCCACTAATCTTTCTTGTAAATATGTGATACTTTTTCACTAGTTGTTTCACAGTAGCAAACACTGGAAATAGGAGGCTTTACTACAAATGCTATTTTACTTTGTCAGTTTCAGTTGACTTATCCTATGAAAGATCCAAGACTAAAAATCATAGGATCCTATCTCAGTAATCAGGTCGACAAGATACAGGATTTTGTGCAGCATTTTATGATGAAGATTTAGAGAGATTTTTAATGAATTCTGGAGTAAAATCATTATGATGCTGTTTACAAATTAAAGTTAATAGTAACAAGGGAATAGATTGTTGAGGAAGCTATCTTACTAACAGTGTTCTTCTTGAGGGCACTTGGTAATTAACCAGAAATAAAATTTTTATCGTCACTTTTACTTTCCTTTGGACCATTTTGTCTCTATAAATATGTTATTCCTATGTGTCCTTGAGAATAAACATTTATCTCTGAACTCCTGCCTTCATATACAAACTTCTCTTTCTTTGTCTCAACTATTAGTATTCATTGCTGAAGTGTTATTCAGTCATACATTTAGGAGCCATTTATATTTATTCAGTAAGTTATATTTCAGTTTATAGTGGCTAATATGTATTTCAGTAAAGATTAATTCCATGCTTTGGGTATTACTTGTGGATAAAAATATCAACTAATTACAAAAATTAGCAGGGGTGGTGGCACATACTGTAGTCTCAGCTACTCAGGAGGCTGAGGCAGGAGGATCATTTTAACCCAGAGGTTGCAGTGAGCTGAGACTGTACCACTGCACTCCAGCCTGGATGACAGAGGTGGACCCTGTCTTGAAAAAAAATCAACTAATATTCATAAGACAAATTATTACATAACTTTATCCCAGTTGAGCCTCAAGATGATCTTGGGAAATATGTAGAGGCATACCTTAGAGATATTATGAGTTCTGTTCTGGACAACCACAGTATAGTAAATATCACAATAAAGTGAATCACATGAACTTTTTGGTTTCCTACTTCATCTAAATGTTATGTTGACACTATACTGTAGTGTGCTAAATGTACAATCACATTACATCTTAAAGCAATGTATGTACCTTAATTTAAAAATACTTTATTGCTGATAAATGTTAACAATCACCTGAACCTTCAGCAAGTTGTCATCTTTTGTAGTGGAGGATCTTGCCTCATTGTTGATAGGTGTGTGCTGATAAGGGTGGTGGTTGCTGAAGACTGTAGTAGCTGTGGCAATTTTTTTTCTTTTTTTGATGGAGTCTCACTCTGTCGCCAAGCTGGAGGGCAGTGGCACAATCTGGGCTCACTGCAACCTCCGCCTCCCGGTTCAAGCAATTCTCCTGCCTCAGCCTCCCGAGTAGCTGGGACCACAGGCACGTGACACCATGCCTGGCTCATTTTTTGTATTTTTAGTAGAGACGGGGTTTGACCATGTTGGCCAGGATGGTCTCGAACTCCAGACCTCGGGATCCGCCCGCCTCGGCCTTCCAAAGTGCTGGGATTTACAGGTGTGAGCCACTGCACCAGGCCGGCAATTTCGTAAAATAAGATAACAGTGAAGTTTGATGCACAGAATGATTCTTTCTTTCACAGAAGATTTCTCTGTAGCATCTGATGTTGTTTGATTGCATTTTACCCACAGTATTTCTTCTTGCAAAATTAATTAATCCTCACAAGCCCTGCCTCGGCTTTATCAAGTAAAGTTATGAAATATTTGGAATCATTTGTTTTTATTTCAACACTGTTCACAGCATCTTCACTAGGAGTAGTGGTACTACTCTTGCAATTTCCGCCACATCTGCAGTTACTTCCTTCACTGAAGTCTTGAAATGTTTCAAACCTTTCAAAATTGATTCCAGTCCTCATGGATGGAAACCTTTCATCCATGATGATTGCAATCAACTTCTTCCAAACGTCTGTTAATGTTGATATTTTGACATCCTTCCATGAAGCAAGAATGTTCTTAATGGCATCTAGAATGGCAATTTTCTTTCAGAAGGTTTTCAGTTTACTTTGCCTGAATCCATCACAGGATTAACTGTCTATGGCTGCTATAGCTTTATAATATATACTTATTAAATAATAAGACTTGAAAGTCACAATTTGTTTTTGATCCATGGGATGCAGAATGGATGTGTTAACAGGCATGAAAACCACATTAATCTCGTTACACATCTCCTTTGCAGGACAATCTGCATCAGAAAATTGGGCAACTCTGCAGAATTGTAGGGATTGAGACTTGGAAGCCTTGATGTTGCTTAATTGGAGAATAGAGGTGGAGTTACACTTCACTAGGGTCCACGTATGAGTATGTGGAAATAAAATCAAAGAAAATCACTGGCCTCTGCTTTTGAAAAACTGAAGAAGAAGAAAAAATAAAGTCAGGTTACTGAAAGTAACAGGTGAAAGCTAGAAAAATGTGGAAAATAGAGCTAAAGGTCTCCAAAAAAAATAAAGAAATGCAAAAAAAAAATGCAGGACATTGACAGAGTGGTCCATCTAAGTAGTCAATGCTAGATGTCACTTTGCTGAGTTACTCTGACAGCCGCTTGAGTTCACAGAGTAAACAGACAAAAGGGTGGTAGGAAACCAGGAAAACAAGGGCTCTGGTGTCATTAGCAAAGGAGGCTACGGTGCTCTTAAAATTTCCAGCACCAGACAGTGTCAAATATAAAATTATTAATGCTTAGGATGGAGGGAGAATTTAAAGGGTCCATAATAGTGCCAATATTTCCATAATTCTGTATAAATTTTACAGCAAGGAACAGCTTTGAGTACACCATGTCTGGATGTTTAGGAACCCCACTTGCTCATGGTCATTCCCATGTCTTCTCCTAAAGATGAATTATGGATCCTAGTTAGCACCCAGAGACTTAGCTGAGACCCTTCTGTGCTCTTCACTTACAATTTCCAGTCTCCTTTTATTATATTTCCACTAATGAAACATTTTTTAAATTTTCAAATCAATTATTAACCGATACTATGACAAAATGAAATAAAAAGAAATGAGAAGGAAAATGATTACACCCTTAGAAGTGATGATAGTGTCAGATTGCTATACAGGTTTCTATATGCTCTCTTAATTTATGTAATTATCTAGTCCCAGCTCTGTAACATTTGTGGGTCAGTGACAATTCAGGGATCACATTTGAACAATTACTAGATGACCTGGTGCCTCTCTTTATTGTAATACAATGTATGGATAGGACATAATTTTTACATATTTTAGTAAAGTTCTAGAGGTAAAATTTGAGGTCATAACTTTTTAGTGCAAATCTCATTGTTTTCAAAACTATTTGCAAGATATTGTTAAAGTGGCTTGGGGTGCCTTTGAATTAAAGTTTCCTTTTTCTAGGTGAAAAAAAAAAATAGCAAATGTTGGCGGTGGCATTGGCCTGCATCTTACTACTACTTTCTCAGTGCTCCTGGGCTTAGAAGGAGACGTTTGGAGGATAAAACATTGTTCTTCAGTTGTAAAACATTTGGAAGATAAAACTCTACAGTCTCTGTCTAGCTTCTGCATATCTTTGATCAATCAATTCAAAATATTATGAACTTATTTTTCCCTGAGCTGTTATCAAGACGAGTTTGCAACAGTGGGGACAAATTGAGAAATCTCCTTGAGAAAGATGCTATAAATTAAAATGTTCTGAGTTTTTCATCCTGCCTTTGCATAATTATCCATTGTCTGGGTTTCAGAAATTTTTGAAAATAAATAAATCTTGGCATGTCCCATAGATTGTATACTATGCAAGATTTCTAATCAACCTACTTTCATCTGTGTTACGTGTTGCCATTATGTAAATAATGAAGTTTCTTGGATTGCTTGCCTTTCCCCTTGTCCAAACACACACAGTCTTGGCAGAAATATAATAAGTTGCTAATAAGGATTTTAGGCCTATTTTTTGTATAAATATTTGAGATGCTACAATAAAATAATATTGATAGTGAATGCATATATAGCACTTACTATAGACCAGGATCTGTTCTAAATGTTTTATATGCAGTAACAAATTTAGCCTACTTAACAACCTAATGGAATTTTCACTGTTAGTCTCCCCATTGTTCATGCACTGCTATCATCTTCATTTTACCATGTTGTTAGGGTGAACCAATGTTGTTTTTGAAAATAGGTCAGGGCCTTCTCCTGAAGGTCCTATTCCCCTTGTTAAATCATTGCAAATGGAATATACCAAATTCAGTAAAGAAACTTGAGCAGCTCTGGTAAATTAAGTCAATTAAATTATTTTATCACATTCGTAGAGTATTGGGCATTCCCATTATTCCAGTTCACCAGGCAGAACTTTCAGAGGCCAAGACTTCCTTTTTCTTATTACATAGCTCACTTCCCATTAACCCTATTCAAAATCAATGATTTCTTGACATTAAAAAATATCTGCTCTTTTATCCAGATATTTGCAAATTTCTTGGTGTTTAAAAAATTAAACATCTGGGTGGTTGTCTTCTTTCATTTTAAACCCAGTGATGTTTTTCTGAAAACTCATGATTGTATTATCAAAATTGCAATTCTCACCTCTGCCACTTCTTAGCATGGTGTATGCTACCAGCTTGCTAGGTTAGCAGTAGGTTAGTATAATGAAGCTGGAGCCAGGATAATGACACAGTGAAGAAGTATGTTTCAGTGGTGAATTACATGAGCTACAATTTCTTCATTGCAGCATTCCCCCAAAGGCTTCTTTATTCTATTGCCATTGACCATCACGGTAACAGCTCATACCATGAAGTCTTTTATAGTGGCATTACCAGAAATGAAAGATGGAAATGTGAAGTTTGCCCACATTTTCTTTTTTTATTTTGTAATGAGTGTAAATTTAATAATTTTATATATTTTCTTGTTTTGGAAACCTGAGGTGGTCTAATACTCAACATTTGTCAGTGCCCACTGGAAACCATTCTGAGACTCCCTGCAGCTGAGGATCACAGGTACTACTTGGGTCCATAGTCCCTTACCCGATGTCAAAGATTAACAGTTATGCAATAAATAGAAGACAGTTGAATAAACTATTATCTATCTATCATCTTTCTACCTACTATCTATCATCTGTTATCTATTATCTTTCTACTATCTATTTTATCTATCTATCATCATCTATCTATATTTATCATTGAAAGCCTTCTAAGAAAAGCGCACTGTACCTTATAATTAAATGTCTCTGTTCTTGGCTAAGAAAACAGAAATTATAAGGTACCTAAAATAAAGGGGATAGAAGTATACTGTAGACCAGAACCTGTTAGAAACATCCAGTGACTTTATATTCCTGCTTGTAAAGCTGGATAGCTGGTAAACCTCCTTGTAGTATTGACTGTAGATACCCCTACTGTATCACTTGAACCTTATGCATACATAAACTCCCTGATGTAGACCTCATCTTTCTTCTACACAAATCAACTTGGATTCTTCCTTCAGCTCTTAGATTAGGACTTCTTGCCACTTGGAACCCACTACCCTTCCTGGCAATTTAACTGGTACCCTACCACATCAACCTTATTTTCTCTTCCTAAGGGGAAAATGAAGCATATAGGAGTCAATTACACTTTCAGGGTTTAAAAAAATCACTGACAGATTCTGTGTCTTTCTTTAGCTCCTTTATATTCCTCAGGCTTCAATGACTGTGTAGTTCATGGTTGAATCCAAGACTTCATTTCAAACTGCTTTTTAGAATGTTTCGGACAAAAAGTCTAAAAATAGTAAAATAAAGACCAGAAATGGGTCTATGTGCTCCTATCTATCTCTTTGTTCTTTTCAGCTTTTCATTGTAATGATGTGAATTATTGCTGAACTGATGACCTCAAACTCCTGCAAACAACTTGGATATCAGTGACCCCATGAGAATCTGTAATATCACTGGACATGAAAAGAAGCCTGGTCCCTTCTACAACCATGACATATATTTGTATTTATGGTCCTCTGGAGAATCTTGCCTTTTCCCACCAATTTTTATTTTACTCTATCTATAGTATTGTAATTTCAGAAGAAGAAAATAAACTACATTCCATTCATTGCCTGACATGAAACCATATTTTTATTACATCTGTCAAGTGACTCTAGATATCTAATCACAAAGTGAGATCTGAGTGTGCCTTTCATGAATACTAAAAAAAATTCACTGCATCTCATATATATATACCCCAGATTCTATTTGTTACTTCTTCCATACAATCTGGATTTTCTTAAATAATTTATATGTAAATGGTTTAGTAAATACAATTGCTATGAATTTTCTGGTGAAAAAGAGGCATTCAATCCAAAAATTATACGTACTTTGAAGTAAAATTTCCTAGCTGTGAATACCTGTGGTGACACCATCTACATTAACCCAGGTATGTTTCAATTATCTCATCTGCAATATTGGTATAGTAGTAGCACCAAACTTAAAAGGTTACAATGACAATTAAATAATTAGTATGTATAAAGTGAACACGCAGTGCCTGTCATATAGCATTTGCTATAGATATGATATCTATTATTACCATTTGGTAGGCATTCATTTATACTACATTTGGATCCAAGATGAAGATGTCAAACTAGATTAGCTGCTTGCATAAAATAGTGGAAACTCAAGAATGAACAAGTATCAAGATAAATCACTTCATTTAAACAAAGTGAGATTGGTAATCTTTTCATTCATTCATTTTATTCATTCCTTTTTTTACTCTGGAAAATATAGGGTAGTTAGATGAGAGATCATATTGATATTATAGTGTAGTGATAGAAAACAGAGCAAATGGATAAATAAATGCATTTGATTGTGATATATGGATGAAACTAGGTTGATATGATAGAGAATAACTAAACTGGAAGAAGGTTAAGCGTGTTCCATAGGAATTTGCATTTGAGCTGAAACCTAAAGGTAAATGGGTGAGCCATGCTAAGAGCTGGAGGCAGAGAACTCCATATAGATGGACCTTTGGCCTTTTGTAGAAATAGGAAGTATTATTTGGCTAAAGGACGGTAATCCAGAAAGAGAGTGGTGGGAATAGAATCGGGGAGGGGGACAGACGGTAGAACGGGTAAGGCATCATGTGCCAGAATAAGGCCCTCAGTTGTTTTTTTTTTTTTTTTTTTTTGCTGAGTACAGAAGAAACCAATAGGAAGATTTTATACAAGAAAGTGATATAGCTGGATTGACATACATTAAAATCTTTCTGTCTCATGAGGAAAATGGTTTGATGTGGGTGAGGTTCTTGACAAGAATGAAAGCAACAAACTGTTTAGGAAACAACTATCAAAGTCAAGGGCAGAATGTTCTAGTATGGTAGGGGTATAGCTAAAGAAAGTGGGCAGGTTTCTGTCATATTTCAGGAGACAAATTGATTGGAACAGCTTGTGAATTTGATATGGGTGAAGCAGGAAAGATGGTTTCAGTAACTACATAAATGGCTTACTGTATATTTTAAACTGCAAGATCTATGTGGGAAAGTAGCTGGCTAATATTAGGTCATTTATCTAATTCTCAGTCTTATCAGTTGATGATATAAACCCCTCTCACCTCTGGCTTTAGCCTTGTTTCAATCTCCGCTCACCTCCAAGCTGGATGGGGCTGGAAATAACCTTGGACAGACTCCACCCATTGCTCCTTGTGTAAATTCTGGCTTCTACCTGTTCACCAAAAATCATTTTCCCTTAACTTCTAACAGTAGATTACAGTACTGGATTTCATTTTCACTCATAGAATAGCAGTAGTAGTAGTATGTAGACTGTAGTACTAGATTTCATTTTTGCTCATAGCATAGCAGTCAAATTTTTTCTCCATCACCACCCAGGTTCATCTTCAGCCCAGGAATGAGTCTTTAAAGCAGTCTGTCTCAAACAATGTTTCCCATTTGGCGGTGCTGTATATCTTGAGCTATTTTGTTTTAGACCCCTCTACACCTGATTTTTCAGTCTACTCAAAGTACTCTTACCACTTGATTTGTCAGTTTACCAGAAGTTTGTACCTTGGTTTTATCCCATGATACTCTTCTCCCATTTCTTCTCTTAGCTTTGCCTATCAATTTTGACTCAAAACTTATCCCTTATTTTATAATTACTATTAACAGCTTTATGTAAATAGTCCTCCTGAGCCTGAGAAAGCTGTCTCTTCCAAAGAACTTAAATGCCACACTCTCACTGTTTGTCTTGTAGGTGCAATAGAGACATAAGAATCCCTGACTTGATTCTTAACCTATTAGATTTGTGCAAAACTAATTGTGGTTTTGCCATTACTTTTAATGACAAAAACCACAATTATTTGTGCACCAAACTAATACTTAAATAAAATTTGGAAACTAAAAGCTGCCTAGGTCTTGTCAATACTTGTGCAACACTTGTAACAAGCCTCATCTCAATAGTAACTTGTTTGCCAGGCTACTAACCAGAGCCGAAGAGGAGGAGCCAAGTGAACAAAGATATTGCCATTGTTTTTACTTCAGGGTCCATCTCTCTGGAAGCTACAACTTCATCCAGCCAACAATATTAAATACCAGTACTGGTTCCAGTAGAACTTAAGTTTTCCCTCTGGATATTTTAATTTGTGTTATTGGTCTGTGGCCATACCACCCTGGAAGTGCCTGATCTCGTCTTAATTTGTGTTATTGAATTTTTTTCTTCAGCACCAAGGCCTATATAGCTGATTTTCTCTAGCCTCAGTTCTGGATCTTTCCCATTTCCTTACTAGTCAGTCCCACTAAAAGTGTTGCATATCTTTTGGTTTACCTTGATGTGACCTTCTAAATGTTCATCTTACAGATGTACGAATGTTAAAATAGCTTTGTTGAAAATACCACGGAGTGCTGCATACACCAAAATCTATCATTACATAGAGTAAAGTAAAAGTCCCAGTAAAATATTCTTAGAGATAAAGGTAGGCTCTCACTAACCACAGCACCGGCCCACACCTTACTTCTACAAGGTGCATATGTAAAAAATAACTTTAATATTGCAATACTGCAGTTTCTGTATTTCACCAAGTTGAAATCACAAAGCCTAGAAAAAGAGAGAAAATGAGCATGATGATTAATACTGAGTGACAACTTGATTGGATTGAAAGATGCAAAGTATTGATCCTGGGTGTGTCTGTGAGTGTGGTGCCAAAGGAGATTAACATTTGAACCAGTGGGCTGGGAAAGGCAGACCCACCCTTAATCTGGGTGGCCACAATAAAATCAGCTGCCAGCTCGGCTAGAATAGAAGCAGGAGGAAAATGTGAAAAGAGAGACTGGCCTAGCCTCCCAGCCTACATCTTTCTCCCATGCTGGATGCTTCCTGTCCTGGAACATCAGACTCCAAGTTCGACTCCAAGTTCTTCAGTTTTGGAACTCAGACTCTCTCTCCTTTTCCTTCAGCCTGCAGATGGCCTCTTGTGGGACCTTGTGATCGTGTGAGTTAATACTTGATAAACTCCCATATATATCATATATATCAGTATTTCCAACTCTCTACACATTCTATGCATATAAAAATCAACCTGATTATTTCAGAATATCTAAATGCCAGATTTCTAGATTTTAACATTGATGGTCCCATTAACTGTTCATTTCTCTTGTGTCAAGTTAAGGTTGGGAAGCAAATGATGATAAGTTCATAAAAATTTATATGATATATATCCACTCCATTTATATATATAAATATATATAATATATATGTATATATAATCCATTAGTTCTGCCCCCCAGAGAACCCTAATACAATGAGTGTATTAAAACAAATTATGAAAATTATGAAAAACAAATGCAGCACATATCAAAGATTAACAGTGTAATAAATATAGAAATCCACATTCAAAACCCAAACTAATGCAGCTGAGACACTGAATTAGGGTCTTTTTACCTTATGTTTTCATCCCACACTTTAAAACATACATTGGATCTGTTAATGGGCTGCACCTCTTTTCTATTAACATAAAAATAAAAACATCATAGGCAGTAGGTTAAATCTATAAGGGAAAGGCATACGCTTGCTTGGAAAACTAAAACAACTTGGGAAGAGTCTCTCTCCCCACAAGTAGCCAGGGCTAGTGCCATTTTTGTAAAGAACATGCAGACTCCTGAGTTACTCACTGCTCTGTGGCACTGAGGTAGATTACTATCTTTGTAGTAATGTAGATTAATATTTTTCATCATATGACTTGCCCCATTGCTGTGTGGGAAATTCTCTAATCAATCATTCCTCTCCATCACTACCACCATTTTTAAAAAGAGATTTAGGCTTGGGGAGGTGGCTCATGCCTGTAATCCCAGCACTTTGGGAGGCTGAAGTGGGTAGATCACCTGAGGTCAGGAGGTTTGAGACCAGCCTGGCCAACATGGTGAAACCCTGTCCCTACCAAAAGTACAAAAATTAGTTGGGTATGGTGGTGCATGCCTGTAATCCCAGCCACTCGGGAGGCTGAGGCACGAGATTCACTTGAACCTGGGAGGTGGATGTTGCAGTGAGCTTAGATAGTGCTGTTGCACTCCAGGCTGGGTGTCAGAGTGAGACTCCATCTGAAAAAAAATAATAATAAAATAAAATAAGATTTATTATCAGGGTAGATGTGGTGCTTAGTTTTGGCATTTTTATTTTGAATTATTTGTACACGTAAGACTCAGTCTTTAAAAAAATTGCTTGATAAATTTTCTCAACTTTAAAAGAATTTCACCTTCTTTCAGGAAAATTGCCACACTTACCTTAGGACATGTCAGACAGACACTATGCTTCCTGGCTGGGGTAGAAAGAACTATGTCTTCCTCACCTAGAGTTAGATTCTTAATAAATAGGTGTAACTTTACAGTTTTGGGGAAGAAAAAAGAAAATTGTAATGTTGGTCCTTAGACCAAATTTATTATCAAATTCCCATGAATAAAGGGATACACAGAATCCCAGAGCAGCCTCAAGGCTAATTCTGGTAAAATACCTGGGGATGTCTGGGCATTGACTTACCTAGCCTAGCAGTGATTTCTCACAGGACAAGTTACAAGAGTTATCAAGAACAGTTAGAGAAACCAAAAGTCTATAGCAACTCAATGAAAATGGCCAAATAAATGCTCCTCAGGCTTGGCAGAATGCCATTCTTGTTCCTTACACTGATGAGGGTCTGCAGAGATCAGGGAGCTAAGATGACTACTAACAGTTTGAGTATTTTCTTTTATTTGATCATTTCAGTATAAAACAAAGGCAGAGGCAAAAAATTCCAGCAGTAACAACAGAACTATCACTCATGTCTTTCAATATAATTGTGACATTTGTCTGACAATCATTGCCATTTTGAGAGCCCAGATGCACTTATAACCTTCCTGTTAAGATGTTTACACAAATTGTATGATTAATTTCTACTTAACAGTATTTGTAACTCTCTGCAAATCAACCTGATTATTTCAGAATGTCTAAATGCCAGATTTCTAGATTGTTAACATTGATATTCCCATTAACTGTTCCTTTCTCTTGTGTCAAGTTAAGGTTGGGAAGCAAATGCTGATAAGTTCATAAAAATTAGGGTATTTTTTTCTCCAGGTCTTGGCTATAACATTATTGATGAAATGCTTGCACATTTTATAACCTACCTGTCAAAGTCAAATTTAATTCATATGAAGTATTTTTTATTCTATGACTTTCCATAGCCTGCAAAGAATATGGCAGTGATCTGTCTTAGAATCTGCATGACCTAAACAAAGGGATCTGTTTAAATTGCTTTTTTTGGGTTCCACCCAGCCCTAGCATTCTATCATCAACTACGCACAATCATGAGAATTTCCCATAAAAATTCCACAAAGCAGTGAAAAAATGGTTTTACATACATTATACCATTTTTATCAAGGCTATTTTCTCTTTTTTTCAGTACGCATGCCTGTATGTCATTCAAACTTTCTTTTGCAGTAGGTAAAGATGAAAATATTCCCTGAAAAGCTGCCACAGTATGCAAGAAACAGTCTGCATCTCACCTTTGGACCTAGTTGATAGAGGTTTCTTCAAAAGGCATATGACAGGTGCCAGAGTAGGGGAGACTGACAGGACATTTACTAGGAGGTAGTGGAGGTAGATTTAATAATGTATTATAACCTTAAAGATCTTTCAATAACTGCAATTTTTTCTTAAATAAGAGACGCATCTAAGAACATCTTTAATGTCCGGTACATTTGTACAAAGCTTTTATTTATAATGAAATACAACATCAACATAACAGGTTCTGATAATTTGAGTTCCTATCCAAATGTTTTACAATAGTCTAGAGCCTTAGATTAGCCATCAGTGCAGCAGTGTATAACCTTTTTGCTTCTAAATAAGCATATTTAAGAATGAGACAGAAGTAATTCATATTATTAAGGCTACATTACATGAAAAGAATAAGACATTCACAGTTTGAGCCTTAAGCTTATTATATAAAACGCAAACTGATTGCAGATCAAGTAAATTATACTCAATTTTTCTCAATACTCTGCTAGAATCTACTTTGTAAAATTCCAAGAGAAAGAGTATTTTATTATTACCCCTTCACCCCCAACATATATTTAAGCTATATTTGATTGTATATAATACATACACTTTACTAAATTTATGGTATACAAATGATTTATATATGCATATTATGAAATGCAAATATTTGTATATAAGAATGCTAGCTAGCATATAAAACAGTGAAATGCCAATTAAAATATCCACAGCACAGCAAAAAAAATGGAAATATATTCATTATATACCACATTATACTTCTAAAACTAAGACTATTACTCCTGAGAGAAATTTTACCTTATATAACACTCCCAAAGTATATTAATAAATAAAACTTCTCTTGCATCTATCAAATTTTACAGAAAAGATTCCAGGTTTGGTGAACCGTTTTCTCTATTAACCCAGCAATCAAGTCATAGTAACTTACTTATTCTAATAAATAAATACCACCACACATTAGTAATAGAAAACTACTTTGTGCATCATTTTTTTAGTTGCGAGTGGTTATATTTTGCCTTAAATCAGATTCCTTAAAAGCAGACACAGACATGAGGACTCATATGCAAGTGCTTACTGTAGAAACACTTCCATGACAAACCACAAAGTAAAAAGATAAAGCACTGCAAGAAGAGCAAAAAAGCCAAATCAGCGTCAGGTTTCGAACTCCCAGTCTCAGTCTCTTCCCAGGGAGCAGTTTGGAGTGTAAATTGTCCCACAGACTAGTCCTACTGGAAGCAATTTAGCTAAGCTTTCATACTTTTGTGCCTGTGAACTAAGATAAAGTAAATTTCCAAGCCCTTTTTGGAAAAAAAAAAAAAAGTTCCAGTAATCAAAGGACAGTATCATAAAGAAGGGTTGTATTATAGGCCTTTAGAAGCAAATTTACATTGAAGCTGAAGGCAAGGCTCAAAGAAATAGCAAGAAAGATCCAAGAGCAACTGAGCAGAGGACCAACATTACCCACTACACATTTGCTGAGGGTGACCCTATTTTTTATCAAAGACAAACTCTTCCCACCCTAGTCATACATATTTACATCTTATATAATTATCCCCCAAATTTCTAGGAACACATATAAATTAAACATTCCAATAAAGTAATTCTCATCTATTAAATTGAATAATTGAACTCGATTTTCTCTAAGATCCCCTTAAAAGCGTTGTCTGGACCAGCCATACTCTCAGTGTGTGGCCTATGAACCAGTTCCAGTTGTTGAACTGCGAGCACCATTCTATGAAGAGAACGACAATTGAGAGTAAGCATTTAAAATAATTATAACTATTTGTTGGATAATTTTATATTTCAGTTGAATCAAGTAAAAATGTGGCTTGTATTTTCTATATATTTGTTTTTTCTTTCATTTGTTTCATAGTAATTC
This sequence comes from Homo sapiens, assembly GCF_000001405.40. Classification (NCBI taxonomy): domain Eukaryota; kingdom Metazoa; phylum Chordata; class Mammalia; order Primates; family Hominidae; genus Homo; species Homo sapiens. Next base: position 52,907,368 of record NC_000017.11, read on the forward strand.
ATTTTTTATTGTATTTTACAGAAACATTGTTCTGCAACAGATCAGAAAATTAAAAAGCTTGTCCTCAAGCTTTCTTTGTAGTGCAATTTGAGTAGCATTCTTTTATACTATCCAACTTCAATTTGTCTCCTCTTACTCTCTATTAAGCCTTTTTCTAGTGTGCTTTTTGTATTAGCTTCCTAGGGCTGCTATAACAAAGTATTAAAATGCTGAGTAGCTTAAAACAACAGAAATGCATTCTTTCACAGTTCTTGAGCCTGGAGGTCTGAAATTAAAGCATTACTGGGGCCATGCTTCGTTTGAAGGCTACAGGAGAGAATCCTTCCTTCCTTTTTCCAGGTTTTTGGTGACCCCAGCTTTTACTGGACTTTTAGCATCATAACTCCAATCTCTGCCTTCATCATTACATGGTGATATGGTTTGGCTCTGTGTCACCACCCAATTCTCACCTTGAATAGTAATAATATTCACATGTCATGGGAGAGACCCAGTGGGAAGTAATGGAATCATGAGGGTGGGTTTTTCCTGTGTTGATCTCATGATAGTGAATAAGTCTCATGAAATCTGATGATTTCATAAAGGGCAGTTTTCCTGCACATGCTCTCTCTCTTGCCTGCCACTATGTAAGACATGACTTTGCTTCTTCTTCGCCTTCTACCATGATTGTGAGGCCTTGCCAGCCTTGTGGAACTGTGAGTCAATTAAACCTCTGTACTTTAGGCCGGGTGCAGTGGTTCACGCCTGTAATCTCAGCACTTTGGGAGGCTGAGGTGGGTGGATCACAAGGTCAGGAGTTTGAGACCAGCCTGACCAACATGGTGAAACCCTGTCTCTATTAAAAATACAAACATTAGCCAGATACAGTGGCATACACCTGTAATCCCAGCTACTCAGGAGGCTGAGGCAGGAGAATCACTTGAACCAGGGAGGCAGAGGTCACAGTGAGCTGAGATCACGCCACTGCACTCCAGCCTGGGCAACAGAGAAAGACTCTGTCTCAAAACAAACAAACTAAAAAACTTCCACACTTTATAAATTACCCACTCTTGGGTATGTCTTTATTAGCAGCATGAGAATGGACTAATACAGGAAATTGGTACTGGTAGTGGGGCACTGCTATCTAGATACCCAAAAATGTGGAAACAACTTTGGAACTGGGTAGGTAACAGGCAGAGTCTGAAACAGTTTGGAGGGCTCAGAAGAAGACAAGAAAGTGTGGAAAAGTTTGGAACTTCCTAGAGACTCGAATGGCTTTGACTAAATGCTGCTCATCTCAGATGGAGATGAGGAACTTGTTGGGAACTGGAATAAAAATGACTCCTGCTACATTTTAGCAAAGAGACTGAACACATTGTTCCCCTGCTCTAGAGATCTGTGGAACTTTGAACTTGAGAGAGATGATTTAGAAATCTCTGGTGGAAGAAATTTCTAAGCAGCAAAGCATTCAAGAGGTAACTTGGGTACTGTTAAAAGCCTTCAGTTTTATTCATTCATGAAGATATGGTTTGGAATTGGAACTTATGTTTAAAAGAGAAGCAGAGCATAAAAGTTCAGAAAATTTGCAGCTTGACAATGCAGTAGAAAATAACCCGTTTTCAAGCCAGCTGCTAAAGTTTGCATAAGTAATGAGGAGCTAAAAGTTAATCATCAGAACAACGGGGAAAATGTCTCCAGGGCATGTCAGAGGTCTTTGTGGTAGCCCCTCCCATCACAGGGCCAGAAGTCTAGGAGGAAAACATGGTTTCCTGGACTGGGCCCAAGGCCTTACTGCTTTGTGCAGTCTCAGGTCTTGGTGCCCTGAGCCCCAGCTGTGACTAAAAGGGGCCATGGTACAACTTGGGCCATGGCTTCAGGGGGTGCAAGTCCCAAGCCTTGACAGCTTCCACATGGTGTTGAGCCTGTGGGTGCACAGAAGTAAAAAACTGAGGTTTGGAAACCTCCACCTAGATGTCAGAGAATGTATGGAAACTCCTGGATGTCCAGGCAGAAGTTTTCTGTAAGCACAAGGCCTGTGTAGAGAACATCTGGAGGGCAGTGCAGAAGGGAAATGCAGGGTTGGAGCCCCCACACAGAGTCCCCACTGGGGCATTGCCTAGTGGAGCTGAGAAGAGGGCCACCATCCTCCAGACTTCAGAATGGTAGATCCACTGACAACTTGCATCATGCACCTAGAAAAGCTGCAAAAACTGAACCCTGGTCCATGAAAGCAGCTGGGAAGAGGGCTGTACCCAGCAAAGCCACAGGGGAAGAGCTGCCTGAAGCCACTGAAGCCCATCTCTTGCAGCTTGACCTGAATGTGAGACACAGAGTCAAAGGAGATCATTTTGGAGCTTTAAGATTTGACTGCCCTGCTGGATTTTGGACTTGCATGGGGCCTGTAGCCTCTTTGTTTTGGGCAATTTCTCCCATTTGGAATGAGTGTATTTACCCAATGCCTCTACCCCTTATTGTATCTAGGGAGTAACCAACTTGCTTCAGATTTTATAGGTCCATAGATGGAAGGCACTTGTGTTGTCTCAAACGAGACTTTGGAATGTGGACTTTTGAGTTAATGCTGAAATGAGTTAAGGCTTTGGGGACTGTTGGGAAGTCATGATTGGTTTTAAAATGTGAGAACATGAGATTTGGGAGGGGCCAGGGGCAGAATGATACGGTTTGGCTCTGTGTCTCCACCCACATTTCACCTTGAATTGTAATAATACCTATGTGTTGTGGGAGGGACCTGGTGAGAGGTAATTGAATAATGGGAGCAGGTTTTTCCTATGCTGTTCTCATGATAGTGAATAAGTCTAATGAGATCTTACGGTTTTATAAAGGGCAGTTCCCCTGCACAGGCTCGCTCTCTTGCCTGCCACCATGTAAGACGTGACTTTCCTCCTCCTCCTCCTTCCACCATGATTGTGAGACCTCCCTGGCCATGTGGAACTGTGAGTCAATTAAACCTCCTTCATTTATAAATTACCCAGTCTCAGATATGTCTTTATTAGCAGTGTGAGAACAGACTAATAAACATGGCTTTATTTTTTGTGTATGTCTGTGTTCTCTTCTCTTCCTATAATGACACTGTCTTAGAACTTAAAGCTCACTCTAATCCAGTATAATTTTATCTTGATTCTTGACTGATCATATTTTCAAAGACCCATTTCTAAATGAATTAGACATGAATATGGAGGTGGATACTCTCCAACCCTCTAGACTTCCCCAGCTCTCCTAGTTGTACTTGTTTGCATTTGCATAGTAACTTTCACATTGCTAAATTTAATGGTCAATTTTAAGTCCTCACCTAATTTAATTCATATAGATCATGGTTTCCCAAGACAGTTCTGTTTTAAAACTGTTGTCTAAGATGGGGATTGTTTTAACTTTAAAAAGTGTTTGGATAACAAGTTATATAGTCTGCTAACTTTAATTAGGACCTGACATAGCTTATAACTCCCTTCTCCATATATTATCCGACTTCACTGATTTATCCTTTTCATTCTCTTTTATTGATTTCCCTTTTCTCCTTAGCCTCTTGAAGTTGGGTTGCCTCAGTGTTCAGTTCTTGGATATTTCTCTTCCTATGTATACACTACTTTTTGGTGACTTCATGAACCCAATATTTCAAATATTTCTCTAGGCCCACAACTCCCAAATTTGTGCATTCTGATGATTGTCCCTTGAACTCCAGATTTGCAAACACAACTGATTACTCAAAGTCTCTACTTGATGACTAACAAAAAAATAAAATTATGTTAAAAATGCAAAGTATGAGTTCTGCTCAACCTGTGGCTTCTTTTATTTCAGTAGTGCAGTGATGAGCACTTTATGTATAAAATAGGGTGGTCAGGATAGAATTTATTGGTACTACATTTGAGCAAAGATTTGAAGAATGTGAGGGACTTCATTATACTTACAGCAAAAAAAGTGTTTCAAACAATACCACAACTATGGCAAAGGCCTGAAGGAGAAGCGTATTTGTTGTGTGCTTGGAGCAGCAATATTGCTGGAAAAAAAAAGGGGAAAAGAAGAAAAGGGGGAAAAATTATGTACAATCTTTTAAATTGTGGTAAGGATTTTGGCTTTTGCTCATGGCCATTGTAACATTTTTTAACTTTTTCTGGGAAAGGGGTAATTGTTTTTATTAATGTATAACACAAACAGAAAATTGCACAAGTTATAATCATAGAAATTAATCAATATTCCTATACTAAATATTCCTGTGTAACTCATACCCATATAGAAACAGAATATTATCAACATCCCATAAGCTCCACTCAGGTTTGATTCCAGTCATTACCTGTATACCATGCCCCCAGGAGTAAAAACTATCCTGCTTTCTAACGTCATAGATGAATTGATGAATAAAGATAAATGTAATAAATGGTAGATTAAATGTTGATAAATTAGATCATACAATGGGTACTTGTATTGGTTCATTTTCACGCCACTAATAAAGACATACACGAAACTAGGTGATTTATAAAGAAAAACAAGTTTAATGAACTCACAGTTCCACATGACTGGGGAAGCCTCACAATTATGGTGGAAGACAAAGAGGAGCAAAGGCATGTCCTACATGGCAGCAGGCAAGACAGAATGAGAGCCAAGCGAAGAGGGAAACCCCTTATCTCTTGAGAAGGACCTGTTGAGTACTCACTCTCCTATTACGAGAACAGTATGGTGGAAACAGCCCCTTGATTCAATTATTTCCACCTGGCCTGCCCTTAACACATGGAAATTATTACAATTCAAGGTGAGATTTGGGTGGGGACACAAAGACAGTATCAGTACTCTTTTGGTTCTGACTGACTCATTTCATCCAGACTTCATGGGAATCAAGGATTCTCAGGAAGATAATAGAGCTAGGAACTGAACAAGGAAAATTCTGGTGGTGATGGAAATATTCTATGCCCCAATTGTGATGGTGGAAATGCTATAATATACATCTGTCAAAACTCTTAGAGCTGTACACATAAGAAGAATGAATTTTACCACATATAAGTTATACCTCAACAGGCTTGTTTTTTAAAACAACCAAATGCTGCATGTTCTAACTTCTTAGTGGGAGCTAAATGGTAAGAACTTGTCAACACAAAGAAGGAAACAATAGGCACTGGGGTCTACTTGAGTTGGGAGGGTGGGAAGAGGGAGAGGAGCAGAAAAGATAACTATTGGGTACTGGACTTGATACCCGGGTGATGAAATAATATGCACAACAAACCCCTGTGACATGTGTTTACCTATGTAACAAACTTTTTCATGTACTCCCCAGCCTAAAATAAAAGTTAAAAAAATGTTGAGGCTGGACACGTTGGCTCACGCCTGTAATCCCAGTACTTTGGGAGGCCGAGGCGGGCGGATCACGAGGTCGGGAGATTGAGGCCATCCTGGCTAACATGGTGAAACCCCGCCTCTACTAAAAAAAAATAAAAATAAAAAATACAAAACATTAGCCAGGCGTGATGGCAGGTGCCTGTGGTCCCAGCTACTCAGGAGGCTGAGGCAGGAGAATGGCTTGAACCTGGGAGGCAGAGCTGCTTGTTAGCTGAGATCGTGCCACAGCACTCCAGCCTGGGTGACAGAGCGAGACTGTGTCTCAAAAAAAAAAAAATGTTGAGACAAAAAACGTTTAAAAATAGAAAATGAAAAGTAAATTGCACATTAGACTTGACAGTTTTTAATTAAAAAAAAAATCTTAAAAAAATCCAGCAGCTGCTAAATATGGGAAGAAAAATAAATTTATGGGGAAAGCATTTGCTTGTTTTGGGACCTTTGGGTTTGGGGGTGCTGGAGAAATATCTCTGTGGACACATTTATCCAGTACTAGAAACTTTAAGTCTGGAAGTTTAGAAGAGAGGTAGGGAAGAGAAAACACAGAGGCAATACTTGAAGGATTTCAAGTGTATAATAGAATGGAAAATGTGATAAAATGTGGTGTGAAGAATTCTATTTGATATACAATTGTTGTACTATGTGTTTTAACTTTGTTAAATCAAAGTCGACTGTGCTACAAAAAAAAAAAAAAATCCAGCAGCAGGAGTTCTTTGATTTTTGTTCTTCTGTTTTACTATTAATGTGCCTCAAGGATTTCCTTTTTGTCGACTATTTTCTGTGTCTTGAAGATAACTTTCAGGTTAACTTTTGACACTTCAGACTCCTGACTGGTTCCGTAAATAACTGTTTTTTCCTATTTTTTTAGATGATTTTGCTTCACAGTAGTGTGTAGATATGTTTTCTGCCCCAATCAGCTGCAATTAAATTGGGTTAAAAATACATAACATAAATGTCCAGCACTGCTTCTTAATGAAGGGCTATGAAGAAGATCATTTTACTTGGAAACCACTATGGTTGTGGCAGGAACTAGAATTAACATGTTCTGTACATTAATGGATTTTCAAGTTGCACTATTTCCTTTAATAAAATAGATTAAGCTGCTGATTTAGGTAATTTGTTGTCATATTGTAAAACCATAAGGCTTTTTCTATTAGCATTCTTCTTCGCAATTTGCAATTCCCTTCCATTGATTTTTAAGTACAGAAGTTTGATTGACAAAGCTCTTGGGTTTCTTGTAAAATGATAGAATGATAGTTAAGATCCTGAAAGTTTGAGCCTATGTGACTGAAGTATTACAGAATAACAAAACCCAGTTCAGTTACAGACATGATCTATTAATAGATAAATTTAAATTTAATTCAAATTCATTAAAGAAGTGCCATACCTACAATTACCCAAAAATCAGAGGTAGCTATCACTTGTGACTCTGATGAATTTTGATTAATGTAGAATGTAGACAAAATATATTTTGAGACTTTACTTTTCACTTTGATTTGGGAAGAAGATTCACTTTTGTTTGTAAGCCACAATAGCAATGGGTTAATAAGCAAAAAAACAAAAATTACCAACTGCTATTTTGTCTGCAAGGCAAAACAAATAAGTTTAAATTACGTTTTTCATCTACTCAACAAACATGATTTAAATTTATGCTTGGCACAAGATGCTGTGCTGGTAATAGCAGGCACAGTTTCTGCTCTCCCATAGGATACATTAGTGGGAGTGACTGATAAGTAAGTCACTATACAAATTGAAATCCGATATGCTGTAGGAGTATAGAAGATGGAGCAATCAATTCTGACTTAGTGGATAAAGGAAGACTTTTGAATTCGGTCTTGAAAGATAAGGGGATCTGAAATGGATGAAATAGAGGAACAGCATTTCTGATGATGGTAAAAGTTTAGGCAAAGAAATTATTAAGCGTTTTCAGGGAAAGGTAAATCATCTATCGTGGCTCATATGAATTAAGAAGAGATGTAGAAAGAAATTTGTATCTATGAAGAATTTAGGCTGTACAATGAAAGGCATTAAGCCTCCATATTGTGAGTTACCCTTCAGCTTGTGATCACCTATTCAATGTCTGCCTTCTCCATTAGATTCTATCTCAATGAGGGAAGTGTCAGTTTTTAACTTTTAAAACACCTTATCACCAGAGTCTAGCGCAGAACCTTGCACATATTAGACAATTATATTTTATAAATATAATGTAAATATTAAGTGAATGAGATAATGTCATGCTAAAATCTTGTACTTACTGTACACTGCACATAAAATATACAAAAATACAGAAAGAAAGACTTTCTTAATATTTTTTGTAGTTTTTATGTATTTAGGGGGTATGAGTGCATATTTCTTACATGCACACATTGCACAGGTATGAAGTTTGGGCTTCATCACCTGAACAGTGAACATTGTACCCAATAGGTAATTTTCCAACCCTCACTACCCTCCCACCTTTTGTAGTCACTAATGTCTACTATTTCACTCTGTATGTCCATGTGTACCCACTGTTTAGCTCCCTCTTATAATGAGAAACGTGCTATATTTTACTTTCTATTTCTAATTTATTTCACTTAATGGCCTCCAGTTCCATCCTTATTGCTGCAAAATACGTAATTTAAATCATTTTTATAGCCGAGTAATATTCCAAGGTGTGTGTGTGTGTGTGTGTGTGTGTGTGTGTATGTGTGTGTGTATCCTGTTTTTTTAATCAGTGCCCCATGATGGACACGTAAGTTGATTCCGTGTCTTTATTATTATGACTAGTGCAGCAATAAACATATGAGTGCTGGTATCTTTTTGATAAAAATTATTTATTTCCCTTTGGGTAGAAGTAGTAGGATTGTCAGATTGCATGGTATTCTATTTTTAGTTCTTTAAGAAACCTCTGTATTTTTTTGCATGGTGGTTGTACTAATTTACATTCCCACTAACAGGATTGGGAAACCATCTGTAAAGGGAACAGCATTCCCTTTTCTCTGCATCCTTGCCAAAATCTGTTGTTTTTTGAATTTTTAATAATAGTCTGACTGCTATAAGGTGGTATCTCTTTGTGGTTTCCATTCACACTTCTCTGATGACATTTAGCATTTTGTTTATATGTTTGTTGGCTGCTTGCATATCTTCTTTTGAAAAATGTCTATGTCCTTTGCCCACTTTTTAATGGGTTTCTTTGTTTTTCCTCCTGTTGAGTTGAGTTTCTTGTAGATTCTGGATATTAGCCCTTTGTCAGATGTATAGTTTGTAAATATTTTCTCCCAGGGTATAGGTTGTCTGTTCCCTCTTTTGATTATTCCTTTGGCTGTGCAGAAGCTTTTTAGTTTAAGTCCATCTGTGTTTTTTCATTTTTGTTTCTGTTGCATTAGCTTTTTTTTTCTTTTTTTAAAATTATTATTATACTTTAAGTTCTAGGGTACATGTGCACAATGTGCAGGTTTGTTACATATGTATACATGCGCCATGTTGGTGTGCTGCACCCATTAATTAAGGACTTGGTTGTAAATTCTCTACCTAGATGTCCAGAATAATTATTCCTAGGTTTTCTCATAGAATGTTTATAGGTTCATATCTTACATATAGGTCTTTATTCCTTGAGTTAATTTTTGTATATGGTGAGATGTATGGGTCTAGTTTCATTCTTCTACATATGACTCTCAAATATTCCCAGCACCATGTATTGAAAATGGTGTCTTCTCTGGTGTATATTTTTGTTGACTTTGTCAAAGATAAGTTGGTTTTTGGTATGTGGATTTGTTTCTGGGTTCTCCATTCTATTCCATTAATCTACGTTCCTATTTTTGTACCAGTACAATGCTGTTTGGTGACTATAGCCATGTAGTAGTATTTGAAGTCAGGTAACGTGATGCCTACTGCTTTGTTCGTTTTGCTAGGATTGCTTTGGCTATTCAAACTATTTTTGTCTCCATAAGGTTTTTAAGTATTTTTTTTCAATTCTGAAATTTTAAGATTGTCCTCCACTATGCTTGATCCTTTTATCATTATATAATGACATTTTTCTGTCTTTTTTACTTTATTTGATTTCAATACTATTTTATCTGATGTAAGTATAGCTACTGCTGCCCATTTTTGGTTTCCATTTGCATGGAATATTTTTTCCACCTCTTGATTTACAGTCTATATGTGTCTACAGGAAAGGTGAATTTATTGTAGGTAGTATAGAGTTGGATTATGTCTTTTTATCCATTCTTCAGTCTTTTAGGTGGAACATTTAATCTATTTACATTGAGTGTTAATATTGATGTGTGAAGTTTTGTTACTGTCACGTCATTGCTTTCAAGTTGTTTTAGATATTGTTTGTTCCTTTCTCTGTTTTCTTTGTGGTTTGATAAAATTCTGTTGTGTTGACATTTGATTCCTTTCTCTTCCTCATTTGTGTGATTGATTTATAAGAATTGTTAGGATTCTATTTGTGAGTGTTTTAGTCATAGCAAATATTGACCTTCCTTTCTATTTTTTTTTAATCTGGGTACATAAGAGGTGCATATATTTATGGGGTACATAAGAGATTTTGAAACAGGCATACAATGCATAATAATCACATCAGAGTAAATGGGGTATACATCAACCCAAATATTTATCCTTTGCTTTACACACAATTCAATTAGACTCTTGGTTATTTTAATATGTACAATAAATTAATAGTGATTATAGTAATCCTGTTGTGGTGTCAAATACCAGGTCTTATTTATTCTTTCTAACTATTTTTTGGTATCCATTAATCATCTCCACTTCTACCCACCTGCCCACTAACCTTCCAAGCCTCTGGTAACCATCCTATTCTCTATTTCCATGGCTTAAATTGTTTTAATTTTTAGTGCCCACAAATAAGAAAAAACATGTAAAGTTTGTTTTTCTGTGCCTGGCATATTTCACTTAACATAATGACCACCAGTTTCATCCATGTTGGTCATCCATGACTGTTGCAGAAGTTTTGAGAAGTGATGTGATTCATGGGAACAAGATTTTCTTATGCTGTTCTCATGATAGTAAATAAATCTCATGAGATCTGATGATTTTAAAAGGGAGAGTTTTCCTGCACAAGCTCTCTCTCTTTGCCAGCCACCATCCATGTAAGATGTGACTTGCTCTTCCTTGCCTTCTGTTAGATTGTGAGGCCACCCCAGCCATGTGGAAGTGTAAGTCCATTAAACCTGTTTTTCTTCCTAGGCTTGGGTATGTCCTTATCAGCAGCATGAAAATGGACTAATACAAATATGCTGAGTTAAGTCCTGGACAAGGTAAGCTTGAGACACCTATTCGATTTCCAAATACATATGTCATATGTCAAGTGAGAAGCTGGGTATATAGGTGTAAAGTTCAAGGCAGTAATCCAGTCTGGATATATAAATATGTCATGTATAAAATTTAAAGCCATGGCATAGAATCGTATACAAAGAAATAACCACAGATAACAAGTATACATGTAGAAAAGAAAAGAGGTTCAATATTAAAAGTCAGGGACATGAGGGACAATCAGCATAAAAGTCAGAGGATTTACCAGAAATACTGTTAAAAGCCAGGCAAGTGGTTGCTCTGGATGCACCAAGGAAAGGATATATCAAGGCAGAAAGAATAATAATCTATATCGAGTATAATGATAGCTCAGTAGAGATGATGATATGGGAGAAGAGCAGAAGGATCAGCCTAATAACATTAGATATTGAAAGTTTGTTTCCAGGACATAGGGAAGAACAACAAAAGGAACAGGGAACCTCATCTATTCAACAGTGCTCCTTAGGATTGGTTGAGGAAACCCAAAACATTATCTCTGGCTCTTCCACTTTTATTTCCAACTAATCCCCTTAAAATGTTAATTTCTAATGAACATTGGCTTTTAAATCTCTTCCCTTTGCCTCATTGCCCTCTGTCACATGGCCCTTTCAGCCATGGCTGGAGTGGCTGGGATGCAGGGCACCAAATTCCTAGGCTGCACACAGCACAGGGACCCTGGATCCAGTCCAAGAAACCACTTTTTCCTCCTAGGCCTCCAAGCCTGTTTTGGGAGAGGCTACCCTGAAGACCTCTGACATGCCCTGGAGACATTTTCCCCATTGTCTTGGGGATTAACATTCATCTTTATCTACTAAATACACAGTCTTATAAATGATATAGTTTCTCTATGGGCAAGTCAGGGACAACTAATCTATTTAGCAAAATAGTAACCATGCTTAGGACCCATGATCCTCTTAGGGCATCATGAAAATATTTTCATTTCCTTTGAAATTAGAATTTATAAAATGATTAAGTCTGAGAAAGCATTTCCACATATACTGCTGATTTATTTTAAGTCAATGTAGTTGTAAAATATTTTTATACTTTTTTAAATAGTGGAATGCACCTTGAAGAAAAATGTGCCTGTGGCCAATTATTTCATAATTTGCCCCTGGGGCCATACGTATATTGCCCCATAGTGAAGCAATGTTGAAATGGAGGTTTATTCAAGACATTTCCCTCCTTCAAATCCTTCCAAGGAAAAATGTCTCATATTTAGTTAGAACTAACTCTTTAGCTTTCAAATGGCCTTTCTAAATCTTTCCTCTAACTAGGATTCGAGATTTTTTTTTTCTTGTAGAGATGGAGCTTCACTGTTGTTGCCCAGGCTAGAGTGCAATGGCACAATCTCAGCTCACCGCAACCTCCGCCTCCTGGGTTCAAGTGATTCTCCTGCTTCAACCTCCCAGGTAGCTGGGATTGCAGGCATGCACCACCACATCTGGCTAATTTTGTATGTTTAGTAGAAGGTGGCATTTCATCATATTGGTCAGGCTGGTCTCAAACTCCCAATCTCAGGTGATCCACCTGCCTCGGCCTCCCAAAGTGCTGGGCTTACAGGCATGAGCCACCACACCCAGCCAAGATTTTCTAATATTGCATCCTCTTCCTCCTTTCATAGTCTCTGTGCCATAACCACACAGTTGGTTTTCTTGGTGCCTGCCCTACAGTTTTCCTCTTATTTCTATTAACTAGCATCAATTTCTCTTCACCTCCCCTCTATTAACATATGTTCCTATTATACCTTTAACAGTTTAAAATCTATCCTGATACAATAAAATGTTCCATAATCATACACTACAGAAATACTGTATCTTCTGAATATCTGTAAGTTTCTCTAAAATTATATTTATTTATGTGAATATCTAAGAATGCAGAGATGGCTAATTGCTTAATTAATTTACATTGTTCTCCTTCTTCCTTATTAAAATCTACAATATGCTTCCATAAAATATATTTTTTGCTTCCCATATAACTAATTTCTGACATATAAGATTTATGTAGACATTATTGGGTGGGACTTCTAGGAATGCACCCTAAGAAGTGAATTGTTACAGTTGGTCAATTGCTTCTCGGGGTTTTGGCTAAGATCACGTGTAGTATCAGCTGGTGTGAGCCTTTCGTTCTTTGTCTTCCTGAAATACCAATTCAGTGCTTCATGTGAGTCATCTCACTTGCGACCAGGACGTGATAAGCACATGTTAAGTAAGGATGACTGAGAGGTAAAACAGGAGGAGCCTTGGTCCCAGTTGACATTGTGGAATTGTTCTGGACTCCCTAACAGCTTACCTTCGGAACTTTTTATAAAAATAAATAAATAAAATTCTCTTCTATTTTTAAGATACTGTGGGGTTGCCTTTGTTTTTTTTCCCAGTGGAGGATAACTTTTATAGTTGATCCTTGAGCAACACAAAAGTGAGGGGTTCAAACCCACAGCACAGTTAAAAATCCACATATAACTTTTGACTTCCACAAAACTTAATTATGAATAGCCTGCTGTTGACTGGAAGCCTTATCAATAACTTAAAACAGTCCATGAACACACATTTTGTATGTGTATCATGTACTGTATTTTTACAATGAAGTAAACCAGAGAAAAGACAATGTTATTAAGAAAATAATGAGATAACATATTTAAAATATATATAAATATACCTAAATTGAAATGAATCGTCATAAAAGTCTTCATCCTCGTCATCTTTACATTGAGTTGGCTCAGAAGGAGGAGAAAGAGGACGTGTTTGTTTTACTGTTGCAAGGGTGGCAGAGGCAAAAGAAAATCAGCATATAAGTGGGTCCATGCAGTTTAAACCTGCGGTGTTCAAGGGTCAATTGCACTCATATATTTACTTGTTCCTTAAATTATAAAATAGTCTAGCCTGAGTTTTCTGGGATTCATTTATGGGGTTCACCCAGTGCTTTTTAAGAGCTCAGTAACTCTTCCTTTGACAGATGAAATTAGAAATATGTATGGGCATTTAAAAATGTTTGTATAAGAACATTCTAGCATTTATGGCATGTCAAATATGAGATATTTATGTTTCATTATTTAAATCGTGAGTGTACCCACTGTAGACATTGATATATATATATATATAATATATATAATATATATAATATATATAATATAATATATATAATATAATATATATAATATATATAATGTAATATATATGATATAATATAATATAATATATATAATTAATATATATAATATAATATAATATAAATAATATATATTTTTTTGCTCAGCTTGGCTCTCTAGAATTACCCTCTGCCTCCTCATCAACATCTTACAGCAGACTCAGTCATTTTCCGATCCAACCCAATCCTCTGAGCACACCTGAGTGACTCGAGCGTGAACCTCTATTCCAAACTAGCCCAGTCAGGTTTCTTCCTCAGGCATTTTAGAGCTGGAATTGAGAAAGAAAATCCTAGACCCCTTTGGATGACTGGATATAAAGCCCCAAAACAATTAAAGGGTAAATTTGATGCTAAGTGAGCTAGAAATTTGGGGAAGGAATCTTTGTAAAGAGGCCTATGAAGCAGATGAAAGAAAGGAAAAAGAGGTAGTCCTCACATCATGGGAATGCCAGTTTCCAGTTATGCCTTTCACCTAAAAGCTTCTGTGCATTTAGATTCCACAAAACATACTACTATTTTTACAATGTCTTCCTGTGTCTATATAATTTTAATTTAAGCTTTTTGGCTTTTGTGATCCAAAACAGCCTAACTAGAATGGAAATTGTAACCAAAAGCAGAGTGCTATGAATGATAGACCAAAAACGTACAATTTGTCAATTCAAGACATGATACTGTTGTAGGAAAAAGCAGGTTCTTGTCACACAACCAGGAAAAGTTAGGCACACAGATATATTGAAGGGTGAGGGGGAATGGAATTTATTGGGAAAAAAAGGGGGAAAAAATCTCTGTAAAGCAAGAGAGGTTCCTGTTAACAGGCCCTCATCTCACAGGTTGAATCCCAGGTCACCACCGAGGAACAGGAGAGGCCAGGCTCCTACCCCCTGCAGATGGCACAAACTTCCCGAGGCCTCACCCCATCCCCCCAATGCACAGGTGGGCATTATTCAGAAACAATCTGTTGGGAAAGGGTGGGCTTCATCCAGGACTGTCAGACTGGTTTTTCAGCCTCCAGGCTGTTTTTTTGTTCTGTTTTTTTGAGATGGAGTCTGGCTCTGTCTCCCAGGCTGGAGTGCAGTGGCACGATCTCAGCTCACTGCAAGCTCTGCCTCCCAGATTCACACCATTCTCCTGCCTCAGCCTCCCGAGTAGCTGGGACTACAGGCGCCCGCCACCATGCCCGGCTAATTTTTTCAATTTTTTAGTAGAGACGGCGTTTCCCCGTGTTAGCCAGGATGGTCTCGATCTCCTGACCTCATGATCCGTCCGCCTTGGCCTCCCAAAGTGCTGGGATTACAGGCGTGAGCCACCGCGCCCGGCCCAGGCTGTTTTAAGACTGAAGGTGGGGTTTTGTCGGGGCACCCTTGACTGCCTCCTGTCTTTACCATTCACCCCTTTAAAGAAGTACATCTGACTGCTGTTAGAATAAGGATAAGCACAGGTTGAAGACTGATGTTAACTGCTTATTGCTAACAGGGGATGCTCTTTTGGGAAAATGGTAGTCAGAGCTCCCTCAGAGGCCTATTTAAGGTTTCCCAGCTGAAGGAGCCATCATGAGGCTCCAGCTGTGACCGTTTGGAGTTTGATGGCCTGAAGGTAAGAAGAAACAAACCAGGTTATTAGAAAACGTGTATCAAAACAACACAAGGTGGGAGGAGGACAGCTCAAGAATCCTGAAAACTTTTACCAGTTTAGTACAGGGAGAGGGGGGCCAAAAGCCTGACTAGGAGAAAAATGTTTACCCTTTTGCCTGCATGTTAGGCTTCTGGGTTCCCTTCCCCTGAGCCAAGTCCTAAGCCAGCCAGTTTAAGGTTTGGTAAATTAACTCTTCCCAGTTTGGAGGATGCATGTGAGTGGAGCATCCCATATTACAGAGACACAATTACCTGTCAGTGAAGAAAGGACAGAGGAAGAAAAAGAAAAAATAAGCCATTTTTACAAAGGAGTCCTAGGGATTCAGGATGCATTCGAAAGGGGTAAGCTTGGCTTAATCGGCAGGAATCAGTCATACTCACCTGCGTTGTGCCTTTTAACTTCCATTATTATTTACCTTTGGATCCCTCAAATACAGTTTATTTTCCTAGGGCTTTGACCCGAAGCTTGGAATTGAGTTTGGGAAAAAGAATGTCTGCGGGGTTGCACAGACTCCTTATCATAAGCCAGGTGCTAAGATGAAGCTGTAGAATTGAGTCCTCCTCCAACAAGGGAGAGAAAAGGATGTCTTGTGTCAAAATTCTATAGTTTATTATAAACCATCTTTTGAAAATGATTAAAACAAGACAATAATTGTCTGTGAATAATAAAATGTCCAGGGTAGTTACAGTTAGAAACACAATTGACAAAGAAGTTTGGTTGTCAGTGTGGTTTACAATAACTTAACATCCTTAATTATGATTGATAGCATATACTCAGACATTAGAATTTTAGAAATCCGATACAATTTTGGAACATACATTAGTTGACCAAAATATTATTGACCAAAATATAACCTGAAGAAGACTGAACACCATTTTGGCAATCTCATGTAATTGAAGATGTCTAATAATCCTGTTTATTTCCCTTTTGGAAACTCCAAGGGCCCTCTGAAGCATCCAACAGCCAGGTATCAGGAAAGACAATTTTGAAACTGAAGTTTGATTTTGGGAACCCTTTTAAATATTTTAGAGGTTTAAAACACTTGATGTTATGAAACAGAATTCCACATTACCATAAGTTGTTTATTTTGCCAAAATGATGACTCAGATATTTAAAATGCAAAAAAACCCTTTATAATCCTGAGCATATTAGTGCCTTACGAGTACCTTGTTGTGCTTTTATTTTAATATTCACTTTGCAGGAAAACCATATAATACCCTTTGAATGAAGTCAGTATGTTCACACACAGAATTTTTGCAAGACTAATCTTTATAATCCTTCCACCTCTTGTTTGATCTTTTAGCTGTATCTTATATAATTTTTAAAAAAATTTTAACCCTAGATGAGAATTTACACCTTTTTGTAATATTTTACCAAAAACACATTTTATTATTCTTATACACCTTGCATGTAAATCTGTTTCTAGTAGTTTCAATTACATGTTACAATGGTAATGCCTAGCAATTTTTAACTTTAATGTAAAACCTGGTAAGTTGTTTTAATTATGTGCTAGGTGCAGCCAAGATTTGACCCCTTTCAGCAAAATTGGGGCATGGTTAGTTCTATATGTCCCCAAGCCTTACCAATTGTGGAGCAGGCAAGTCAAATAGTTCTCAAAACCCAGAAAGCAATATATAACCTTAAAACATTTAGCAAACCTAGCATCTGACCTGCATAATTTAGTCCACCTATTTATATTGACAACATCTGCTTTTTACCAATAATTTTTAGGCTGTTTTTATTTCTCAAAGATTAAAGTCATATGAAAGGTACCATACCATTTATCTTCCCTTTAAAAAATATTTGATCCAAGCACTTATCTTCCTTTAGGCCAATTAATTAGAGCTCTTTTTATAGGCATCACACACAGCACATATATAAGTACACACCCACCACCACGCCCAGCTAATTTTTGTATTTTTAGTAGAGATGGGGTTTCACCATGTTAATCAGGCTGGTCTTGAACTCCTTATCTCAGGTGATCCACCAGCCTCGGCATCCCAAAATGCTGGGATTACAGGCTTGAGCCACTGTGCCTGGACTGATTTTAGAATTGTCATCAATTTTTATGGACTAGATTAGGGGTCTGCACACTATAGCTCTCCTCATGGGCAAAATCCAACCCACTGCCTGTTATTGTGAATCAAGCTTATTGGGAACATTGTCTAATTTATTTACTTAAGTATTGTCTGTAACTTTTTCCACATTGCAGGGCAGAGTTGAGTAGCTGCTACAGAGACCCCTTGGCTAGCAAAACCCTGAATAATTACTATCTCTCTCTCAGAAACACTTTGCCAACCTCTGGACTAGACTGAGTAAAGCAAGCAGAAAGATCCAATTTTAAAAAGAGGTGAGGAAAATGGGACAACTTGGCTATGGAGAGAGCAAGAAGAATGCAACTGATGTGCACAAAGTTTGAAGACAAAGTTACTCAGGTATTGAAAACTTGGTCCCATTTGCTCATTAGTCTGAACACACATCTGCCCTTATGTTCAATGAGAACACATGAATAACTTAAATAAATTTCCTTTATGTGCTTAAGCTAGTTTGAAATGGATTTCTGTGCCAAGAATTCTCACTTAGATAGTGCCAACCCAATGAGCACAGAATTGGAATGTCTGATTCAGGTTATGACTGGAATACTGATTGCTTCTATAAGATAAACTTCCTTGAGATCCTCAACTATGAAGTTGTTCTAATAATAACATCTGTTTTTATCATCTTGTTTTTGTGATGGTCAAAGGAGTTTACCAATTTTAAACCATTAAACATGTACAAACTGTAGTGTAGTGATTCATCTACAGACACAGTGGAGGTAGATTCATCTACCTCCACATTCTGGAGGGTAGTCTGAATTTTTGCTCTATCACTTCTTAGCTGTCTGACTTTAAATAAATTGCTTAACTTCCCTAAGATACAGTCCCTTTTTGTGAAATATAGTTAATAAGGATCTTGTGAGGAATAGGGAACAACAAATGTAAAGTATATAGTGCCATAAAAAAGGACTTACTAATTATTAGCTGCAATTGTTATCATCCTTAGAGATACTGATTGAACAGAGATAAAGATAATACCTTTTCTCACTATGAAAAAAAGCAGGTTAAAAACATTAGTGGTTCCTGCATAAAAAGAACAATGATTCAACTATTATCCTCATTTTAATATGACCTAGCAGCCTGTGGTCCAAAGTAGGTAGGTTACCTGTCTCTATGCATAGTGAGTACTGGCCTGGTATAAAAACATCTTTCAGTAAAACATTGTGAAATAAAATACTTTTGCTATGGTACATACATTGCATTTTTGAAACACATGTGAATTTGCTGTCGTATTAAGTTGATCCTCTACTTTTTCTGTTTATACAATGAGTTGCTAAAAGTAAGATATGTCTGAGATAAAAAAAAAGACAGCATGAAGTTTAAGGCATGGTCCCACTTGTTACATTATACTAAAGCATTTCAAGGTTTGTTTAAATAAATAGTCACTGGAGCTGAATATCACTTTGGCTTACTGCATTATTCCTATCTCAATAATCTTTATGGTTCCCATACCAGGACTGTATGGATTTCATATGCAAAATAATTCATTAATGAGAAGGTGTTTTATTTTTCTTCTTTATTATGAAAAGAGACTATCTCAAGCTACTTGCTCAGAAGGAGGTTTTAAAAACCAACTTGGAAATATTCAGTGTCATTGTATTTACTGCTAGAATTCCAATAAAATAAATATTAATTTATGGAACCAACTTGCTGCATTTAAATTTAGAAGAGATAGCATTCAAACTAGGAGAAACAAACAATAAAACAGAATAACATAGTGATAATAAAAATATAATGATTTACAATTGTACATGCTTAAAATTGGAAATATGCATAGAACAGGATGTGGCTTGATTTTAGAAAACCAAGGAGATTTTAGACAACAGAATTAAACTGAGATGATGAATTTGTATTATTCTCCTTACTCTTTAAGTTTGATGGGTGGTGAAGAATATCATTATTGTCTGTTATCTGTTAGAGCCTCAGCTTAACAGATTTTTTCATTTTTCCATTGTAACAGTTTAGATCAGGGGTCCACAACCCCCAGCCATGGACCAGTACTGATTTGTGGCCTGTTAGGAACTCAGTTGCAGTAGGAGGTGAATGCCAGGTGAGTGAGGGAAGCTTCAACTTTATTTAAAGTCACTCCGCATTGCTCTTGTTACCACCTGAGCTCCACCTTCTGTCACATCAGCTGCATTAGATTCTCATAGGAATGTAAACCCTATAGTGAACTGCACTTGCAAGGGTTGCATGCACCTTTTGAGAATCTAATGCCTAATGATCTGTCACAGTCTCCCATCATCTCCAGATGGAACTGTGCAGTTGCAGGAAAACAAGCTCAGGGCTCCTGCTGATTCTACATTATGGTGAGTTGTATAATTATTTCATTATATATTGCAATGTAATAATAATAGAAATAAAGTGCACAATAAATATAATGCACTCGAATTATCCCAAAACCATTACCCCCACTGCGCCCAGTCTGTGGAAAAATTGTCTTCCATGAAACCAGTCCCTGGTGCCAAAAAGTCTGGGGGCTGCTGATTTAGATCACATTGGTTTCAAGTAATGGGGATTAAACTAAGTAAGCCAAAGGAGAGCATTTATTTTAAATATACATGAATATAATATTAACCCCAAAGAGAAGGGAAGACAAGAAAACAGCAACTGAAAAGTCTTCAGAATTTTATTCTTCAATTATATATTCCTCTGAGAATTTGTGTCATTTGTCACTGTCATTGCCATCACTGTTCTCTGAAGACTGACTGTCTTGCTATTTATTTTGTAAAAATATGGCTTCCTAATATACTTCTTTTCATATTGAGATGAGAGGTTTTCCTGACTACCCCTCTTGCAGAACATGTGACAGGGATATGGTTCACCTGTTCAGCCTCCGTGTGCACTCAAACCCTTTACAAGAAGGGGAGCACAGACATGGGTAAGGTGCAGGAGCTGGGGAAAGTGCCCCAGTGCTCCTGGGTTCCAGCCCTGTGGCAGCATCCAGGAGTGGGAGCCCATGACCCCCAAAGCCCACGTGGGCATGTGTTACAGGGTGTTTTTTTAGCCTTACTTTCTGTGGACAGCTTAAGTGTTAAACAGCTCAGTGCCTTCTTGGTACCCAGGTCCTTGTCCAGCATCCAAGAAGAATTGGGTTACAAATGGACTTAAAGGATGAATGTGGTGGTTTTACTCAGTGCTGGAGGTGACTCTCAGCAGGATGGATGGGGAGATGGAAGGGGGTTGGAGTGGAAAGATGATCTTCACCTGGAGTTTGGCCATGGAGCCGCCAATCTCCTCTCTGATCATCCCCAGCGAAACTCCTCTTGGTATTCAGCCACTCCTTCTCTTCTTTCCTTCTCTGCCATGCTGTTCTGCAATTCTTCGATTTTCTGTTCATCTCCTCATCTGCTTCTGGAGCCTGGGGTCTGGGGTTTATATGGGTACAGGATAGGGGGGTGTGTTGGGTCAGAAGGCAACTTTTGGATGCAAAAACAGAAATGCCTCTTCTCACTTCAGGCCACGGGTTTTCAGGCTTGAGGGTGGTGCCTTTTCTGAGGAACTGCCCTCTTTTACACAGTATTTCCTCTCTCCTGTCCGTGTCAACATGCAGACACTGAAGAGCTATAAAATCCACGTACAAATGTCTGGAAGAGAGAATATTGTTGGCCTATCTTGAGTTGGTGTCTGTTTCCTTGGGTATTCAATGAAAACTGAGTGACAAAGTATAATTCTGGCTACCAGGAGCTAGCCCTGTGAATCAGAAATCCATTAAAAGTGTTTAACAGAAACTGGGCAAACGCTTCCCTCCTCCACATCAAAAATAAATTGGAACCTTTGGCAGAAACCTAGTGTACTCATTAACTATCACCCGCACCCTGGGCACATAGAGTAAAACACTACTCCTTCCACAACAAAGAGGATTAATTTTCCCGTATTAAAAGATGTATCCTTTTCCAGCAAAGCTCTGAAGCCTACACACTCAAAGGTCAGACACATAATGTAGTTGAGGACCTAGTTGAAGAATGCCTGATATCAATCATATGGGCAATTAGGAGGAGAAGGAGGATGGTGTATACATGGGAGCTCAAAGGGGCCTGCAGGTAGGAGATAGCCTGTCCTGAGCTCTAGCCAACTATTGCCCTCCAGGAATGCAAGCTGTGTCACCAGACCTTCCGATTTTTCTGGAGACTCCTGGATTCAGATCCTTACATTAAATTTTTCTATTTAAAAATGATAGGAAATCATTCAAATAAAAGTTATTAGGTGTGAAAGGAAAATAAATATTAAAGCCCCCAAACACTAAGCTAAAATGAAAGTCAAGCTGGGAACTGCCTAGGGGCAAACCTGCCTCCTATTCTATTCAAAGTCATCCCTCTGCTCACTGAGATAAATGCGTATCTGATTGCCTCCTTTGGAAAGGTTAATCAGAAACTCAAAAGAATGCAACCATTTGTCTCTTACCTACCTAGAATCTGGAGGCCCCCTTCTGAAACAAGCCAATTGTCATCTTACATATATTGATTGATGTCTCTTGTCTCCCTAAAATGTATAAAACTGGGACGTGCACAGTGGCTCACGCCGGTAATCCCAGCACTTCGGGAGACCAAGGTGAGTGGATCACCTGAGGTCAGAAGTTTGAGACCAGCCTGGCCAACATGGGAAAACCCCGTCTCTACTAAAAATACAAAAATTAGCCAGGTGTGGCGGCGGGCGCCTGTAGTCTCAGCTACTTGGGAGGCTGTGGCAGGAGAATCACTTGAACCTAGAAGGTGGAGGTTGCAGTGAGCCGAGATCACACCACTGCACTCCAGCCAAGGTGACAGAGTGAGACTCCGTCTCAAAAAAAAAAAAAAAAAAGTATAAAACTAAGCTTTGCATCGACCACCTTGGGCACAAGTCGTCAGGACCTGCTCAGACAGTATCATAGGTGCACATCCTTAACTTTGGAAAAATGAACTTCCTAAATTGACTGTGACCTGTCCCAGATATTCAGGGTTCACATAGGTAAACAATAATATGTTTGGGACCTGAACGTATCTCAGTGCCACTAGTTTTTGAACTCTGATCTACATGCTTATTAAGCAAATGATAGAATGAATGAATGAATGAATGAATTATATTGTTTTGATAGCCTTGATTGCTTATCTCCACAGAAATGCTGACCAAATCCTCCTGAAATGTTCATACCTTAGGGTGAACTTTTAAAGTGTAACTAAAAGTCTCAGCAGGTGCAAAGGGGTAAATTTACCTGCCAGAGTAAGTTTATCTCTTACATAAACGTGTTTTTTTCCCTAACACACCTGGCTACTCTGTGTAATTCAACATAGGTTAACCTATTGATTATAGGCCAACCAATACAAATCCATGGCCCATCGTAATGCTTACAGACATAGGACTGTGAAAGATTATTAAAGAAAAAAAAAAGTAAGTCCTGCTAGGGGAAACAAATGGAATAGAATTGGTGCCAAATCTTTAGCAAACTGCTCCATAGGCCATAAAGGCATGAATAGTTTCATGACTGTTCCAATAGATGTCAGCTAAGTGCCACCTGAGCTGTTCTGACAAAGCTAAAATGGTATGTCACAGCTTCATGTTTCACCTACAAACTAGAACAGTGCTGAGAAAGCATCTAGCTACTATATAAAAGCTAAGAAATACATCTACTTTGAGTAATAGAGGACAGTTGATATTTCAAAGGATGGCATACTTGGGATACTGTCAAATAAAATAGCTTGGGTAACTTCCTTGTAAGATTCCTACTCTTGCATAGCCAAGAGGTTGACATATTGTAACAAAGCTTTCATTTTAATTACCAGTCAGATCTCACAGGACATTAGCATTTAACCCATGAACAACGTTGCTCTTAAAAAATGTTTCCCTTTGGGAATACATCATTTAATTCCTAGCTGACACCTTCTCTGTACTTCATGATAAGAGAAATGGCATCGCTAGTGAGCATACTTGTACCACGTCTTGTAGGATCTGATGCCAGCTCCCTGATACCTCACACATGTCTCAACATGATGATCCAAATGGGTGAGGTGGCTCTGGGGAGAAGCTCTATTTAAGGAATCACCATTTTTTTTCTGTCATTTTTCTGTCTTTGAGATTAAGAAATACCCATCACACAGAAATCATATTGATACCTGTGCATGTCAATAATGTCTCCTCATTATCAGCTACCTCAACTGCACATATTTTGGTGTGACTGTCAAGTTTCTTGTATTCTTTCCCAGGCTGGCTGACTGAGTTTCTCAGTCCTCTCACCCCACTGTCTTTGGGAATGTTGCTCATATTTTCATCCTTACAATATCTTCTTTCCCTAATCCAATCAAATTTCAGTGCAACAAACATTTTGAATGGACATTCCGTAAAATTTGAGTATGGCTTTCTCTTTGCTAATTAATTGCATATCTGTCATTTAAGGTCCCACTCAAGTCTCATGTCTTCCATGAAGTCTCTTTGCATGGAGCTTGATTGTTTTCTAAGTAATGCCTCTTAATTCTCCCTCTCCACTGCTTCAGAATCCAACTGATACGTTTTCTCCTCTGGTTCTTCTGTGTTACTCATTTAGGCTACAGGGCCTGAACTATCCACTTCCTCCGCTAAATATTCTCTTGATTCTACCCTCACTTGATTTATTTTCTCTGATTTCTTCTCATACTTACATTTATATTTTATAATATGCCTATTTACTTATTAACTATATCTATACCTTGGTATTTCCTTGAGAGTAGGCTATATCTCATAGCTTTTCAACCTGTACAAGGAGAAAAGAAGGTGCACAAAACATACTAAGCAATTAAACAAGGAAGAAAAGGAAAAGAGAAAAAAGAGTACGAGGAAAAAGGACACTTTTTAGAGATTCCAGAAATTGAAATATCTCTATCATCAATACTGAGTCTCATTATTAGTCTGTCACTTCTAACTTAACGTATAAGAAAAAATGAAAATGGTGTTACTTGATTCTTAGATAAAGCCTGAGTTAAATGTGCATTAAGCCATGTTCAAATTTACTAAGGTTTTAATTTCCAAATTAATTTGACATTTTCACTATTGCATGTTTCCAATGTGCATATTATTCCATAGATTAATTCTTGCTGTCTTGTTTAAGTAGGTTGGCTTTCAGGATATCACTTGTAATACTTGGCTAGGCTATGCAATGAAATTTATGATCCTGTTTTTCTGGGTTGAGAACATTAATATTTTTATTTAATTTAGCTTCTGTCCCTAAAGAGTGCTCAGAAAATGAAGCACTTTTTAAAATTTAAGTTTATTGCACCTATATTCATCTCATTTTATGGGAATATTACAGGTCAGCAAATTACATTTTAGTTGCACTTTTCTAGTGTCATATTATTTTCAATAATCAATAATTATATTAGAAGAGATGTATAACTAATTTTTCATTTGAGGAGGTAAAGGAATGTTTCAAATGTATTGGATAAAAACTTAGTTAGGCTGACATTTGTTAAGTTCTTGGCCTGATTAAACATAGCAGCTGTCAGTTTCACATAAGGAGAAATGAACATTGAATATATTTGAAACTGCCTAGAGTGTGGCATTAATAACATTTTTCTTCTTTGTTTGCTTTTAAACGGTTTTTTGCTCAAAAAGCTGGAAAAGACAAGTGTTCTGATGACAGGTTTGTAAAGGTTTGCTAATTGTGTGGTTGATAACAGTGTGGCATTTTTTTTTTTTTTTTTACATTAGAGCCTTAGAGTCTCCTACTGAGATAATACCATCATTCAAGTCTTATTGATTGCCATATGTTTAAAGAGCTCACTATAGTTCCGGATCCTGCTTTTTGAATATTATATGAAATGAAACTGGGTCCTGGGTTACACATTTCTACAAATTGGTAAATTTGTTAGTCTATTTTCCATGCTACATTTATTATCTCTCTTACTATTTTCATTTATAGTACTTGAATTTGACATGAAGAAATACATTTATAAAATTCTATTCTGAGGATCTGGGAGTTTGATTATATGCATTTGCTCCCAAAATTTCAGTAAAGTCATCCCATTACCTTTACACTAAAGTAATTCCAAAGATAAGTTAAGTAAAGTATCTACTGGCTGAGAGGAGGGCCTTTTGGTCTGTTTGGTATTGCTATAACAGAATAACTGAGACTGACTAATTTATAAAAAAAAAAAAGAGGTTCATTTGCCTCACAGTTTTGGTGGCTAGAAAGTCTAAGAGCATGGCATTGGCATCTGCGTGGCTTCTGGTGATAGCCGTGAGCTGTGTCAAGACTTGAAGAAGAAGCAGAAAGTCAAGGGAGAGTATGCAAAGAGACATGCAGGACAGGCTGGGATCCTTTACCACAACATGCTCTTTTGGGAACTAATGCACTCCCACAAGAGCAATAACTCACTCACTTCCAAAAGAAGACATTAATTTATTCAGGAAGGATCCATCCCCATGACCCAGCACTTCCCATTAGGCCTCACTTTCCAAGTGCACTACAACAGCAATCAAATGCCACCATGAGTATCAGATGGGACAAACCATACTCAAATCAGTAACAAAGTCAGACTTTAACACCAGACTACCAAATAACAAGATCCAGAAATCTAATACATCCAGAAATATATTGTTGCATAACAAACGACCCTAAATCTTAGTGGCTTAAGGCAACAACATCTACTTTGTTTAAGAATCTGGGCAGTCTTGGTGGAACCTGCTTGTTTCACATACTTCACATTGACTAGGGTGGCTGAAAGCTAGAAGTTGAAATCATCTGAAAGTCACTCACTCAAATATCTGGTGCCTGGGCTGGAATAACTCAAACATCTGGGTGTAAGAGAGTCGTGACATCTTGGATTTCTCTATATAGCTCTATGTGATCTCCCCACATGATCTCCCCACATGATTTCTCCAAGATAGTGGTTTCACGATAGCTGGATTTCTTATATGTAGTCTCAGGGCTTCCAAGGCCCGTATCTCAAGAGAGAAAGAACCAGGAAGAAAGCAGAAAGTATTGCTCTTTATTGTCTGACTTCAAAAATCACTCATTGGCACTTCTGTCTCATTCTCTTTATTTAAAAAAAGTCTCTGAAGCTTCCCATATTCAACAGAAATAAAAAATTAAACTTTACCTTTTGATGAGAGGTGTTCAAAGTATTTTAGACATACTTAAGACCACACAGATATCTGAATATTTTATCATTGATATGAATATAACTGAAGCATATATAGCAAGGTATGTTATTCAAGTATTTCTGGACCCTCTACAGAAATATTTCTCAATGCTAAAACACCATTTACAATATTCATAATGGTTTTCTGAAGGTCTAACTACTTGCATTCTTACTACTTAATGTTTTATAGTCAAAAGATTTATTTTTACATGAATACAATTATTTTAACAGGGATTTGTGTTAGCTTATTTCCTTTGAAAAGTGGACACCAAAACAGAATTAGCTGTTTAAGAGACGTGTGGAAACTTTTTCAAGGTTAAAATGGAGGGAAACAGAGAAAGCCAAGGGAGCCTTCAGACCATGATGCAAGTCTGTCACCTGTGAAAGAGGAAGAAATGAGAAGTTAAAGGAAGAGCGTCATAGTATAACACAGTTCCAATAGAGGTTTGACCAGGTCAATCAAGTGTTGTTGAGCCAAAGTCACTGTTGTGGAAGACTCCTGTAGCTTGCAGAAATAAGCACGTATTAATACCTCAGCACACTCAGTCACTGGTTGTGAATGGCCCACTGGAAGTGTGACTTGGGTTGAACTCAGTGGTAGATCAAGCAGAGACAGCCTTGTGGGTTAATTATGCCTCTAATTATACTTTCCCATATTAAGAGATAAGAGTGGCACATTTATATTGTTCTTATAGAAACATTATACAACTATAGTAAAATAAAACTACACTGCATATTAATACAGACCTTGACCATAAAAACAAACATAATGAAATAAAATGATGGACGATTTTAAAAGTACAATTTAATAAAATTAGGATTTTACTTCCTGTAAGATTAAATAAATGTATTACTCTGTTTCCTCTGCCAGCTGGTAATGAGACCTCCCCTAACTCATGAGACCCATGAGTAGTGTCAGTGAAGACCACATGAGAAGTCAAGATTTCCACCTTTGCCTGAAAATAACAAGGACTCCTTCCTCTCTTTCCTCACTGGGGTAGTATCAGAGTAGTTAGGAGTTTTCTGAGAGCCAGCAGTAACAAGGCTATCTCACCATGTTGTCAGTGGAGACCACATGAGAAGCTAAAACTCCCACCCCCTCCTAGCAGTAGTGATGAGCCCAAATCTCTTGGGTATCAATAGTGGCACCATGGGGAACACAGACTCCTACTTTTCCTTCTCCTACCTGGCATAATAAGACAGTGCCCTCCTTCTCCTATGATAGTAGTGTCAGAGAAAGCAGCTAAAACAGAAGATTTAAATAAAATCTAGTCTCATATTATGGTACAAAAATGTCTAGGTGGCAATAAAAATCATTTGTTATACGAAGAGCCAGGAAGGTCTCAAACTGAGTGAAAAAAGGCACTGAATAGATCCCAACACTGGAATGACAGAGATTTCAGAGTTATTTGACAAAGATTTTAAAGCAGCCATAATAAAAAATGTTTCAATAAGCAACTCCAAAAATGCTTAAAACATGCAAAATTAAAAAGCCTCAGCAAATAAATGGAAGATATTTTAAAAATTAAAAATATGTATAAATAGAACATATAAAAGCTGAAATTTAAATGCACACACACAGACAGTGGATTGGCTCAATAGTAGAATGAAAGAAACAAAGAATGAGTGAAATGAAAGTTAAAATAACAGAAATTACTCAATATATATGGGCAACATGGAAAAAATAGAATAATGGAGAAAAAAAAGAACAGCATCAGGGGCCTGGAGGACTAGAACCAAAGATTGTACACTCATGACATCAGAGTCTGAGAAGGGGAAGAGAAAGAAAATGGGGTTAAAAATTATCCAAATAAATAATGCCTAAAAACATTCCAAATTTGGAGAATACAAAAATTTACAGATTCAAGAAGCTCAACAAACCTCAAACAAGGTAAACCAAAATTAGCTCATGTCAACCAATTACACTTAAAATTTTGAAAAATAAAACTGAAGGCAGTGAGGGAGACACAGCACACTACCTAATTTGGAGAAAACGTTTGAGTAAAAGCAAAGTTCTCATCAGGAACCATGCAGGCCAGAAGGAAATGGCACAGAGCTCAAAAAGTGCTGAAAGAAAGAATACTCAACCCCAAATTCTAAATCTGGAAAGACCATTTTTGAGAAATGAAGGAAAAATGAAAACGTTCTTAGATAAAGAAAAACCATCAGTATTTTATTTTATTTATTTAGTTTTTTGGAGACAGAGTCTCGCTCTGTCACTCAGGCTGGAGTGCAGTGGTGTGATCTCAGCTCACTGCAACCTCTGCCTCCCAGGTTCAAGAGATTCTCCTGCCTCAGCCTCCAAGTAGCTGGGACTACAGGCACGTGCCACCACGCTCAGCTAATTGTTGTATTTTTAGTAGAGACAGGGTTTCACCATATTGGCTAGGCTGGTCTCGAATTCCTGACCTCATGATCCACCCGCCTTGGCTTCCCAAAGTGCTGGGATGACAGGCATGAGCCACCGTGCCCGGCCCCACGAGTAATTTATTTTTTTTTTTTTTGTCATCAGACCTCTTCAAAAATAATGACTAAAAATTATTTCAACATTAAAAAAAGAAAAAAAGGAATCAGAATATCAAGATAGAAGAAAAAACATAGTAAACAAAAATATGCTTAAGTGAGGTGAGGTAGGATTTTTCTTTTTCTTTTCAGCTTTCTAAATTTTTGTTGGTTGAATAAAAAATGATTTAAGGTAGTTATTAATATATTTTATATATTTATAATATTTATATTATAAAATGGAGAGGCTAAGGGAATGTAAAGGGATGTAATGCTTCCACAATTTGTTAGAACTTGTGAAATGACAACATTTTAATAAACAGTGTTAAGTTATAAACATGTTATAATACGTAGAATAACTACTAAAACAAGTTATGCAAGAAGACATGAAACCACATTTGCAAAAATTATAACTGGTGAGATTATAACAGTGAAAGAGATTAGACCTAATTGACTCCATCTTGTGTCTAACCTTTAAGCTTTCCTTGTTCATTCCTGGGCATAGGCTGAACTAACTGGGAAGGAATTCTCTGAAACAAAATTGATAATAGCCCTTTCTCAAGAAGATCCTCTTCATCCCTGGTGACTAGTCTACCTTTGAAGGACTACCAAGATTAGAAATTATGGTTTAGGGTCAAGCAGCCTCTGGCTCCAAGAGTCTAAACCTCCCCAAATTGCTCCTGGGTATAACATCAATATTGTAAAACTTAAGATCAGTGCTTCAGATATTATGCAGACCCTACACTTGATGGATTAGCTGACATCACCCAGGCTGCTAATCTGGTTTAACCAGTTCTGCCATACTCCCCAGGAATGGAAGACAGCAAGAAAACCTCTCTTCGACCCCCTGTGATTCCGTCTCCAACCTGACCAATCAGTACTCCCTACTTCCCAAGCCTCTACCTGCCAAATTATCTTTAAAAACTCTGATCCCCAAGGCCTGGTACAGTGGTTCATACCTGTAATCCCAGCACTCTGGGAGGCCAAGGAAGGTGGATCACGAGGTCAGGAGATCGAGACCATCCTGGCTAACACGGTGAAACCTCGTCTCTCTACTAAAAATTACAAAAAGTTAGCTGGGCATGGTGGTGGGCACCTGTAGTCCCAGCTACTCAGGAGGCTGACGCCGGAGAATGGCATGAACACAGGAGGTGGAGCTTGCAGTGAGCCAAGATTGCACCACTGTCCTCCAGCCTGGGCGACAGAGCGAGACACCGTCTCAAAAAAAAAAAAAAAAAAATCTGTGATCCCCAAATGCTCAGGGTGCCTGATTTGAGTAATAATCAAACTCCAGTCTCCCACACATCCAGCTTTGCATGAATTACCCTTTCTGCATTGCAATTCCCCATCTTTATAAATTGGCTCTGTTGGCTGGGCACGGTGGCTCAAGCCTGTAATCCCAGCACTTTGGGAGGCCAAGGTGGGTGGATCACCTGAGGTCAGGAGTTCAAGACCAGTCTGACCGACATGGTGAAACCCTGACTCTAATAAAAAAACAAAAATTAGTAAGTGTGGTGGTGGGCACCTGTAATCCTAGCTATTCCGGAGGCTAGGGCAGGAGAATCACTTGAACCCAAGAGGTAGAGGTTGCAGTGAGCTGAGACCAGGCCATTGCATTCCAGCCTAGGCGACAGAAGGAGACTCTATCTCAAAAATAAATAAATAAATAAATAAATTGGTCCTGTCTAGGCAGTGAGCTGAGACCACGCCATTGTGCTCCAGTCTGGGTGACAGAGCGAGACTATCTCAAAAATTAATTAATTGGCTCTGTCTAGGCACCAAGAAAGGTGAATGCATTGGGTGGTTATAGATGCATAAAAAACACTATAGAAAAATTAAAATAGATATCTAAAGGAAGTTCAAGTAGCCAACAGAAAGAAATGAAGAAGAGAAACAGAAATTGGAAATTAAAAAAAAAAAAAAGATGGCACACTTAAGTCCTAAGAGATCAATAAGTATATTAAATGTAAAGGGAAAAAACATGACAATTAAGAGACAAGGACTGGCAGAATGAATTTAAAAATGTGACACAACGATACTCTGTCTAGAAGAAATTCACTTCAAATATGATGTTTGTCAGTTTGAAGTACAATTATGGAGAAAATTATAACATGAAAACATTAATCAAAGGAAAGTAAAAATGATTATATTAATATCAGACAAGATAGACATTAGAGTTGCTATAATAATAATGGAGGAGCATTTTATAATGGTAAAATGGTCAACCTACCAAGAAGAGGTACAATTCTAAATGTATGTTTCCTAAACAAGAGATTCAAATTTGTAAAGCAAAAGCTTATATTGTTGTGGGAATCAGGAGACCAGAGAGACCAATAGGTGGAACAGGAGGATTTTATTTAGGTGCACCTGCTCAGCAGATTCGCATCCAAAAGGCTGAGCCCCAAACAATGACAGGGCTTGACTTTTATACAGGCATCTGTGGCGTGAAACACAGTGGCACAAAATCAGGTTTACAGAAGCAGAACAAAGGCAGTTTATCAATCAGTGACAAGCTTATAACTCAGGCCTACATGTGACTCTTGCTATGTGGGCCAGGTGGCTGTGCTCAATATGCCTGCACAATCTTATCTCGTGTCCTTCACTATGGCACCCAGGTGGCTGTAATCTAAGCTTGCTTAAGCATGTCTCATGACCTCCATGGTGCTACTCAGATGAAAAACAGACTTACAGACACTAGTTATAGAAAACAGGAATCTATAAACACATAAAGACTTGAAGACCAGGGTACAGTCATATGGAGGGGGTAAGTATTCAAGAGGAAGCTGTTCATACCAAAGGAAAGAAAGAAAGTTTGTTTTTCTTCTTGCATCTTCTGCTTCAATATAATCAAATTCAAACTTGAAGATGGAAACCTCAACATCTCTCTATTAACCGTTGACAGACTAATCATAAAATCAGCAGATCTTAACAACCCATTAACCTACAGTGTCAAATTGACATTTATGAAACACTCCAACCAACAGCAGGGTAGACATTTTTGTGCTCACCTATAGGAAGATAGATCATAATCTGTGACATAAAACCTCAACAAATTTTTTTAAAATTAAATTATACAGTGTTTATCTGCTCATGAGAAATCAGTCTTATAAAAATAAAAGGGAAATCTCCGTATACTTAGAAATGAAACTGCATACTTTTTGTGTGTGTGTGTTT
Source organism: Homo sapiens (assembly GCF_000001405.40). NCBI lineage: Eukaryota > Metazoa > Chordata > Mammalia > Primates > Hominidae > Homo > Homo sapiens. Next base: position 52,939,610 of record NC_000017.11, read on the forward strand.
TTTTTTTTTTTCTTTTTTGAGATGGAGTCCCACTCTGTTCCCCAGGCTGGAGTGCAGTGGCACGATCTCAGCTCACTGCAAGCTCTGCCTTCCGGGTTCATGCCATTCTTCCGCCTCAGCCTCCTGAGTAGCTGGGACTACGGGCGCCTGCCACCGTGCCCGGCTAATTTTTTGTGTTTTTTTTTTTTTTTTTAGTAGAGACGGGGTTTCACTTTTCACAGGATGGTCTCGATCTCCTGACCTCGTGATCCGCCCGCCTTGGCCTCCCAAAGTGCTGGGATTACAGGTGTGAGCCACTGTGCCCGGCCGAAACTGCATACTTTTAAGTAATTGCTGGTTCAAAGAGGAAGTCTCAAGGGAAGTCAAATAATGCATGTAACTGAAATAGGAATTTTCCTATAAGAAAATTAAATTTTTATTAAAGAATTTTCTACCCACAAAAATCTTCAAGCCCACATATTTTTGCTGGATAATTTTACCAAATGTTTAAGAATTAAGACCAATACTACATATTTTTTGAGAATATAGAAAAATTGTCACTTCCTAATTCATTTTGTGAATCTAATTTTACCCTAATTCAAATCAGAGAAGGACAGTACAAAAAAAATGAAACTCTAGACCAATACATATAAGGCTTATAGATATTTGCAAGTCACATGTTCAACAAACGACCAGCATCTAGACTAAATTAAGACTATTTAAACCTCAACAGTAAAAATCAGACAAATAATGCAATTTGAAAATAGTAAAAAGGCATAAGGAGACATCAAAGAAGAAAAATAAACACTTGAATGGTGTTTATCATCAATAGTTACAAGCAAAATTCAAATTATAATCACAATGAGATATAAGAATATCTCTATCATATATACACACACATATATGAAGATTATAGACATCTTTTATGCAATTTTTTTTTAGGAAATATGGAATTACACTGTGTTTTGTAATTAGTTACATATTTACATTTATTGGAACTCTTTTTGTTTTCCATGAAAATTTGAATTACTGTTATCCTGAAGAAATGTTTTGTACTTTTTATGAGGCATTTCTGCTAGCAATAGAACTTCTCAATTTTTGCGTGTTTGTTTGTTTAAAATCTGGGGATTTAAAATTTACCTTTTTAAAAAAATGTTTTGCTCAATATAATACTATTTAATAGTTTTTGTTTGTTTTTGCTAACTGCACTTTGAATATGTAAATTACACTACTTTTTAGCTGCTATTGTTTTTGATATGAAGCCAGTTGTCAATCTTATTGGAGTTCCCTTGAATGTAATACATCATTTTTGCCTTATTGCTTTCAATATTTTGAATTTATCATGTCTTTCCATGTTTTGATCCTGATGTGTCTGTGTGTGAACCTCTTTTTATTTATGAGAATTAGAGTTCACTGTGCTTTTTGAATATGTATGTTACTGTTTTTCATTAAATTTAAAATGCTATGAGCCATGGTTTATTAGAATATTGTTTCTGTTTCTTTCTTTCTCTTCTCTCCTTCTTGTACTCCTGTTACACATATGTTGAAATGCTTAGTGGTGTCTCATATTTCTCTGAGGCTATGTTTATTCTTCATTTTTCTTTCTGTTTTTCAGATTCCAGAACCTCTATTGATCTAGCTTCAAGTTCACTGATTTTTCCCTCTGTCAGCTCAAGTTTACAGTACAATTTTCCAGTCAGTTTCTCATTCTGCGTATTGTACTTTTAATTTCCAGAGTTTTCACTTGGTTCTTTAGTATAATTTTTATCTTTGTTGATATTCAATATTTAATGAGATACTGTCATTAGACCTTTCCATAATTCTTTCAGCATGGTTTTCTTTAGTTCTTTATATATATGGATATTTTAAAAAATAGCTGCTTTGAAATCTTTAAGTCTATTCTCTAGAACTCTTAGATGGCAGTTTCTAAATTTGACCCTGCATATGTTATGGTTTCCTGTTTCTTTGCAGGTCTCATGTTTATTATTGTTGTTAAAAACTGGCTATTTTAGATCATGCATTGTAGCAGCTTATGATAGTGACAACCCCTGGTTGTCACTATTGGTTCTTGTTGTTTTTTTCTTAATTTTTGTTTGTTTAGTGACTTGGTTTAACTGATTCTACAGCGTGCAACCTCTGATGTCACTACTCATATTTCTTCACCTTGATTTTCTCTTTCAGCTTGGCTACCTAATGTTTATCTTTGTGTAAGTATAAGCCAGTTATTAGTCAAATGTTCTCTGCTCTCTTATTTTCTTGCATTTTTGCCCTTTCTCATTGGATATGTCATATTTTTGTGATCCCCAAATATCTGCGACAGTTCTCAGTTAACTTAGAAAGTTTATTTTGACAAGGTTAAGGACACACCCATGATGCAGCCTCAGGAAGTCCTGAGACATGTGCCCAAGAGGGTCGAGGGTACAGTTTGCTTTTATACATTTTAGGGAGACATGATACGTCAATCTATATGCATAAAATGTATGTTGGTTCAGTCTGGTAAGGTGGGACAACTGAAGAAGGGGCTTCCAGGTTAGAAGTAGATAAGAGACAAAAGGTTGCATTCTTTTGAGTCCATGATCAGCCTTCCTTCTGAATACACAATATAGTCTGGCTCAGTGAATCTGCATTTTTACGTAAACAGTAGGAGAGAGGAGACAATCAGATATGCATTTGTCTCAGGTGAGCCTCAGAGGGATGACTTTGAATAGAATGGGAGGCAGGTTTGCCCTAAGGAGTTCTCAGCTTGACTTTCCCCTTAGCTTAGTGGTTTTGGGGTCCCAAGAATTATTTTCCTTTTACAGCTTAAAGGCTGCCATCAAATTTGAGTGAGTTTATGATTTTTTGCCCCATGTTCAACTAGGGACTGGTAGTTTTGAGGATATCTCTCTGATATATCCTGATAATGCAGTCCCTTGACCATGCACACAAATTTCCAGACTGCTAGTGACCTTATCATTAAGTCTAGCTTCATCACAGTTACCTCTGGGTCAGTGTCATCTATTGTTCAGTCAGTGTTTAATAAGAGGTTGTGGCCATGAGACTTCCACCCTTTGTTGATGGGTCTGTGTAGGTTTTGGGGAATGCTTTCCAGTTTACTCTGTATCTTACTCTGACTGATCCTGAGTAGATGGACCCTAGGGTATAATATGCATAGCCCTCCTGAGGCCCAGAGTTGACTAATCTTTGAGGGCTATTGTTGGCTGGAACTTTCCCTGGATCTCCGTATTGAACTTCTGTTGCTGTAGCATTTTACTCAGAAAGCTACCAGTCTCTTCTTAAATGCTTTCAACCAAGATCTGTCTTGTTTTTGATATCACTGTTAGACATAAGTTTCTCCATAATCTTTCCAAATAAAGTCAGTGCCTTCAGATTTAGCTGTGGAACTTTGTCTTTTATGAATTGCCTTGTTCTTTGAGAAGTCTTGTACCACTTCAGAACTGGGAGTGTCTGCTTTCCCTGTAGTGATGACCTTACTTTTTAATTGGGTACTATTGGGTGACTGGGTTCCATTCTGGCATAGAACCTCAGCCCTACACATGATATGGACAGGAGACAGGGAAACACTGGGTAGAAGAGGGTGGTTCCTTGGCAAGCCTGGACCTGTGGCCCTAAGTGGGAACAGGCATTTCTGTTTTCACACTTAAAAAGTTGCCTTTTTCCATGAACCCTATCCTGTACCCATATAAACCCCAAAACACAGGCTCCAGAAGCAGATGAGCAGACAAGGAGACGAGAAAAACAGATGAATGGCGAATGACGCAGCAGATAAAGAGGAGGGGAAACGTCTGAACTCAGAGAGGAGTTTGGCTGGGGGCAGTTGGAGAGGAGTTTGGCAGCTGGATGGCCAGGCTCCAGAGGGGAGATCATCTTCCTGTTACAGGACTCTAGCACTTACCTAAAGGTAGCCGTCGGGTCAGGGCTTTTGCACTATAGTCCCTTCTGCGGTCACCAGAAATATGTTACAGGAAAGGTGTCCTGATTTAGACCCCTAGAGAGGGTTCTTGGATCTTGTGCAAGAAAGAATTCAGGGCAAGTCCACAGTGCAAAGTGAAAGCAAGTTTATTAAGAAAGTAAAGGAACAAAAGAATGGCTATTCCATAGACAGATCAGCCCCAGGGCTGCTGGTTGCCCATTTTTATGGTTATTTCTTGGTGATATGCTAAACAAGGGGTAGATATTCATGCCTCCCCTCTTTAGACCATGTAAGGTAACTTCCTGACATTGCCATGGTATTTGTAAACTGTCATGGAGCTGGTGGGAGTGTAGTAGTGAGGAGACCAGAGGTCACTCTCGTGGCCATCTTGGTTTTGGTAGATTTTGGCCTGCTCCTTAACTGCAAACTGTTTTATCAGCAAGGTCTTTATGACCTGTGTTTTGTGCTGACCTCCTATCTCATCCTGTGACTTAGAATGCCTTAACCGTCCAGGAATGCACCCAGTAGGTTTCAGCCTTATTTTACCCAGCTCCTATTTAAGATGGAGTTGCTCTGGGTCACGTGCATTTAACATTCCCACTCCATCCCCCATTCTGGCTTCCCATCCATCCTTCTGAGAGCCACCTCCACCACTCAATAAAACCTCTGCATTCATCCTTCGAGTCCCTGTGTGACTGGATTCTTCTGGGACACTCGACAAGAGCTTGAGATACAGAAAGCTGTCACACTGGCCCTCTGCCTTTGCAGAAAGGCAAAGAGTCTGCTGAGATGGTTAACACTTAAGCTGTTTGAAAAGCAGGGCTAAGGGCACACTGGAACACACACCCACTTGGGCCCCTGCACCTGTCCGTCTGCATGCTCTCCCTCCCCTCAGAGGTTTGGGCAGTGGTGGCAACTGACCTAACAGGCAAGCCACACCCATGTCCCATGTCCTGGGAGGGGGATCAAGGAACTCTCCTGTTTCACAAGCAAGCAGGGGCAGGGACAAACAGGATCCCAGTATTCTTTGCCTGTTGTCCTTTGTCCTCTTGCTGTACCTGCCTGGAATGGAGCTTCGGCAGCATGGGGATGGGAGTTGAAAAATGTCAGTGACAGTCATGTCCTCTCAGAGTGAAACCATAGCCCTAGACTGGAATCTAGGAGAGGGGGTAAAGGAATCTCTTGTTTTCTTGGCTGTATCTTGCTAGAGTAGAACATCCAGGCTACAGTTTCCATAACACCTACCCATGGTTTAGGGAGAAGTGAGTGGCTCATGTCTCGAATGACACAGATTCTCATTGTTCTTACTGAGATTTAGTAGATTTTCTTGAATTGTTGTTTCTCATTTGTTGTATGACCTTGGAAAAATTTCCACAGAGTTTCAATTATTGGATTTTTTTTCCTTTTAAATAATTTTTACCAGTTGAATTGTGACTTTTTTTTTCTGAGAAAATGGTCTGTCATTTAATGCATAGGTTTCTAGGTTAATTTCCTCACCATCTTTTGCCCCTTACACTCATGAACCTCCATGCCTTATCTCAACTTTATTATTTGACTTGACACTAAATTTCTTTCCTCTTTTTCCTCCCTTTTTAAATGTTTCAGATTCTTTTGAATGCTGCGTCAATAGTTTGGTGAAGAGTATTAAATTATATATTAATTACATATTTTATTTAGGCTCCTTCAGCAAAGAACAAAGATACGTTCAGAATATCTCAGGTGTTGGGAATTTGTTGCTTTGAATCAGAACCTCCATTATTGTCAGGAGAAGTCTTATGCATAAAATCACTATTAAATATATTCTTGCCAGGAAAAAATATCTTTATATTCATTTTCATCATATCAACTGATATCCAAGACTTGGAATGCACAGATAATGCTGTAATATTAGACTGCTGTATGCAAAAGCTCTAGGGACAGAATTTCATTTTTTATTTGAAGAGAGAAATTCTTAGCTACCTTTCAGAAATTATGTTTACATCAAATAAATTTTATACTTGTCTAGTGATAGCAATTTGAATAATGGATGTCCTCTCTGTTGTTCAGTTTCAAATTGGTTTCTCATGCAGTCCTAAGATTTTAGAGCTGTTTGCTCATTTATGTTTTCTGAAACCAAAAGTATTTTGATCTCATTTTTCACACTGATATTTTCCAACACAGAGAACAATGTTCCAGTTATGTAGGAACTCCAGCATCCTAATCTGGCAAAGTGCACACTTTTCCCATGCCTTAAAACAAAACAAAATAGAAAAACACACAAAAATCTCCATAAGATAATGTTCTCCAACGAGAACATTAAAAACATTAAAAATCTGTCATCTTTCTTTAAGGCTACTTATCATCTTTATTGAAAAGTGTCCATGTGAAAATAAACTATATCACATGTGATACCCAGGAGTGTAAGTGCCCATAAGTGATGAACAATCTTTTAACTTCAGCTAGTTTACAGAAAAATGTTTTAATTCTACTGGTGGCTGCAAAGCTACATCATAACAAAATTTTATTGGATGTGATATAGTTGATTTGAGCCGGTTTTACAGATCTACGAAACAGGACAAGGGTAGTCTATTTCTGGATGTATGTGAATGCAATTCTACTCTAATATTTTCTATCCAGAAATAAAAATATGGTAATAAGATACCATGATAGCAAGTAAAAATAGTATACAGTAACTGTATTAATACTTTCATCACTATATAAGACAAAATTAGATAATTACCAAGAAAGATGGGAGAGTATTTTAACACTATTTGTGTAAATTCAGTTTTTGAATTTCATTGAAAACTGTCTTTATTGTTGGAGTAATGCTAGAAACATCAATTTTATGGGCTGCTTATATTACAAAGCAGTTTTTTAAGGCTATAATAATATTTATAGTATATTGATATAATAAAGAGGTGTGACATTTTTTATTCTATCAAGGAAGGACTCAATTTCTGGAAACCTCACTGAAGTGATGTTCACCCCTCTCTCCTTGCCTGATTCCCACCCAACATTTCTGACACCAGGTTGAAAGCTTGACTTTAATATCTGAATTTCTTTTTCCTTGCCATTTATCATTTTAACTCTAGGTTCTTGACTCTGTATTATTTTCTAAATGAATTTATATTTCTGTAAATGGTCAGAAGGAACAGGAATCATTGTTTTCTAAGAAGTTTTATTTGAACGAAGAAAAGGGAGCAACAATATACCTTTATTTTTTTCTCTTAATGGTTTGCATTTAAAAGTGCCATTTTGATGGATAAGAGCTTCCAGGGAAGACTATTAAATGCATTATTAGGTAGATCGAGAACAAAAAAGTCTACATGTGCCATTGCGTTAATGCCATTCTTGCTAATGTTTATCCTTGTTTTACATTATCACATTGATTTTTCTTCCCAATTAGAGGGATAATATGCACTTCATTGAGATTCTAGAGAACTGTATGTCCCTGATCTTTAGGCCTCAGTTTCCTCAACATTAAGTGAGGACACTTAATGTTTAACTGAATTAAACAGATTGAAATCTCCCTTTAGTGGAGTGCTTCTAGGATGAAAACAGTAATTATATATCACTGAGTGAAATATTATACCCAAATTAGCTTATAACTATAGCTTATAGCTTGTAATAATAATACTTATTTTTTTCAGCGTTTTTGTTAGTCCAGTATTTGAAAGAAGCTTATGTGAGCAGATATGGCTGTATCTTATCAGATTATAGTCAAGATGTTGACCAGAACTGTAGTTGCTGAAAATTTTAACTGGGACTGGAGTGCCTTGTTTAACTCAGTGAGTCAAGTGCTAGTTCAAATACAATCCCATGAAAATTTCTGTTCCCTGGGGACTAGCTGAGTTTGCTCTGTTATATGATACCAAATAATCCTCTAGCCTCAGCCAGGTGAGTAGGCAATGAACAAATAGGTCAAAAATGGCACTTGTCGTAGAACTTTAATAGACTGGAAAAACCCATTGGCTCTACACGCTCTACCTGTTGAAACCACCACCACTGTCAAGAAACACCAACAGTAGGTAATCTCACTGCGGTTAGATATGGTAACATTTACTTTTAAAAGTTATAGCCCAGTCTATAGCTAATGAATATGATATGACCCATTACACCATAATGCTAGGCTTCTAATGGGCACTTAAGTAGCTGATGATCATTAGATTGCTGGGCTGAGAATGATGAACCAACTGATAAGTATTTCACTTCATTGCACAATTTTCTTTACCCACTTAAAACCTCTAAATAGTTTAGGGTTAAGAATAATATTTTTAGAGAGCATTACTGACCTTGTGTGGAAGCATATTTTTACTATGTTTTCTCTGAGAAGGGATCTCTTTACTGATTTCACAGTTCAGACATTTATTTAAGTCATCATGAAAGCTGTTTGTTCCTGCTAATATCAAACTTTTATGCCTAATAGAGACATAGCATCGCAGGAAATATTTTAGAATTTGTTCATATTTCAGCATAACTAAATGTTGAAACTTTAATATTTTTATCATCTCTAAGACAATTGCTGCTAATGGTGAAAGTAAAGAATGCATTTTTTTATGTAGATCTCATTTTTATTTCAGCCTTATATAAAGGAAAACTAATTTCATAGTTGGAATTCATTAATCACTATACTTTATTACTAAGTTTCTGTAAGTGTTCACACTGTGATCTATCTTTACCAATTGTAATTAGTTTTCATTCACTAACAGAGTGAGCAATTTACCTGTATAACCATTCATTCATTCAAGAATCATATAATCTGCATTTTTTTAGGTTTCAAAATTAGAAAAGCCACACCCACCTACATTATGAAAGAAGATATTTTATTAAAATATTGAAAGTTCAGAGGTAGGACATACTTCAGGTTTGTTTTATACCGGTAGCTCAGGGCTGTCACTGATGTATTTGATGGTATTTTCTCTTTCCTTTTCCCTGTCTTCCCTGGAATTAGCAGTATCTTCAACTCTTCTTGAGATTACAAAGATGGCTGCTTCAGCTTCAGGAGCTGAGTTCAAGTTCAATAAAGTGTCTCATTTCTCAAACATCAAACAGACCTGCTGATTTACAAGTTGATTGAATTAATTTAGATTATTTGCCTCTCACCACAAATATGTCACTGTTGGCCCTGGAATGTGGTGCACAAGTTGGTTGGCTTTATACTGGCCAATTTCTTTAAGGGAAGATGTTTTCACTGCTGATTGATTTTGTTTAGTAATTAAGGGATTATTCAAATTTTTTACTCTGTAGTGAATTTATTTTGTTAAGTTATGTTTTTCTAAGAACTTATTCAGGGGCCAGGCGCGGTGGTGGCTCACGCCTTTAATCCTAGCACTTTGGGAGGCCGAGGCAGGTGGATCACGAGGTCAGGAGACGGAGACCATCCTGGCCAACACGGTGAAATCCCATCTCTACTAAAAATACAAAAAAATTAGCCAGGCGTGGTGGCGGGCACCTGTAGTCCCAGCTAATCAGGAGGCTGTTAGCCAGGTGTGGTGGTGGGTGCCTGTAGTCCCAGCTACTCGGGAGGCTGAGGCAGAAGAATGGTGTGAACCGGGGAGGTGGAGCTTGCAGTGAGCCGAGATTGTGCCACTGCGCTCCAGCCTGGGCGACAGAGTAAGACTCTGTCTCAAAAAAAAAAAAAACAAAAAACAACTTATTCACTTAATTTACATTTTCCAAAGTTGTTTTTACTCTCATTACTTTTTAAAAATTTTTAATTTTTTTGAATTATATTTTAAGTTCTGGGATACATGTGCTGAATGTGCAGGTTTGTTAGATAGGTATACGTGTGCCATGGTGGTTTGCTGCATCCTCTCCTCACTACTTTTAATGTCTGCATCATTGGTTGTGATGTTCCCTTTTTCATTCTATTACTTATTTGTTTCATTTCTCCTTTATTTTCTTCGTCAGTCTCAAAAAAGGTTTATCTTTTTTTATTAGTCTTTTCCCCGAACTAAATTTGTTGATTAACTTTATTGCTGTTACTTTGCTGATTATTTCCTATTCTTGATCATTCTCTTTCTGATATGTATTATTAGTTTTCTAGTGTTGCTGTAATAAGTTACTACAAATTTAGTAGCTTAAAGTAACACAAATTTATTATCTTACAGTCTGAAGGTTAGAAGACCAATACAGGTCCCACTAGGCCAAAAGCAAGGTGTCAGCAGGGCTTTGATCCTTTTGGAAGTTCTAAGGAAAAATCTGTTTCCCTCCCCTTTCCAGCTTCTCGAAGATCTGTGGCATCCTTACTTTATTGTCAGAATCAGCAATGGCAGGTCAAATCCTCACATTGCATGTTGGTGATTTCAGTTTCTGCCTCCCCCTTCCACTGGTAAAGAAACCTTGTGATTACATTCAACCTGCTCAGACAATCCCACATAATTTCCCTATTTTAAGATCAGCTTGTTAGCATCTTAACTCCATCTTCAATCGTCATTCTCTATTGCCATGTAAATTAATGCATTCGCAGATTCTGGTGATTAAGATGGATTTCTTTGGGGAGCCATAATTCTGCCTGCCACCTACTTATTTGGTCTTATTTTTTTCTTTTACTATCTGTTTGAGATAAAGGTTTAACTCATTAGCTTTCAGTGCTTCACAGAATCTGAAAATGCCATCAAGTTTATAATCTTTCCTTAAGTACTACATGAGCTGCATCCTCTTTTATTTAGAATACATTATAATTCAGACCAAATTTTTCTTTTTTTCCTCTAACTCATGGATTACATAGACATGTATTTCTTGATTTATAAATATGGGGCATTTTGCTAGTTTCCTTTTTGTAATTGCTATTAATTCATAGTGATAAGAAAACATGGTAATGCAGTCATTGGAAAGTGTTCCAAGTTGCTAGAAAATACTGGATATTTTGAACTTATTTTGTGTGGTGTTTATGTACGTCCATTGTGGAAAGCTATTTAATCATGTTGTTAAAATATTTTGAATATTTTGTTGTTCTACCAATTACTGAAAAAGTTGTCTTTTAAAAACATTTTATTATACATGGGTATTTGTCTATTTTAGTATCTGTTATTTTTTTACTTCATTTTTTGAAGTTATATTATTCAGTGCATACCAGTTTAAAATTGTTATGTCTTCATGAATATTTATTTTTATGAAATGATACTGTTTATCTCCATCAATAGAGAATTTTTTTCCAGTAGACTTACCTTGACTAGTCCCAATGTAATCAAAAGGGTCCTTAAAAGTGGAAGAAGGAGTCAGAGTAATGTGATGTGAGGATTTTGGGTAGCTATTAGGTTGGTGCAAAAGTCATTGTGGTTTTCGCCATTAAAAGTAATAGGAAAAATCGCAATTACACTTTTGCACCAACCTAGTAATATGCTTTAAATTGCCTTAAATACTGCTTTTTCTATCATTAGTATAACAGCACCAGCTTTGTTTTTAGTTGAATTTGACTGCATATAAATTTTCCTCCTCGCCTTTTTAAACTTCACGTATCCTTACATTTCTGCTGTATTGCCTGTAAATAGCTTACTGCCGTTACCCAGTCTGAACATCTTTGCATTTTCTTTCTTTTTGATCAGATTTCTGTATTATCAGCTCATTCTATATAAAACATAGAACTATAATATAGGAACACAATGTCTCTCACTAAAAGGCAGGGAGATTTTAGGGTGCAAACAAGACGGTGAAGGTATAAAGTTCAGAATAATATTTTACGTGATTCTCTGCAGCTCACAAGACTAGGCTTTTGCAGAAATCTGATTCTTAGAGGAGGGTGTCGCTCTTTTCTACTTCAACCTCTCTTCTCAATTCAGGCTACTCTTGGCTTTTTCAGTTTCTCTCTTCAAGGCTCTCAAATCAGTAGCCGCAGTCTTTTTTTTTTTTTTTTTTTAGAAAATACTTCTTTATTTTCCAAAAACTTGGAGCATTACAAGTTTTTAAGTGTTCCTTGGATATTCATGGAAGAGGATTCCTAGGAGCATGAAAAAATCATAGTGCTGAGTCCACTCTTCTGAGGCTAATTGTGAATGATCCAACTCCAATTCTATCTTTCTTGTCTGTTATTAAATAAATTACCCCTTCCAATAAAATAACCATTAATTATTTTCTCCTAGGCCAGACAGTAAAATCTCAAATTAAGAAAAATAATTCCCTTTTTACTTTGGCTGAATTTACTGACTCTAGCATATAATAAACATTTTTGTTACTAACGTGCGTTTGTTTCTTTTCTCCCAACTGAGCACACTTGAAGTGAAAACCACCCAACAAACAAGAGGCTAAGCAAACTACAGTAAACCAAAACATGGATAAGCAGAGACTGATTAGAAAAAAGAAAAAATAAATAAACCAAACAAGCTCTCTCTTTCTTACCTGCATATCAACTTATTTCATTATGGGTAATGCTGTCTTTTAAAATGGCATCTTCCAGGTGACTCCACTGTAAAATTACTGTTTTTTCTTTGTAATTGAGAGTAAGTTTATGGGAAAATACCTAAGGACTATTTAAATGTCCTGCTTTTTCTTGAACTTTTGCCCGTTTTTAGCATCTATTGATATATAAATATTACTGTGATATTTGCCAAAGGGTGTTTTTCTGTTCTCATAATTTCTTTTATATTTAATTGGTCTATTATGTATCAAAGAGCTATCCGCTCCGTTTACTTATTCTACTATTTATTTATATTAGTATGGCCTAATTGATATTTCTTTTACTCAATGCATTACAATCCATTACTATAATTATTTAACTTTTTATTTAGTTTTCCCATGTTTGGGGAGTTGGAATACTTTATGATGGCATATAATGCACAGCCTATTCATCAGCAGCAATGAAGAGGAGAGAGAGTAGAATGGAGGTGGAATATACAAAAGATCATTGTACAAAAGCAGTGAGAGCCAAAAAGAAAGGGTACTTTACTGGGACCTTTCTGTGCATGAAAATTAGCTGTGTATAGAGTTTGCATAATAGAAAAGAACTTGATCAGGGGAAGAAATGGAGGTAAGGAAGATAGAGGTAAGAGAAAGTTACACAAAAACAGTATTGTTGCTGCACTAAAAGTCCAGACTTCACCACTATACAATTTATCCATGTAACCCGAAACTACTTGTATCCCTAAAGCTATTGAAATAAAAACAAATAAAAATACAGCAGCAATAAATAAGACAGTGTTGTGGAATGTTTCCCAAATAATTCCTTCAGAAATTGTGTGACGTAAATTAATTGTGGGGGAAAAGATATACAGATGATGTTCAGAATCATATATTTTTAATATTCTATCTGATTCTTAAGCAAAAATGTAATTCTTTTTAATTAATATCTTGCTAGTGAAATTTTAATTTCTGTACACATATTCTTAAACCACCAATTGACCAATACAGGAAGAATTCTTGCAGAAATAAAGGCCAATATACTAAAATGATCACAAATAAGTCTATACTCATTTCAAAACTAGGTTATATGAATTAATCCATGTTCACTATTATTTCATTATTAGCCCCATTGTGATTTTAATTTATCTTAAAAATTTAAATTGTTAGTCTATGATGAAGATGGTGAATGTGGTTATGGGTGAATATCAATCCAGTTCGAATTTCCCACCTCCACATAACCTTAAAGCAATAAATTGTGGAAGTACACGAAGACAATCAGGGTTTAGAAGTTAGTAACTTTTTAAGTTTATTATCTGTCAATTACTCAAAACCTGTCTCTCAAACTACAAAATAAGCTTACAAATAAGTTGTATATCACATATAGTGTATAAAATTATCTGTCAGAGTATTTAAAAAAAATTTCAAGGCATTTACCCACTTTTACCAAGTCTTTCTCCAAGTCCCTACTAACATTTTTTTTTGTTTTTTGTTTTTTTTTTTTTTGAGATGGAGTCTCGCTCTGTTGTCCAGGCTGGAGTGCAGTGGCGCAATCTCGGCTCACTGCAAGCTCCGCCTCCCGGGTTCACGCCATTCTCCTGCCTCAGCCTCCCGAGTAGCTGGGACTACAGGTGCCCGCCACCACGCCCGGCTAACTTTTTGTATTTTTTTTTTAGTAGAGACGGGGTTTCACCATTCACAGGATGGTCTCGATCTCCTGACCTTGTGATCCGCCCGCCTCGGCCTCCCAAAGTGCTGGGATTACAGGTGTGAGCCACGGCGCCGGCCGTCCCTACTAACATTGAGCTAAAAATAGTCCCTGTTACTGATGGGATGTGGCTTATCCTTCAGCTGAATTGAGGCTGAAAAATATTAAGACCAATAGGTCTAATACTTTCTGATTTTGTTTATTGATTAATCTAGTAAAATTTCCAACAATACTAAATGCTTCTGCTTTTATCTACTTTGTTAAAAAAATGCCCTCTCTATTTTCCAAAATTTTTATTCTTTTATCCCCAATGCACAGATTTATTTTTATAGGTGTTAAAAGAAGTTTACTTTTTAAGATCAAATAACATACACCTCTCTTCAAATAGATGTTCACCAATTATTGATTCTACAGAAGAGTTTACTTTTGTATTAATGATTTAGCTTCACTTAAAAAACAACACTAATAGTCATTAGTATATTTGGATCTTTCTGCATGTCTATTTAACATGCAGAAGGAATTAATAGAAACAATGATAAATTATGAAAGCCTATCTTGATAATCATACCTCAAAATTTTATGAGTATAGCCAAGGCTGTGCAAATAACTCTGAACTTAGTATCAAGACATTAGGGTATCAGTTTAATTTTTACTACACTAGAGTTGTGTAGTCCAACATGTATCTTAAAGTACTTAGACTTCAGTTTTCTCATCTCTGTACTGAATGGGGTTGGATTAGATAATCTCTAATATCCTTTTAATCTCCAGAGAAATATTATATATATGTATTTTAAAATATTACTGTAACAATTTTCTCTTTCTTTCTCTCTTCTCTCTTTCTTCTCTCTTTCTTTCTCCCTCCCTCCCTGCCTCCCTCCCTCCCTTCCTTCCTTCCTTCCTTTCCTTCTTTCTTTCTTTTTGAGACGGAGTCTTGCTCTGTTGCCCGGGCTGAAGTGCAGTAGCCTGATCTCGGCTCACTGCAACCTCTGCCTCTGGGGTTCAAGCGATTCTCCTGCCTCAGCTTCCTGAGTAGCTGGGATTACAGGCGTGCACCACCATGCCCAGCTAATGTTTGTACTTGTAGTAGAGATGGGGTTTCTCCATGTTGGTGAGGCTAGCCTTGAACTCCTGACCTCATGATCTGCCCGCCTTGGCCTCCCAAAGTGCTGGGATTACAGACTTTTCTAAATATGATATACAATTTGTAATTTCTCTTAATGGTTAAGGCTTAGCTAAGTTTCAAAGCTTCCAAATGGATTTATTTTTAGAAACACTTATGTGATGCATCAAATAAAGCATATATGACAACCTAGAAAAGAGTTAGAAGTTTACTGGGATTATTTTCTTGGCACTGCCACAATAATACTTTACAGAAAGTTACTCTAGTTCCACTTCCTTCTTGATTCTACAAGAAGGGATACATAATGCTATCACATTAAGTCCTTAATGCAATTTCAGAAATCATTAGCATGTATTTCTGAAGAAAGCTGTGTTTTCTTTGACGATTGTATTTAAAAACTAAAGACAAGTAGTTATTCAAAGTAAATTTTACAGAAAATATTAATTATAATTGAACAAGTAAATGACAAGTAAATGACAAATATGAAGGTCGAGTGGATACAAAAATTCAAATGGATTCCATTTCCTTTCAAACTTGCTCTTTAAATTGTGTTACTGCAAAGATATACCAGGGAAGATGTGACAGGATAATCCTTGATTTCATTTATATATTTAATAATACATTGTTTCCATGTTATATAATTTTTGGCAGTGAGATCATTTTTTATTTTTATTTTTTAAATTAAAAAAAGTTTATTTCCATAGGTTTTAAGGGAACAGGTGGTATTTGATTACATGAGTAAGTTCTTTAGCGGTGATCTGTGAGATTTTGGTGCACCCATTTCCCGAGCAGGATGCAGGATGCAAAGGCATAAGAATGACTCAGTGGACTTTGGGGACTCAGAGGGAAAGGGTGGGAAGGGGTGAGGAATAAAAGACTACAAATTGGTTCAGTGTATATATTCTATACATCTTGTGTTTTGTTAACCCAGTGTCTCTCAAACTAGTCAAAAATCAGGAGATGGACCCAAAAGATTCTGTTTGCATTAGTGAGATGTCAGGAAGAGGAAAGTAAAATATCTAAGTACCTACTCTCTGCCTACTTACTATGTTAGATGCTTTATGAATTATTGCCCCGTTTGCTAGTCTTAAGGTATTATTTTGTTATCATGTCTATTTTAAGAGTGAGCAAGATGAGGTCAAGAAAGCTTAATACAATTGTTCAGGCTTTAGCTAGTGGAATTTAATTTAAAACTAAGAACAACTAGATTCAGATTTATTCATATTTAGGTTTGTGGAAAGAAACTGAGAGAAAGAATAATTCTAATGCTAAGTATTCTCTAAAAAACTAAGAACAGAAGACTAACCTTGCAAGTTATAAATTCTGATTAAGTGATTATGTAGCCTACACAAGTAGTGATGTGAACATTTCCTTCTTCCTACAATGACATAAAACTGTTGAATAAAAACCTAGATGGAATTTCCAGGAGTTACCTATTTCTCCTGCCCATGCCTCTCAATGACAGGCAACTGTAGCCTGTTCTTTGCCCTTGTCTTTGTTTTTACATCTCCATGCTGGAGTTCATTATGAAGAAAACATGGTGAAGAATGAGAATCCAAAAGATATCACAAGTTAATTCAAATGATGGAAGTATTTTTAACTTTTCACTGAACATGTATACATGTTAAATAAAGGGACCTGAGCTCTTCAAGGCAAAGCAACATGTTTTTCAGAGATGACTGCTTATCAGTACATTTAATTTGAGACAGTTTTTACCCTGAGTCAAGTATTTCCCACTATGGTGACCTCTACACTGTTGACATTTTGTAGTGTGGAACTGTTTATGCATTGTAAGATGTCTAGCAGCACCCCTAACCCTCTACTCTCCAGATGCCAGTAGCGCCCTTACAGTTGTGACAATCAAGAGTATCTTCAGAGATCATCAAATGTACCCTGCGGGACAAATTCCTGCCCTTGGAGAACCACTGCACTGCAGGGATATTTAAATATATCACAACTGGAGTAAATTTTACAAAATTTATCAATCAAGATGTTTGATTAATTTTGTATTGGGAGAAGTTTTGAAAATGGCTTGCCTTTTAAGGTGCTGTTCATAGCTAAGAATAAAAATAAACATAAATATAAAAATATACGTTCCCATAATTGAAATATCATTTTCATATGATATTATCATCTATGACATATATTCTACATCCCTCTTTTTCTTCTATTAATATTAGCCCTTTAAGTGGCAGTGTTGTTCATGGTAACAATGCTAGACTTTTACACTTATATGTATTCTACTATATATATTATATATATATATAAATGATATACCTATATCTGAAATTCAGCATAATTATTTAATTTCTCAGTGTTTCAATGTTCTTATCTGCATAATTCTGAATTATAGGTGCTTGATTACATTATGGTATAGATTAATTGAGAGCATATATAAAAACACAATGTGTTGCCTAATATTTTGTATTAAGTGCCAGATACGTTTTACTTAAGTTGAACACTTTGATAGTCCTGTTCTTTTCTGGACAGATAGTCTATCTGCCACCTACTGTTTCCACATAAGTTGCGTCTAACTCTCCACAGAAGATTTTTTTTCTTCTGTTCCTCTGTCTCTAGGAGGAGGAATGAGCTTGCTGTCTTCTTCCTTGTGTTAGTTTCAAATCATGTTTTTTTCCCTTCACCCAAAATTTTCAGCTTCACATTTCTTTCATCCATTCTTTAGCATATTTTAAATTATTACTTTAGAGGCTTTGTCTGATAATTCTAAATACTAGGTCATCTACAGGGCATCATTTGTTGACTATGCTTTTTCTTAATTATGACTCTTTTCTGCTTTGGTTGACTCATACTTTTTTTATTATATTACAGATATTTATAATAAAATTACAGTGGAGACAAAATTATAATAATATTTGGTTTTATCTCTTTTCAACAATGTGCAGGGCTTGTCTTTTATCTGGCATTTGTAACGGGCTAATTATTCAGATTTCTCTTGTTGCTAAGTTGAACCACGGCTTAGTCACAATTTAATTAGATTAACTGTCTTTAGCCCTATCACCAACCATCAATATTTTAGCTACCATGTTATTCTTGTTACATTTAAGCTAGAGGAAGTCGGCTGCAATTTCAAGTATTTTATGGTTTATCTCTGAGCTCAGCTTCAGCAGTGGCCTAGCATCCAATGTCTACGAGAATGTGCAAAACCGTACTAATTCTCTCTAGAGAACACCTCCTAGAGAGCTGAAGAATTTGGGGATAGACAGGGCTGGAATGAATGGTGTGCTCCTCCATTTAGGCCTCAACTTTATCTAGCTTGTAAATGAAGTCAGGGAAAATGTAGACCATGTCTGAGGGTCCTTTTTCTTTACCTGTCTGAAAACACTGCCCCATAAAATGCCACTCACCTTTTAGTTTTTTTATTATTATTTTTTGCTTTTTGCTTCTGTTCTATCAAGTCATGAGCTATAAAAACATACTTAATAGTCCATTCAATTGGTGTAAATGTTCAACATAAATTGGCACACATTTTTTTCACCTTTAAAGACTAAAAAGTAAGGCTATTTTTAATTTATTTATATTTGATTCTGTGGAATCTGACATCCAAAGCAAAGATAAGCTAGATATGAGTAAAACACATACCAGTTTATTTTATTTTATTTTATTTTATTTTTTATTATTATTATACTTTAAGTTTTAGGGTACATGTGCACAATGTGTAGTTTTAATGCTGTTTTCCCCTACTGTTTCCTAGACCCAATGGGGAAAAAGAAAAAGTTCTCAAACTTAAGCAGGTTATTTCTGCTAGCAGGTTACACTGCCCACAATGTCGATGGCATTGGGTGGCAAAGTACTTGAAAGTCTGCTTGTCTCCAAGGAACATGAAGTCTAAATCTTTATGCATCCAAGGAAAGTCAGTCAGTCAGTGGATTTTGGCAGATTAAACAGTATCAGATTTTTTTTATCCTATTATTCCAGGTTAATACTGAAAAAGGCCTCAGAGCCTTCTCATTTATGACTCCCATTTATGACTCAGCCAGGTTTTCATTGTCTACACCAACTGAATAAAATTAATCCAGTGATTTTTTTCAAATAATATCACTGAAGCTAATTATAATTTAAATATAGCATTTTTCTCTAAATTCAAACTATCCTACCACATAAAAGTTTTATGATCTTGCTTATAATTTATGGTCAAGAGGTATAAACAAATCTTGAAATGATTTGGTGGCTAAAGAAAGTACTGCCATATGCTAACTTCTACTTTAAAGTCTAGACTCTAGAAATGGGTTTTTATCGAGATCCCTCCTCATCATTTCAGAATTCTAGTTTATTTGCGTAGAGGTGTTTGTAGTATTCTCTGATGGTAGTTTGTATTTCTGTGGGATCGGTGGTAATATCCCCTTTATCATTTTTTATTGCGTCTATTTGATTCTTCTCTCTTTTCTTCTTTATTAGTCTTGCTAGTGGTCTATCAATTTTGTTGATCCTTTCAAAAAACCAGCTCCTGGATTCATTAATTTTTTGAAGGGTTTTTTGTGTCTCTTATTTCCTTCAGTTCTGCTCTGATTTTAGTTATTTCTTGCCTTCTGCTAGCTTTTGAATGTGTTTGCTCTTGCTTTTCTAGTTCTTTTAATTGTGATGTTAGGGTGTCAATTTTGGATCTTTCCTGCTTTCTCTTGTGGTTATTTAGTGCTATAAATTTCCCTCTACACACTGCTTTGAATGTGTCCCAGAGATTCTGGTATGTTGTGTCTTTGTTCTCATTGGTTTCAAAGAACATCTTTATTTCTGCCTTCATTTCGTTATGTACCCAGTAGTCATTCAGGAGTAGGTTGTTCAGGTTTCGCGTAGTTGAACGGTTTTGAGTGAGTTTCTTAATCCTGAGTTCTAGTTTGATTGCACTGTGGTCTGAGAGACAGTTTGTTATAATTTATGATTTTTACATTTGCTGAGGAGAGCTTTACTTCCAATTATGTGGTCAGTTTTGGAATAGGTGTGGTGTGGTGCTGAGAAGAATGTATATTCTGTTGATTTGGGGTGGAGAGTTCTGTAGATGTCTATTAGGTCCGCTTGGTGCAGAGTTGAGTTCAATTCCTGGGTGTCCTTGTTAACTTTCCGTCTCGTTGATCTGTCTAATGTTGACAGTGGGGTGTTAAAGTCTCCCATTATTATTGTGTGGGAGTCTAAGTCTCTTTGTAGGTCACTCAGGACTTGCTTTATGAATCTGGGTGCTCCTGTATTGGGTACATATATATTTAGGATAGTTAGCTCTTCTTGTTGAATTGATCCCTTTACCATTATGTAATGGCCTTCTTTGTCTCTTTTGATCAGAATTCTAAAAGAATGTCAACATTAGCTGGGAATGGTGGCTCACACCTCCCAGCACATTGGGAGGCCAAGTTAGGTGGATCACCTGAGGTCAGGAGTTTGTGACCAGCCTGACCAACATGGTGAAACCCTGTCTCTACTAAAAATACAAAAATTAGCTAGGCGTGGTGGCAGGCACCTGTAATCTCAGCTACTTGGGAGGCTGAGGCAGGAGAATCTCTTGAACCTGGGAGGCAGAGGTTGCAGTGAGCTGAGACCGCACCACTGCACTCCAGCCTGGGTAACAGAGCCAAGACTCCGTCTCAAAAAAAAAAGAATGTCAACATCATTGTCCCACCTATCTTTATCTGCATGTTTCCTGCCACAATGTTGGGATATTTGGGTTAGAGTTTCTTTGTGTGGGAAAACATGTGTTGACAGTTATTGATTTATCAGTCAATATGACTGATGCTTACAGAATATCACCTTTTTCATGTCAGGCTCTGTGCCTGGAACACAGTTACAAAGAAACACCTCACATAATCCCTGTCTTTTAGTAAAAATACAAAAGTACTGCTGCTTATTCTTAAGTTAACATACGTGGCATGTGTGCATTTGTGTCTATGCCCAAAGTATGACCTTACATCTCACTTGAAAACAAACGCAAAAGCTAAGCTCATAGCAAAAAAGCTCAATTACCAAATTCATGAAGTGAACTTCTGTTTTCACTTAATTTTGCTTTTTAGTTTACTGAATGTGTTTTTATTCAAACATACATATTTGATTTTCTGGTGGTCTTTTTTTTAAAGCAAACTTTTTATATTGAGATAATTGTAGAATCAACTACAATTATAAGGAATAATACAGAAAGATAATATATATCTTTACTCATTTTTCAAAATCTTGCAAAACTAGAGTAAAATAGCAAAACCAGGTAGCTGACTTTGATACAATGAAAATGCAGACCATTTCCATCAACAGCAGGATCGCTCATGTGGCCCTTTTATAATCACATCCATTTCCCACTCACTCACTCCCTCTTTAACCCCTGGCAACCAATGATCTGTTCTCCATTTTTATAATTTTGTCACAAGAATATTATGTAGATGAAATAATACAGTATTTTATATTTTGATACTGCATTTTTTTCAATCAGCAAAATCCTCTGGAGATTCATCCAGGTTGCTGCGTGTATCAATATTTAATTCCTCTATATTGATGAGTAGTATTTTTTGGTATAGGTGTATAATGGTTAATATTTTAGATATAAATGTATGCCAACTGTGTTAAAGCATATTTAGATAGCTGGTAAAAACAAACAAACAAAAAAAATCTATTATTTCTGTGTAGGTCTGTAAGGGTGCTTCTGAAAAACACTAGCATTTGAATCAGTAGACTGAATAAAGATCACGCTCACCAATCCATTGATGGCCAAATTAAAAAAAAAAGGCAGAATGAGGGTGAATTTGCTTTCTTTTCTGGAAAGGAGACAACCGTCTTATTCTGCCCTCTGACATCACAGCTCCTGGTTTTTGGGTCTTCAGACTTTGGGACTTATACTAGTGGCTCCTCACAGGTTCTTGGGCCTTCAGACTCATACCGAGTTACACCACTGTCTTCCCTGTTTCTCTAGCTTGCAGACAGAAAACCATGGGACTTCTTCACCTCCATAATTACATAAGTCAATTCTCATAATAAATCTCCTTTTCTCTCTGTCTCTCCCAGAAACATATATGTATGTATAAAACACTCCCTTGAAGCCGTAGAGTACAATCAAACATCTTGGCTCCTCCTGAAACCTGCTCCCACCCATTTCAGTCCCGATAACTTAAAGATCTTAAGTAGTTTAGACACACACCTTTGCTCAAGGAAATTCACAGAAACTGCCACTGCTATACATCTTATTTAATAACTCACGATTCTCCTTCGCTGATTAATCCTTTTCCTCATCCCTTCCTACCCCTCCCATCTGCCCTAAGAACAAAGAGCTTGTAAACCAATAAATTAGGTGGGGCCAAAGAGCTCTGGGCGGTGAGCAAGCCTCCGACGCTCCGGTCCCCTGGACCCGCCTTTTAAACACGTATTCTATCTCTTTCTAATTCCTTTGTCTCCGCTGGACTTGGGGTACCCGCTGGGTGGTGTGGGGCTGGTTTCCCCAAGACACACATATACACATATGTATATGTACGTGTATATGTGTGTGTGTATCTATATATATTATAAGTATATATAATATATTTTGTTGATTATAAATTACCCAGTCTAAGGTGTTTTGTTATAGCAGCCCAGACTGACTAAAACAACTATTTATTCATTGAAGAACATTGTGATTGTTTCCCAGTTTTGACTTTTATAGACAAAGTTACTAAAAACATTCATGTCCAGATTCTTGTGTGAATATGTCTTTAATCATTGATAAATGTCCAATAGTGCATTTGTTTGGTTTTATGGTAGTTGCACATTACTAATGACACTGTTGCTGAACATTTTCTCATGTGCTTATTTGCCCTATGTGTATCTTCTTCAGTGAAATATCCCTTCCTGCGCTTCGCTAATTTTCTTTCTTCTTTTTTTTTTTTATTATACTTTACGTTATAGGATACATGTGCAGAACGTGCAGGTTTGTTACATAGGTATACACGTGCCATGGTGGTTTGCTGCACCCATCAACCCATCATCTACATTAGGTATTTCTCCTAATGCTATCCCTCCCCTAGTCCCCCACTCCCTGACAGGCCATGATGTGTGATATTCCCCTCCCTGTGTCCGTGTGTTCTCATTGTTCAACTAATAAATGGTGTGGGGAAAGCTGGCCAGCCACATGCAGAAAACTGAAACTGGACCCTTTCCTTACACCTTATACAAAATTAACTCAAGATGGATTAAAGACTTAAACATAAAACCCAAAACCATAAAAACCCTAGAAGAAAACCTAGTCAGTGCCGTTCAGGACATAGGCATGGGCAAAAACTTCATGACAAAACACCAAAAGCAATGGCAACAAAAGCCGAAACTGACAAATGGGATGTAATTAAACTAAAGAGGTTGTGCACAGCAAAAGAAAATATCATCAGAGTGAACAGACAACCTACAGAATGGGAGAAGAGTTTTTGCAATCTATTCATCTGACAAAAGGCTAATAACTAGAATCTATAAGGAACTTAAACAAATTTATAAGAAAAAAGAAACAACCCCTTCAAAAAGTGGGCGAAGGATATGACAGACTCTTTTCAAAAGAAGATGTTTATGCAGTCAACAAACATGAAAAAAAGCTCATTATCACTGGTCATTACAGAAATGCAAATCAAAACCACAATCAGATACCATCTCACACCAGTTAGAATGGCGATTATTAAAAAAATCAGGAAACAACAGATGCTGGAGAGGATGTGGAGAAAGAGGAATGCTTTTACACTGTTGGGAGTGTAAATTAGTTCAATCATTGTGGAAAACAGTGTGGCGATTCCTCAAGGATCTAGAACCAGAAATACCATTTGACTCGGCAATCCCATTACTGGGTATATACCCAAAGGATTATAAATCATTCTACTATAAAGACACATTCACACATATGTTTATTGCAGCACTATTCAAAATAGTTTTCTCCATTTTCTAATTGAATTTGGTTTTGTTTTTATTGTTACATTTTGAGTGGTCTTTATATATCTTAGATACTAGTGCTTTGTTGGATATATTATTTCCCAGGAAGTAACTTTGCTTTTCGTTAACTGTATCAGGGTATTTCACAGAGCATAAGTTTTGTCTTGCTGTTTGATGAAGACCAATGTATTAAAATTTCCTTTTATGGATTATCATCTGGTGTCAAGTCTAAGATACATTTGCCCAGCCCTAGAACACAATAATTTCTGTTTTTTCTAAAAGTTGTATGTTTAACTGATAAATTTACCTGTGATCCATATTTAATTAACATTTGTATAAAGTGTGAGGACGAGCCATTGCTGTTTCCTTTTTTCCTTGTAGATGTCTAATTTTCTACCTTTTTTTCAAAAATTAGGCGCATTTTTGTGGCCTTCTTTATTGATTCTCTCTTCTGTTTTATTGATTTGTGTGTCCCTTCATTAATACAACAAAGTCTTGGTTACTCTAGCTACATAATGAGTTCTTAAATAAGTTAGACTGATTATTCTCATATTATTCGTTTTTCAAAGTTTATTTTTGCTATTCTAGTTCTTTGGCTTTTCCATATAAGCGTTATTATTATCAATATCTACAAAATATCTTGTTTTGATTTTGATAAACATTACATCATTACATTAGTCTTTAGAATATTGAGTCATTAAATTTAAGAACATTATACAGAAGGTCCTTGAATAACATGTCTTTGAACATTGTTTCATTATAATATTGATGAGAAAAAAATTCAATTCTCAGCCAGGGCTATTGTCTGCGTGGAGTTTGTACGTTCTCCTTAAGTCTGGGTATTCTGGTTATATCTCACATTTCAAAGATGTGCACGTTAAAATGCAATGTCTAAATTGTCCAGTTGGAGAGAGAGAGAGAGAGAGAGAGAGAGAGAGTGTGTGTGTGTGTGTGTGTGTGTGTGTGTGTGTGCATCCTGTGACCAGATAGTGTCCTGTCCAGGGTTGGTTCCTACCTTATGCCCAATATAGCTGCTAGTATAGGCTTCAGGGACCTGTGGCCCTGACCTGGAACAATTGAATAATAAATATTTTTTGACTTGTTTTTGTTAATCTTTCTTAAACATTTGTATAACTCAATTTATTTTAATGTTTAATGTCAGAGGTGTTTTGGTCTTTATTTAAAAACTTGGTGATGTTTCCTGTGACCTGAAATGTGCCACAGGAACTTGTTTTGTTTGTATCAGTTAGCCTATGGGAAAATTGGTTTTATTATATGTTGGTTCATTTAAAGTCACTGTTTTCAAGAACCTATAGACAGCATTTATGAGGACATACTGTATGCATCTCTGTTTATTTAGATCTTTATTTACTTTTGTCAAGGTTGTGTAGATTTCAGCATTCAGTTACTACATATATTTTGTTTGATTTACATCTTAGTATTTAATTTTTTGAGCAACATAAGTAGCAATGTATTATTAATTTTGTTGCTCATATGTTCATCAATAACATATAGATATATAAAGGATATTTGTATATTTACATGTATCATGCCATTTTGCTAACCTAACATTTTAGTTCTAGGGTTTTAAAAATGTATGTGTTTTGTAAATATCTTGGGGGTTTTCTAAGTAGATAATTTTGTCATCTGCAAAAAGGGAGAGATTCATTTCTTCCTAACTGATCTGTAAGATTTTTATTTTTTTTTGTTTATATACACTAGTTATAAATTCTAGCACTGTGCTGGGTAACAGTGTTTGGAGAAGACAAACTTACTTTGGCTCGGATCTTATTGGGAAAGCATTCAGTCTTAGATAGTTAAGAATGATATAATCTATATAATTTTTTAGTCTTTTTGTTGGTTCACTCATTGTAGATGATCTTTATCAAGTTCAGGAAGTCCTCCTTAGTATTGTATTTCTAAGAGTTTTCATCATGAGTCGATGTTGAGTTTTCTCAAATGGCATTTCTGTGTAGATTGGTGTAATTATTTTTTTCTTGTTAGCTTGTTAATATGTAGATTGCATTAATTTTGTAAAATGTTTACCAGCTTTGTATTCCTGTAAAAAACCCACTTTGTTAGGATATATAATTCTTTCTATATGTTGCTAAATCCTATTTGTTAATATTCTTTAAGGATGTTTGCATATCCATTCCTGAGATATTGGTCTGCAGCTATCTTTCTTTTTTAAAAAATCATTTTAAGTTCAATGGTACATGTGTAGGTTTGTTACATAGGTAAACTTTTATCATGGGGATTTATTGTACAGATTATTTCATTACCCAGGTATTAAGCCTAGCACCCATTAGATATTTCTTCTGATTCTCTTCCTCTTCCCATGCTCCACTCTCCGGCAGGCTCCAGTGTGTGTTGTTATCCTGTGTGTCCATGTGTTCTCATTATTTAGTTCCCACTTATAAGTGAGAACATGCAATATTTGGTTTTCTGTTCCTCTGTTTGGTAAAGATAATGGCCTCCAGCTTCATGTCCCTGCAAAGGAAATAATCTTGTTCTTTTTGTATGGCTGCATAGTATTCCGTTGTATATATGTACCACATTTTATTTATCCAGTCTTTCACTGATGGGCATTTAGGATGATTCCATGTCTCTGCTATTGTGAATGGCGCTGCATGTGTCTTTGTAATAGAACAATTTATATTGCTTTGGATATATACCCAGTAATGGGATTGTTGGGTTGAATGGTATTTTTGTCTTTAGGTTTTTGAGGAATTGCCACACTGTCTTCCACAATGGTTGAACTAATTTACACTCCTTCTAACAGTGTATAGATGTTCCTTTTTCTCCACAACCCTGCCAGCATTTGTTATTTTTTGACTTGTATTAATAGCCATTCTGACTGGTGTGACATGGTATCTCATTGTGGTTTTCATTAGCATTTCTCTAACGATCAGTGATGTTGAGCATTTTTTCATATGATTGTTGGCTGCATGTATCCCTTCTTTTGAAAAGTGTCTGTTCATGTCCTTAGCCCACTTTTTAATGGGCTTGTTTTTATCTTGTAAATTTAAGTTTCTTATAGATGTTGGATATTAGACCTTGGTTAGATGCATAGTTTGTAAAAATTTTCTCCCATTCTCTATGTTGTCTGTTTACTCTGTTGATAGTTTCTTTTGCTGTGCAGAACTTCTTTAATTAGATCTCATTTGTCAACTTTAGCATTTTTTGCATTTGCTTTTGGTTTCTTTGCCATGAAACTTTTGACTGTGCCTATTGCCTATGTTGTCTTCTAGGGCTTTTACAGTTTTGGGTTTTATATTTAAGTCTTTAGTCCATCTTAGTTATTGTATATGGGGTAAGGAAAGGGTCCAGTTTCAATCTTCTGCATATGGTTAGCCAGTTATCCCAGTACCATTTTTTTAAATAATGTGGTATATTTTTATTTCCTAAGTACAGAAATATAAGTATATAAACAGCACCCAGTGCACCAAAACACATTTACAGCCATTCAACAAACTGTGTACAAGCATTTGAACAAATATCATACCAGCATAGCATGTTTGTTCTAAAACATGCCACTTATGTTAGAATTTTAAAAATAAGAATTATCACATTTGGGTGCCCGCTATATCATTCTTAGGCATTTGCATCATCATAGCTTTAACTCCCACTTATCAGTGAGAACATATGATGTTTGGTTTTCCACCCTTGAGTTACTTCACTTAGAATAATGGCCTCCAACTCCATCCAGGTTGCTGCGAATGCCATTATGTATACTATAGACACTTTACTTCTCTTTACATTTCCTTACTCACCATATTTATAAGTGTCTTTGATATTCCCCTACATACATTCAGATCCAAATCAGGCATTCTTCCAGTGTTTGCTTTAACCATCGAACATAAGTTAGACAATTCAAGAAGAGAACTCTGTTGTATGAACTCCTATTTTTGCTTTCTCTGTTCTTTATTCCTTTCTGAAACTTTTAATGTTGAGCATGATTACATGGCTAAATGTACAATAACTCCCCAAAAAAGAGATAGGAACTCTTATGTAAACAAGTAACTATGTCAGAAGCAACCTAATAAGAACAATCTAGAATGTGTCAATTGTATTTCTATATACATGTAGTACTCGAAATTCAGGCTTGAGCTCAAATAATCAATAGAACCCTCATCAAAGTAGTTTGCATTTGAAATTAAATCATGCTTTTATAAATTTTGCATCATTCTATCATTGATGGAGCATACCCTGTTACAACATTAAAATTCCAGTATAACTGTCACATTTCAAGGGGGAAAAAGTTTTAAAGTTATGTTTAGTGAAGGGGATTAAGTCAGAACTATCACATTTCCTTTTCCAAGCACAATGCTCCCAAGAGAACTTGTTAAACTTTATTTCACAATGTAAAGTATGCATTTTAAAACACACCATTTCAATATACAATGAGCACTTTTCATTCACACACTTCTACCTCTGGAAAAAATCTTAAATTATCTATTAATTCAGTGAAGTTGAAAGATATTTTTCTTTTTAATTTAGAAAGCTTAATTAAATGCCAATCTCTTAAATTCCTTGAATCTTTAGATTTTAATCACAAAAGGCACAATTTACTTAGGAAAAAAATACATCTTGAAAGCATCCTACTTAGAAACTACATAGGTAGATTCCAAATAAATTAATTCACAGTAATTTAGCCATATTTATTAAGATATGTAACCACGTGAGTTAAAAGTCTATATTATAAAAACCCATTTTAAAGTTGTTTGTATATGCATACTCAGTAGTGTATATTGAGAACATGATATCAATAAGTAGAAAATCTTGCCCTTTAACACATAAAGATAATTATCTTTAATTAGCAGCATATATATTTTGCTTGCAATTTTTCTTATTTCAAATTTATTGAAACATGTCAAGAATAGTACAGGGAGCTCTGATATACAATATTTATTCAGATTCACTATTAGTTTACACTTTTCCTATTTCCTTTATCATTTTTTCTTTAAATATGCATATAAATTATGTATGAGCATTTGAGAGCAAGTTGGAGATATAGTGCCCCTTTATATCAAAATACTTCAGGTCACATTTTCTATATTACAACAATACTGTTACTAAAATGTGAAAATTTTATATTTATGCAATACTATGTAATTTATAGCCCTTATTCAGATTTTTTTAATTGTCCCAATAATATTTTTTAGAACTAGTTTTTCCTGGCCAGGATCTAATACAGATTCACGCTTTGGATTAATTTATCATGTCTCTTTAGTCTGTAAATTGAAACATTTCTTTAGCCTTTGTTTCTCTTCACTTTGACGTATTTATTTGATGAGTTTAGGCCAGACATTTTGTAAAATGTCTCTCAATTTGATCTTATCTGATGTTTTTTCATGGTCTTATTTAAGTAATTTGTTACTGTCAGGGATGCTAACAAAAGTGATTGTATGTTCTTCTGAGTGTACCATATGGAAAGAAAATTTATGTTGGTTTGTCAAAATTAGTGATGTCAGTTTTGATCATCTCATTCAAGTAGTGTCTACCAGGTTTCTTCAATGTCAAGTTGGCATTTTCCTTTGTAATTAATAAGTAATTTATGGGGCAATAATTTGAAACTGTAAATATCCTGTTTCTTATTAAACTTTTACTAAGTAGCTTTACCGCACATTGATACTTTTGTAAGTTCTTCATCTATTTTCTATCATTGGTATTTCACTTTAAGAAGAAATTTCCCTTCTCCAATTATTTATCAATCCATTTATTTATGTAAGTATGGGCTTCTGTGAATTATCATTTTATTAAATTACTTAAAATTTGTTACTATAATTATTTATTTTGAGGCTCAAATTTTCCTGGAGCTTACCAGTTGGAGTTTCTTCAAGCTGGCTGTTTTATTCTTTTGATTACTTTTTGTTGCAAGGAGATATTACAGTATCAGCTTAAACTTTTCTTTCTTATTTTGCTGGGATTAGTATTTTTAATCATTAATTTATGTGTGTGTACATAATAGTTGTGCATATTTATGGAATAAATTTGATGATTTGGTAGAAGCATACATTATGTAGTGAACAAATCGGGGTAGTTGGGATATCTATTACCTCAAACATTTATAATTTTTGGTGTTGGAAAATTTCTAAATCTACTTCTCTAAATATTTTAAAATATACAATAAATTGTTGCTAACTATACCTACCTTATTGTGCTACAGATCACTAGATCTTATTTCTACTATCTAGCTGTAGTTTTTAGAGATTAACAAATTCTACTTTATCCTTTCATCCTCACTATCCTTCCCAGCTTCTATCATCATTCTAAACTCTACCACCATGAGATCAACTTTTAACTTTCACAAAATTGTAAGAACATGTGATATTTGCCTTTCTGTGCCTGATTTATTTCACTTAACATAATGTCCTCCAGTTCCATCCATGTTGTTACAGTTCCGTCTTTATTTCATGGCCAAATAACATTTATTTCATCCAGTTCCATCCATATTTTATGGCCAAGTAATATTTCACTCTGCATATGTACCACATTTTCTGTTTTCATTCGTCCATTGATGGACACCTATGTTGATTTCATATTTTGAGTATTGTGAATAGTGCTGCAGTAAACATGGGAGAGCAGATATCTCTTCAGTACAGATTTCCTTTTCTTTGGATATATACCAAACAGTAGGATTGCTGGATCATACTATTTAGTAGTTCTATTTAGTTTTTTAAGAAACTTGCATATTGCTTTCTGTAGTGGCTGTGCTTATTTAGATATGTATCAACAGCATATGAGAGTTCCCCTTCTCTACATCTTTGTTATTTTTTCTTTTGTATAAAAGCCATCTTAACTAGGGTGAGATAATAGTTCATTGTTTTGATTTACATTTTTCTGATGATTAGTGATGTTGAGCAGTTTTTCATATACCTGTTGACCATATGATAAAGGCCACATATGACAAACCCACAGCTAATATCATACTGAAAAGAGAAAAACAGAAAGGCTATTCTCTAAGATTGGGATTAAGACAAGATCTGGAATAAGCTGCCTTTCAATACTGTTACTTCACATAGTAGTGAAAGTCCTAGCCAGAGCAATTATGGAAGAGAAAGATATAAGGAACATATGAATTGAATATGAAGTAAAATTGTCACTGTTTTCAGACAATATGATCTTATATTTAGAAAAACTGAAGACTCTACCAAAAAACTATTAGAATTAATAAATGAATTCAGTAAAGTTTCAGATAGAAAATCAGCATAAAAAAGTCAGTGGTATTTATATATTCCAACAGCAGGCACTCTGAAAAACAAAGTAATCTTATTTTCAGTAACTACAAATAAAATGAAATATCTAGGAATAAACTTAACCAATGAAGTGAAAGATTTCTACAATGAAATCTAGGGAACATTGACTAAAGAAATAAAGGAGGACACACTAAAAATGGAAAGATATCTCATGTTCATGGATTGGAAGAATCAATATTGTTAAAATGTTCAGACATTTTAAAATAATGTATATGAAATATTTCACCCAAAGTGATCTACAGATTTAAAGTAATCCCTATCAAAATACCAATGGAATTCTTCAGAGAAATGGAAAAATTATTCTAAAATTTATGTGGGACTAAAAAAGACACTGAATAGCTATAGCTGTCATAAACAAAAAGAACAAAGCTGGAGGCATCACATTACCCAACTTCAAATTATACTACAAGGATATAGTAACCAAACAGCATGATACTGGCATAAAAATAAGATACATAGATGAGTTAAACAGAATAGAGAACCCAGATATAAATCTCCACATTTAGAGTTAACTCATCTTTGACAAAGAAGCCAAGAACATACACTGGGAAAAGGATAGTTCCTTCAACAAATGGTGCTTTGATAAACTGGATATCCATACAAAGATAAATGAAACAGGATTGCTATCCCTCACCACATCCAAAATGGAATCAAAATGGATTAACAACTTACATGTAAATCTAAAACTGTAAAACTGTTGGAAGAAAATTTTGAGGAAATGCTTCAGGATATTGGTCTGGGCAAAGACTTCTTGTGAAAGAACTCAAAAGCACAGGCAACCAAAGCACATGTCGACAAATAGGATTACATGCAGCTGAAAAGCTTCTCCACTTTAAAGGGAGCAATCAACAAAGTGAAGAGATGCCCCACAGAATGAAGAAAATATTTGCAACTATTCAAGTGACAAGAAATTAATAAGCAGAATATTTAAGTAACTCAAATAATAACAAATAAACCAATAATCCAATTTAAAAATGAAAAGAAATCTGAATATATACCTGAAATATCTGAAGACAAACTTTATTTTCCTATCTATCCCTTATATAAATTTTTAAGACTTACTTAAAAACATTTTGGTGCAACGAGACATTCCAGGATGGAATTATAATGGAGCCTTGGTTTCTTTTAACGGAGAATGGTGTTTAGAAAACAAAATTTGGATGTTAGGAGCACTCATTGTTCCTTGTGTTTCAATGTTTCTAGGTCTTCTAAGCAAACAAAGCTAGAATCAGTTACAAATGTATTATAAAAATATTTCTATGCTACAGGCTATAATTTAATTTCCTCGCTTAAGTTTTTTTTAATTCCCCTTTTCCAGTGAGCTCTCATTAGCCTCAATCTTTTAAACTGAAGTCTAGAATACTGTACTCAATACTTGGAAATTACTTACAGAATTGCTAGCACACACCACTGTGAAAAGTGAAGTATGTAAATTCAATGTTTTTAAAGATTTTTTCAATTTGAGATAAAATTTATACACGGTGCAATCTGTAGATTTTAAATGTACAATTAAATTTGTTTTCAATATTGTGAATATCCATTTCAAATTTAAATAAGTAAATACCCTAAAACCCCATAAGTTTTGAATAAGTGAGTACTCATGTTACAGGAAAGGGGCCCTCATCCAGACCCCAAGAGAGGGTTCTTGGATCTTGTGCAAGAAATAATTCAGGGTGAGTCTGCAATGTAAACTGAAAGCAAGCTAATATTAAGAAAGTAAAGGAATAAAAGAATGGCTACTCCATAGACAGAGCAGCCCTGAGTGCTGCTTGTTGCCCATTTTTATGGCTATTTCTTGATGATATGCTAAACAAGAGGTGGATTATTCATGCCTCCCATATTTAGAACATATAGGGTAACTTCCTGGTGTTGACATGGCATTTGTAAACTATCATGGCGCTGGTGGGAGTGTAGCAGTGAGGACAACCAGAGGTCACTCTCGTCACCATTTTGGTTTTGGTGGGTTTTGGCCAGCTTCTTTACTGCAACCTGTTTTATCAGCAAGGTCTTTATGGCCTGTATTTTGTGCTGACCTCCTATCTCATCCTGTGACTTAGAATGCCTTAACCCTCTGGGAATGCAGCCCAGTAAGTTTCAGCCTCATTTTACCCAGCTCCTATTTAAGATGAAGTTGCTCTGGTTCACATGCCCCTGACATTTCCCCACTCCCTTTTATAAGAGAACCCTTAATTCTAAGGGTTACAGAGGGATAAACATCCATCTTCTGTAACTTCTTCAGGCTGAATAGGGGTGATGATATTCCAGCCTAACTATGAGGGTCTGTTGCATTCAGGGTAGAGAGGGGCTCAGTCAGAAAGCATCAGTATGGTAAGGTCCACTCAACTCTTAAGTTTTGACAAAAGGTGATATCCCTCTTGTTTCTCATGAGCAGCAGTCAGAGATCAGTGGTTGGTTCACAGGAATAAGCAGGGTTAGCCTAAATTGTAGAAACAAGCTTAAAAACAACTAATGAGACTAGAATTTAATAACAAGTTTACCAAAGTTCTTGAAAAATAATATTTCTGTCTCCAGTTTCTCATTTTTACTAAAGACTAATCATGTTAAGAGTTATTTCCTTTATTATACTTGGCCTGATTATTTGTATAAAGTGCAGCAAGAATAATTATTTTTCACAGAGGCTCTTTTTAAATTGGCTTTGATGGAACTCCGTTCCATAGAAGGAATCTTAGCTAAGACTTTTTAAAGCTAAGATCAGCCATGGGTTTGTACCCTCAAATACCTAAGAGTTGAATAAATTCCTCTCCTCTTGGGGTCCCAAGATAACTTGGGGCTCCTGGACCTGTTGGAAAGTGACATTCTTTACTTACCCCGGGTCAGAAACCCTGTACAGGGACTGTTGCAGACAAGGTATGAGGCCAATTTTTCACAGAACTTTTAATGGCTTTACAAGTCAAGTTTGATTCCTTAAAGGAAAGCATACCATTCCAGTTAAAGCCTTGGTAAAATAATCAATTTCTCCAATTGTATCCTGTTAAAAAAGAAAACAGATTCTTATTGCACTTATGCAAATAACTATATTGCCATAAATTAAGAATACTCACAGTTTCCAGTTTTGGAGAAAACAGGTAGAGAGAATCAAATATGCTCCAAATTTTGTTCACAGGAGTATACTTTACTCAATTGCTAAAAGCTGTATATAGCTCAAAAGAAAAGTGTCCTTGATTCTGAAAAATAAAGGATCAGCAGCATTTTAAACACAGTTAAAAAATTACTTCTGTTTTCTGTTGGTTCAGTTAATTCAGTTAACTCCCATTCTATTTGATATTCATGAACATTCTAGTTCTTCATGAGAAATGGCTGAATTGAGCTGATTAATACATACATTATCTCACACACTTATTTTTGTGGTGAGAATACTTAAAAGCTGTTCTTTAGCAAGTTTCAAGAATACAATGCATTGTTATTAACTCTAGGCATTATGTTGTACAATAGATTGAATTTACTCCTCTTATCTAAATGAAGTTTTTCTCTTTTTTACTAACATCTCCCCACTCTCTATCTCCCTATCCCAGCTTTGATAACCACCGTTCTCCGTTGTACTTCCATAAGTTCAAATTTTTTACTCTTCCTATATAAGTGAGATTATGCAGTACTTGCCTTTCTGAGCATGGCTTATTTTACTTAACATAATTCCCTCCAGGTTCATCCATGTTGTCTCAAATAAAAAGAGTTTGATTGTGTCCAAGAGTCCAAAAGCTGAAGAACTTGGAGTCTGATGTTCAAAGGCAGGAAGCATCCAGCATGGGATAAAGATGAAGGCTGGAAAATGCAGCAAGTCAGCTTCTTCTACCTTACTCTGCCTGCTTTTTCTAGCCACGCTGGCAGCCAATTCGATGGTGCCCACCCACATTGTGGGTGGGTCTTCCTGAGTGTGGGTCTTCTTCTCCAATTTCACTGACTCAAATGTTAATCTCTTCTGGCAACATTCAAGAAACATGCAGATACAGCCAGAAACAATACTTTCCATCCTTCAACCAAATCTAGTTGACACTTAATATTAACCATCACATATGCAGTCACAATCCTTGGGAGATACTGGAAAGTGGGCATTTTGACCTGCTTACTCTGCACTGAGCTAGGGAAAATTGTGCCTGTTTGAAACCACCTCTTTCTTTCATTTGGTCACGGGGGACTTGTAAATTCTGAACCTAGTTGGCTCTCAAAAGTAGCTGATTTAAGAACCAGTCCATTTGATGGCAACTATAAAACTTGGAGTGCTCAATGTGTGGACAAAGTCTTTCAAGGAAGAGGCTGGAGATTTCGTTTTATCACTAGTGTGAGCAGTGGGGAAAAGGCCCAGGAAGTGCCTCATGCATGTTCAGGCTCCAGGCAGTGGGGAGTAGGAGAGTTCTTACTAATTACCTGTCATGTCAATTCTCAGATGCCAGCTAGTAAGAAGACATATTCTGAGACATCAGCTGAGTAAGTGTACAGTCAGATTCCTTCCAGGGAGAAACTAGGATGTGGGCATTGTTGCCTGCTTGTTCTACACTGAGCCCAGAGGAATTTAGTAGAGAGTGCTTACATACCTGTTTAAGGCAACCACTTTGTTCTCCTTGTTTTAGAAAAAACTCATGGATGCTGAGCCACATTCACTCCTAGGGTGATTTAGGAGTCTTTCTCTTAAGTGAGAGCTGTAAAAGTCAGGGTGCTGTATGTGTGGTCTAAACCCTTCTCTCCTCGGGGAGAAGCTTGGAGTTTGGGGTTCCCTCCAATTTTAAGGTGCTGTGACCAGGGTAGATTTTGTGACGTAAGCATGTCTCAGCTTTTCCTGCCCATTTTGATGTGAATACTTTTTTAGTTGCAGTGTGTAGGAGTCACTGAACTAGCTCCTGAATTTTTCTTAGAGGAAATGGACCTGTGTGCAGCTCTTTACTTGTGCATCTCTGGGAGGAGGTCAAGTGGGGAGCTTCCTATTCTGCCATCTTGCTGACCTCTTCTCTGCTCATTTCTTTTTAGTGTTGAATAATATTCCATTATCTGGATGTACCACACTGCATCTATTCACATATTGAAAAGGATTTTAGTTGCTTCTAAGATTTTGTAATTGAATAAATAAAACTTCTATGAACATCCATGTGCAGGTTCTTGTGTGGACATAAATTTTCAATTCCTTTGGGTAAATATAAAGGAACGTGATTGCTGGATCATATAGTAAGAGTATGTTTAGTTTTGCAAGACACCAAAATACCTTCTAAGTGGCCGTGGCATTTTGCATTCTCATCAGCAATAAATGAGAGTTCCTACTGCTCCACATCTTCACTGACATTGTGTGGTCAGTCCAGGGTCCCATGTTTTGGCCATTCTAATAGGTAGACAGCAGTAACTCATTGTTTTAACTTGCAATTACCTGATGCTGTATCAGTGGAGCATCTTTTCATATGCATATTTCCTACCTATGTAGCATTTTTTAGTGAGCTGTCTGTTAAAGTCTTTGGACCATTTTTAAATTGAATTATGTATTATCTTATTGTTAAGCTTCAAGAGTTACCTGTCCATTTTAGATAACAGATTTTTATCAGATGTATCTTTAGCAAATATGTTTTTCCTGCCTATGGCTTGTCTTCTCATTCTCTTAATATATTTTGCAGAGCTGAAGTTTTTAACTTTTATGAAATTCTGTTTAACAATTAATTTTTTCATGGGTTATACCTTTGAGATGTACCTAAAAATCATCACCATATTTAAGGTTATCTAAGTTTTCTTCTATGTTATCTTCCAGTGGTTTTATAGTTTTACATTTTACATTTAGATCTCTGGTTCATTTTGAGCTAATTTTTCTAAGAGATGTAATATCTATGTCTTCATTCATTCTTTTTGCATGTAGATGCCCAGTTGTTCTGGCATTATTCATTGACAATACTTTCTTTGCACCTTTATCACAGGTTAGTTGATTATATTCATGTGAGTCTATTTCTGAACTCTCTGTTCTGTTCTTTTGGTCTGTTTGTCTAATCTTTCACCAATACGACATTGTCTTGTTTACTGTAGCTTTATAGTAAGCCTTGTAGTCCAGTAGTGTTATTCCTCCATTTTGTTCTTGTCTTTCAATATTGTGATGGCTATTCTGAGTCTTTTATTTCTCCACATAAACTTTGGATTCAGTTCACAAATAACCACAAAATAACTTGCTGGAATTTTAATTGAGATTGCATTGAATCTATAGATAAAATGAGGAAGAACTGACATCTTGACAGTATCAGGATTGTCTTTCCATGAACCTGGAGTATTTTTCCATTTATTTGGTTATTCTTTTATATCTTTAATCAGATTTTTATGTTTCCTTATTTAGATCTTCTATTTTTTAAGACTGTATCTAAGTATTTAATTTTAGGGGGTGCTAATGTAAATGGAATTTTGTTTTTAATAAAATTATACTTTTTTATTGCTAGTATAGAGGAAAGCAATTTACTTTCTTTTATTAATCTTCAATTCTGTAACCTTGCTATACCTGCTTACTAGCTACAGAAGATTTTTCTTAAATTTTTAAAAAATTTTCTGCATAGACAATTGTGCCAACTGTGAACAAAGACCACTGTATTTCTTCCTTTTCATCTGTATATATTTTATCCCATTTTTGTCTTACTGCATCAGCTAGTGCTTGCTGTGTGATGTTGAAAAGAAATAATATGAGACACCCTTGCCTTGTTACTAATCTTAGTGAGAAAGCTTCACATTTATCACCATTACTTTTTATGTTAGCTATAGGATTTTTGAATTTATTCTTTATCACGTTGAAGATGATCCCCTCTATTCCTAGTTTACTGAGATATTTTATCATGAATGGGTGTTCGATTTTGTCAAATGCTTTTTCTGCGTGTATTGATAAGATCGTGTAATTTTTCTTTTTCAGCCTATTGATGTGATGAGTTGCATTAGTGGATTTTTAAATGTTGGTCAGTCTTGCATATTTGTGATAAATCTCACTTGGTAGTGGTATATACTGTTTTATATACATTGTTGGATTAATTTTCTAATGTTTTATTGAGAATTTTTGCATTTATGTTCATGAGAGTTATTGGCCTGCAGTTTTCTTTTAGTGTCTTTGGTGTTTTAATTCAATTATCAAATTTCTATTGCTGATATTCTCATATATGGTTTCATTTTAATTGTGTTTTGAAGTTCTTGAATACATTTAAAATAGCTGTATTAAAGATCTATGTACAAATCCCACTCTCTGAATTCTGACTATTTTTCATTTCCTGTCTATTTAAATGTCTAATTATGTATAGTTGTTTTCTGGACGTTCAGATAAAAGATATATAGGGTGTTGATTGTGATGTTATTAAATTATTAACATTATTTTGTTTCTATCAAAATTGGTTTAATTTTCAGTTTAAGTCTCTTTTATATGTGAACAGAGTTCTAAGACATGCTCTTCCTCCACTGCATTGTTTTTATTCCTCAGTTGTGAACTTTCTGCTGACTTAACTGAGTTTGTGGTGTCTTCAATGAGGTCTCCACACCTTGACTGAGATGAAAAGATTAAGTCAATGATACTACTATTCAGCTGTCAGTTCTTTGGCAGGTGTTATATGCTAGGTCTTTTATAATCTCACTATGTGTATGCTCATACATATTTGTGGAGTTGCCTTCTTACACAGATTCCAACTTTTCGGATACTGTGTTACAAATTCTAGCTGCTTTGCCTCAGCAGCCTGGAACTCTTGCTTCAGCCACCTTAGCTCACAAAAACTTCTCCACTTTTAGTCCACTTTCCTGCTTGACTTTAGACAAAGGGTTCAAAGAAAAAGCCAAGGCAATTTTAATATGATTGATAGGCTCACCTTACTTTTCTTTCTTCCTTCAAGGGTCACAGACCTGTGTTACTTTCTCAAGGTATCCGCATACTGTTGCTTTATATATTTTGTTCAATTTTATAGCTGCTTTTAGTAGGAAACCAAGTTCAGTATCAATTACTCTGTTTTGGCCAACACCTGAAGTCAGCAGCATCTGTTTTCACATGAAAATTAGCATATGACTTCATAAAACTTACTTTCTTGAGTAGATTAAAGCAGACTTGAGCAGTATGAGTGAATTTTCCTGGTGTGTATATGTGCATTATTTAAATTGTCTAGATACCATGCCAAACACTCTAGCTCTATCTTGTCATGTGGTGCTTTATTTTTCATTTTGTAAAATTGTATCAATGACCACCAACTTTCTAAAGCTGTTTAAGAAATAAAGAAGATAATCCACATAAAATTTCTTTGTAAGCTATAAAGTGCTAAAAAATGAAAGTTATTATTATAGGGCAAAAATAAACATTTTTGTTCAGTCTTTGATTATAAGTTCCAACAGAAAGAAACTAGAATTGGTTATTCCTAATGGCATTTTTCCCCTTTAAATTTTTACAACAGCATTAAACTGGAGAAAATAAAAGACTTATTTTATTTTTGCTGAGCAAGGGAAGATGATCTAACTATTCTAAGTTAAAAAGGATTTGGAAGAATAACAACTGTCCTGAAGTGTATATTAATTCCTTAAATGTATGCAGCTCTAAAATTGTAAGCAAGTCCATAGACTAGTGCTGATTATTTTACAAAATATTCTATCACCTTCAAATCCAGGTTTTTGCCTGGTGACTTTCTTACTCTATTTTTTACCTACTATATAATGTCAGAGTACCTAATTCTTGAAGTCATTAGAAGACATTTAATAATGGCACCAATACTTTTTCTTTCAATATTTAAACCTGTTTCTAACTTAAATTATTCTTTTTGTTGATAATGAGTTATTTTATTTACAAGTTGAATATAGTGGCATCATTTTTTAGAACAATGTAGTGAGACATTTAAGAAATGAATTATTTTATTTACCAGAATATTTTCCCCAAGGTTCTCATTTGGGAGGAAATTAATTTCTTAAAAATACAAGCCAAATAGGTTAGTCATAATTTTATGATAAAAAATAACAGTCACATAAAAATTTTGGCATGGAACACAAAATCCTATTAGTAGCAAACATCTGTGACAGTCTAAGAGTGGCACATACCACGGGAACCTACTGCAGTGCTAATCATTCTTCTAAGTTATTTTTGGGGATATGGAGGAGAAATTCTGTTGTCTCAAATAGGGACATGAACTTCTCCTCAATTTAGCAAAATTAATTTAAATTGGCTGGCAGCTTATCACACCATATGTAGGGGGTATTCCTAAGAAGTAAAAAGACACAAGAAAAAAAAAACCCTTTAAAGAGGTAAAAACTCCATTGTAGAAGAAAAGAGAAGCATGGTAGTCATTAAGCAATCTAAGACCATCTTTTTTCCCAGAGCTCTAAGAGATATTGTTGCTCTCCGTTTTCTCATGCTTATCTCTATTGGCAGAGTGGTCTGAACAGCAGGGGAAAACAATTGCAAAAGGTATAGTAATTAGTTTTGAATCTTACAGAGAGAGACAGAGTAAATAAATACCACAGGTGCTGTCTCTTAAATGAGGCAAGAAGAGTCAAAATAATAATTAGCCCATATAACAGGTAAAGGCACAAGAAAGAAGTGGAAAGAGAAGACAGAGTGAAGAAATAATATAAATTTGATATTAAGTATCTCTTGATTAGAAATCCTTATGTGGAGACAGCATGAAAATTCTCTTTGTAATGGGATATTCAGTTGTGCATGCAAAGAGAAAACAAATACATAAAGTTTTTCAATGCGTGATCCTCATTACCATACCAGTACCCAAGCATAATCAGTTCCAATTAGTTGGTCCCAATTAATCAACAATCCCAAGTAAGCTAACAAAACCTCATGATGTCTATTTAGCGTGTCCAGCAAAATCTATTAGGAAAGAGAAGGTATAAGAAATGGGTTGG
Source organism: Homo sapiens (assembly GCF_000001405.40). Taxonomy (NCBI): domain Eukaryota; kingdom Metazoa; phylum Chordata; class Mammalia; order Primates; family Hominidae; genus Homo; species Homo sapiens. Next base: position 52,980,601 of record NC_000017.11, read on the forward strand.
AATATGTTTCTCTATTTGTTTTCCTTGTAAAAAGAAGGAGGAACACTAACACTTTTTATCTTATCAGTGATTTGCGTTGATTGAAAAGATGATAGAGTTGCCTGATGCATTCTGAGACCCATGCAGGTAAATGTCTACACATGTGGATGGGAATTCAAGAGTCCGTTGAGCCCCAATTTTTTTTTTGACACTTATGTTCTGTTAGTATTTTTCCTTCCATTTACCCTGCATTTCAGAGCAAAGCTAGATCTATTAAGTGTCATTTACAACAATGTACAACTTGTGCTAGCAAACATTATTCAGGTTAGAAGGTAATTTACAGTTGGTCAGAGGAACATAGGCTGCTAAATTTTATTTTTTATCAGTACCATGTGTGTCATTTCTGGTATAGTTTAGATTGAACTAAATTGAATAGAATGATCTGAGAATATTAGCATTATTTGTCTTTCTGTACTTCTTCCTTTCTTTCACATTACTTCTTTCTTTTAAGAAATACTTTTCAAAAACTACATAAATCATTTACAAAATAACTATTAAAATAAAGTTTATTTAGAATTACTCTTATTTCCCTGGCATTTATCTTAAATGTCAACACTACATGCTACATATGCCCAGATTTATCATAAGGTATCCAGTAGTTAAAATATGTAAATATTTTATTGAAAATGTGTGTATCTATTTTTAAATGTCTTTTAGCCATATTTTGTGTTTAAAGAACAACATCTACCTTTTTATATTTAGGTTCAAAAAACTGGGGGGGTTAAAAAATACATATTTGTCATAGACCTCTAAAATCATGAATGTTTCTTCTTTCGTTTATCAAATATCTACTGAATAATGTTTATATACTCAGCTTTTGACTAGCATTTAGGTGTGCATAGATATATAAAATAGCCTCTGAAGATATACACAAATATTTATAGTAAAATATATCACATGGAATACTAGATATCTAAACAGAATATATTGGGAGCAAAAAAAAGGTTTTGTAAATGTTTATCGAAAAGGTGGAGAAATTCCACATAAATTGTTAACATTTACATCTGGGATTTCAGGGTGAGCTGGATATCTCAGGGAGCACAGGGTGGTGGGTAGGAGTAGGGCATGTCAGAAACATTCAACATCATGAGCTAGGAAGAGACGAGGAAAGGTAAGGGAAAATGTATTTATTCATGTAGCAAATAGCTATTGAGCATGAGACTCTGTGCTATGTGCTAGACACTGTTCCTAGGCAGTGGAAATACAGCAGTGAACAAAACAGAAAATACACAGCCTCATTGAACAGAGAGTCTAGGAGCCTTACACTGACTTTTGTCTGTGAAGGAGCTTGAATGCTATTCTAAGGAGTTTTACATTCATTGGATTGAACATTATATACAATTGAGGTTTTATTTAGTTAGGTAGTGGCATGATCAGATGCACATATCAGAACACAAACTCTGTGGCATTTTAACAGATAGACCGTGAAGAATGATGAAAGGTGAACTGATATTAAAGCAGCCTGGAACCAAATTAAAGAAGGCATGGAAGGTGTAGAAAGAAGATAATAAAACAAAGGTGTTTAGAAGATAGTTTTTTTTTAATACACGGGGTCTAATAGAATTGGACTACATTAAACAAATATGAATTTTACATTTCTAGCGTAAGTGCCTGAATCTTTCTAATTCGTGGTGTGGTGCTAAATTAACTCCTTTTATTTATTGAATTTTTTATAGAGAATAAAGTAAATGCAGATTTGGATGTGAACATAAAGGAGGAAAATGAGATGAGCGATAATGCTGAAATGCTGATGTATGTGCAATCTAGAATTCAGGAAAAAAGCCTGAGCTGGAGCCATCTACTCTGTGGAAGTTGAAATTATGGAGCTAGAAGTCCTGTATTAAAAAGAAGCAAAGATATTAGAGATTTTTAAAAGCAGGATACTTAGATGAAGTCATCAGTCTCCTTCCTCCTCCTCCTCCTCCTCCTCTTCCCCTTCCTCCTCCTTCCCCCTTCCTCCTTCTCCCCCTCCTCCTTCTCCTCCCCTTTCTCCTCCTTCCCCTCCTCCTCCCCCTCCCCCTCCTCCTCTTCCTTCTTCTTCCTTCCTTCTTCCTTCTTCCCTCTTCCTCTTCCTCCTCCTCTTCTTCTTCTGCTTCTTCTTCCTCTTCTTCTCTTTTTAGTGGAGCCCCTTATGAGCTGTCAACCCTACAAAGTAGAGCTAGTTATTGGTCTGATTATTAGACTAAAAATTTGTGGTTGGAAAGGATTCTATTTCTAAATATAAACAGCACTAGAGTTTATTCAAAATTATTTTTTCATACACATTATGTAGAAAAAGATTCTCCTAAAGGTTGTTTTTGCTTAAGAAACTCTTGTTGCACAAATTGGTATATTCTGTATTAACTGTGATATCCCACTGGTTAAATGCTTGAATAATAAATATTATAATTGTTTATCATGTTCCCAATACAAAGCTAGATGCTGGGGTACACCTCCACCTCACCTATTCATCACACCTGAGAACTGCTCAGAAACCAGCATTGAAATTGATGGTTAGATACCTGAAAATACCTGTTTCTATGTTAAATGAACCTTTGAAATGGTTTACAATTTCATCTCCAGGTTGTACTCTGTATGGCATGAGAATTTAGCTTCTAGCTTTTTGAAGGAATAAGTTATAAGCCAGTCTGGCAGTTGAGTAGAGGACAATACTATGGTTAGGATTTTCAGTAGTTTCCTCAGAAAACAGGATTGATGTTTCCATTAGGACACAATGCTATAAATACAGCTGTTTACTGCTGCCTGCTATTATTGTGTGCCAGGCACTGTACATAACACATATACAGTACACTGTACTCCAACAAATCTCAGAATCATCTTGCTTTTGGCAGTGAGTAGGGTAAACATTGTCTACAAGGCTGACATTCCAAATGTGCTTGTCCTTAAATGAGGAGAAGGATTATGGGGCAGGAGAATTCACTAGACTTATCTTAATTGATGAAGATAATATTTAAAAATAGATTGGAAGGTATAATATCAATTTATATTTGAAAAAAATCCCAATCTTTTTAAAATGCAAATTATAGAGAGTAAAACACTCTGGATTTTGAACTGGGTTAACATGAATGTAAAAGATTGAGGGACTTTGTGTTAATAAATCTTACCTTCTACCTCCCCAGCCCTACACATACCTTATCAACTGGATATGCCTTAAAGATATTAAAACCAAAACTAACTTGAAATTCAAATCCCTAAACATGGTCATAAAATCACCAGACATACTCTGTTTCTGTTTTCCACCTTTAGTCCTTCACCCCAGCCAAACCATGCCACACCAAGCTTCTTCCCTACCGTGCTTCTCCACCATAGCCACTGCCATTTTATCTTTCCCAGAGTTCCCGGAGCCTTCACTGTCTTCATGATTAGATCCCTCCATACTCTCCATCACTAATGCCTTGGCTGGAGATTACCATTCAGAGACCATGTACTGAGCAGATAAATGCCAATCATCACAGCATTGTCTCAGGTATCATCATTGACTCTGGGATTAAGAAACAATATGTCACTATCCTAAAAGTTAACCAAGTTATAACTCAAGAGATCGTATGATCTGTTCTAGACCACACAAGTCAACATCTGTTATAATTAATGTTAATTTGGTTTCAAAGGACAAAAAATATATAAGCTAAAGTTAAAAAGAAGGGTCTTCAGAATATGAGAAATGTCGTAAGATACTTTACAAGAAATACAACGTCTCATGTTAGTCAGTCATTAGTCACTTTTCTCTCTTCTGTCCCTGCCTTCTGCCCGCTCTGACCCTTTGTTTTATTCCCTCTCAGTTGTCACATATTTTTGCTTCTCTCTGCATATTTGCTGTATTCATTTCTGTGTACACTGGCTTTCTCTACAATAATTTTATTTTTTATTCTTCTCAATCTTAGCTTTCCATTAGCTTTGCTTCAGCATAGCAAATTCTGGTGCTAAATCTAACATTCTAAAGCCTAACATTGTAAGCCTATAATTTATTTATTTATTATTTTGAGATAGATTTTCTCTCTGTCATCCAGACTGGAGTGCAGTGGCACAATCATAGCTCACTGCAGCCTTGAACTCCTAGGCTCAAGCAGTCTTCCTGCCTCAGCCTCCCAAAGTGCATGGATTAAAGGCATTTAGTCACCAAGCCAAGCCTAAATTTATAGTATAGAGATGGAATATGGTCACCCTTGCCCAACCTCATCCTTGAGCTGAGAACCTGTGGTGTTGGATCAGTGAATACGGCAGTATCACAGAATAAAAGTCTGTTCATATGAGCCCCTCATGCTGCCCTGGACTGCTAGTGGGGCCGTATTCTAAGAAAAGGGAATTTAGAGGGAAAACAGTCATAATTATAGCAGCAGAGTCAGGTCAACTCTCCTCTGATTTCAGTCTTTGCACTTTCCACTACCCCTGGTTGAGCAAATGTCTATGTTTTTATCATCTTTGTATTCCCACAACACTTTACAAAACATCTAGAAATTGCAGATGCTGATAAAATGTTGGTTGATGTGATGACCTTGAAGTGAATCAAACTAACATTTGCAGGTCTTTGATATTTCCCAGCCTTTCCATCTGAGAGTCAACTTTCAGTTGACTGTTAGCCAAGGTTTCCTTGAGCCAAATCCCTAGGCAGTAGTGAGAGGGAGAAATGAGAGAGACAAGGAGGGTTTTTAAGATCTATGATTAGGTTTCACGAGCAGCATTTTGAACTTGGAATAAAGGAGAACACAGAAATGAAAACTCATTCTGCCATATGGTTCCTGGACATTCTTGTGCAACTGCCAGAAAAAAAAAATGATTAAAAAAAAAAAAACCCACAAAACAACAAGGCAGCAATTGTGACAGAATAATGGAAGTCCAAATTACAGAGGCAAGGTTCTTCTTCTGTCCTCCCTCCAGGCCTAAATGAATAAAGGCATGACACTGAGATTGAAGGCTAGTTCTACTTCAGAACCACAGAGACATGAGCACCAGCAAGTTTGAGGTTGGATAAGGATCTTCAGAACTCCTCAGCTTCAGATGGTCAAGCACTGCTTCCTCCCTTCTTCAACGGCATCTCTAGCATGTATACTTCCCTTAAATCCACCTTCGTAGCATTTGCTGATGGTAATTCAGGGACTAGAAAAGCAAACTTTTAGAGATTTAATTTTTTTCTTTCTTTCCCTTGAAACTCAGGTCTTATTATTTCCCCATTTCCCTTCTTTCACACCCTGGGAAGTCCCCAGAGAAATTCACCAGTCTGGTCTGCACTGTAGTTTGGGTTGGCAGATGCTGCAGAGTTGTAAGAACCATCTATTTTTTTCCTCTTTTGCACCATTCCCTCTTCTGTTTACTTATCATCTCAAATGTTTACAATCCAGTGAGAGGCCATATAAATTTATTAAACCTCCCTGTTGTTTTTCTTTTCCTTTAAAAGAGATGTTATTTTAAGTTTTTCTTTCAGTTTCTTCTGATTTTCAGAATAGTTCCTCGGGGCTCTCATTATTTGGATCTCCTACTGACTTAATCTGCTCTGGAGCAAGGAGCTTGGAATTTCTTTGACTTTAAGCTGCAGCATTAATCTTTCGCCCAGCCTTAAAGGGTTTAGGGTGGAGTCTCTTCCAAAGGAGTTGCTGCCTGTGTAGCTACCAGGTTAGCAGCAAAGAAACCATATCTGGTCTCCTCTGTGGAAAGCAATCTGCCCCCTGCCAGCAGCTCAGCTTTGCAGCCACAGCAGAGCAAGCCCTGTGTTAGCTGGGGGACATTTCCAGCGAGAGGGACGGCAGGGGAAATGATGTGGACTCCATCAAGGGGAGAACTGCTCATCCATATCATCTAATTCCAGGAAGAGGCACAACAGAGTCCATGCCTTCACCTCCTCTGGCCAACTCTAATCATGAATCTCCTGTGAATCAGCTGGGAAACATGCAGAGTAATTGCTTCCCTCATGTTCTTCTTAGATTTTTTAAATGAGGATTTTAATTTCCACACCACTGTTTTCTGACCTCTCCATTCTTTCCTTTCCTCTTTCTTGTGCACAGATATGAGATTGGGGCCCTCATTCATACTAACTGGAATTTTCCTTGGCAATGGTAGAACAGAAGCTTCTCCATTCTTTACAGATGAATTTGCTTTAAGTAAGATCTTCCCAGAGTACAAAAGAAATTTATTCGGAAAATTTCAAACTAATGTGAGTGTGTCTTTTTTATAAACTTTGATAATTTCTACTTCAGAGGCAGAGTTTTGTTAGATTGATAATTAATTCTCCACAGCTCTCAGAAAAATGTCTTGCATATATTATGCATTTGATGAATAATTATTGAATACATGAATATAGACATATCTATAGAGTAACCTGGTCAATTTTTATGGATGACATCATATGTTTCGCCATACAGAGCTCCATTATGCTGTGTCTATACAACAAACAGCACTGCATTCATGTTGAGTGCAAGTATGACTTCACCATTGAATATTTTTTATCTGAATTGATCGTTTTAACCTGCTCTTCTCTAACTGTGATACCATCATGACTAGAATCCTCTCAGCTCATTCTCCTCTTTCATTTTGTCCTTTTCCCTTTATTCTTGCTGTTTAATGTGATTCTCTCATTGGCGACATGGGCTCCCCTCAATTACGACTCTATCATTTTCCATGACAGATGGCCTTCTCACTGGAACTGGATCCACCATCCCTTTTGCTCAGTGTCGTCTTGTTTATGTTTTAGATCCTTTGCAAGGTGAGCTACACCTCTGAGAGGAGCTCCTGGAAATTACCAGATACTTAATGTTGCCAGCTGTTACAGATGGAGGTGATGCACCTTGATGATGCATAAGTACTGAGCCTGAATCCTACAAATGGGAAAAGGTGCTCATATCAGACTTATGCATTAGATATCAAACTACAAAATACAAGTGCAGTTGATACCTGTTTAGATGATGTAGAGCAAGGTAACAGAGTATGTATTAAAAGCAAAAATTCCCATGAAGCTGAACCGTTACTCTCTGCCAAAACCTCCCACTCTCAAGTTTTAAGAGCCAATAAACCTTGTATCTGTACGTTCAGCTTTGCCTTTTTTTTCCCAGGACTGTAAACCTCTGTCAAGGTTTACCATGTTTCATTGATTTTATTTTTTCTAGCACCAACATAATGCTCATATAGTAATGAGGATGAAATAATTTATTTTTTTCCTGCTCATCGTGTCATTGTGAATGTTCTGCTATCATACAAAAAAAACCACACTTTATTTAAAAATATTTGCTGAGCAAATATAAACCACTGTGCATTTTTCTGAGCACCAGTAAGACAGCCAAGTATAAAGGGGTCCCCAAAGAAACTCTGACCAGCCTGCACACTTGGAGGAGTGTACACTGGGGTGGAGCCTTGGGAAGTTCATGCTGTTTGCAGTGGGGAGGAGCCTGGCCTCTCCTGATCTGGGGTGGTAAACTGAGATTCAATCTGTGAGGCGGGAAGCATATTAGCAGGACTATTTCTTTGCTGAGAGTCCCTGTTTCCTTTTGTTTCCTTTTCACCCAATAAACCCTGCCCTTCTCACCCTTCAAAGTGTCTGTGAGCCTAATCTTTCACGGTTGTGTGACAAGAACCCAGCTTTTAGCTGAACTGAGGAGTAAGTCTTACAACACCACTATATAGTGATGAAAAAAACAAACAACCCCACCTTCACTGAGTTTACATTTAATAAAAACACCAATAAATTCTTTATTATTCCTGCAAAATCAAATCACTTGGACAATATCCTGGCTTCCCTATATTGGTTAATCTAATTATTCAATATTATGGTATTGTACATACTATAGACTGAATATGACCTTGTTTAATCACATTTGTGAATTTCAACTTGTCTTTATGAAGTTTCGCATATAATCACTGACTTCTTATTGCTGTACATTTCTTTATAGTATTTTTTGAATTGATCCCTTACTTTCTAGTTCGGGTGTCTTCCTGACTCCCTCATTTCTTCCCTCTCAAATGTTTTCCAATTGGTTTTACTTTTCCTTGGCCAACCTTATTTTTATCCAGTCTACATACTCCTGTTACTTCTACCTCAGTCCAAACTCTTTTGGTTTCAGACAACAAAATCTTATTTCAAGTAAAATAAACAAAAAGGAAAAAAAATACAATATAACAATACAAAGGTATAATAAAGTATAATAAAGTAACCAAAGGAAGAAATCAGGAGAAATATTTAGAAAAAAATTGCATCAGGGATCAGACATACGGCAGAAACTGAATTTATTTTCCTGTTTTTTCCAGAAAACCATGATTTTTCATCTTTTCTCTCTGTGTATCCTTCATAATATCTTTTCTTTTTTTAAAAAAAATTATCTTCTTTTGTGTTTTCTCTTTCTTTCTCCAGTTTGCCTTCCCTCCCAAGAATATTCATCCTTTTTTCAAGTGCATATGGCTCAAACTATATAACTTTAAGCATGCACTTTCCATGGTCTCAGTTTAGTTGCCTAACAAACCGTTTAGAATATTCCTAACTTCCTTTTTTTCCCCTAGAATTGTTGACATCTGACATCCAACTTATGCCTGCCCATTTTAGATGAGGTATTCATTTCCCATATTTTACCAAAAGTAAGGGGAAGAAGGAAGTTGGGGAATGGTGTTCAAAGCCATATCTTATAAATACAATTTCCATAGTTTCACACCAATGATGGGTGGATGGATGGGGCCAGTCCTCCCAGAGAAGGGATCCTGGATTGGGCAAATGCTCCAATTAGTGTAAAGCCTTTGGAACTTCTATTCATAGTTATACTATTCACCTTCATACTCCAGTTTCTCTTCCAACTATCACTGCCAGCCTTATGCAACCTTTTCTCTATGATTCTTATATCTTCTGCCAGATGGAGTTTATTCACTTTCTCATAATTTTCTCACTCATTGCTATATGATTTATGCAATCAGTCCTTTAAACTTCCTCTATCATATGCGTTGCAAAGAACCAAAGCCCACACTCACCACAAAGTTTTGCTTAAATTAACCTCCCCTCTGAATGGTCTCCAGATTCTTATCCAGAGCTTATTATCATTTTGATTTTGGTATTATTATTTTTAAAAATATAACTTACTAAATATTATATATTAATTACAATTATGCTTGTAAATCAAGTTTGGTTATTTTGTGAATTTAAGTGTTACTTCATACATCTATTTGTAAGCTTCTTAAGGGCATTTCCTCAGAAAATGTCACACAATAGCAGGAATTTAAGGTAGTAAATAGGTAATATAAAGAGAAGGATGTAAAAAATATTAAACACATTCTGTGCCAGGTGATAGGGTAGACACTAAATTAGGAAAATAAGCTCAGGAAAACTTTCCCAGAATGTTTTGATCATTTGTGACCTTACTGGAATTTAAAACCTAATCTTTTCAATTCAAAGTCTAAAGTCTAATGGTATCTATTAAACTATGTGAAAGTAATTTTACTTGAAGGAAACACACTTTAGTTAAGAATTTTAGGCCAGGCATGGTGGCTGACGCCTGTAATTTCAGCTCTTTGGGAGGCCGAGGTGGGCGGATCACCTGAGGCCAGGAGTTCCAGAACAGCCTGGCCAACATGGTGAAACACTGTTTCTACTAAAAATACAAAAATCAGCCTGGCATGTTGGCTTGTGCCTGTGGTCCCAGCTACTTGGGAGGCTGAGGCAGGAGAATTGCTTGGACTCGGGGGGCAGAGGTTGCAGTGAGTCGAGATCACCCCACTACACTCCCGCCTGGGCAACAGAGCAAGGCTCTGCCTTAAAAAAAAAAAAAAATTTAGTCAATGGCCCATAATTTGAGTCAGCTAATGTTGGATTAGAAAGTCTCCTCATCCATTTATTATTACTCTTCTGTATCTTTCTGAGTAACCTTGTGTTTGCCATTAATTTGGAGTCTATGGACAAGAAACTACTAAGATAGCCTGTCTTTAAACAACATTCTCTATTTCAGATTCTACATGTTTAGACTGTCAGTGCAATTAATCTGAATAAATGTATTTATTACCTTCTGCCCCAAAACGTGAGTCTGTCTTTGGGAGTTTGTAGCTTGCTTGAAAGATTATGAGACTTTTCCCATGCAGGGAATTCATATGAATTCCCTGCAGAAGGATAACATATATACTCTGGATTTGGGGACAGCCCATTGTGCCTAGTAAAAAAGATACTGTGGGAGTTAGTCATTTTTTTATGCAGAAAATTTGAAAACATAACAGAAAGAAAAAAAAACTCTTTAGAGATTTTTCTTTTGCATTATATTTTGGTAAATGGAGACACCAAATGGTATGTTTGATAGATTCTAAGAAACTGTTCAACTAATCAACAAGCATTGGTAATTATAAAACCTCTACCATAAGCTAACTTCTATAGCACTGTTTTTTTTAAAAAAAGGAAACATGAACATCCAGTCCTCTAATCTCCAGAAATAAAGGTATAAGTGAAATAGTGGCAAATATTGCATAACTAATCACATTTTTGTTTTTGATTTAATATTGCATTTACCACACTCACTCAGGCCTAGGTGTTTTTTTTCAACTTCAACACAAGGAGAAATGCTGGCTAAATCCCAGGCAGAGCGTGTCCTAATTTAGGCCATGCAGAAAGCACTGGACGTATTCAAATTCATGTTGGGTACAAATTGTTTCATTCTGTGACTTTTGGGAAAGCAATCAGGAGTTAAGGGTCAAGGGTCTAAGTTAGCTGGGCGTGGTGGAGGGTGCGGTGGTGGGCGCCTGTAGTCCCAGCTACTCGGGAGGCTGAGGCAGGAGAATGGCGTGAACCTGGGAGGCAGAGATTGCAGTGAGTGGAGATCACGCCACTGCACTCCAGCCTGGGCGACAGAGTGAAACTCTGTCTCAAAAAAAAAAAAAAGAGTCAAGGGTCTGTTCCAGCAGTGGGCAGGAAGGGATACAGCTCTGATAGGCAGCAGGGCACCACATGGAGTTGGGTCTTACTCCCTGCTTATGAGTGAGGTTTTTTCAACATAGTGACATCATGTCCCACCCAGCACAGTGCACACCTATACTTCCTGAGAAGTGAAACAATTTGATTCAAGGTCTCACTGTAAACAATGAAATGTTACTCTCTTGAGAGGGGAGGGTTGGACATAGCACATGGAGGTCAATACTTAGCAGTGGTGAGCTTGCTTCTTGGGCCTTAATAATATCTCATTTGAACCTCATAACAGCACCATAGCATAGATCTGATTGCTAATGTTGGAAATGAGGAAACAGATGGTGAAAAGTTTAAGTATCTGAGCCAAAGCAGTCAGAATATGTCAAGGCAAGAATTTATTTGAATTCAGGTCTCCATTGTTCAAACTGGTAGGTGTTGGTGTCTAATTGACAGTGACACATATGATGAGAAAGCAAATACTTACTGCATCATATTCAGAAAGGCAGTGGAAAAATACCTGATACCAAGGATAAGAATCAGCCCTTCAAATATTGGGAACTTATTTGAAACTGACCAATCCTTTAAAGTCTTCTTACTTCCTTCCCTTCTACTGAAACAAAACTCTAAAATGAAGGCACTTAGCTAATTGTATCAATAGCACTTATTTACCTTATTTTAAGGTAAAATCAAAAGTTCATATATGCTCATTAGAATCACCTTATTCCTTAGCTATCTTTAGTGCTTTCCTTCTTAACAGTGGGGATTTGGATTGCAGTTTAAAATATTTTATGTACTACACTGCATTTCTCATCAATTTTCTGTGGTAGACACAGAAATGTTCTACCCCGATACCCCTTCAGGGAAAGACTTGCTGTGATATTAACCTGTATCAGGGGTTGGTGTTGGGGATGGGGAGTTTTATGATGAAATTATGAGAATTAGGTATGCTTCTCCCTTCACTTTGGGAACTCTCCTCAACCAATCATACTTCATGGAAGAGTAAAATGATTTTAATGGAGAAGCAAAGAGAAGCGAAAATTCATGATATTTTGAATTTCAAAACTCAATATAATAATTTCAAGAATATGATAAAACTTTCGGGAATTTTTTTGAACTCAAGTCTAAGATTAAACAAGGGGCAAAGAAGAACTTACTAGAAGGAGTTTTATTTTATTTTATTTTTCTGCCAGGATTCCTCTGGCACAGAAGACTAGATGAAACCTCTGCCTGGCATGGTCCCTATGAAGAAAGTAGCCTCAGCTACATAAGGAATATTCTCAAAGTCCCAATCTGCCAGTCTGGTAGTAGTAGAACAGTAGAATTCCTCCATGTATAAGGCAGAGAAGCAAGCTTGACAGAGAATGAAGTTGAGAGCCCCAAAGAGTCTTTTTAAAAAAAAATTTATTTTCATAGGTTTTTGGGAAACAGATAATATTTGGTTACATGAGTAAGTTCTTTAGTGGTGATTTGTGAGATTTTGGTGCACTCATCACCTGAGCAGGATACACTGAAACCAATTTGTAGTCTTTTATCCCTCACCCCCTCCCACACGTTCCCCTGAGTCCCCAAAGTCAATTGTATAATTCTTACGCCTTTGCATCCTCATAGGTTAGCTCCCACTTATGAGAGAACATACGATGTTAATTTTATATTCTGGAGTTATTTTAGTTAGAATAATAGTCTCCAGTTCCATCCAGGTTTCTATGAATGGCATTAATTTATTCCTTTTTTGGCTGAATAGTATTCCATGGTATATAATGGAATATATACATATATATATATATATATACACACACACACATATATATATACACACATATATATACACACATATATATACACACATATATATATACACACATATATATACACACACACATATATATATACACACATATATATATCTCACAATTTATTTACGCACTCATTGATTGATGGGAATTAGGGATGGCTCCATATTTTTGCAGTTGCAAATTTTGCTTCTATAAACGTGTGTGCAAGTGTCTTTTTCTCTGGGTAGATACCTACTAGTGGGATTGCTGGATCGAATGGTGGTTTTACTTTTAGTTCTTTAAAGAATCTCCACACTGTTTTCCATAGTGGTTGTACTAGTTTACAGTCCCACCAGCCATGTAGAAGTGTTCCCTTTTTACCACATCCATGCCAACATCTATTATTTTTTTTTATTATGGCCATTCTTGCAAGATTGAGGTGGTATCACATTGTGGTTTTGATTTGCATTTCCCTGATCATTAGTGATGTTGAGCATTTTTTCATATGTTTGTTGGCCATTTGTATGTCTTTTTTTGAGGGTTGTCTATTTGTCTTCAGCCCACTTTTTGATGGAATTTTTTTTTTCTTGCTAATTTGTTTGAGTTCCTTGTAGACTCTGGATATTAATTCTTTGTCGGATGTGTAGATTTTCTCCCACTCTGTGGGTTGTCTGTTTACTCTGCTGACTGTTCCTTTTGCCGTGCAGAAGCTCTTTAGTTTAATTAAGTCCCACCAATTTATCTTATTTTATTGCATTAGCTTTTGGGTTCTTGGTCATGAAGTGTTTGCCTTACTTAAACCAAAGTCTAGAAAGGTTTTTCCGATGTTATCTTCTATAATTTTTACAGTTTCAGGTCTTAGATTTAAATCCTGGATCCATCTTGAGTTGATTTTTACATAATGTGAGAGATGAGAGTGCAGTTTCATTATCCTACATGTGGCTTGCCAATTATCCCAGCACCATTTGCTGAATCGGGTGTCCTTTTCCTACTTTATGTTTTTGTTTTCTTTGTTGGAGATCAATTGGCTGTATTTGAGTTTATTCGGGTTCCCTATTCTGTTCCATTGGTCTGTGTGCCTAGACTTCAAGTATGGAGTCTTGAAGTTCTGACTGGGTTTGTTGTTCTGGAATACTTCATCATGAATATATTGTGAGAGATTGGATACTAGATTAGCTAAAGATTAGCTAAAGAGAAATATTAAGAGAAAAAGTGGAGGATGTGTTAGTCTATTTTACACTATTATAAAGGAATACTTGAAGCTGGGTAATTTATATAAAAAAAAGAGGTCTATTTGACTCACACCTCTGCAGACTGTAAAAGAAGCATGGTGCCAGCATCCATTTCTGGCAGGACATCAGGAAGCTTTTACTTAGGGTGGAAGGCAAGGAGAACTGAGGCATGCCCCATGGTGAGAGAGGGAACAAGAGAGTCAAGGGGGAGGTGGCACATTCTTTTAAATCAACCAGCTCTCTATGTAAACTAATAGAGCCAGAACTCACTCATTACTGAGGGGACGGCACCAAGCCATTCATGAAGGATCTGCCCACAAGACACAAACACCTCCCACGAGATCCTGCCTCCAACATTGGAGATCACATTTCAGTGTGAGATTTGGAGAGGACAAATACCCAAACCATATTAGAGGAAGAAGAGGAAAGAGAGGATTAGGAGACAGGGAGAAAGGGTGGGAGAGAAAGAATGAAGGAAAGGAAGAAATCAGTAGAAAAAATAATAATTTCCCAGGGCTACCAATTTGGAAAAGTTATTACTGAAAGAATCAGAAAATTAGCCAATATATCTGTCTAAATACTCCATGTTTTCTTGAATCCTATCTTCTTATCCCCTTCCCTCATAGTCAGGAGCTCCACAGTATCAGTGTAAAAGTGCTCCTGAGAGATAAGTTGGTAAAAAATTGTTGCAGATCAGTCTGTCATATTTCAAGTCACTGAATGGCATCTGTTCTCTATGAAATACAGTGTGATCTCATCTTCTAAATGAGATGAAAATGATAGCTTGGGAGGGGATGAAAAATACAAATACATTGCAGTGTTTAAACAAATCAATGTTCCACTTTACTTTGAAAGCCACCAAACAAACAATTGACACCCAGCAGGGCTGGCACTTAAGGCAGCTCCAGGCAGCTACCACACCAGCCATTTATTTCCATTTCCTGATACCCTTGGAACATCATTAGCAACAGGGAAGCATTAAGACCGCAAGTGGGACAGATTCACATCTGTCTAGGTAACTGTGAGAGCTAATCTGTTTGTAACACTAGAGAGATGCTTAGAAATTCACTTTTGCTGATGCATTTGCCTCTCCAGATTGACTGCAAACATCATTGCCAAAGGGGTTCCTTCAGTTTTGTCTGTCTCCATGGAAAAACTTAAATTTTTCCCTAAAGAAAATGATTAGGGATTGCCTTTGCATTGCAATCCAAAGGCAGCCCATGCTTTTCTAAGTGATTTATACTTTTCCTCATGAAAAAGAGATGTCTCCTATAATAAACCTTAAAAGACAGGCCACAAAGTGGGAGAAAAAGTAGTATCTTAATGCCTTCTTATGCACGTTCTTGAATGTTCTCTCTCTCTCTGTGTTTCCCCAAAAGATAAATGTTTTAGGTAAATAATCAACCAAGGTCTCGATTTTCTCCTTTGCTTTCAGAGTATGTTGTCAAGCTTTGTAAATTTTTTAGCAGCTGTCAGAGTAAATTTATTACCAGAGATGTCTACATTCTTATGTAATCCAGAAGGGAAAGTTCTGGTGATGGGTTCTGTTTCAGCCTTTGAAGACCAAATGTCTAGCAAGATTAGGATGCAAAAACAGAGTTGGCCATATGAAATCTCCAACTGCCATCTATTATGCAGTAATGAATAAAAACAGATCATCCTAAATTGCACCACTTGCAACTTCCCTTCAGTCACATAACCAACAACTACATAGAAAAGCTAGCTTGTCTGGAATTATAAATACATGCTTTTGAAGATTAAATATGCGGTGGATGTATTTTACCGAAAAAGAAGATAATAGGTTCCTACTTTAGTGCATAATTTGTTTTAAAAAATGCAGAAACAAACAAACAAAGCACAGTTCCTGAAGTCCAGTGGGAAAAAAAATAGGTAAAATAGAAAAAAGAAAAAAATCATCATTATTTATAGAGAGAATACTAATATCTGCTCCCTTCAGAGTCTGGGGAGAATTCTCCTGTCATTATGGAAAGTGACATTTGAAACATGGGTTAGGGATTTCAAACAAAAAACATTTCGTGACCTAAATGGCTTGCGATTAAGACAATGCCATGCATATAAAAATTAAACATAGCATAGGATCTACACAAACATGCAAGCATAGATTTATAGATAGCCATTAGGTGTCTGTAGCCAATGTGAAGCTATGTTACAAATAGGTAGATAAATTATCTATGGGAGGAGAAGGTGAAGCATGATGGCCAAATAGAAAGCTTTACTGATCGCCACCCCACTCAAGGCCACCAAATTAACAACTATCTACACAGAGAAAAAAACACCTTCATAAGAACTAAAAATAAGATGAGCACTCATAATACCAGGTTTTAATTTCATATTGCTGAAAGAGGCAGTGAAGAGATAGAAACAGTTCTGAATCACCAAAGCCCCCACTTCCACCATGCCCTGGAATTGAGATCTGGTGTGGAATGCATTTCTGGACTCTGGGGGAGGGAGATCAGTGCCATACTATTACAGCAGAAACGAAAACTGGACAATACTCAGCTGACACCCGCCCATGGAGGGATCTTTTAAACCAGCCCTATCCAAAGGGGGATCACCTATCCCAGTGGTCAGAACTTGAGTGTCTGCAAACCTCACCATCCAGGGCTACGGCACTCTGTGTCTTCAAGTAAACTTGAAAGGCAATCTAAGCTATAAGGGCCGCAACTCTTAGGTGAGTCTTAGTGCTGACATGAAGCCTAGAGACAGTGGTTTGTGGGGCATGCGACATACTGAGACACGAGCTGGGGAAGCCAAGGCAGTTCAGGCATCACCCCTCCCTAACCCCAAGCTGCACAGCTCCGGTTTCAAAAGAGACCCGTTCTATCCACCTGAGGAGTGGAGAGGGAAGAATGGGGAGGATGACTTTGTTTTGTATTTAGGATACAAGCTCAGCCACAGGAGGATAAGGCACTGGTCAGATTTATGAGGCCCTCATTCCAGGCTCTAGCTCCCAGATGACATTTCTAGGCACACCCTGGGCCAGAAGAGAACCCCATGCCTTGAAAGAAGGAACCCAGTTCTGCCAGGATACATAACTTGCTAACCACAGAGCCCTTGGGCTCTTTGAATACCCAGCAGCGATACCCAGGCACTACATCGAGGGTCTTGGGTGAGCCTCTGAGAAATGCTGGCTTCAGGTGAGACTCAGCACATTACCAGCTGGGCACAACTCCTTCTGCTTGAGAAGAGCAGAGGGAAAAGTAAAGGGGACTTTGTCTTGCACCTTAGGTGCCAGCACAGCCACAGTGGGGTAGATCACCAAACAGGCTCTTGGGGTCCATGATTCCAGAACTAGACTCTTGGGCAGCATTTGTGGACCTACCCTGGGCCAGAAGGAAGCCCACTGCCCTGAAGCATGAGTCCCAGGCACGACAAGCTGACTTAAGAGACCCTGGGCCTTAAGGGAATATCAGTGGTAGTCTGGCAGTACTCCTTGCAGCCTGGGGTGGTGGTGGCTACAGGGTGAGGCTTCTCTGCTTTTGGAAATGGGAGAGAAGAACTGTGTCTTGTGGTTTGAGTGGCAGCTCAGCTGCAATACAGTAGAACACCAGGTAGAATTCTATAGTTTTTTACTCTAGTCCTTGACTCCCAGATGACACTTCTGTACCCATCTGGAGCTTGGGGGATTTTGCCACTCTGAAGAGAGTTACACGGGCCTGGCTGGCTTTGCCACCTAATAATTGTAGAGCCCCAGAGACTTGAGGAAACATAGGCAGTAGCCAGGGAGAGGTTACAGCAGGCCTTGGGCGAGACTCAGCTCTGTGCTTGCTCAGGTATGAACCAGTGCAGTCATAGTGGTGGTGGTCACAGGGTGCTTGTATCACTCCATACCCAGGTTTAGGTTGTTCAGAACAGAGAGAGAGACTGTATGCTTGGGAGAAAATAAGGGAAGGGAACAAGGGTCTCTGCCTGGTGATCCAGAGAATTGTCCTTGATCTTGTCCAAGACCATCAAGGCAGTACGTCTATGAGTCTGTAAAAACCACAGTGTTACTGTGTTTGGGGTTCCCTCTAAAGCAGAAACAGCTTAGATCATTTACCCAAGTCCTTGGAAATATCTAGAAAGCCTTCTCAAGGAGAATGGCTATGAATAAGCCAAGTCAGTGGCTAACCTTTCAATGCCCAGGCACTGAAAAACATCTAGTACCGTCGACATCACCCAGGAAAACATGACCTCGCCAAAGAACTAAGTAAGGCACTAGGGACAAATCCTGAAGCAACAGAGGTATTTGACCTTTCATAGAGAGTGAATTCAAAATAGCTGTGTTGCGGAAACTCAGTGAAATTTAAGGGAACAAAGAGAAGGAATTCAGCATTCTATCAGGTAAATTTAACAAAGACATTGAAATAGTAAAAAAGAATTAAGCAGAAATTCTAAAGTTGAAAAATGGAATTGACATACTGAAGAATGCATCAGAGTTCTTTAACAGATGAATTGGTCAAACAGAAGAATTAGCAAGTTTGAAGACTGACTCTTTGAAAAGACACAGTGAAAGGAGACAAAAAAATAAAGAATAAAACAAATGAAACATGTCTGCAGGATCCAGAAAATAGCCTCAAAAGGGCAAATCTAAGAGTTAATGTCCTTAAAGAAGTTGTAGAATAAGAGATAGGAGTAGAAGGTTTATTCAGAAAGATAGCAGCCAAGAACTCCCCAAACCTAAGAAAAGATCAACAACTAAGTACAAGAAGGTTATAAACACCAAGCAGATTTAATCCAAAGACAGCTACCTCAAGGCATTTAATAATCAAACTTCCAAAGGTCAAGGATAAAGAAAGGCTTCTAAAAGCACCAAGAGAAAATAAAAACATAACATACAATGGAGATCCAATACATCTGGGGGCAGACATTTCACTGGAAACCTTACAGGCCAGGGGAGAGTAACATGACATACTTAAAGTGCTGAAGGAAAAAAAAAGAGACAAAAACCTTATATTCTAGAATAGTCTGTTCAGCAAAAATATCCTTCAAGCATAAAAAGAAAATAAAAACTTTCTCAGAGAAGCAAAATCTGAGCGAGTTCACCAACACTAGACCCATTCTATAAAAAAATCCTGAAGGGAGTTCTTCCATCAGAAAGAAAAAGACATTAATGAGCAGCAAGAAATCATCTGATTATAGAAAAGTCACTGGTAATAGTAAGTCACAGAAAATCACAGAATATTATAACAATATGATTGTGGTGTGTATTAGTGCATTCTCATGCTGCTATGAAGGAATACTCAAGACTGAATAACTTATAAAGGAAAGAGGTTTAATTGACTCACAGTTCTGCATGGCTGGAAAAGGCCTCAGGAAACTTACAATCATGGCAGAAGGCAAAGGAGAAGAAAGACATCTTTACAATGTGGCAGGAAGGAGAAGTGCCAAAGGGAGAAAAGTCCTCGATAAGACCATCAAATCTCATGAGAAGTCACTCAATATCACGAGAACAGCATGTGAGTAAATGCTTCTATGATTCAATTACCTCCCACTGGGTCCCTCCTAGGACACATGGAGATTATGGGAACTACAGTTTAAGATGAGATTTGGGAGGGGCCACAGCCAAACCATATCATGGTATTTAAACTACACTTAAGTACAAAGACTAAAAGATGAACCAATCAAAAATAATAAGTACAACAACTTTTCAAGACACAGACAGTACAATAAAACATAAATAGAAACAACAAAAAGTTAAAAAGTGGTGGGACAATATTAAGGAATATTGTTTTTATTAGTTTTCCTTTTGCTTGTGTGTTTGTCTCTGCAAAAAGTGTTAAGTTGTTATCTGGTTAAAATAATGGGTTATAAGACAGTATTTGCAAGCCTCAGGGTAACCTCAAACCAAAAAAATCATATAATGGATGGAAAAAAAATTAAAAGGAAAAAGTTAAATTATATCACCAGAAAAAATACCTTCAATAGAGGAAGAAAGGAAAGAAAAAAAGACCATAAAACAACCACAAAACAAATAACAAAAAGGCAGGAGTAATTCCTTACTTATCAGTAATAACATTGAAGGTAGATGAACTAAACTGTCCAACCAAAAGTCATAGACTCGCCTAATGAATGAAAAAGCAAGACCCATTGATTTGTTGCATACAAGAAGCACACTTCACCTATAAAGACACATATAAACTGAAAATAAAAGGATGAAAGAAGATATTCCATGCTAATGGAAACCAAAAAATAGCAGGAATTGCTGTACTTATATCAGACAAAATAGTTTTGAAGACAAAAACTGTAAGGAGAGACAAAGGTCACTGTATAATGATAAAGGGATCAATTCAACAAGAAGATCTAACAATTTTAAATATATATGCAACCAACACTGGAGGACCCAGAAATTTAAAATAAATATTATTAGAGCTAAAGAGAGGGACAGGGTCCAATTCAATAATAGCTGGTGACTTCAACACCCCACTTTCAGCAATGAACCAATCTTCCAGACAGAAAATTAACAAAGAAACAACAGACTTAATTTGCGCTATAGAACAAATGAGTCTAATGGGTATTTACAGGACATTTTATCCAAGAGCTGAAGAATACAAATTCCAATCCTCAGTACATGGATTAGTCTCAAGGATAGACCATATGTTAGGTCACAAAATATGTCTTAAAATATTCCAAAAATATTGAAATAATATCAAGCATCTTCTCTGACTACAATTAAAACTAGAAATTAATAACAAGAGGAATTTTGGAAACTATACTAATACATGGAAATTAAACACTATCTTACTAAAAGACCATTGGGTCAAGACCTGAAGAAATTAAGAATGAAATTTAAAAATTTCTTGGAACAAATGGAAGCACAGCATACCAAACCTGTGGGATACAGCAAAAGCAGCACTAACAGGGAAGTTTATAAGTGTAGGCTATAAGGGCCTACATCAAGAAAGAAGAAAAACTTCAAATGAACAATCTAATGATGCAGCTTAAAGAACTAGAAAAGCAAGAACAAATGAAACCCAAAATTAGTAGAAGAAAGGAAAAATAAAGATCAGAGTAAATATAAATGAAATTGAAATGAAAAAAGCACAAAAGATAAATGAAATAAAAATTTGGCTTTTTTGAAAAGATAAAATTGACAAACCCCTAGCCAGAATAACAGAAAAAAAAGAGATGATCTAAATGAATAAAATCAGAAATGAAAAAGGATACATTACAGCTGATACTGCAGAAAACCAAAGGATCATGAGTGGCTACTATGAACAACTATATGCCAATAAATTGGAAAATCTAGAATAAATGAACAAATTCCAAGATATATACAACGTACCAAGATCGTACCAGGAAGAAATCCAAAAACCTGAACAGACTGATAACAAGTAATGAGATCAAAGTGATTAAAAAAAGCCTCCCAGTAAAGAAAGGCCCAGGACATAATGGTTTCACTGCTGAATTCTACCCAATGTTTAAAGAACTAATATTAATCTTATTCAAACTATTCTGAAAAATAGACATGGAGGAAATACTTCACTTCCAAACATATTCTATGAGGCAAGTATTACCCTGATACCAAAACCAGACAAAGGCACATCAAAACAAAACAGAAACTACACGCCAATATCTCTGATGAATATTGATGCAAAAATTTTCAACGAAATATCAACAAACCAAATTTAGTAATACATTAGAAAGATCACTCATCATGACCAAGTGGGCTTTACCCCTGGGATGCAACAATGGTTCAACACATGGAAATCAATCAATGTGATACAGCATAACAATTGGAAAAGGGAAAAATATAATAGGCATTCAAATTAGAAAAGAAAAGTCAAACTACCCTTGTTTGCGGATGATGAGATCTTATATTTGGAAAAGCCTAAAGTCTCCACAATAAAACTTTTGAAATTGATAAAAAAATTCAGTAAAGTTGCAGAATACAAATCAACATACAAAAATCATAGCATTTATATATGCCAGCAGTTAACAATCTGAAAAATAAAGCAAGAAAATAACCCTATTTATAATATCTACAAATAAAATAATGTATCTGGGAATTAACCAAAGAAGTAAAAGATCTCTATAATAAAAACTATAAAACACTGATAAAAGAAATTGAAGAGACACCCCAAAAATGAAAAAGTATTTCATGTTCATGTACTAGAAGCATTCATATTGATAAAACGTCCACACCACCCAAACAAATCTACAGATTCAAAGCAACCTCTATCAAAATACCAATGATATTCTTCACAGAAATAGAAAAAACAATTCTAAAATTGATACGGAACTACAAAAGACCAAGAATAGCCAAAGCTGTACTAAGCAAAATAACAAAACTGGAGGAATCGTTTTACCTGACTTCAAATTATACTACAGAGCTATTGTAACCAAAACATTATGCAAGCAAAAAAAAAAAAGACACACAGACAAATGAAACAGAATAGAGAACCTAGAAACAAATCCATACACCCACAGTAAATTCGTTTTTGACAAAATGCCAAGAACATACACTGGGGAAAAGACAGTCTCTTCAATAGATAGTGCTGGGGAAACTGGATGTACATGCAGAAGAATGAAACTGGACCCCTATCTCTCATCATATACAAAAATCAAATAAAAATTGATTAAAGTCATAAATCTAAGAGCTCTAACTATGAAACTACTACAAGAAACCATTCAGACAACATCTTCAGGACATTGGTCTGGGCAAAGATTTCTTGAGCAATAATCCACAAGCACAGGCAACCAAAGCTAACATGGACAAATGGGATCACATCAAATTAAAAAAGAATGGGCATATAGCTGTTTTTAACATCGAGTTAAAAAGCTTCTGCATACTGGGATACAATCAAAAGTGAAGAGCCCACAGAATGGGAGAAAATATTTGCAAGCTACCCATCTGACAAAGGATTAATAATCACAATATATAAAGAGTTCAGACAACTCTATAGGAAAAAAATGTAATAATCCATTCCAAAAATTGGCAAATTATTTCAATAGACATTTCTCAAAAGAAGACATACAAATGGCAAACAGGCATATGAAAATGTGCTCAACATGATTGATCATCAGAGAGGTGTAAATAAAAACTACAATGAGATATCATCTCATCCCAGTTGAAATGTCTTATATCCAAAAGATAGGCTATCACAAATGCTGGTGAGGATGTGCAGAAGGGAACTCCTTGTACATTGTTGGTAGGAATGTAAATTAGTACAACCAGTATGGTGAACAACTTGGAGGTTCCTTAAAAACCTAAAAATTGAGGTACCTTATGATATAGCAATCCCACTTCTGGCTATATACCTAATGGAAAGGAAATCAATATATCAAAAAGATATTTGCACTCCTATGTTTGTTGCAGCACTGTTTACAATAGCCACGATTTGGAAGCAGCCTAAGTGTCCATCAACAGATGAATAAATACAGAAGACGTGGTACGTATATACATTTCTATTCAGACACAGAAAAGAATGAAATCCAGTCATTTGCAACAACGTGGATGGAAATGGAGATCATTATCTTAAGTGAAGTAAGCCAGGCACAGAAAGATGAGCATCACATGTTGTCAGTTGTTTTTGGGATCTAAAAATCAAAACAATTGAACTCATTAACATAGGGAGTAGAAGGATTGTTACCAGAGGTTGGCAAGGGTAGTGGGGTGGCTGACGTGGAGGTGAGTATGCTTACTGGGTCCCAAAAAGTAGAAAGAATGAGTAAGACCTACTATTTGATAGCACAATAGGTGACTATAGTCAATAAGAACTTAATTGTACGTTTTAAAATAACAAAAAAGAGTATAATTGGATTGTTTGTAACTGAAAGGATAAATGCTTCAAAGGAAAACAACAACAAAAAATTATCTATGAAAATATCGTTTCTAGATGTATTTAATAAGATACAGATTTTGAAAATGCAAACATTGGCAGCAACACCCAAGGTATATCTGGGATATCTCTGGATGTTTGTATGTACAGAGAAAAAGGAGTCCTAACAGATATAAAGTAATTTTAGGAAAAAAGAAAATAAAACCTTATCAATCAAAGGGAATATAACCTTACCTTACTGGACTGCTATTGTAATAAACAACTGTGTCGAATGACAGTCTGGAAATTTCTGTTGATCAAGACAACATAGTAGTTTAGGGTCAGCAAACTATGATCTGTAGAACAAATCCTACCTACCATCTATTTTAGTAAAGTTTCATTGGAAGCTAATTATGCCCATTCTTTTATATTTTGTCTATGGCTATCTTTCGGCTACAAAAGCATAGTCAAGTAGCCGCAGCAGAGATTGTATTGAACATAAAACCAAAAATATTTATGATATGGTCTCTTACAGAAAAACTATGGCAATCTTTGGTGTTAGGTGAGTTTAACAGTCAATCTGGATGGATTCAAATCCCAGCTCTGATGGATAACCCAAGATATTTATTTTATTTGTTCCTCAGTTTCTTCATCTTTGAAATGAGGATAAAAATAATCCTATCAAAAAGATAGATTTACTGCAAAAATTAAATAAACTAATAATATATATAAAGTATAAGAACAGTGGCCAGCACATAGTAAGATATAAATGATAGGATCAAGAATTAACATGCTATTTATAGGAGTCCTGCAACCTGAGAGAGTTTCAATGAAGCTATGAGTTTTCAGCTATGATTCTTTTTCTCAGTTTCAAATTTGAAAGACTGCATGGTTGTCTCCATGACACTTGGGTAAGAAAAAACTTTGGGCTTAGACTAAATCATGTAGTGTATTAGAGTTCATAAAGAAAAATAGAAAAATTAGATATTTCAACATAGATAATTTAATACAAGAGATTGGTAAATGAGTGTGGAAATTGGAAAAGTAAAAAGTAAACACTATTATAAATAGTAACTGCTGTTTATGTTAGGTAGCTGCATCCTGCCCCACTACCTACCTTTACCATGTTAGATAAAATAAAGAAAAACAGTTGATATTATAACAACCTAGTAGCTTGTAGATGAGGCCATATAGAGTTGAGAAGCACAAGTAGCCTTATGAAAATGCTACTTTGGTCTCTGAAATGGGTACTACCCAGCTGCTACTGAGAAACCTGAGGGGGAGTAGCAAGGCTGGTTTTGGACATACCAATAATTAAAATTAAAAACTAAATATGGAAGACATGTAAATGTTTTTAAACAATAAGTAGTGTTTACCAAATGCAAGTCATTGTTGATTATCATTTAATAATTCTAAGATCATGCATGAAATTTCAAGAATAAAAGACTCATTTCTAAAAAAGCTGAATGTTTGAGTTACACTTAAAGATACACATTAGATGTTCTTGAATGAAACAATATAGCAGAGCCCAATTTAAGAGAGGGTGTCCTCTATTAAAGTTTGTTGTGAAGAAGTGTTATGGAAACAGATTGAACAGTGGAGTTGGAAGGGAGAAGGGAGATGGATGTATGGCAGTGTTTGGAAAAAAAACTATAATTTTCTTCCTGCTCCAAAGAAGTTACAAAAACAAACACATGTTTAAGAATGAGGCAGGCTTGGTACCTGTAGGATACAGCTTTATTTTGAAAGTTTTCCCTCTGTCAAAAAAAGAGAAAAGGAAATCAGATAAATCCACAAACTTGAAGCCCTATGAAGGAAGGCAATAGACTCCTAACTGTCCTCTTATATCTGTCCTCTCCATGCCAGCTAATTCACTCTCATGTCACATAGACCATGGCACAGTGCTACTTAAATTGTCATGGAACTTTACATACTATACACAAGACTTCAAATCGTTTCACTTTCTGTTTTAACATAATTACTTAAACTGGCCACTTGCATTTTAGGTATTAGTAGCTCACCTTCTCCTGCTTTCCCATAAACACCATTCTGTTTCTGTGCTCACCTAGTACCTTCTGCCTGGAGTGATATCTTTCTCTTTCTTTGGGTAGGTTGTCTAACTTGTCTTTATATTGTAAGCCTTTGTTTCAGTTTTCCCTGAAGAACCTCTCTGCATTTACCTGCTGTGCTAGGTATTCCTTCTTTATATTCCCATTACAAGGTGTGCAAACTTCAAACTTTTCATTATAGCATATCATTGTAATTATTCTTATGGATATTACACTCACTAGAAATAATCAAGAGTGAGACTCTTGTTTTATTTCCATCTATGTCCCAAACCAGATAGCACAGTGTTTGACACATAAAGGGCATTCATTTTGAAAGAGCAAAGAGATGGTGGTCTTTTACTATTCTCATTTGAGTTTCTGAAATGGGCAGAGGTTTATATGGAGGCCCCCAGAAGATGCTGAGTGTCTTGCTGAAACAACAACAACAACAACAACAGCAACAAGAAATGCACCACTAGCTACAGCTCGAAATATACCATAAAGTAGGGAAAAGTAGAACATAATGAGTAGGGAAACACACTTCTGCCAGAAGTACTGCTATAGTGTCAGTTGTCATTAAGGAAAGAAAGGTATTAGGAGTTAATCCATGCTTTTGCGTAATACTTAGGTTGTTGATGATAATAGTTTTCTTATTAACTTCCTTCTTTTTATTCCTTCATGAGTATTTGGGCTACAACTCCTTAAACAACCTTGAACATTACGAGTTTGCTTTAGTTCACTTATTTAGAGTACTAGAAATGACATGCTTTATAGAACTGTAAATGTTGGAGCAAGTGATCTCCTAGTTGACCAGGGTAATTACAACTACTTCCCTATGCTGCAGCTTCTCCCATACCAGCCAACAGGGAATCACATCATACGAGGCAAATTTCATCAACTCTTTTATGAAAATTACTTTTCTATTCATTAAAAAATATGGTGAAAAACAAGCTCTTCTGTTGAAGACTGGCATGGGGAAGGTATAAAGCAAAAAGTTGATTTCAGTAATTAATTACATGTGCCAGACCGTGTAATTCATGTATTTACCTATATTATTGCTTATAATCCTTGCAACAGCTCATCGATATAAACATTATATCTCCTTTGTAAAGGTATGGAAACTAACAAAGTTTAAATTACTTAAGCTAGATAATCAGTTATCTGTCTCTGAATGACTATCACAAAAGTTAGTGGCTTAAAACAACTATTTTCCTCCCTCATGATTGTATGGAATGTTTACATCCTTCACATTGTGAAGGATGTGTATGGATGTTCAGTCTTGTTTCTTCACCTTGTCTCCCTTTGGCCAGTCATGTGGTTATTGTCATCTGGTGGGGGAGGATGGTCTGAGATGGCCTCACCCATATGTCTAGCAGTTGGTGATGACAGTAGGTGAGGCCATTTGTTTCCTACAGGCTTAGAGTCTCCTTATGCTAAGGCCAGTTGAATAAAGCAAGTCTCATAACCAATCCCAGAGTCAATGAGAGAGGGGACTATGAAAGGACAAGGATGCAGGCAGGCATGAGTCATTGGGAGTCATTACTGTGGAAATCTACACACCTAGTAAGTGGTGGAACTGGCATACAAACTTATGTTGGTCTGACTTCAAAACGTATCCTCCCTATCCTTGTGGCCAGGTATTCATAAATTAGAAAATTCATGCATTAAATCAATTTGATGTAATGCTTAAATCATTCAAAGTATTGTTGAGTCAAAGGATATAAAATGCTTCTATGGGTATCTGTATGCAAGATATTCTTAATAAATAGAAGTTCTTATTAGACATTATTATTCAATATTATTCAACGTGATTTTCTAGCAGTTATCTACTACATTATTTCACAATTATCTACTACACTAGTTTGAAATAAAAGAATGCAATAGAGACCTCATTAGTTCAAAGAATGTTTTCTATGTTTCTTTGTTGGAATAGCAGAAGTTACTCTAAAACTGGTAGATGCTTTATAAGATAAATACACGCATGCACACACACACACACACACACACACACACACACACACACACACTGTATTAGTCTATTCTCATGCTGCTAATAAAGACATACCCAGGACGGCATAATTTATGAAGGAAAGAGGTTTAATTGGCTCACAGTTCAACATGACGGGAGAGGCCTCAGGAAACTTACAATCATGGTGAAAGGGGAAGCAAACACATCCTTCTTCACATGGTGGCAGCCAGAGAAATGCAGAGTGAAGGACGGGGGAAAGCCCTTTATAAAACCATCAGATCTCACGAGAACTCATTTACTATCACGAGAACAGCATGGAGGTAACAGCCCCCAAGATTAAATTACCTCCCACTGGGTCCCTCTCATGACACGTGGGGATTATGAGAACTACAGTTACAAGATGAGATTTGGGCGGGGGACACAGCCAAACTGTATCACACACCCCGGTATAGTTCAGACTGTGCTCAATTTCGTACAAGTTTGTTTCTGATCACACAAGATATAATGGGTAAAAGTAGTTCTCCTCCATCTTTAATATCTGTAGCTCTTGGAATTTAATATAATTGCTTCAGGAGTTGAAAGGAATAGAGGGCCCTGTGGAGTGGTTCAAATGGCTAAGCCTAGAAAAGGTGTACGTTACTGCCAGGAACATCCCTTGGGCCAGAATCCAGTCATATAACCCAAATGAACCATATTGTGAAGGATGACATCAACATTTCTTGAGCTATATCAGTATCTGCCACAGTATATTGAGGAATGAAAAAGTTCAAGTTTAATCGAAATCTGCATATCTAAAATTTCTTAATACTAACCTGAAATTTATAATGCAATTTATACCCCCCTGTTCACATAGGAGTAAGCAGGCATTGTTAGAAGAGGCAAGATACTTCTGGAGAAGGTCTTGAATTGGTAAAGTATTTTGAGAAAGTAAAGTATGTCACTATTTAAAATGTTATGCTGTATCACAAAAAGAATTTATTTATTATACCAAAAATGCATACTATTTTTAAAGTTAAAAGTTGATGTCGTGACTCAAACTTTCTGTTTCTGTTGCCAATTTATGGTTTGACTGATGAGGAGGGAAGATACTTGTCCATGGAACCAATATATTTGGTCCTACAGTTGTGAGCAATCTACCAAACTCAATTCTAAGATTGTGGCAAATGAATACATTTTGAAATGTATCATCTCACAGGCATTTTTTGGGAAGTTTTTTGTAAAGAATGGATTTTGGAGCCCAATAAACCTAGTGTTAATTCTCTCTATTCTACCACTGAATGTTTCAAGGGCTAAAGAAAGTTGTCATTTCTGGACTTCAGTTTTATTATTATTACAATATAATGGTTCACATGGCCTAATTTTAAAGTGCATGTTTATCTATCATTAGGGATGTTATGTTGGACAAGTCACTTCAGTAAAATCCTTCATCAGTAAAACCCTTTGTATGATGGTGAGAATTAAATAAGAATAAAAGCACAGCTACCCCTTAGTCAATCTGGGGAGAAAAAAGAAAAAGAAAAGAACTGCAAAAAGCACTTTGGAGAGGGACTGGTCATTAAATGGATAGGGTTCTATTGCTGAATATGCTGGGAAGTTTGCCTTTACTACATTGAGCTTAGCATCTCACAAACACAATTATACTCTTATTTAGTTCACACAAATCAACTCATTGTAAAATATTTTAGCATCATTTAAAAGTCAACAGGGATGAAATTTTACAGTCCAAAGTAAAAAGATGCAGTGCTGTAGCTCTAAGTTTGATTTATGTGTACTTTTTATATGTCTTTGGTACACTTTTTAGATGTCTTTGAGTAGGCCAATGCTTATTAACTTTAATAACAACAGTAGGTTCAATTCACCAGAAAAAAAAAAAAAAAAAACTCATCCTAATTCCCTGCCTACACTACCCTGTGAGTTATTCTCTGATCCTTCATTTAATGGTAAGTTTTTTATTTCTGTGATGCTATTCTTTATCGTTTTGTTATTATCATAGTGCAGAAAAAAATTACAACTTTATTGGTTTATACTTTATGTACAATACACTGTACATATATAATGTGTGCAATTGGAAAACTTACGAAGCCACCACCACAGTCAAGTCACTAAACATTTTCGGCTGTGTGCGGTGGCTCATGCCTGTGATCCCAGCATTTTGGGAAGTTGAGGCGGTCAGATCATGAGGTCAAGAGATCAAGACCATCCTGGCCAACATGGTGAAACTGCGTCTCTAATAAAAATACAAAAAGTAGCTGGGCGTGGTGGCTCACACCTGTAATACCAGCTACTCGGGAGGCTGAGGCAGGAGAATCACTTGAACCCAGGAGAAAAAAAAAAACAAAAGACACTAAACATTTTCATCACCCACAGATGTTTCCTTTTGCTCCTTTGTTATTCATCCTTACTCTACTCACATCACTTGATGTCAACTAGTCTCTTTTGTCATTATAAATTGGTTTGTACTTTCTAGAAATTTATATAACTAGAAACAAACAACATGTACTCTTTGTGTCTGGCTTCTTTCACTCTGCAGAATAATTTTAATATTTATTCATGGTATTACATGTCTCTGTAATTATTTGTATCACTGAATGGAATGTATACCACAATTTATTGATACATTGATGGGCATTTGGAGTTTTTGTTGTTTGTGGATATTAAAAATAAAACTGTTATGACATTTTTGTATAAGTCTTCATATGAACTTATGTTCTTATTTTTCTTGGATAAATATAGATCATATGTAGATGTATGTATAGCTTTTTATGAAACTGCCAAGTCATTTTCCAAAGTGAATGTACCAACCCACATTCCTACCATCTGTGTATAAGATTTTCAGTTACTCCACATCCTTGCCAATAATTGATATTTCCTCTCTTTACAATTTTAGCCATTTTATTATCTGTGTAATAGTATTGATTGTAGTTTTAATTTTTCTTTGATGGATAATAATGTTGAGGATTTTATATATACTGTGCAGCATATAATATTCTCTTAGCAATTGTTAAAGAGAGTTAAATTTAGTTCTACGAAGCCCTTGGAAAGTGTCAGTTTCCTTTTAATTGCTCACAGTTACTTAAATGTGAATGATAAAATTCTGATTTATCATATATTAAACTACTGTTACTGAATTTTATTTAAATGAGGTTGTAGTGATCCAAAGAGCTAGTGAATTCTTAAGAAACAATGCACCAAAAAGAATTCAGCTATGACATATAGAAGAAATGATCTTATATTGTAACTGTTTTCAGATAGTTGAAATGTTAAACATATATTACTCAGGAAATTTGTAGAAAAATCGGTCATACCATTTACCTACATACATATAAGTCTACAAATTACCCATCACATACACATATATATTACAATTCTATAAATCCTAAATTTGTATATGTGACTCAATAGGAAAGAAAAAAATAAATAGCATATTTTAGTATTTTAAAGTAGTAGATAATGTGGACTTTTCTATTCAGATTTTCTTGGGAATGTGGTGGTGAGGAAAAATAAAAATTTGGGAGCCTTGAAAATTTTCAGGGAATTAATACTGTGCTAGTTAAATCATGGTTCTTGGACTAGTAGTCATGTGCAAGATATTTGAAATACAGAATTTTAGCATCTTCCCTAACTACAGACACTGGATGAGAAAATGCTGCTTATTAAGATACAGAATTTATGTACATGATAAATATTGAGAACCCCTACTGTCAACCACTTGCCTCTCTTTTCTGAATCTAAGAAGGTCATCTCATTTAAGTGTTATTTTCTAATCTTCAGTAATTAGAAAAAAATATAAACGGAACCTGAATCTACTATCTTATGTGGGAGGTGATTTGTCTTCTTTCCTATCAAGAAAGACCAAACACAGGAATTACTGTGAATAGTATATTTCCAATTCATTTCATCCTGGCTTCGCTTGCCTCTGCCTAACTTTGGAGCCCAGCATTTACACTTTGATGAATTAGCCATGTCACTTGCAGCTTTACATCCAGGGCTCTCCCCAGATACCATTTCAAATTCCTGTTAATTTTATTTTAATCCTGAATTCTGAGTTTGAATGTATACCCAGATCAGCCCTGTCTTTGTTTTCACTCACTGGTGTGGATGTAGCATGCCTCCATTAAGCTTTTTATTAACTTGCCTTGTTTTTGTCTCTGGCCTCGTTACCTCACAGTCCTTTATGTTAAACTGCTAAAGCAGGGACTTTATGTCTAGCTCATTCCATACTGAATTACCTCTCTCTATATTGTTATTCGCTTTCTGTCTTCAACACCTCTCACCCCTGTTTTGCCCTCTCAGCAATTCTTGCCACTTTGCAGCATGTTCCTGCTTTCAGGTCATTAACATATAAAGTGGAAAAAAATTGGATTTAATATTGACCCCTGTGGTTCTCTATTTCCCAGTCTTCTGACTCCTAAATATTTTCCATACCCAAATGGTCTTTTTATAACAAATAATCCAATTCTCCCTTTGCTTAAGTGTGGTTTAAAAGGGGGTTGTACTCTGTTATTTTTAACTATAAAAGCATGATTTAGACAGTCTTTTTGAATTTAGTGAAGTGCAACCCATAAAAGACTGTACTTGGCTTTTATACTGGAGGAGCAGGATGCTTAGCTGGCACCACTTGGAACAGGCCTGTGGTAGGATAAAAAGCTGTGAACTGACTTTGCTCCACTACTACTTCTGAGAACTTTTGATAGGCAGGCTAGATCTTTCTAAAATGACCAGAGAAAGTCACTACTGAAGAGGTCAGAAAGATAGTTTGGGTCCTCCTTTTCCAAAAAATAATTCTCATGTCACTATTTCCAAACTAATTCCAATGTTCAGACTAGTCAATTTACAAAACTTCCTGGGTTGCTTTTGGCCTTATAACAAATGCAGCATGTAAATACAGTAAATAACATGCATGACTCTGCCACCAAGATTAGGAAGGGAAGTGCTAGAGTAAACTCCCAACAGGGAGAAAATAAGAGCTAGAATCCAAAGGCTAATTTAAGATGAGTTATTGAAAGCAGAAGGACCTAGGTTTAAAACTTGATTTCAACATTTCTTGACAGTTGCCTATTTTACCAGTGAATTTTTTTATTTTTATTTATTTATTTATTTATTTTTTGAGACGGAGTCTCGCTCTGTCGCCCAGGCTGGAGTGCAGTGGCACGATCTTGGCTCACTGCAAGCTCCGCCTCCTGGGTTCATGCCATTCTCCTGCCTCAGCCTGCCGAGTAGCTGGGACTACAGGCGTGCGCCACTATGCCCGGCTAATTTTTTTTGTATTTTTAGTAGAGAGCCAATGAACTTTTACAGTAGAATGAAATATTCCAATTTTTTATGACTTTCTTTGCTTTTTTGTTTATTCCTTTAGAAATTGTACACATATAATTACATTTAATTATATATACATATTAAAAATTAAAACCTGTGTTTTTACACAGTATGCCAGTTTTGTGGAATCAGGTATTTTCTTATAATCTGAAATACATAGGGACAAAAAGCAAGTCTAGGTAATTTAGGAGTCGTTTTGCTTTGATCTCAGAACAATCTTAAAATGATAAAAGAGGACAAAAAAGAGAATTCCTGGTCTTTAAAATGGATTCATTATGGTTAATTTACATAATCAGTATAGCTTGCTATCCTGGACAATATATACTTAGAAAAAAAATCATAGTATGTATTCAATTTAAACAGTAATATATATTCATTTCAAGGAAGAACATTTTTAATAAAGATGGATTTGCTCATATAGAAGTTCCAGTACTCAGTAAATGTTTATGGAGATAATGAATAAAAAATGTATATGTTTCCACCTGAGAAACAGAATGGCTTTTATAATAAGCACAGATAGTTAGACATGGTTTTCAATTTCAGTTCAGCCATTAGAAATCCTACGACCTTAGGCAAGTTACTTATATTTTCTGAGCTTCAGTTTTCTCCTCTGAAACAAAGGGGTGAAAATCATATTTAAAAGAAAGTTTCATTTATAGGTTAAAAACCTTAGACGTGAAAAACTAGCTAGCATAGTGCCTAGCTCCAACAGAAATGAGTAAGTGGTAATAGTGTTTGTTTTCACAGTTAGTATCATTCATTATGATTTTTGTTATATGAAAAAATGTTAGAACAGGAAGGATCTTTAAAAACCATGTAGTACCAATACCTGATTTTACAGGGGCGGATATTGAGGATTGATGGGAGAAAGTGAATGTGTGGTGAGAAGAGAACTGGAATTCATTTCTCCTAACTGCATGGTTCAGGTTCCTAACACTAGATCCATCATAACATGTGAAAGGCATGTTGCCATGAATCCATGATTCTTAGCATGGGAAAGGAAGGAGATCATTATCCATGACACATTTACTGGAGCAGCCTATCTAGGTTCAAATCCCAGTTGTACCTCTTGCTAGTCCCAGAAGCAAGTTCTTTAACCTCTTTATGTCTCCTGGACCACATTTCTAAAATGGGGATAATAACAGAAATTAACTCAAAAGTTTGTTGTGAAGACTGAATAAATTCATTATTTTAAAATATTTGAAACAGTACTTCATAGGTAATAAACATTCATAAACATTCATTGTTATTTCTCTTAAATCCCATTGCTTAGCAGGCATCTTTTGTTTCTTCATTTTCCTTCATTTCTTAATAAAATCTACTGAGTCTCAACTCTTCGTAGGTTCTTATGTTAAGAAAATTTACACAAAAAGAGCTCAGTCTTTTCTACTAAAGATTTTGTAACAGAATTGGAGAAACAACTTGGAAAACAATGATTTAAGATCCTTTAAAACACTGAATTTATTTTCAGGATTGATGTTTTATACATTGATACACTTTCAATTCAAAGTAAAACTTTGTTCAGTAAACAGAATAGGGAATAAAATCATTCTCTTTAAAGACAAAGTAAATTTTCAGAAAGTATTAGAGAGAGTAGGCATGGTGGGTAGAGGCTATTTTAGATGAGGAGACTACAGGAAAAAGGCAGACTAAGGAAAGCAGCAGTTGTGAGGAATATTTTTGCAAACAGAAAGCACTACCCTTATGAATTTATCAATAGCTGCTCCGTTGTAGCAAATTAATTATGAAATAATTGACCATAGGTCAATGCCACTGTAGGTGTGAAACATATACATACTATTTGACGCATTCACTTTCTTCTTTGTGGGCAGAGTGATTCCCAATTTCAGAGGTGCTCAGTGACATAAAACTTGCTTTACACTTTTTAAAAATTAACTAAGCTGAATTAAAGGATGGGTTTTCAGTGGGAGCTGAATGATGAGAGCACATGGACACAGGGAGGGTAACAACACACACTGGGGCCTGTAAGGGGGTGGGGTGGGGGGAAGGAGAGCATTATGAAAAATAGCTAATGCATGCTGGGCTTAATACCTATTTGATGGGTGGATAAGGGCAGCAAACCAGCATGGCACACATTTACCTATATAACAAACATGCACATCCTGCACATGTACCCCAAAACTTAAAAATTAAAATAGAAAAGAATAGGTTTTCAGTTAACCAGTTAGTCAGAATCATTAGCAGTAGACTTTTACTAAATCCTAACAAAAGGCCCATATTTACTAGAGCACATTAAAAATGAAAACAAAAACAAAAAACAAAAAACAAAAAACCCAAACACACCAGAACCATAGAATTGAGCGCATAAGTGACAAAAATTATGTGAACTTTCAAAAGATTCTATAAATTAAATTTATGTCTACCTACATGCATGTGAATATGGACACACCTATGTATATGTGTGTGTGCATATATGTGTATGTATATTACAGTAACCTTTGCAAGGACACACATCCACATAAAACTTCCATGGTTTTACAATCTTGACATTTTGCCTAAGGGTTAGTTAAGATATTCACTTTGTAACCTGGTTTCTTTATTACCTTAACTCCATTTAGAAGAATATTCCCTCTCCCCTCTAAATCCACACCCCATTTAAAATATATTCACATCAACATTTTACACACTGTAGAATATTCAAGCAAAGATTCAGCCCAGGAATGCTATGCCTCACAGTAAATTGAGAATAAATTATCCATACAGTTCAAGCACATCATGTGAGCATAAAACAAGGAAGTAAATTTATGGTAAAAAAGGAGCAACTGTGTGTGCCTTAATGCTAAGTACATTTGATAGTATAGTGTGATGTTTGATTTTATTGGACAGGAGACAATGCATATATTACAGAAGAATCTTTCATCAGAATTTTAATATCACACATTCTACAGATGTCAATTCATAAAGTCAAACATTTATATCTTGAGACTAGAAGGCCTGGCATTTAGAGCTATATCATCAAACAGAAGGCTGGGACTTCATATTTGTTTTCAACTTTCTCTCTGTAATTTTCTAAGCAAAATAACAGGCATAAAATACGTCTTCATGAAAGTATATGATACTTTCATAAAGCTTATTGACAATTTTAATGTGTTATTCTACTTTGTGTTATAGAAAGCCCATTAACCTTAGTGACTTCTCTGTCAATATAGGGAATTCACCAGAATAAAACATAGCAATAAACTAAATGTATTTATATGTCTGTTCCCTGATTAGACTATAGTAACTCAAAAGCATTCATTTTCTCTAATGATAAAAATAACATATGTTTTTAATAAAAATTTCAAGAAGTAAGAAATATATAAAGTAATACAAGCTTTGCATTCAAAACAGGAATTACAGTCTGTGAAAAATACTGGTTTGAAGTTTACGATTTTGAATATTATGAGTTTTGAGGATCTAATACAATACTAATCACTTTCTTCAGAAACAGTAAAGGTAGTTGGGTGCCATGACCACCATTGGTACTTGGTAAAGCAATAACCATCCCTTCCTAACCTCACTCCTGCTAAAAAGAAAAAAAAAAAAGCACGTTTTACTTCCTGACACCAGGACAGTTATCTGGACCAGGAAATTTACCTGATGCTAAATGTTTATTACCAAAACAAATAAATATTTTTAATATATAATTTCTTTATAGTTTGTGGTCCTGGGTGGTTTACTCAGGGAATGTAGAATTTGTCTTTGATCTCTATCACATACCTGTGACTTAGCACCATGGGCAAATTGAAAGTGCTATTATGGTGGTATCATTAAACTTGTCCTGCAGCCCAACACATATCTCAAGGATTTTTCTCACCTGGTGACAAGAAGTCATTATATTTTGACATGGAGAGGGAGGAAACATACCAAGCACTCCCCAGAACTGACAGTCAGTAACAAATGATATAATGAGCCTAAGTCACTTAGTATAGATGCTAGAATAGGGAAGATACCCAATAAATAAGAGTTTCTCTTCCCTTCTCCCATTTTCTTACACATTTTAAGATGTATTCCTAATAGTCCTCAAACTGTAACATGTATCCTGCTCATTTGAAGAAGTGGTTAAAGCAGCTTATGATACTGATGATGCGGAATTTTGACCTAGTTGCCTGTGGCAGTAGTTCTCAGCCATGTCTTACACTGATAGTACACTGATACCCTCAGGCCAAAAAAAGGTCCAGAATAGATGAAAGCCTCCCTTTACCCCTTGCATGTCTCCCAAGATTGTGTCAGAATTAAGAACAGTGCATTTATTAGGTTACAAAGTACAGTGCTATAATGTGGGGTTTTCAAAAATATAAAAGTACAAACTGTAAATTGTTATAGGGAATTAGTCATTTTGAATTTTTCTCCCTTTGATAGCAATTACCTTTTCTTGTTTCTGGTATGGGAAAATAAGTCTGAGATTTTTTTTTCCATATAGAAAAAGACTGTACCCTGGGAAGGCCAGGCATGAGAAACTGATATAGGCATTAGGAAAAAATGATTTTCTTCTTGAATTCATTTTTCATAGCCTCCTCTTTTAATCACTGAAGTGGAAAAATTCAAGAAGAAAAGGTTAGGTTGCTAGCTTGAGGGAATGGGTCTGAGGGGCCTGCTAATTCTACTTTAAAAAAAACATATTTATCTGTAAAAGGCTTTCCTCTTGTGTAAGGAAAATGATTTCTTATAACTTCATAATATCCAATCAAATTCATCATATACATACTAGGAAGAAAACATGACATTGCATGGTAATTGTATTACTCTGTTTTCATCCTGATGATAAAGACATACCTGAGACTGGGGAGAAAAAGAGGGTTAATTGGACTTACAGTTTCACATGGTTGGGGAAGGCCTCAGAATCATGGCAGGAGGCAAAAGGCATTTCTTACATGGCGGTCGCAAGAGAAAATGAGGAAGAAGCAAAATCAGAAACTCCTGATAAACTCATCAGATCTCGTGAGACTTATTAACTATCACAGGAATAGCACAGGAAAGACTGGCTTCCATGATTCCATTACCTCCCCCTAGGTCCTTCCCACAACATGTGTTTATTTTGGGAGATACAATTCAGTTGAGATTTGAATGGAGACACAGCCAAACCATATCATTCCGCCCCTGGCCCCTCCACATCTCATGTCCTCACATTTCAAAACCAGTCATGCCTTCCCAACAGTCCCAAAAGTCTAACTCATTTCATAATTAATCCAAAATCCACAGTCTAAAGTCTCATCTGAGACAAGGCAAGTCCCTCCTGCCTATCAGCCTGTAAAATAAAGGAAAACAAACTAGTTACTTCCTAGATACAATGGGATTGCAGGTATTAGGGAAATACAGCCTTTCCAAATGGGAGAAATTGGCCAAAACAAAGGGGTGATAGGGACCGTGCAAGTCCAAAATCCAGCAGAGCAGTCAAATTTTAAAGCTCCAAAATGATCTACTTTGACTCCAGGTCTCAAATCCAGGTCATGCTGATGGAACAGGTGTGTTCCCATGGTCTTGGGCAGCTCTGCTTCTGTAGCTTTGCAGGGTACAGCCTCCCTCTCAGCTGCTTTCATGGGCTGGCATTGAATGTCTAGGGCTTTTCCAGGTGAACAGTGTAAGTTGTCAGTGGATCTTTCATTCTGGGGTCTGGAGGATGGAGCCCCTCTTCTCACAACTCCACTAGGCAGTGTCCCAGTAGGGACTCTGTGTGGAGGCTCCAACCCCACATTTCCCTTCCACACTGCCCTAGTAGAGGTTCTCCATGAGGGCCCCATCCCTGAGGCAAACTTCTATCTGGGCATCCAGGCATTTCCATACATCTTCTGAAATCTAGGGAGAGGTTCCCAAACCTCAGTTGTTGACTTCTGTGCACCCACAGGCTCAGTACCACGTGGAAGGTGCCAAGGCTTGAAGCTTCTACGCTCTGAAGCCACAGCCCAAGCTGTATGTTGGCCTCTCAGCCACAGGTAGAGCAGCTGGGACACACGACACCAAGTCCCTAGGCTGCACATAGTTCAGGGACCCTGGGCCTGGCCCATGAAATCACTTTTTCCTCCTGGGCCTCTGGGCTTGTGATGGGAGGGGCTTCCATGAAGGTCTCTGACATGGCCTGGAGACATTTTCCCCATGGTCTTGGGGATTAACATTAGGCTCCTTGCTACTTACGCAAATTAGTGCAGTTGGCTTAAATTTCTTGTCAAGAAATGGGTTTTTCTTTTCTACTGCATCATCAGGTTGCAAGTTTTCCAAACTTTTATTCTCTGTTTCCCTTTTAATATGGAACGCTTTCAACAGTACCCAAGTCACCTATTGAATGCTTTCCTGCTTAGAAATTTCTTCCACCAGATACCTGAAATCATTCGTCTCAAGTTCAAAGTTCCACAGATCTCTATGGCAGGGGCAAAATGCTGCCAGTCTTTTTGCTAAAACATTATGAGAGTCACTTTTGCTCCAGTTCCCAACAAGTTCCTCATCTCCATCTGAGACCACCTCAGCCTGGACCTTATTGTTCATGTCACTATCAGCAATGTTGTCAAAGCCATTCAACAAATCTCTAGTAGGTTCCAAATTTCCAACATTTTTCTGTCGTCTTCTGAGCCCTCCAAACTGTTCTAACCTCTGCGTCTTGGCCAGTTCCAAAGTCACTTCCACATTTTCGGGTGTCTTTTCAGCAACACCCCACTCTACTGGTACCAATTTACTGTATTAGTCCATTTTCATGCTGCTGATAAAGACATACCTGAGACTGGGAAGAGAAGAAGGCTTAATTGGACTTACAGTTCCACATTGCTGGGGAAGACTTCAGAATCATGGTAGGAGGTGAAAGGCACTTCTTACATGGCGGTGGCAAGAGAAAATGAGGAAGCAAAAGTGGAAACCCCTGATAAACCCATCAGATCTCATGAGACTTATTCACTATCATGAGAATAGCACAGGAAAGACTGGCCCCCATGATTCAACTGCCTCCCCCTAGGTCCCTCCCACAACCTGTGAGAATTCTGGGAGATACAATTCAGTTGAGATTTGAATGTGGACACAGCTGAACCATATCAGTAATGTTGTTTGTGTAATTAGTATTTCAAGGGTAGGTCCAAGAAGAGTTAAGTCCTGGGTGTGGAGATTCTAACTCTTTGCAACAATTAATAAAATTGCACAGAAGTTGTTCCTTGGTGCAACGTGTTTTCATGTTGGTTATTCTAAGCTTCTTGCTTAGCAGGTTTGAAGATGAATAGGTGAGGGAGTACTGGTGGGAGCATGTGCTATGCTCTCCATAGTTATTTTGCTTGGGTCTGCAGTAAGAGCTCACTTAAGCAGATTCTCCTATGCATCTAGAATTTCCCCATATCTTGACCAATTTTATAATTTGTTGAGCTATTTGAAAGAATAAATTCATTTTAAATAATTAAAAACATATTGTGAATTTTTTACTACAAAACTTCTGCATATTCATTGAAAGAAACAAAATATTCAGATTAAAAAAATAAGAAAAAACACCTTTGCTTCTGTCACCTAGTGTTTTTTTTTCTAGGAGTATGAACTGTGAATTTTTACTTTTTATTTTTTGTTTTAATAAATGAGGAACAAGTGTGTCTATTTATGTTCATGCTGTGGTGAATGTGAACCTATCAGATAATTTATCAGTATTTGGACATGATTCATAATGAGTAGTCTTTATCAAGTCACATTAAATGAAGAGGCTGTGACGTTGAAACTTAAGTGATAATTTAATGATAGAATCAGATTCTGTGAACTGTGTAAAATAACAGAGTTTAATTTGAGGAATCATGTCTTAAAAATACATCATGATAGAAAAGCCAAAAATACACACTTAAGACAAATGAAGTATAAAACACAAGTTAATCTTTCAAACTTCAGAGACAGTTTAACAACCAAAACAATTACTTAAACACTTATATTTGGCCTGAAATATTGTTAAAATTTGAAATAGAACTTACATATAGTGAACTACATAGAAATTAAGGGTATTGTCTCATCAGTTTCACAAACACATGCACTATTTATCCTGTACTAATACAATCTGGAATAAAATAATTCCATCATTATTTATGCCTTCTGACAATCCTTTTCCCCCATTTTTGAAGTAAACACTTATCTCAGTTCTATCACCAAAAATTTGTTTTCCGTATTCTAAAAGTCATATAAATGAAAATTATTTTGTGTGTATATAATTTAATTCAGAATGATGTTTTTGAGATTCCCCCTTGCTAGATGTGTATAAACAATTATTTCCTTTCCTTTTTATTACTGACTACTGTTGTGTGGTTAA
The DNA here is from genome assembly GCF_000001405.40 of Homo sapiens. Taxonomy (NCBI): domain Eukaryota; kingdom Metazoa; phylum Chordata; class Mammalia; order Primates; family Hominidae; genus Homo; species Homo sapiens. The sequence continues at coordinate 53,021,841 of NC_000017.11, forward strand.
TTATTCTCTTGTTGCTGGACTGATGGCAACTTTTTCAGTCTTTGGCACTTATAGATAAAGCTGCTTTGGACATTTGCTTCCAAGCTTTTGTGAACGTATTTTCCTTTATCTGGTTAAATATCTAGGAATGGAATTTCTGGGTCATGCAGAGGATGCATGTACACTTTTTTTTTAAAGAAACTACCAAACAGTTTTCCTACTGTTGTACCATTTTGAGCTTTTATCAGAACAGTGTTCTGGGTGTTCCACAACCTTCCCAACATTCGGCATCCTCAACATTTTTTTGATTGTGGCTATTACAATGAATGTGTAGTAGTATCTCCCTGTGGTTTTAATTTCCATTACCCTTATGGCTAATGATTATCAATACCTTTTTCATTTTTACTGAAGAGAAATATTCCAATACATATATATGACAACTTGTAAATCTGTTTCTCTGGATTTGGGTTCTATCTAAAGAAATGAGTATTTGGGTTTTTTTAGAGCTATTGTGAACATTCATGTATAATTCCTTTTTGTACACATATACTTTTGTTTATCTTGAGTGAAAGGGAGTAGAATTACTTGATCATATGGTAGATCCTTTTATCTATTTATTGTAGCCATTATAAATATTCTTACTAATAATTTAAATATATGGGCCATTTCTGAATTTGGTTCTATTGATTGTTTAGTGGTTGTGGGTCACATTTTCTTACTTTTATAAATACTTCATAATCTATGATTGAATGCCAGTCATTGTCTATAAAAGACGGTAGAGACTATTGTAAATATTATTTATACCCTAAAAAGAATATACCCCTTCTTCTGGCAAGAAGTGAATGTACAGAGATGTTTCAATGTAGTCTGTGATTGAATGGGGCTTAGGATGTATTGATCCTTATGGTATATTCACTGCAGGTTCCACGTTAATTGAGGATAGGCTCAAAATTTTCTCTTTAACAAGGCTTAATCTGTGATCTGCCCTGATGTCAGACATCAGCCCACCCAATTCACTGGTGCCTCAAGGGTGTTTCTCCCAGGTTTGTCACTCCATCTTTAGCCATAGATGCCTACTGCTTGGTACTTGATATAAGTTCTAAACACTAGTGCCATTTCTCTTAGTTCTCTTTTTCTGCCCTCAGACATCAGCAGGTCCTGAGTATCTGCACCTCTGGAGGTCTCCTTTAAGTTTCCTGCCCATCCCATCTCCATTGTCTGGTCTTCAGTGTGAATGCTGAGGTTCTTGTGGGTTTCTATCAGTTCTCTCCCCAATTCTCAGATTTCCACTGACCCAACTCCTTCATGCCCAAGAATAGCTAATAGTTATTATCTTAAAAAATTAAAAATTGGTAATAAATTGGTAGAAAACAGTTAAATAAATTATGGTACATTGATTATAGAGATAACAGCTCTAAAACAAAATAAGAATTATTATTATTAAAATGGAAAGAAATTTGTAATATATTGTCAAGTAATAAAGCCGGATTGCTAAGCAATATGTAATATGTATACATAAAACATATAGACATGTGTACACATGTGTGTAATTGCGTGTGTGTGTGTGTATAATATATGAAATACACAAAGAGAAGGGTCTGAGTCAACAGGTAATAAGCCGTCACCTAGATTACCTTAAGGAAAGGACAGACGTCAGGGATGAATCAGGTGAAAGTAGTTCTTGTTTATAGTATGTGTTCTCCAGTATTAGCAATTTTATAAGAAATTAGAGTAATTAGATTAGTTGTGTCATTTCAAAGATGAATGAAAATATGATGGAGAAAAATTACATTTGATGAATATTAATATGGCTAAATGGAACTACATAAGCTTCAAATGAGTGGGAACAATTATAAACAAAGCCATACTTGAATTTTTATTCATAAAAGTTATGCTAAAAAATAAAACAAAAAGCAAGAAGGACATAGTCGGGCTGATTTGAACAGGTGGTGTAATGTTAAATGTAGGTGGGAATACACAGTTATTTAGCTCCCCATTTGCTTCTGACTTTACTGTCAAGGAGAATAATTATCTTATTAAGAGGGTAAAATAAACATTTGGAATAAAGAAACTTAAACTGAAACTTAGAAGAAATGATAAGACAGCACCTTGTTGCATTAAAAGAGTTTGTCAACTGTTCTGGGCACACTAAATCACAAGGAATCCAAAGAATGTGAAATGATCACTAAAATTGAAGAGGTGTTTTAAGACTACAATGGTAAGATTCAAACATTTAAAAAATAAAAAATAAGGAGCTCAAACATGTAAAATATGGATAAAAGATAGAGCCCATGGGTATGGAAAATGAATTTGGGGTATGTAAAATGAACTGGACTTAATAGGGAGCAGAGTTTTAAAATCTATCATTATGACTGGTTCTTTAAAATTTAAATATAAGTCAATCAGTAGAAACCAGGATGGTTCACTAAGCTAAATATAACAACCTTCTAAAAATTGTACACAGTATGACAGCTCATTTCATTATGAAGGATAGGACTTGTAGTGATAAAAGTTTGTTTGAATTAAACTTAATAGATTTAAAATATAAAGATCCACTTAATCCCAACAGAATTGAATAAGTAATGCTTGGATGACACAACAGATCAGACTGTGTGTTGAACACTTTTTAAAAGATAGGATAAAACAGAAAAATGACTAAACTTCATTGATTGTAGTCAAACCCAAGTACTGGAGACAGCAAAGCACTAAATAACAATTTCAAAAATATAAATGTAATTTCCTTGATAACAAACTTGATAGACTGAGAAATCCTCTAAAATATAAATTATCTGTGTACAGTTCATCTAATATAATATTATTTTATACTAGAAGTTAATAAAAGTCCTGAAGTTTAGCCTTGTGTTTCACTTAAATATTCCATTAGAAAGAAGATTTCAATACCAAAGTAATAGATAGGCATGTAAAACTTTGATATAGATTTTTGAGCTGTTACTTAGAGATAAATATATGAGACAAAGACCTATCAGGAGCAGTCATTTCAATGATTATCTTTACTCTCTTACTGGAATATTCAAATAAGATTACATGATCCATACCTGTAACATTCTAGAAAAAAAATGCACTGTTGTGATTTGCTAACACCAGTAGTGATCAGATACCAGCAATATAAACTTTTGAAAATTTGTGTCTCTTGCATTAAAAACAAACAAAAATTGTCATCTTGACCCAGAACACCTCCTTTTGAGTGTAAGTCCTTCATCAACCAGCTGAGTAACCTTTGGGAAGTGTATGCTTTTTTCTTTCTTTCTTTCTCTTTCTTTTCTTTTCTTTTCCTTTCTTTCTTTCTTTCTTTCTTTCTTTCTTTCTTTCTTTCTTTCTTTCTTTCTTTTCTTTCTTTTCTTTCTTTCTTTCTTTCTTTCTTTCTTTCTTTCTCTTTCTTTCTTTCTTTCTTTCTTTCTCTTTCTTTCTTTCTCTGTCTCTCTTTCTTCCTTCCTTTCCTTTTCTTTCTATTCTTTCTTTCTTTTTTTTTGTGTGTAGTCTTATTGTATTCTTGTTGCTCTGCTAAGCGTCAAGGAAATTAATTTGTGTTTAAATTCCTGGAGCATGAAATAAACTCAGTAAATGATTGATTTTTCCCCCATTTCTTCTCTTTCTTCTGTCCTTCTCTTCTTCCATTGTAAGAAAATAAAGAGATGGCTATTGTGGTAGGCAACCCTTAAGATTGTCTCCAGTGATCCCGCACTCCAGGTATTCATGCCTTTATGTAATCTTTGTGCTAAGAATTTGAATGGTCCGAGATTTTTACCCTACTTGCAAGTTAGCTTGTCACAGTGTCATGGATTCTTGGAGATGACATGAGACTCCAATGTCAGAGACAAAGCACAGTTTCTTACTTACGGTAAGAGCATTAGGCAGAGCATTTTTGCACTTACTTCCTAAGATCCATTTTTTTCCAGGGAAGTACCTGCACACACAATAGATTTTGTTAAAGGAGAGGAACGCCAACCTCAAGACAATTAGATCTTTTAAAAATTGGCAGTAAGCCTGCTGAAACTTTGACCCTGAGGGTAACATCATTTTTATTAGATTAGACAGTGAACACACCTATCCTTTGCTCTAGAGAGAGACACTATCTCTGTCTTCCAAGGCTGTTTGCTATATAAACATATTTGAAATGATCACCTAGAACAAACAGAAATGTGAGAATTGTATACTAGCTCCCTTCTCCTTGAATGTGGATGAACTCGTTCATTCTCTTCTAACAAATAGCATAAAGCAGCAATGCTGGGATTTCACTTGCAAGAGTAGCTTATACAAAAACTTAAGGCTTCTGTCCTCAGTGTTCTCACTTCTCTCTCACTCTCCTACGTCACTCAGCGTAAGAGAAGCTGTCTGCCATGCCTTAAGGAAACCCTGTGGACAGCTAAACATGGCAAGGACTAAAAACTACATGAGTGAGCTTGGAGGTGGATCCCTCAGCAACTGAGCATTTAGATGAGACTGTAGCACTGACTACAGCTTGTTAGACTTTTACACAGAGGCACCCATTTAAGTTATACTCAGCTTCCTAACACATAGAAGCTATGAGATAATAAATTGTTTTAAGCCATTAAAAATCAGGTTAATTTGTTGTAGAGCAATAGATAACTAAAACAGATAACATTATTATTAACTGTGTAGTTTGTAATGAACAAATAATTTTTACATTGGTTGAATTTCGACAAGCATTAAATGAATTTAAAATATTTAGGAAGAAGCGTTTAATGGAGTTGGAGAACGAGTAGACATTTACATATTCCAGAAAGACAGAATGCTTGAAACTTCCTATTTAGGTATCCTTGGCCTCTCTACCTCTTTCTATATTTTTTCTACTGGCAAATAAGTATCCTTCACTCAAAAAGCACTATTATCATTTCCTTTGTAAGTCTTTTCTGTCACCCTCAAAGCAAATTTAGGTGTTTCTCCCCATGAGTTTCATTTGCTTAGTATACAATTCATCGTATCTGTAGCAACATTTAATTTGGCTTTGAAATTATTTGTCTTATGTTTAGATTGAAAACAATTTAAAAGTAATAATATAATTGTTTTACTTCAATACTACTATGATTTAACACCGGGTAAGCCATATTAACAGGCTTACCTTTACAATACCATTTTCATATTTTACCAAGGCCTTCAGTGCTTGTATTCCTAAAAAAAAAAAAAAAGGCCAAGTGCCAGTGGCTTATGCCTGTAATCCCAGCACTTTGGGAGGCCAAGGTGGGTGGATCATGAGGTCAAGAGATAGAGACCATCTTAGCCAACACCGTGAAACCCCGTCTCTACTAAAAATACAAAAATTAGCTGGGCGTGGTGGCGTGCGCCTGTAGTCCCAGCTACTCGGGAGGCTGAGGCGGGAGAATTGCTTGAACCCGGGAGGCGGAGGTTGCAGTGAGCTGAGATTGCACCACTGCACTCCAGCCTGGGCAACAGTGAGAGACTCTTGTCTCAAAAAAAAAAAAAAAAATGTTAACAGTGACAAACTTTGTCCCTGTAGGCAAGCTGGTTGATGAGATGCCAACATGTGTTTAGTAAATCATATTGTGTAAGTGTTCTAAATAATTTATGCTTATAAAATACAAAATCTTATATAGGTCAATATTCTTTGCAACTTATTTCTACAGTTAATCTTTATAACAAGTGCAGAGGTAAGATGGGAAAACATTATTCTCTAAATGTATTTTTGTTTTTGCTTTTATTCTGACATCAACTCATATATGACTGTTTTTGAGAATGTGGAGCTCAGTAAATATTAAAGAAGCAATTAAAATGTCAAATAATTGCATCTAAGACAAAGTGCTGGAATATGTCTTTCCATCTTTTATATGCATGTTCTTTTTCTCTTTTTTTAATTTTTAATTTGTGTGGGTATATAGTAGGTATATATATTTATGGGTTACATGAGATATTTTGATACATATATACAATGTGTAATAATCACCTCAGGGTAAATGGGGTATTCATCACCTCAATCATTTATCTTTTTTTGTGTTACAAACAATCCAATTATACTCTTTTAGTTATTTTAAAATGTACAATATTATTTACTGTAGTCACCCTGTTGTGCTATCAAATACTAAATCTTACTCATTCTATCTCAGTATATATTTGTACCGATTAACCATTCCCACTTCCCCTTCTCACACCACTACCACCGACTGTGCTTCCCAAGCTTTGGTGACCATTATTCCACTGTCTATCTCCATGAGTTCAGTTTTAATTTTCTTAGCTCCCACAAATAAGTAAGAATGTGCAAAGTTTGTCTTTCGCAAATTTTATTTAACATCATGACCGTAAGTTCCACCAGTTTGCAAATGACAGGATCTCATTCTTTTTCATGGCTAAATTATACACCATTGTGTAGGTATGTGCCACATGTTCTATCTGTTCATCTGTTGATGGACACTTAGGTTGCTTCCAAATCTCGGCTATTGTGAATAGGACTGCAATAAACATGGGAGTGCAGAAATCTCTTTGATATACTGATTTCCTTTCTTTTGGGTGTATACCCAGCAGTGGGATTGCTGGATCATAAGGTAGTTCTTTAGTTTTTTGAGGAACTGCCAAACTTCTCCATAGTGATTGTACTAATTTACATTCCCTCCAACAGTGTATGAAAATTCTCTTCTCTTCACATCCTCACCAGCATTAGTTATTACCTGTCATTTGGATAACAGCTATTTTCACTGGGGTAAGATGATATCTCATTGTAGTTTTGATATGCATTTCTCTGATGACCAATGACATTGAGCATTTTTTCATATATCTGTTTACCATCTGTATGTCTTCTTTTGAGAAATAGCTATTCAGATCTTTTGCACATTTTAAAATCAGATTACTAGATTTTTTTCCTATGAGTTGTTTGAATTTATTATATATTTTGGTTATCAATTCCCTATCAGATTGATAGTTTACAAATATTTTCTCCCATTCTGTGGGTTGTCTCTTCACTTAGCTGATTTTTTTTTTTCCTGGGCAGAAGCTTTTTAATGTTATGTGATTCCATTTGTCCATTTATGCTCTAGTTGCCTGCACTTATGGGGTATCACTCAAGAAATCTTTGCCCAGTCAAATGTCCTAGACAGTATCCCCAATATTTTCTTTTAGAATTTTCATAGTTTTAGGTCTTAGATTTAAATCAAAGATACTTTGATTTGATTTTTGTATATGGCAAAAGATAGAGATCTGGTTTCATTTTTCAGCATACAGATATCCAGTTTTCCCAGCACAATTTATTGGCAAGACTGTTCTTTTTTCCAATGTATGTTTTTGGCACCTTTCTTCAAAAATGAATTCACTGTAGGTTGTGTGGATTTGTTTCTGGGAGCCATATTTCATTCCATTTGTCTATGTGTCGGTTTTTATGTCAGTTACATGCTGTTTTGGTTACTATAGAAGTATTATTTAAATTTGGATAACGTGATTACCAATTTGTGTTTTTTGTTCAAGATGGCTTTGGCTATTCTGGGTCTTTTGTGGTTCTTTATAAACTTTAGAATTATTTTTCTCATTACTGTGAAGAATGCAAATGGTGTTTTGATAGGGGTTACATTGAATCTGTAGATTGCATAAAATTTTAGCAATACTGATTCTTCCAATTCATGAACCTAAAATATCTTTCAATTTTTAGAAATACTTTAGCAATATTGATTCTTCCAATTCATGAACATGAAATATATTTTAATTTGTCATATCCTTTTCAATTTCTGGCATCAATATTTTGTAGTTTTCGTTGTAGAAATCTTTCACTTATTTGGTTAAGTTTATTTGTAAGTAATTTTATTCTATTCATAGCTACTGTAAATGGAATTAGTTTCTTGATTTCTTTTTCAGATTGTTCACTGCTCGCATGTAGAAATGCTACTAATTTTTGTATGTTGACTTTGTATCCTGCAAATAAACTGAATTTATCAGTTCTAATAGTTTTTTCATGAAGACTTTAGGGTTTTCCAAATATAAGATCTTATCATCTACAAAGAAAGATAATTTTTCTTCATTTCCAATCTGGATGTCCTTTAGTTATTTCTCTTGTCTGAGTGCTATAGTTACGACCTTCAGTACAGTGTTGAATAACAGTGCTGAAAGTAGTTATCCTTGCTCCAGATCATAGAGGACAGCTTTTCAGTTTTTCCTGAAAACTGTGTTGAGGTATGTTCCTTCTATAACCAATTTATTGAGGGATTTCATCATGAAGTCATGTTGAATGTTATCAGTGCTTTTTCAACATAAATTGAAATGATCATAAGATTTTGTCCTTCATTCTGTTGGTATGATGTATCACATTAATTGATTTGCATATGTCAAACCACACTTGCATTCCTGGAATAAACCTTACTTGGTGAAGATGAATGGTTTCTTAAAGTATTGTTGAAGTTGGTTTGGTTTGAGGATTTTTGCAACAGTGTTAATCAGGGATATTGGCCTGTAGCATTCTTTATTTTATGTATCTTTGACTGGTTTTGGTATCTACTGGCCATGTAGAATGAGTTTCGCAGTATATCCTCCATCTCTGTGTTTCAGAATGGTTTGCGTAGGATTGATATTTGTTCTTTAAATGTTTGGTAAAGTTCAGCAGTGAAGTCATTGGGTCCTCGGGTTTTATTTGCTGGGAAGCTTTTTTTTTTTTTTTTTTTTTTTCCAGCTTCAATCTCATTACTTCCTAGTGGTCTGTTCAGGGTTTGGATTTCCTCATGGTTCAATCTGTCTGAATGTCCTGTTCAGTGCAGAAAGTGGAGTATAGAAGTCCTCAGTTATTATTGTATTGGAGTATAGCTCTCTCTTTAGCACTAAAAATATTTGCTTTTTATATCTGGGAGGTCCAGTATTGGGTGCATATATGTTTACAATTATTATGTCCTCTTACTGAGTTGACTCTTTATATAATGACCTTCTTTGTTGCTTTTTATGGTTTTTGTCTTAAAATCTATTTTGTCTATAATAAAGTATAGCTACTCCTGCACTTTATTAGTTTCCATTTGCATGGCATCCATTTATTTTCAGTCTATATATGTCCTTATGGGTGAAGTGTGTTTCTTGTAGGTAACAGATCATTGAGTCTTTTTTTGTAATTCACTCAACAACCACTCTCTGTCTTTTGATTGGAGAGTTTAGTTCATTTACATTCAGCCTTATTATTGATAAGTAAGGACTTACTGTTGCCATTTTGTTATTTGTTTTCTGGTCATAATGTAGTCTTCTCCTCCTTTCTGTCTTCCTTTTCGTGAAGTTGATTTTTTTCTGGTGGTCTGCTTTAATTTATTGTGTGTGTGTGTGTGTGTGTGTTTTACTTTTTGTGTATCTCTTGTAGGTTTTTTCATCTGAGGTTACCATGAGACTTATAATACAAGTAAAATCTTATATCTCAATGCCAGCACTTTGGGAGACAGAGGTGGGCAGATCACCTGACGTCAGGGGTTCGAGACCAGCCTGACCAACGTGGAGAAACCCCGTCTGTACTAAAAATACAAAATTAGCTGGGCATGGTGGTGCATGCCTGTAATCCCAGCTACTTGGGAGGCTGAGGCAGAAGAATCGCTTGAACCTGGGAGGCAGAGGTTGCGGTGAGCCAAGATTGCACCATTACACTCCAGCCTGGGCAACAAGAGTGAAACTCCGTTTCAAACAAAACAAAACAAAACAAAACAACCAAAAAAAACCTTCTATCTCATTATTTTAAACGGATAACAACTTAACAGTGACTGCAAAAACAAAGAGAAAATTAATCAAAATTCTGCACTTTCACTTAATTGCAATGCTTTTTAACTGTTTGTTGTTTCTATTGATGTCTTATACTGTCTATATCTTGAAAAGTTGTTTTAGTTATTATTTTTGATAGATTGATCTTCTAGTTTTTCTACTCAAGGTATGAAGAATTTACACACCAAAATTACAATGTTATAATATTCTGTGGGATTTTTGTCTGTGTGTACTTACTATTACCAGTAATTTTGTACCTTCATATTATATCTCATTTTATATGAACGTCCTTTTCTTTCAGTCTGAAGAACCCCGTATACCATTTCTTGTAGGACAGATTTGAAGTTGAGGAAATCCCTCAGCTTTTGTTTATCTGGGAAAATCTATACCTCACCTTCACGTTTGAAGCATGTTTTTGCTGGATAGACTATTCTAGGATAAAAGGTTTTGCCCCTTCAGGACTTTAAATATGTCATGCCACTCTCTTGGCCTGTAAGGTTTCCGTTGAGAAGTGTGCTTCCAGATGTATTGTAGCTCATTTGTCTGTTATTCCTTTATTTTCTTTTGCTGCTTTTAGGATCCTTTCTTTATCCTTGATCTTTGGAATGTGATTATTAAATTCCTTGAGGTGGTCTTACTTGGGTTAAATCTGCTTGGTGGTCTGTAACCTTCTTGTCTTTAAATATTGATATCGATCTCTAGGTATAGGAAATTCTCTGTCATAACATTTGAATAATTTTTTTACCCTGATCTCTAGCTCCTCTTAAAGGCCAATAACACTTAGATTTCCCTTTTTCAGGACTATACAATGCTATACAACTCTAGTTGTTGATAGGACTATACAACATTACACAACACTACTCAACTCTAGTTGTATAGGTGTGCTTAATTGTTTTAATTCTTTTTTTGTCTCCTCTCACTTTGTATATTTAAATAGCCTGTCTTCAAACTCACTAGTTATTTCTTCCACTCGATCATGTCTGCTAAGAGACTCTGATACATTCTTCATTTTGTCAATAGCATTTTCAGCTCCAGAATTTCTGCTTAATTCTGTTTATTTCAATCTCCTTATTAAAACTGTGTGATAGAATTCTGAATTTCTTCTTTGTGTTATCTTAAATTTCTTTGAGCTTCCTCAAAACAGCTATTTTGAATTACCTCCCTGAAAAGTCACATATCTCTGTTTCTCCAGGATTGGTCCCTTATACCTTATTTAGTTCATTTTGAGAGGTCGTATTTCCCCGGATTGTCTTAATACTTATTGATGTTCTTCTGTGTCTGGGTATTGAAGAATTGGGTATTTATTGTAGTTATAAATGTCTGTGCTTGTTTGTACTCATCCTTCTTGGGAAGACTTTCCATGTATTCAAAGGAACTTAGGTGTTGTGACCTAAGTCTTTGGCCATTGGCACTGTATCACCTTTAGATGGCACTCCAACCCCAGTAATGCTGTGGCTCTTGCAGACTCACAGACGTATTGCCTTAAGTGGTCTTGGATAAGATCCAGAATTTCCTGGATTATCAGGCAGAGTCTTGTTCTCTTCCCTTTCTTTCCGTCAAACAAATGAAGTCTCTCTCTCTGTGCTGAGCTGCCTGGAGGTGGGGGAAGGATGACACAAGCACCCCCGTGGCCACCACCACTGGTGTTGTTCTGGGTCAGAGCTAAAGCCAGCTCATCATTTGGTCTCTCCCAAGGCTCACAGTGAACACTGCCAGCTACCACCTATGTTCACTTAAGGCACAAGGGGCCTACAATCAGCAGGTGGCAAATCCAGGCAGGTTTATGTCTTTCCCTTTAGGATGGTGAGTTTCCTCTGGTCCCAAGTGTGTCTAGAGACACTATCCAAAAGCCAGGGCCTAGAATTGGGAACTTTAGGAATCTACCTGGTGCTTTATTCTACTGTAGCAGAACTGGCACAAAAGCCACAAGACAAAGTCCTTCCCACTCTTATCTCCTATTTATTCAAACAATGAGGTTTCTCCCCATGGTCACTACAGCCCCTAGCCCAATGTAAATAATGGTTGGCTACCACCAATGTTTACTCAAGGCCCATGGGCTCTTCAGTCAGCTTGTGGTACATGCTACCATTCCTGAATCTCTCCCTGAAGGGTAGTAGACTCTCTTCTGGCCAAGGGCAGGTCACAAAATTTCATGCAGGAACCAAAGCCTGGAATTGAGGACTCCAAGAGCGTGCTTGGTGCTCTACCCCACTGTGGCTGAACTGATAGTCAAGCTGAGTTTTGGTTCTTATGAAGACGCTTTTTGTGTGAATTTTTATTCAATTTGGTGTTCCTGTGGGGGGTGGGTGGGCACTCACTGGAGGATTTTTCAGTCATCTTGCTCTGCCCTGTCTCCATTTTCTCTTTTTTCACTTAAAATCATTTGTATCTTACATTTTTAATTCCTGGACAATAAGCCATATTTATTTGATATGATTTATTCAATAATTCTAATTTTGAACTGTCACATTATTTCCAACATTTTTTATTTATATAAAATTATGCAACAAACATTATAGTGCATAAATATTATTGTCAGTTTATGAATATCCCCTTAAGATAGATTCCACAAAATGATACATTATGTGAAATGGTATGAATATTTTATGTAGTATTTTGGAAAGGCTAGAAAACATAGCATCCCTACCAGTGTTTTATTTTTATCTACATGCAATCAATTTCCATAATATAATTTGGCTAGGCTTTGCTGATATCATAGTTAAAATTTAATCTTATTGTTTTAATTTGCATTTTGTTGATTACCAGTGAAGCTGAAATTTTCATATATATATATATATAAATTTGCATTTCCTCTGTGGTTTCTTTACCTATTTGACTACAGAGTGATAGAATTTTCTAATGTCTCAGTAAATCTTTCTAAATAAAGAGGACTAAGCACTTTTGATATTTTTTGAAAAACAATTTTCCTGGCATGTATATATTTTTAATAAAAATATACAAATTTTATGTAGCTAAAGCCATTTTGGACCTTTTATCAGGTCTTTCTTGGACTAACATTACTTTCCTTTTCAATAAACTGAAAAAGCAGAATGGAAGTACTCAAATTAGACATTAGCAAGATTGGATATCAACCGAGTCTGTGATAAAAACCAAGTCTATAAATATTTTAATTTATAACATATAATTGCATATTTATTTGCAAAACTTTTGTACTAGAGTTAATATCTTTGCTTTGAGTCTGAGTCCACTGTTTGGGGTTCCCTATTGTCCTTCTTGCATAAATCACACCCAAAATGTATCCTTTTTAATTTGCACACTTGCCTTCTTGATAGAGGGAAAGGAATCTAATGAATATTGTGAAGTAATCAAGTATAGATTTCTAAGCCTTTAAAATATGTATCTTAGTATTTTATATTGTCGTTTTTAAAAGTTTCATTTAGTTACTTTTTTGTATAAGTCACTGAATTATATATATAAAATAATTCTCTTTTGCACTCATATTTCATTTTATTAAACAAAACTCATATACACAGATGTAAGAATAAACCCAAACTGACTCTTGACAAACATACAACTTCACTGACAGAAAAGAAAATTTAGTTCTAAAGACTATTCTGCCAATCGTAAGAATTCAGTAAACCTATTTCATAGGAATTAAGTAAAAGATGTCCTGAAAATATTAATGTAAGTTTTCCTTCAATAGTTATTATATTACACATGACTCTCCCATTGCTCAGAATTTTAAGTTTGACATTGTAAAGTAATGATGTAAAGTATTATATTATATTATAATCTCTAATCGATCATCACCTCTTTGTTCTCTATCTTCAAAATATTTTTAGCATGTGAACATTTTATCTCGCCCTCACTGTGACAATCCCTCAATGATACAAGCCACCATCATCTTTTCCCTGGATTATTGCGACAGCCTTCTAACTAATCTCCCCATTTCTACTCTTGCCCTCTATTTTTCCATCAAGAAATAAGACATCATTGTTAAACATGTCGAAACACAGCTTTCCTCTGTTCAAAACCATATCATATATCTGAGTAAATTTCTCTAAGTCCCTACATTATTTTCCATCCTATCCACCTCTCTGCCCTACCAAACATGTCTCTTACCCACCTCTTTTTCACTTGTTCTTTTCCAGATGCACCAGTATCTATTTATTGCTCAAGTTCTCAAGTGTGAGCTGACCTTTAAGTCTGTTTTATTGTTTTGTCTGATTGAAATGCTTTTCCCCAGATATTGCTAGGTATGTTTACTTATTTTTTTAGGTTATCATTTAAGGCAGGATAAATAACCCCCATCATCCCCACGGAAATATCCAATACTAATCCCCAGAACTTGCATATAATTTCTATGGTAAAAGTGGCTCTGCCACTTTTATCAAGGTAAGCTCAGTGGTAATGACAAGGTTCTTATTAGAGGGAGACAGGAAAGTCACATAAGGCTATGTGACTACTGAAGCAGACCGATAGGGAGACTGCAAGATGCCATTGTTGGCTTTGGAAAATGAAGGTTGGGTCTGCAAGCAAAGGGATGCAGGTGGCCTTTAGAAGGTAGAAAAGATAAGGAAGCGGATTTTCCCCTAGAACCTGCTGACCGTTTTGGAACTTCTGATCATCTGAGAAACTGGAAAATAATGCACTTGTGTTTTCTAAAGCTATACATTTTGTGTTAATTTGTTACAGCACCAGTAGGAAACTAACATACTGTTAAATGTGACTGCAGCAAAGAGGTTCTTAATACTCTATATGAGCGCATTCCTCACCACTCCACGTAGCACTAACTATCCACTCTATAACTCATTTTATTTTTCTTCAGAGGAGTGATTCCACCACATGTTCTAGAAATACTTTTTGTTTATTGCCTATTTTACTCTAAAAGCAGGGCCCTTTATTGAAAATCTTTTCTTGCTTTATTATCAGCATTAACACTGGGTCTGGTTAATAGTAGATACTCATTGAATATTGGGTGAATATAATTTCCAGAACAGTTTTATAGGTGAATAAACTTCAATTCAAGGAGTTTTATAAATGTATACAAATGACTTAACCAAAACTTGAGTCCTTGGTCTTTTTATTTGAAGATTGGTTTTCTTTCACTATATAAAAGCTACCTCACCTCATAATCTATAGCTAGTAAAATCTGAGCAATCATACAAAAATGGTATATTTCTATATGAAACTATTCAAGAAAATATATTTTGTTCAGCCACTGCCCCAGTAAGTTCAAGTTCATCTTTCTTCAGTTTCCAGAAGGATTTAAAGGGAAGAAAAAAACATTATCTGCAGTACTATACTGTGACAGTGACTATGGATGTTCTCATCAAATGCCACCATGGCCTTTACAGGCAATTAACTGAAATGGGGAATTTCTGTTCAACATAGGATAGAGACATGGTGCTGGAGATTAAATGCCTGTATCTGCAGTACATTCTGGCATGACTTGGTGGAATTATTATAGAAGTAGCCCTGGATAATCAAAGGAAGGTCACAGCACATCAGCCTGAATATCCTTCCTGACACACCATCATCAGTCATAAGTGAATGATCTCCCATTCAAGAGAAGCCTCACTCCCATACAAGTTAGATTAGATTTATACCACAATATACTGGACAGAGAGGAAGAATAAGTGAACAAAAGAGAAGTAGAAATTAGCCAAGAAAGATGCATGGTAGAAAATATTGTCAGAGAGCAGTGAAATTAAAAAGCACTTGGTGAAAATATAGTTTAAGGAGGTGGGATCATAATTTCTAAAAGTTCTGAAAGAATAAAATGGAATGACAAAAACTTTCCCATTGTTGCAAGCAAAGAAAACATTAAATTTATCTACAGAGCAGACTTGGAGTAGAGGACCAAAGACTATGATGCTTTGGGAAAATGTACATTAAGGTGTCTGTTTACCAAGAGTTAGCTGTATCTATTCCAAATCCATATACGCCAGTTTTACTTAATAAGCAGTTTGGTTTAGCGGAAAGATTTAGTGACAATTTAAACTGGGTTAAAACTCAAATCCTTAGCTATAGGATCTGAATTGTTTGTTTGTTTTGTAACCTCTATAATAGATGTATGACTGCATGCTCCAAAGTGTTGCTAAAGTAATTAAATGAGATAAAATATACCTGGCACAATTTTCTGTATCTAGAAGATGATCATTATTGGTTGTTTCATTGAGGATACCAACAGGAAACTCAGAATTCACTCAATGCAGAGGATGAAGAAAGCTCAATGAAGAGAGAATAATAAAAAATGGAGAAGCATTGCCAATTGCCATCTTTCAATTGAAAAAGGAAGAGTTGTAGGCATGTGAAATCCACTATTCTGAAGGAACTGGGCTTTAGCTGAGGAAACACAGCAACTGCTAACTGCAGCATGTCAGGAAGGAAACAGGCAAATGAATATCCAATCTTGCTAGACCCCTGACCTTGGACTTTCAGCCTCCGAAACTGTCAGAAATAAATTTTCATTGTTTATTTAAAAAATCTACAACTTGTCTATATCGTTAGCCTATATTTCTATTAGAGAGTTTGTCACTTTCTTTTTTCTTTTCTTTTTTTTTTTGAGACAGTGTCTCGCTCTTGTCCCCCAGGCTGGAGTGCAATGGCAGAGTCTTGGCTCACTGCAACCTCTGTCTTCCGGGTTCAAGTGATTCTCTTGCCTCAGCCTCCTGAGTAGCTGGAAGGCTACTTTCTTGCTGGTGTGATGAAATGCTAATCCTTCAGAGATTATATACAACACTCCTTCCTTATTTGCATTTTTAATTATATTGTCTTTTGTTGAAGACAAGCTTTGTTTTTATTTAGTCTAATTTACCTCTTTTCCTTTGTGTCGATGTTTTTCTTCTTCAAGAAAACTTGTTCTATCTTACAAACACATTACTTATGGTTTCATTTTTGGTTTCTCTATTCTGTTTCATTGCCTTTTTCTATAGTCATATCACATAGTTTAAATTAATATAGTGTTATAGTAAATGTGGCTATCACAAGATTAAAAAAACTCCCTTTTTTATTTTATTTTTTCAATATGGCCTTAGCTTTACTCTTCCACACATATTTTTATAATCATTTTGAATAGCACTCTCCAACAATTTTAGGCATTTTAAATGAACATTCCTAAAACCTGTAGATTAATTTACAGAGAAATTATATAATACATCCCTGTAATATTGAACAATCCCAAACGTGAAGTTGGCATGGTTCTCTATTATGTCCTCTTCTATACCTCTTTTTAAAAAAATGCAGTTTGATAATTCGCTCTACAGAATTTTACATATATTTGCTTAGTTTTAGTCCTAATATATTAAGAATGAAGAATTGATTTCTGGTTGAGATAAATGCTATTTATTTTAGATACTGCTCTTGTATCTAGCAACCTTCCTGTTACAATACTTGAAAACTTAAGTGAACAAAGACAACTCCAAAAAAGAAAAGTATAGGTTAATTTTGCTAATAAATATGAACACAACAATGTTATGCACGATTAAAATCCAAGAGTATGTTAAAATAAATAATAGCACATAAATTGGATAAAGGAAGATAGTTTAATATTAGTACATCTCTTAGTGCAACACATTATATTAACAAAGTACAAAACCTGATCCTAGATGTGATTTCTTCCTTTATCTCTTTAGTACTTTGAATGTAAGAAAAAAATTAGATTAAGCTTTTACACTATTAATCTTTTAACATTCTTTCTTTATTTCTCATTTATTGATAGCTTAAAATGTGTTTGATTTGTGATTTTTGTCTCAGAGAAGTTCTAAATTATTTTTAGAGGAATAATTACTACCTGTATAAAGACTACGGACACCTGCAGCTCTCATCTAGCTGGTCTTCATGAGGATTTTCTGTATCTAGCAAAAGGGGCAATCAGTTAACTTTCATGATATGAATTTCTAGTGAACCTGATATAACATCATCCATACTTTGTCACAACTTGTACCTCCTTGGGAGACCCTTCTATATTATTTGTCTTAACTGAGAGTGAGAAGAGGAAATCAGGAATATTTGCTTAATCCTCAAACCTCACTGGATCCTTTCAACATTCTAACACTAAAATATTTACTTCAGAATAAAAAAGTTTTTTAAAAAGATCTAGTACGTTCACTCCCATTTTATACACTAGACACTCTGCTAATTACTGTATACATGATCTCACTTAACATTCACTTAAAATCGAAGGGTATGAATGTCAAATGGTTTTAAGGGTAATAAAGACCAGAAAGATTGAGTGGTTATTACATAGTCAAAGTCACTCAGCTTTTGGATGAAGCTGAGAATGACAGTCATGTCTGTCTGATTTCAAAGTTCAGATTCATTCAACTACATAATTCATTTCAGATATAAGAGAAATATTGATAGCAAAATTCTATTCAATAATGATATCAAGATAATTCTTGTTTATATTAAGGGCTATATAAACCTAGATACTCGATCATATTTGTTGAATTAAAGAATGTTGAGGCATATTTCACCAGTTGACTTGGTACTAATTTATAGACCAAAGCAGAAACAATTAAATTTTACTCCATTTAAAATGTGAAATTCTACTAGATGCCTATAGTATCAACACAATATTGAAAAACATATTCAATAATGCCACATAAGCTACAGGAAATTCCTAAGTGTTCTTGGTTATTGTTTAGGGCCTCAGGAGGAAAGGATTTTTTCTCCAAGGTATTTCCTATGCCTGTTATTGTAGATTGTTAATCATAACTGCAGTAATACAGACACAGAGTCAACTAGACAAAGAGTCAGCACTAACATCTCCCAGCCAGTCCCATAAGTGACAAAATCAGGAAGTTGTATATTTTGAAATATATGATAGAGAAACAAATTCATAGTGAGGAATACAATTGGGCATCTACACATGCACAGCCAAAAACTATGTGTAGTTATTAATGTGTCTTGTGAGAAAGTAAAATCCCATGTCATGATACCATGGGAGAAGATACCATCGAGTACATACAACATGAACAGAATGTTTAGAAGGAGGGAATTCTAGATGAGAATTAAAGTCTATCCCTGTGTCTTCCTGGGTTTAATTTGCTTTCTTAATAATTAGTATAGGTGAACATTTTTGTGTTTGTTGTCTTTGGATATTGCCTTTTCTAAAATATCACGTACAATTTTTTACATTTAATCTTTTTATTTGAAATTATGAATACGTAGTTGTGCATATTTATGGAGCGCATGTGATATTTGGATACAAGCTTACAATGTGTAATGATCAAATCAGTAAAATTGGAGTATCTGTCACCTCAAGCATTTATCATTTCTTTACGTTATGAACATTCCAATTACATGCTTTAAAAAAATGATTCATATAAATTTAGGTGTATAAGTGCAGTTTTGTTCATGGATATATTGCATAGTGGTGAAGTGTGTGGTTTTAGTGTAACCCTAACCAAACATTGTACATTGTACCTGTTAAGTAATTTCTCCTCCCTTACCCTCCCTTTCCTGGCTGCCTCCAAGTCTCCAAGTATCCAATGCCTATTATTCTACACTGTATCACTCTATGTCTATGTGTACATTATTCAGTTCCAACTTACAAGTAAGAACATGTGGTATTTAACTTTGATTTTCTGAGCTACTTCACTTAAGTTAATGACCTCCAGTCTGTAATTTTCTGTGTTACTTCGCTTAAGAGTGTGCCTCGAATTCCATGCATGTTACTGCAGAAGACCAGATTTCATTTTTTTTTACGACATTCCTTTTAATGGCTGTATTACACCACAATGGAATATTACTCAGCCATAAAAATAATGTGATAGATACAGAGATACATATATATATAAATTAGTACATATATCCTAGCTATATGTATATGGATGACTACATGAAGAAAATGGGAGATAGAGATATATATATCTAAATCTAGATATATATATGTGATATATATATAGATATGTCTATCTAGATACAGATATACATATATCAATATCTAGATATAGATATATGTATCTGTATCTATCTACAGACATATATCACATTTTCTTTATGCAGTCATCCTTTGATAAGCACTTAGTTTGATTTTATATCTTTGCTATTGTGAATAGTGCTGCTATAAACATATGAATGCAGGTATCCATTTTATGTAATGATTTCCTTTATTTTGGGTAGATATTCAGTTGTGGAATTGCTGGATTGAATGGTAGCTTTATTTTTAGTTCTTCGAGAAATCTCCATGCTGTTTTCTATTGATATTTCACTAATTTACATTCCCACCAACAAACTATGTGCATTCCCTTTTCTCCTTACCTTGCCAACATGTTTTTTTAACTTTATAATAATAGCCATTCTGACTGTGTAAGATGGTATCTCGTTGTTTTATTTTCATTTTTCTGATTAGTGAGGTTGAATATTTTTTCATATTTTTATTGGCCATTTGTATGTCTTCTTTTGAAAAATGTCTGTTCAAATCCTTTGCCCAGTTTTTAATGGTCTTGTATTTTTGTTGTTGAATTGTGTGAGTTTCTTGTAGAATCTGGATATTAGTCCCTTGTGGCATGCATAGTTTGCAGTTATTTTTTTCCATTCTAAAAGCTGTCTGTTCATTCTTCTGATAGTTCCTTTGTGCAAGATCTTTCCAGTTTAATTAAATTTTGTTTGTCTATTTTTGTTTTTGTTATTTGTGCTTTTGAAGTCTTAGTCATGAATTCTTTGCCTAGGCCAATGCCCAGAGGAGTTTTTCTTAGATATTCTTCTAGTATACAGTTTCATGTCTTGTTAACCCACCTTGAGTTTATTCTTGTATATGGTGAGAAATATAGGTCCAGCTTCATTCTTCTGCATATGGCAATCCAATTTTTTCATGTCGATTTATTGAATAGGGTGTCCTTTCCCCAGTGTGTGTTTTGTCAGCTTTGACAAATATAGGTTGACTGTAACCATGTGGCTTTATTTCTGAGTTCTTTATTCTGATCCATTGATCTATGTGTCTGTTTTTATACCAGTACCATGCTGTTTTGGTTACTATAGTCTTGTAGTATAATTTAAAGTCAGGTAATGTGATACCTCTAGCTTTGTTCATTTTTCTCAGGATTGCTTCCACTCTTAATTATTTTGAAATATACATTATTTTTAAGTAGAGTTGTCCCGTTGTGCTACTGAACACTACATCTTATTCTCTCTCTCAAATTGTATGTTTGTGCCTGTTATCTACCCTTTTTATCCTCTCTCCTCACTTTTGCCTTCTTTTGTATTGACTTGTATATTTTAAAACTTAAGTTGAAGGAGTTATTACTATATTCTGGATATTTTACTTTATACATGATGTTAATTTTTCTACCCACCTTATCATTTGCTTTTATAGTGTTTAATGTGTTTTTAATAGACAGGGGTCTGAATTTTCATGCAGTATTATTTATCAAGTATTTTTAATGGGTAGTACTATTGTATAGTAGATCATAAAGATGCTTTCCAGTTTTTTCCCCAGAATATTACTCTGTATGTCATATATGTGATATGTGTGTGTGTGTGTGTGTGTGCGCTTAACTTTTTATACTTAATATTATGGTCCATTCACAATTGATTTTTGTTTATAGAATGACTTTTACTTACAGAATGATTTTTATTTACAGAATGTCGTGAGTCATTCTTTTCCCATTGGAATATCCAAGTAACCCAGAAACTTGATTGAAAAGATGACTCATAAATTATCACATTGGAGATTCATTTTTCTCATCAGTTGAAGTAACAATTTTCAAAGCAAAATTTAAGCTACATTTAAAAAAAGCAATAAAATATTTATGTTTTATTTTAAATAAGCTGAGGATTATTTCTCTGCATAGTGTGCATTAGTTTAATTCATTTGACATGAAAAAAGTTCATTATGTTAAATTCTAGACGCTGTATGAGACAAACCATATTTAACAATTTACTGGTTCATAATATTGGTCAATTAAAGACTGACAAGTGTCCCTGAATGGGAAGCTTCAAAGAAATACTGCTCAGAAAACTTGTCTAAGGGCTGTCATTGGAATTATATGCCACTGTAGTTAGTGCAAGTTATGTAGTTTCTCCAGTTGTAGCACAAAATAAAACCCATCTTTAATCAGAGAAAATAATACTTAAATGTGCTCATGAATATTTATTTCAGTAATGGAAGAAGTATAATTTTTTACATGGTGAGTTTTCATAACAACAGTACATATTTTTCCTGAATTGAATTTTTTGCAAAATATTTGCTAACCACTATGGCACAATAAATAAAATTTCAATAAAAGGACTTATTGGAATAATATTTATATATACAATAAATAATCATTAACCAAATAATACTTTGTTTTTTATTTATTCATCTTATTTTTTTTTATTTTATGGAGCACATGTGCTCCATAAATATGCACAACTATATATTCATAATAATTTAAAATAAAAAGATTAAATGTATAAAAAATTGCATGTGATACTTTAAAAAAAGACAATATCTAAAGAGCACAAACACAAAAATGTTCACCTATATTAATTATCAAGAAAAACAAATGAAAACAATGATAGGGTTACCATTTTGTATTGAGTATAAGGTAAATCCTACTGGTGGTGACATCATATTTATTGAAGACAAATCGCATTATATATAAAAATCTAAAAATGATTCAATGCCTCTACTTCATCAGAAAATAATGGCTAAAATTTTAAAATAAGATAGAAAATACTAGGCAGTAGCAAGGATATAGAATATTTGCAACTTCATATATTGAGGGAGTGATTTAACGTGTGGTAGATATTTTAGAAGACTGGGAGTATTTACTAAAGCTGAACATAAGATTACATAGAAGCAAATTCACTCTTACATATATAACTAAGAGAAATAAATGTACATTCTCAATGAAGACATGTACAAGGATATGCATGGTTGTACTAATGATACAAGCCCAAAGAGCATAAATCCAAATGGCCATTAAAAAAATGGATAAAGTATTGGACTTCAACATGCAATATGTTTATGTATTATATATTTTTATGAATGAATGTATATTTTGCAATGAGAATTAACTATTGATACAATGAATAACATAATCTCACAGCATAGTGTTGAGCAAAAGAAGCCAAGAAAATAGAATATTTTATAGTAGATGATTTCATTTACACAAAACTCACATCTATCAGAGCTTTTCTGTCATATTATAAGTCAGGAGACTATTTACATTGAGAAGGATAATCAATGAGAAAAGGCACAGGGAGACTTCTGAAATACTGGTAATGTTCCACTTTTAATCAAGGTGTTGCTGATCTAGCAGTTTCATGTTATGAATATTTATTATGATGTTTACCTATGACATATATTTCTGTGTGTATGCTTTTATTCAGTAAAATGATCCTTTGTGGAAAAATGGATCCTATAATAAAGTGAGCTTTTATGTCTATATGCTCTCATTTCTGAACTTCAGTGGGATGCCAGTAAAAAAACTATAAAATTCTAGAAGAAGTAGGAATAATTACATCAATGGATCAGAAATATTAAGGAGTCTTTGAACAACAGAAATCAAACAGGATCAGATGTATGAATAAAATAAGCCAAAGAAAGTAACAGCTGTGATTGAATGACTAAAAATATGGTTGACACCGGGAGACAGAGGTTGCAGTGAGCCGAGATTGTGCCACTGCACTCCAGCCTGGGTGACAGAGAGAAACTCCATCTCAAAAACAAACAAACAAACAAACAAAAAAAGATATAATTCACGGGAGTTTAAGGTCCATATTCCACTAATTAACTCATCAAAATGATTACGTACTTTAACATATTAAGATGCAACAGCTAAGCCTATTCTCCTTCCTTTTCCACAACCACCAATTGTGTTAAGGAGTGCTGTTTGTCACCAAGCTAAAATAGAATGGGTGTTGACATTGGAGATGAAGTCTATCTACTGACCTTGAGAAGGGAGTATAATTTTTGACATCTAGATGAAAAGCTACCAACACAATATTTACCTTTCCCTCTAAAATCACCATAAGTTCTTTGTAAGTCATAAGCTTTTGTAAGTCACAGAGAAAATATG
Source organism: Homo sapiens (assembly GCF_000001405.40). Classification (NCBI taxonomy): domain Eukaryota; kingdom Metazoa; phylum Chordata; class Mammalia; order Primates; family Hominidae; genus Homo; species Homo sapiens. The sequence continues at coordinate 53,045,489 of NC_000017.11, forward strand.
GAGGTAAATAGGATTTATGACCAAAAAAATTACAAAATGTATAATTATCAAAAATTTGAGGACAACAAACAAGTATAATGAAAAGAATAAATCTAGCATTTTTTACTCCAAAATGGTGGTTTAGAGGTTTTCAGCATGCTTCAGCCACTTGGAAATAGCAAGACAGTGCATAAAAATCAACTCTGTGAAATTGAATTCAAAAAGAAAAATAGGAATCCACTGGAATTAGGAAGTATATGCCAACCCCAGGGAGGAGGATGCAGCAAACAGCCCCTGTGACATTGTCTAGCTGATAAAATTGAGTGAAGCCCCAGTACCTGAGAGAGGAGACCCCCCTCCACCAACTCTATGACTCACCTTTCCACTGTGGATCCAAGCAACATACACCAAGGGAGAGCACTTTGTTTCTCCCAAGACCTAGAGCTAATATTGTAAGAGGCTTGAAGATGCTATGAGGGAAAGACATGGGAAAAATTTGCAGACATTTTCCCTGATCCGGGACTAAGAGCAGGGTGCCATTTTTAATTTGGGCACATGCAAAGTCAGCCCCTCTTTGGTGACCCGGCACTGTGGCTGCTCAGGCATTTCAGTCTTGGGTCAAATACTGGAGCACCTGCTCTGGAGTGGAGTAGAGGCCTCCACAGTGGGAACTCTGGAAAGCACCTCAGAGATAGATGCTGCAATTGTGCTTTCCCCTGTTGCAAGTGTAGGGCAGGGAGGAGAGCTGCTACAGATGCAGTTTCTCCTGGGCTGGAAGACTTGCAGCCAGGGCCAGCTTGGTGACCTATAACCCATCTATGTGTGCCAGTACAGTATGCCCTAGCCTTACTGCTGAGATCCTGCTACAGCAGGGCCCTCTCTACTCCACCCCCAGGCAGATTTCCAGGCATTTGGAGCATCCAATCACCTGAATCAGGAGCCTGATATGCCACACAGTTCTTGTGCAGAGATTCTGGTGCAGGAAGGCCTTCTCTGCTTCATGCCCAGGCAGATCACCAGGGATTCATAGCACCAGCTGACCTGGGTCAGCAGTCTGAGTAACTCCACCCCTCCTGTGTGTGTGTGTGGAGCAGGGAACCCTTATTGCTCCACATCCAGGTAGATCTCCAGGCATCTGGAGCGCGTGCTCTCCTGGATAAGGAGTTTAGGCTGCTCTCCTATCCCTGGAGAGAACCTGGGGCTAGAGAGGTTTCTCAGCTCCATGCCCAGGCAATGGTCTGGGCAATTGATGGCCACCCACTGGATTCTTCTTAGCTACTGGAGTTTGTGTCTGCCAATGGAGGACCTGTAGATGGACTTGCTTGATCTAGCTCTTGCCAGGATGGCCCCAGCTTCCCTGGGGCTGAGGAGGGAGCATTCCACAAATCAGCCGACTGACTGAGGCAACAGAGAGCTTTCAGTGAACAAGAATAAAGTATATACCCAGCCTCGTGGGTTGCAGCCAGCTCTTAATGATAACTGCCATCCACTGGCTGGTAGATCTTACTGTACAGCCTGATATAAAACCTGCCAACAGGAGGGCATATGGCTACAGAATCAAAGCCAAAAGACCCTACCCAGCATATGTTACAGTTGCATACCCTAGGGAAAACAGGAAAGAGAAAAGAAATGAAAAAGCACAATAATATTATAGCAAAAGAAGGAAAAAGAAAAATTCACCTCCATGAATCAATTGCAATAATTAAAAATGCCAGCATTTCCAGATGCAAAGAAACCAGTGCAAGAATTCAGGTACCATAAAAAGTCCAAATGTGGTGAAACTATCAAAGGTTCATGCTATCTCTCCAGCAGTGGTCACTAGTCAAAATGGAAACTCAGAAATGACAGAAAAAATATTAAAAACTGCAAAGCATGAATTGTAAGAAAGTTCAATGAGATCCAGAAAAGATTAAAAATTAATACAAAGACATTTCTTTTTTTTTTTTTTTTTTTTGAGATGAAGTCTCACTTTGTCACCCAGGCTGGAGTGCAGTGGCACAATCTCGGCTCACTGTAGTCTCTGCCTCCTGGGTTCCAGCAATTCTCCTGCCTTAACTCACTTAAGTACCTAGCCTACCAGACCCCATACATCAGCCACACAATAGAAACTACAAAGCAACCAGCTAACAACTTCATGACAGGATCAAAAGCTCACATATCAGTATTGAACTTGAATGTAAATGGTCTAACTGCTGCACTTAAAAGACACAGAGTGGCAAGTTGCATAAAAAAAAAAACAAGACCCAAAATAATAATGGGGGACTTCTACATACTATTAACAGCATTAGACAAATCATAAAGGCAGAAAACTAACAAAGAAATTCTGATTTAATTTCAACACTTGACCAATTGAACATCTAGAGAACATCTCACCCATCAACTACAGAGTGCAGAGTATACATTCTTTTTGTCTGCACATAGACATACTTCAAGATCAAGAAAATGCATGGTCATAAACCAAGTCTCAATAAATTGAAAAAAATCAAAATCATAGCAACCATACTCTTCAGACCACAGTGTAATGAAAATAGAGAGAATTATGGAAACAACAATTAAAGATGAGATTTGGGTGGGGACTCAGCCAAACCATATCATTTTAGCCCTTGCATCTCCCGAATCTCATGTCTTCACATTTTAAAACATAGTCATACCTTTCCAACAGTCCCCCAAAGTATTAACTAATTCCAACATTAACTCAGAAATCCAAGTCCAAAGTCTCATCTGAGACAAGGCAAGTCCCTTCCACTTATGAGCCTATAAAGTCAAAAGCAAGTGTAAATTACTTCCTAGAGACAATAGGAGTACAGGCATTGGGTAAATACATCCATTCTAAATGGGAGAAATTGGCCAAAGCAAAGGGACTACAGGCTTATGGAAGTTCAAAATTCAGTAAGACAGCCATTAAACCTTAAAGTTCCAAAATGATGTCCTTTGACTGCATGTCTCATATCCAGGTAATGCTGATGCAAGAGGTGGGCCCCCACAGCCTTTAGCATCTCTGCCCCTGTGGCTTTGCAGGGTACAGCCCCGCTACTGGCTGCCTTCACAGGCTGGTGTTGTGTGCCTGGAAAAGTTATAATCTGTTGGTGGATCTACCATTCTGGGGTCTGGAGAATGTTGGCCCTCTTCTCACAGCTTCACTAGGCAGTACCCCAGTGGGGACCCTGAGTGGAGGTTTCAACTTCACATTTCCCTTCCACACTGCCCTAGCAGAGGATCTCAATGAAGGCTCCACCCCTGCAGCAAGTTTCTGTCTGAACATCCAGGCTTTTCACACATCAGAAATCTAGGCAGAGATTCCCGAACCTTAATTCTTGACTTCTGTGCACCCATAGGCTCAATGCCATGTGTATGCCACCAAGCCTTGTGGCTTACACTCTCTGAAGCAACAGCGTGATCTGTAGCTTGGCCCCTTTTAGCCATGGCTGGAGCAGCTAGGGTGTAGGACACCAAGTCCCTAGGCTGCACACAGCAGGATGGCCCTGGGCCTGGCCCAGGAAACCATTTTTTTCCTTTTAGGCCTCCGAGCCTAAGATGGTTGGGGCTGCCATGAAAGTCCTTGGCAGGCCCTGTAGACATTTTCCCCATTGTCTTGGTGATTAACATTCCACTCCACATTACTTATGTGAATTTCTGGAGATGACATGAGTTTTACCCCAGAAAATTGGTTTTTATTTTCTATTGCATTGTCAGGCTGCAAATTTTCTAAATTTTTATTCTCTACTTCCACTTGAAAGCTTTGGCGCTTAGAAATGTCTTCTGCCAGATACTCAAAATCATTTCTTTGAAGTTCAAAGATCCTCAGATCTCGGGCAGGAGCAAAAGGCCGCCAGCCTCTTTGCATAGCAAGAGTGACCGTTACTCCAGCTCCCAAGAAGTTTCTTATCTTCATCTGAGGCCACCTCAGCCTGGACTTTACTGTTCATATCACTATTCAGCATTTTGGTCAAAGCCATTCAACAAGTCTCTAGGAAGTTCCAAACTTTGCCACATTTTTCTATCATCTTCTTAGCCCTCCAAACTGTCCCAACCTCTGTCTGTTAGTCATTTCTAAAGTCACTTCCACATTTTTGGGTATCTTTACAGCAGCACCCCACTGTACTGGTACCAATTTACTGTATTATTCCATTCTTACACCACTATGAGGGAATACCAGAGACTGAGTAATTTATAAAGGAAAAAGGTTTAATTGACTTACGGTTCTGCATGACTGGGGAGGCCTCAGGAAACTTACAACCATGGCAGAAGAGAAAGCAAACACATCCTTCTTCACATGGCAATAGCCAGGAGAAATGCAGAGTGAAGTGGGGGAAAAGCTCTTTATAAAACCATCAGATCTCATGAGAATTCACTCACTATAGTGAAAACAGCATGGAGGTAACAGCCCCCATTATTCAATTACCTCCCACCAGGTCCCTCCCATGACATGTGGGGATTATGGAAACTACATTTCAAGATGAGATTTCAATGGTGACAGAGGCAAACCATATCATGCAAAAACTGGAAGCATTCCCCTTTGAACACTGGAACTAGACAAAGATGCCCACTCTCACCACTACTATTCAACATAGTACTGGAAGTGCTAGTGAGAACAATCAGTCAAGAGAAAGAAATGAAAGGCATCCAAATAGGAAAAGAAGACATCAAACTATTTCTCTTCACAGATGATATGATTCTAAACCTAGAAAACCCTAAACTTCCTGCCAACAGGCTCCTGGAACTTATTTAAAAAAAAAAACTTCAGTAAAGTTTCAAGATACCAAATCATCCAAATCATTGTACACAAATTAGTAACATTTCTATACACCAATGATGTCCAAGCTGAGAACCAAATCAAGAATGCAATCCCATTCACAATAGCCACACAAACAAAAACATAACTAGTGTTACCCTAAGCTGCACTATTTTGTAAATTCTCATCATTTTGCAAACCCTGGTCAGAGTAAACAATTCCACTAGGGCTCGGGCCATGAGAAACGTCCTGTTGGAGAAGTCCCAGGCCTAGCTGCCTGTCCACAGAAAATTCCTCACTTATCAGCAGATAACCACACTGCCCCATCCCTTTGTGTAACAATCCCAGGACTCTCCTGCCCATGCCTATAACTATCCCGTTGGTAAGCAGGGGCAAGCTCTGGTGCTAGCTGGTGTCCCCTTCTGCAAGTCTTTGCTCAATAAACCTTGTTGCCATAGAGCATCCTCTATTCTGTTCCTTCTCCCCTTCCTACTCTAATACCTAGGAATACACCTAATCAAATAACTGAATGATTTCTACATGGAGAACTAAAAAACACTGCTAAAAGAAATCATAGATAATACAAACAAGTAGAAAAACATTGTGTGTTCACAGATTAGAAGAATCAATGTTGTTAAATTGCCATACAGCTGATAGTAATCTACAGATCCAAGCCTATTCCTCTCACAACACCAACATCAATTCCACAGAACTATTAATAGAAAAAAAATCTATTTAAACATTCAGATGGAACCAAAAAGGAGCCCAAGTAGACATAGCAATCCTAAACAAAAGAACAAAGCCAGAGGCATTATATTACCTAACTTCAAACTATACTATAAGGCTACAGTTACCAAAACTGCATGGTAAGGTACAAAAATAGACACATAGACTAAGGAAATACAATAGAGAAACAAGAAATAAAGCTGCCCACCAACAGCCACCTAATCTTTGACAAATTCAACAAAAATAAGCAACAAGGAAAGGACTCTGTATTCAATAAATGCTTCAGGGCTAACTGGCTAGTCATGTGCAGAAGAATGAAACTGGACCATTACCTTTCATCATATACAAAAATTTACTCAAGATGCATTAAAAGTTTAAATATAAGACCCAAATATAAAAATCTTAGAAAAAAACCTAGGTAACACTATTCTAGACATTGGCATTGGGAAATCTTTTATGACTAAATGCTCACAAGCAATTACAACAAAAACAAAAATTGACAAGTGAGACCTAATTAAACTAATGCACTTCTGTACAGTAAAAGACACTATCAACAGGGTCAACAGATAACCTACAGAATAGGAGAAAATATTTGCAAACTACACTTCCAACAGAGGTCTGATATCTCAAATTTATAAGAAACTGAAACAATTGAATAAGCAGAAAAAAAAAACATTAAAATGGGCAAAAGACATAAGCAGACACTTTTGAAATGAAGATATAAAAACCCTCAAAAAACATGAAAAAACGTTCTACATTACTTACCAGAGAAATGCAAATGATATACCATCTCATACCAGCAAGCATGGCTATTACTAAAAAGTCAAAAAACAACAGCTGGCAAGGCTACAGAGAAAAGGGAATGCTTATGTGCTGTTGGTGGGAATGTAAATTAGTTCAGTCACTGTGGAAAGCACTATGGAGGTTTCTCAAAGACCTTAAAACAGAACTACCATTTAACCTAGCTATCTCAATACTGGGTATATGTTCAAAAGAAAATAAATTGTTCTACCAAAAAGACAAATGCACTCATATGTTTATTGCAGCAGTATTTACAATAGCAATATTGTGAATATTGGAATCCAACCTAGGTGCTCATCAATGGTGTATGGAATAAAGAAAATGTGGTACATATACATCATGGAATACTATACAGCCATAAAAATGTATGAAATAATATCCTTTGCAGCAACATGGATGCACCTAGAGGCCATCACTTTAAGTGAATTAACGCAGGAAAATAAAACCAAAATTCTGAATATTTTCACTTGTAAGTGGGAGCTAATATTGGATACTCATGGACATAAAGATGGCAATAATAGAAACTGGGGATTACTAGAGTAGAAAGGGAAGTACAAAGATTGGAAACTACCTATTGGGTACTATGCTCAGTACCCTGGTGATGGGATTATTTGTACCCCAAACCTCAGCATCACACAATATACCTAGATAATAAACCTGCACATGTACCCCTTACATTTGAAATAAAAATTTTAAAAAATCAGGAATGAATAACATGAAACTATTTTAAACGACAAATTTGTCTGCTAAATAATCAAGTCAAGACCAAGAATTAAACACAAAAAAATCAAAACCGTGTAAGATATGAGAATAAAGTTCAAAGGTAATTTTGAGAGAGTGTATCCTCCAGGATCTTACAGAACTTGTTAAAAAAGATAGTATAAAAAATTGGGTAAAGAAAGATCAAATACTTAATAAAAGACTTCGGATAACTGAAGAAACACATGAGTATTCATTCCATAAGAGCCCACAAAATGACCACAGACTTACATAAAAATATCTACTTCTAAACTGGTTTCTAAACATCTAGTTATATACATTGTGATTAAATTTCATTATGCCAACAATAAAGGCACCCAAAACATATCCAGAAAGAAAAAGAACCCAAGTTATCTACAAAAGAATGAACAACAAAATAACATCAAATACTGGAAAACAGTGGAAAAAATATTTGCTAAGTTCTATGGAAAAATGCTTTTAAGCATAGAATTCTATACTAGGCAATAACACCATTCAAAAGGGAGAGCAAAATTATATATTCACATATGTAAAGACTCAGAAGTTTTATGACCACGGACACATTTCTGGAAGAATTACTTGAGGTACATTTTCAAAAGATACATTATGATTCCACAAAAAAAGAGGAAAGATAAAAGCATAAGAGATAATTGTGAGCAAGAAAAATCAGTAAATGTTTAAGTTTAGATACTTGTACATGTAAACTGTATATTCTTGTTAATAGCAGACTGATATAAAGTGCCATATAGTGTTAATTTTTTTATAAGTAAATACATAAAAACCTTACTTTCCAATGAACAAATAAAAAATAAAACAAATGCATAATTAACAGAGGACAATATATATAAAAAATCATCAATGCACAAAAAGAGGCTCAACTGTACTAGGAAAATGCTAATAAAAACAACGATTTACTATGTGTTAGCTTTCGATTGGGTCAAACATATATAATTGATAACAGCCATGGAAAGGCTGTGGAGAGACTGGCATTTTTTCCCCAAGATAGTTAAAAATTAAAATTGTGGGTTTTTACTGATAGAAAACTGACAATATCTATACCCAAATCAAAATTTTACTCATATTTTAATTCAAAAATCCTATGTCTTTTATTCTATTCTTAAGGAATGCTTGCAAATGGGAATAAAGATATACATTCAGGAATATCAACTGCAGCATCACTTTAAATAGTTAACATGGGAAACCATTTGAATGCTAATCAATAGAAGAATATTTAAGTTTAATAATATACTCAGACTGTAGAATATTATGTAATTATTAAGAGGACTAATATAGTCTAAGATCTCCTGATATACATTAGTTGCTAAGCCTTAAGGGCACTTTAGCAGAAACAGGAAAATTCTGGAACAAAATATAGAATTTGATCCAGTTTGTTGAAAACATTTAGAAATATGTGTATGTGTTTGTGTGTACACATCTGCAGAAAATTTTTTGACAAATGCTTAAAAAATTCTATTAGGAGCAGTTAATTTGGGGAAAAAGTAGAGGTATGGAGGGCTAAAAGTAGGGCCTTTTCCATTCATCTTTTTAAGCTCTTGCAACAAGGATGTATTGAGATGGATAGTAGAAAAATGTAGGCAAAAACCACTACTTATGCCTGTTTACATCTTTGCTTTTTTATTTTATGTTATTGCTTGTTTTATTTTGTTTTATATTTTGCTGTATCCTCTATCTCTTTAATGGCAAATCCAGTCTGTTCGTAAATTCTCAAGCTTTTCCTCTATTTACTGATTTCCATTGGTCTTTCTGATTGGAGCTCAAACATCCCCTCTTCAAGGTGGTCTTTCTTGTCTATTTCTTCTTCTTCTTCTTTTGTTGTTGCTGTTGTTGTTGAGACGGAGTCTTGCTCTGTCGCCAGGCTGGAGTGCAATGGTGCAATCTCGGCTCACTGAAACCTCTGTCTCCCAGGTTCAAGCGATTCTCCTGCCTCAGCCTCCAGAGTAGCTGGGACTACAGGCGCATGCCACCATGTCTGGATAATTTTTGTATTTTTAGTAGAGATAGGGTTTCACCATGTTGGCCAGGATGGTCTCAATCTCTTGACCTTGTGATCTGTCCGCCTCGGCCTCCCAAAGTGCTGGGATTATAGGCATGAGCCACCGCGCCCGGCTGCCTATTCCTTCTTAATTCCACTTATTCTTCCACCATTGCCATCGTATTTTTTTCAAGGCATTGATATCTATCTAAAATTATACCTCATATATATTTATTTAACTGTTTACTAGAGATGCCTTCACCAAACCTTAGAATGAAAATTCCAGGTAAACAGATGGATGTTTTATTCTCACTGCTATAGACCTAGTGGCAGTACTTGGCAAACATTAAGCACTAAATAAGTATTTGTTGAATGAATCAATGAATCAGTTTAGATTTCTATTTTGTCATCTATAAAGTGAAAACATTTCTGAGATTACATTTGGGAAACTATCAAAAATGAAGCAAGAAAGCTGGATTCTTTTCAACCACTAATACTTGGGAATAATGTGGTTCTGAAAGGCAAGGAAGATCATAATATAAAATTGAATCTGTCCACTAAAACCAAAAATATAGAAGAGCTCTGTGATGTTTTCATTCAAATGGCTTTTGCTGTTTACTTTAAACTACATTGTGGAGGGAAAATAATGTTATGTTCTTCCCAAATGAAGATAATAAAATCCTCAAATATCAGTTATTTGGGGGAACATAACTTCTTTTCATATGTGAACAAGGGTAAATGAAAGTTGGAAATCCTTCAGCTCAATTAGGTCTATAGCTTCCGCAATGAGACATTCTGCCCACATCTGTCCAGATATGTATTCCTGAGGACACAGTAATGCATTTTTTGAAGGCAGCAAGATGCTATTATAGTAACTAGATGAAATAGTAATCCTAGCATCCTTGACTAATTTTCTTCAGTAGATATATTGAAGTTTCCTAAAGCCAGATGTTCAACTTGCCAAATTAAACAGTGAAACTGCCTAATCTTTGACTTATAAACCTAGAGAAACAAACAGTCTTTGCTTTTGCATGTTTAGAAAAAATTAGGTTCATATTCCTGACTCCTTTAATACTGATTTATTCAAGGGTATTATTCAGCATGTAATAGATAGTTTAATAAAAACATGTAGAAAAACATACAGATATACTGAAGGTAATTTCTTTAAAATTAAAAAAATTCTTTTAATTACATTTTATGAAGAGAAGCAAAAATACATAATCAGAAAGGGTTGTACAAAAAAAACTGACAAAAACCTGCTTTCTGAAGTCCTACATAGAATATCTCTAGTAATGTAAGACATAAATACCCACAGGTTTTATGCCATTATTTTGACTCCAGTGATATCTAAGAATTTTATTCTGTCTTTCCTTGAAAAAGCAAGTGATATGGTTTGGCTGCATCCCCACCTAAATCTCATCTTAAACTGTAACTCCCACAATTCCTACGTGTCATGGGAGGGATCAAGTGGAAGGTAATTGAATCATGGGAGTGAGTTTTTCCCTTGCTGTTCTCCTGATAGTGAATAAGTCTCATGAGATCTGATGGTTTTAAAAAGGGGAGTTTCTCTGCACAAGCTCTCTTTGCCTGCTGCCATCCACATAAGATGTGACTTCCTCCTTCTTGCCTCTCCCCATGATTGTGAGGTCTCCCCAGCCACGTGGAATTGTAAGTTCAAGAAACCTATTTCTTTTGTAAATTGCCCAGTCTTGGGTATGTCTTTATCTGCAGCTGAAAATGAACTAATACAGCAAGTAAACTTGGCTGACTGAAATAAAATGGTTTAAAATAAATGTAAATTGCCACATGATTTGTTGGATAGTAAAACAGCATATATGATTATATCATTAATCACAATAAACACCATTCCTACCAATTATTGTTATATATTTCACCATAAGACATTTATAGAAAAATTAACAGCATGCTGCCTCACCTTCTACCATGGCAAAATATTTCTAAAATAAACTAATTTTGAGTAAGAAGCATTTCAACTGAAAATGCTAAGAATGTTATAATTACTATATAATAATTTTTTAATCTTAGTGACCTCAGTCAGATGGCAGAAATAAAATTTTCTATGATCATCTGCCCATCGTGCATCAATTTTGACAACCACCCATGGGTAAGAGTATTTATGTGCGAGTCTGGGAATTCAGTGAAAATTTTCCAGCACACGATTAGAGCAAAAAAAAAAATCCAAGAATTGATGCATTGAATAATTCAGTCTGTAAAGACTGGAGAAGATGACTCTTTCTTCAAATGTAAAGATGCTAATGTAAGACTTCAAACAACACACCTACAAATAAAATTAAAAGAAACTAAAAAACAAAAAAATTCCCCCAAACAATGAAGAAAACATGAGAAAACCAAAGGAACACAATGTTTTTAGTAACTGATCTCCCAAAAATGGAAATTTACAAATTACCTGACCAAAAATTGAAATAATTGCCTTAAGAAAGTTCAGTGAGCTGCCTGAGAACGTAGACAACTCAGTGAAATCAAGAAAATAGTATACAAAAAATTGAGAAGTTCATCATAGATAAATCAAAAAAAATAGAACAAAGCAGAATGTTAAAATTGAATAACACAATAAATGAAATGAAAATTGCAATAGAGAGCTTCAAAAGCAGACTTGATAAAACAGAACAAAAGTATTTATGAACTCAAAGATACGTCACTTAAAATTATCCATTCAGAGGAGAAAAAGGAATGGATGAAGAAAGATTACAGGATTGAGGATATTATATTATGAAAAATAATATATGGATTTGGAAGTATCAGAAAGAGGAGAGAGAAAGAGATAGAAAGCATATTTAAAGAAATAATGGTTGAAAACTACTCAAATCCTGGGAAAGATATCAACATCTTGGAAGAGGTGGATCAAAGGTTCTCAAAAAGTTTGAAACCAAAGAGGACTTCACTGTTTCCCCTTATCATCAAACTGCAAAAATCAGAAGAAATAGAAGGTTTTCGAATGCAACAAGAGAATAGGAACTTGCCACATATGAGGTAAATCTCAATAGGCTATTAAGAGATTTCTCAGCAGAAACCTTGCAGACCATGAGACAGTAGGACAATATGTTAAAAGCACTAAAAGAAAACAATAACAACAACTGGTAACCAAGAAAATATCCCTAGCAAAATTGTCCTTCAAAAATGAAGGAGAGATAAACACATCCTCAGACAAACAAAAACCGAGAAAGTATACCACCACTAGACTTACCTTAACAAAATGCTAATGCTAAAGGGAGTTCTTCAAGATTGGTTTAAAGGATGCTAATTAATAACATGAAAATATATGAAATTGAAACTCACTGGTAAAGGTAAGTATATAATCAAATTCAGAATACTTCAATATGGTAATCATGGTGTACAAACAATTTATAACTCTAGTATAAAAGGTTAAAAGAAAAAAATAAACATAGCTATAACTACAAAAATCTTTATATGAATACTCAATATTACTTCAAAAACCAATTGTGGAGGGGGCTAACTTAAATAATATAATTGTTGATGTAATTGAATTTAAGTGTCAATGAGTTTACAATAAAGTGTTATATCTGTAAAATATTGCATATAGCCCCAAGATAATTCCAAAGAAAAAAACCTACAGTAGACAAACAAAAGATAAAGAGTAAGGAATCAAAGCATCTTACTATGAAAAACTGGCCCAGCATGGTGGCTCACGTGTAATCCTAGCACTTTGGGAGGTCAAGGAAGTTGGATTGCTTGAGCTCAGGAATTTGAAACCAGCCTGGGCAAGATGCCCAAACCCCATCTCTACTAAAAATACAAAAAATTAGTGAGGCGTGATGGCACATGCCTGTAGTTCAGCTACTCTGGAGGCTGAGGCATGAGAATCTCATGAACCTGGGAGGTGGATGTTGCAGCATACTCAAGCCTGGGCGACAGAACGAGACTCTCTCTCTCAAAAAAATAATAATAATAAAAGACAAACAACAAAAACCCAAAGCATATCACTATGAAAAAGCATCCAATTACAAAGCAAGATGGTAAATGAGAAAGAAAAAAAGGGACTACAAAATAGATGTAAAAGAATTAATCAAATGGCAATAGTAAGTCTTAATAATAATTACTTTTACTTTAATTACTTTAAATATACTAACAATTACTTTAAATATAAATTTACTAACTTCTCCAATCAAAAGACATACAAGCGGAGAATGAATTCTTTTTAAAAACATCCAATTGTATGCTGACTGAAAGAGACCTACTTTAGCTTTAAGGACACACATATAATGAAAATGAAAGCTAGACTAAGAAAAAAAGGGAAAACTCAAATAAATAAAATCAGAAATGAGAAAACAGACATAACAACTGAGAAGTACAAAGAATCACTGGAGACTATAATTAACAGTATGACAACAAATCGGAAAACCTAGAAGGAGTGGATACATTTCTGGACACATACACTCCTGTCAAAGAAAATTCTAGGACCTGAGGGTTTTACTGCTAAATTCTACCAAACATTTAAAGAAGAACTGATACCAATTCTTCTCTAATTCTTAAAAAGAAATTCAGGAGGAGAGAGCACTGTCAAATCTATCCTGTGAGGCTCACATTGCCCTGGTCCAAAAGCAGATAAGGACATAACACACACACAAAAACTACAGCCAGTGGTCCCTAATGAACATAGATGCAAAAATCCTCAACAAATGATCCTCAAACTGAATTCAAAACACATTAAAAAGATCAAAAGATCATTTGCCATGATGAAGTGGAATTTATGCCTGGGATGCAAGAATGGTTCAACATAAACAAATCAATCTAAGTGATATATGACACTAACAGAACAAAACAAAATGGAGAACCAAACATATGAACAAATATATGGAAAAAAAAACACATGATCATGTTAATAGATGATGAAATAAGTATTTAATAAAATTTAACATCTCTTTACGATAAAAATCCTCTATAATCTGAATATAGAATGAAAATACAGCAAAATAATAAAGACTACCTACGTCAAACTCACACCGAATATAATACTGAATGGGCAAAAATTAAAATAATTTTCTCTACAATCTGTAATGAGACAGGATGCCCAGTTTTATCACTTTAATTCAACAAACTACTGGATATTGTGGCCAGAGCAATTAGGCAAGAGAAAGAAGTAAAAGGCATGCAAATTGCAAAGAAGAAGTCAAATTAACCTTGTTTAGAGATGACATAATCTTACATTTAGAAAAGCCTAAAGACTCCACCAAAAAATGGTGAGAACTGAAATGAACTCAGTAAAGTGGCAGGACACAAACCTAACATACAACAATCAGTAACATTTATATACACCAATAGCCAATGATCCTCCCCACAAAAAAAAATCAAGAAAACAATCCCATTTATAAAAGCTACAGGGAGTATAAAATAACCTAAAATCAATTTAACCAAAACATAAAATGTCTATAAAAATAAAATTCAAAACACACTTGAAAAGACAGGGGAAAAAAGTGTTTCATGCTTATGGATTAGAAAAATTAATATTTTGAAATTGGCAATACTACCCAAACAATTTGTAGATTTAATGCAATATCTATCAAAATACTAATAAAATTTTTCAGAAAAATTGAAAAAAATTGTGAAATTTGTGTGGAACCACAAAAGACCTGGAACAGCAAAAGCAATCCTGAGTCAAACAAATAGAACTGGAAACATCACATTACCCGACTTCAAAATATACTACAAAGCTATAGTAACCAAATCAGTGTGGCCCTGGCATAAAAATGGACACATAAGTTAATGTAACAGAATAGAGAACCAAGATATAAATCCACACATTTATAGTCAACTCATTTTTGACAAAGGTGCCATGAACATATGTTGGGCAAGGGACACACTCTTGAATAAATAGTGCTATGGAAACTGAATAACTACATGCAGCAGACCCCTACATCTCACGATATACAAAAATCAAAAATGGATTATATACTTCAGTATAAGACTTGAAACTATGTAACTACTAGAAGAGAACATTGGGGACATTCCAGGACATTGATTTTGGCAAATAATTACTTTTAGAACCTCAAAACACAGACACAGAAGCAAATATAGACAAATATGGTCACATCAAAATAAAAAGTTGCTGCACAACAAAGGAAACAAGAAAGTGAAGCAGCTATTCACAGAATTGGAGAAAATAGTTTCAACATATCTATCTGACAAGGGATTAATAAGGGGAATATATAAGAAGCTCATACAACTTAATAGCAAAAATATAGTCTGATTAAAATGGGCAAAAAATCTGAATGGACATTTCTCATGTAAGTGGTCAACAGATATATGAAAGAAATACTCAACATCATTAATAATTTGAAAAATGCAAATCAAAATAACAATAAGATATTATTTCATCCTAGTTAGAGTAGCTTTTATCCAAAATACAAAAAAAATTAATGAATGCTGGTAAGGATGTGGAGAAAGGGAAATTCTCATACACTGTTGGAAGATATCTAAATTAGGACAGCCACTATGGAAAACACTACATAAGTTCTTCAAAAAACTAAAAATAGAACTGCCATAAGATCCAGCAGTCACATTGCTGGATGTATTTAAAATAAAATCAATATTAAAGAGATATCTGTCCCCCTATGTATATTTCAACTTTATTCACAATAGCAAAAATATGAAATCAACCTAAATGCCCATGAATAGATGAATAAATAAAAAAGTGATTTATGTATTTGTTTGTGTACATATAAATATCACATTTCTTCATAGATATCTATGAAATATTTATATTTCTTCATACAGGTATACCACATTTACATACTGATATGAATTGGCTCTGTGTCCCCACCTAAATCTCACCTTAAATTGTAGTTTCCATAATTCCCACGTGTCATGGGAGGGACCTGTTGGGAGGTAATTTAATCATGGGGTTGGTTATCCTCATGCTGTTCTTGTGATAGTGAGTGAGTTCGCATGAGTTCTGAGGTGTGGGAGTTCAGTCAGTCTGGTGGGAAACATTTTAAAGATAGTTAGAGAAATACACATAAATCTTGGAAGGCCAGAGGGTTTGCATAAGCTCCAGTAATAGATCTGGCTGAAGGCAGCCTAACCGGTAACTTGAGTAAATAGTTTAAGGCAGGTACAAAGGAATGTAAGGGAGTTTATCTAAATAGCTTGCCTACTCATGTGGCCCTAAGACTAACCTTTGATTATTCATGGGCAGGATGGCTCTCTCAGGGGGAGGGCAACAAAATTAGTTACCCACAGGTGTGCTGACTCAAAGCCTTTATCATTTAAAGTGTGCTGAATAAATGCCGGCAGGGTCAGCTAGTCAGGACTGCGACTGCTACTCTTTACAGCACCTTCCTCGGTGTTTGTGAGGGGCCTGGACTCTTAGCCAGACTGACAGGCAGAATATCTGTGTCAGTGTACATTATTCATCTGTGGTTCGGTCAGAGTCTGCGGGACGGACCCCTGACTGACAGTTTCATGAGGTTCTTTTCCCTGTTTTGCTCGACACTTCTCCTTGCTCCCACCGTGTGAAGAAGGACACGTTTGCTTCCCCTTCCGCCATGATTGTAAGTTTCCTGAGGCCTCCCCAGCCATGATGAACTGTAAGTCAGTTAAACCTCTTTCCTTTAAAAATTACCCAGTCTGAGATATGTCTTTATTAGCAGTGTGAGAATGGACTAATACAGTAAATTGGTACCAGGTAGTGGGGTGCTGCTGTAAAGATACCCAAAAATGGGGAAGTGACGTTGGAACTGAGTAACATGCAGAGGTTGGAACAGTTTGGACGGCTCAGAAGAAGACAGGAAAATGTGGGGAAGTTTGGAACTTCCTAGAGACTTGTTAAATGGCTTTGACCAAAATGCTGATAGTGATATGGAGAATAAAATCCAGGCTGAGGTAGTCTCAGATGGAGATGAGGAACTTGTTAGGAACTGGAGCAAAGGTGACTCTTGTTAATGCTTTAGCAAAGAGAGTGGTGGTATTTTGCTCCTGCCCTAGAGAGCTGTGGAACTTTGAGCTTGAGAGAGATGATTTAGGGTATCTGGCAGAAAAAAAATTCTTTCTTTTTTTTTTTTTCTTTTTAGACAGAGTCTGACTCTGTCACCCACGTTGGAGTGCAATGGTGCAATCTCGGCTCACTGCGCCTCCGCCTCCCGGGTTCAAGTGATTCTCCTGCCTCAGCCTCCCAAGAAGCTGGGACCACAGGTGTAAGCCACCAAGCCCAGCTGATTTTTCTATTTTTTGTAGAGACAGAGTTTCACTACTGTGGCCAGGCTGGTCTCGAAACTCTTTACCTCAAGTGACCTGTCTGCCTCGGTGTCCCAAAGTGCTAGGATTATAGGCCTGAGCCATAGTGCCCTGCCTGGCAGAATAAATTTTTAAGCAGCAAAGTGTTCAAGAGGAAGCAGAGCATAAAATTTTGGAAAATTTGCAGCCTGATGATGTAATAAAAAAGAAAACTTTATATTCTGGGGAGAAATTCACACCAGCTGCAGAAATTTGCATAAGTAATGCGGAGCAGAATGTTAATCACCTGTGCGGCCCCTCTCATCACAAGTCCCTCACACCACAGCACAGCAGCCCCTCCCATCACAGGTCTGGAGGCCTAGGAGGGAAAAAATGTTTTCATGCGCTGGGCCCAGGATCCCTCTGCTTTATGCAGCCTTGGAACATAGTGCCCTTCATCCCAGCTGCTCCAGCTCCAGAGGTGGCTTAAAGGAGCCAACATATAACTCAGAATGTTGCTTCAGAGGGTGCAAGCCCCAAGCCTTGGTGGCTTACATGAGGTGTTGGGCTTGCAGGTGCACAGAAGTCAAGAATTGATGTTTGAGAAGCTCCACTAGATTTCAGAGGATGTATGGAAATGCCTGGATGTTCAGGCAGAAGTTTGCTGCAGGGGCAGAGCCTTATGGAGAACATCTGCTAGGGCAGTGCAGAAATGAAATGTGGAGTTGGAGCCCCGACACAGAGTCCCCATTGGGGCACTGCCTAGTGGAGCTATGAGAAGGGAGCCACTGTCCTCCAGGCCCTAGAATAATAGATTGATCAACAGCTTGCACTGTGCACCTGAAAAAGCCACAGACACTCAATGCCAGCCCATGAAAGCAGCTGATAGGAGGCTGCGCCCTGTAAAGGCACAGTAGCAGAGCTGCCCAAGGCTTTGGGAGCCCACCTCTTGCATCAGCATGCTCTGGCTGTGAGAGTTAGAGTCAAAGGAGATCATTTTGTAACTTTAAGGTTTGATGACTGCCCTATTGGATTTCAGTCTTGCATGGGGCCTGTAGCCCCTTTGTTTTGGCCAATGTCCCCCATTTGGAACAGGTGTATTTACTCAATGCCTGTACCCCCATTGTACCTAGGAAGTAACTAACTTGCTTTCGATTTTATGGGCTCATAGGCAAAGGGACTTGCCTTGTCTCAGATGAGATTTTAGACGTGGACTTTTGAGTTAATTTGGAATGTTGAGTTAACTTGGAATTTTGAGTTAATGCTGAAATCAGTTAAGACTTTGGGGGATTGTTGGGGGACTGCTGGAAGAGCATTACTGTGTTTTGAAATGTGAGGACATGAGATTTGGGAGGAGCTGGGGTGAAGTGATATGGTTTGACTCTGTGTCCCCACCTAAAAATGAATTCATATATGAATTGTATGTGTCATATAATCTCCATGTGTTGTGGAGGGACCTGGTGGGAGGTAATTTAATCATGGGGTCAATTACCTTCATGCTGTTCTTGTGATAGTGAATGCGTTCTCATGAGTTCTGATGGTTTCAGAAGGGGCTTTTTCACCTTTTGCTTGGCAGTTCTCCTTCCTGCCACCATGTGAAAAAGGGCATGTTTTCTTCCCCTTCCACCATGATTATAAGTTTGCTGAAGCCTCCACATCCATGCTGACCTGTGAGTCAATTAAACCTCTTTCCTTTATAAATAGTCTTGGGTATGTCTTTATCAGCAGTGTGAGAATGAACTAATGCTTATACACACACACACACACACACACACACACACACACACACACACACACATATATATTCCACATTTATAAACACACACACACAGACACAGACACATATATGTGATACACCAGGAGAGTCCAATCTTTTGGCTTTCATGGACCACATTGGAATAAAAATTGTCTTGGGCCACACATAATATACACTGACAGTAATGATAGATGATGAGCTAAAAAAAAAATTGAGAAAAATCTCATAGTATATTAAGAAAGCTCAAATTTGTGTTGAGCTGCATTCAAAGCCATCCTTGGCCACATGAAGCCTGTGGGCTTTGGGTTGGACAGGCTTGTGATACACACACACACACACACACACACACACACAAAATCTTATTCAGTTGCAACAATTGAAATGATGTCTTTTAATCATGGGGTGGTGATGGATGGATGGAACAAGAGGTCATTAGGTTAAGCAAAATAAACCAAGAAAAGAAAAAGGAAGTCACATGTTTTCACTCATATGTAGAAGCTAAAGACATGAATCTCATTAACATACAGAGTAGATTGGTAGGTACCAGATGACAGCAGGTGGAGGTGGGAGGGGAGAATGAAGAGAATTTGATCAATGGTTAGAAATATAAAGTTAGGACAAATAATACCTGCTGTTATCTATATCACTAGGGTGACTATAGTTAACATTAATCTATTGCACATTTCAAAATATCTAGAAGAAAATAATTCAAACGTTCCCAGCATAAAGAAAAGATAAGTAGTTAAAGTGATGGATATCCCAAGTACCCTAATTTGATTATATTAATGCATTCATTCATTTTATGTACCCCCAAAGATGTACATCTAATATTTGTTAACTAGGCTAAAATATTTTGCACAGATAAATTTAATAGGCTTTGAGCTTGCCATTCAAAATCACAAAACACATAAGCAAACTAGCCAATGTGACTAAGAGTCATCAAACATAATGGCAGAATCAGACTTGTGTAGATATTAAAATTTTGTGAAAGAAAATATTAAATGTTTGATATGTCCAAAGAAATAAGAGAGTACATCAAAATATGTATAAGAAATAAATGATTTCAAAAAGTCTACAGATTTGGAAAAAAAATTAACCTTCTAGAAATGAAGACAAACTATAATAGAATTCAGGAACTCAGTTGAAGTATTAAAGAGGAAGTTTGACAAAGTCAAAAATAATTAGTAAACCAGTATATATAGAAAAAAGCTAATTCTGAATATAGCAAAGAGAAATGAAATTTAAAATATTAAAGAGAAATAACGAATTCCAAATGGTAGAATAAAAATACATGAAATTCAAACTGGGTTTCCAGATGAGAGAAAGGAAAGGCACAACACTTGAAGAGATATTTGCTGATTGTTTACCACAATTGATGATACACATAAATATGTAGATTCAAGAAGTCTCGTAGATACCAACCAATCAAAATAAATAAATATTTCCACATCCAGATTGCAGTATAACTACACACCACCAAAGTCAATGATAAAGTCACGTTATCTACAAAAAGGGCTATAAATCTTCTAAAAATAAGAAAAAAATTATTAGAGAAGCATTCATAGCATGTGAGAAACATCTGGGCTGTAAGCATGTAGAAGTATAATGCAAATACCTGGTGAAATAGTTTTCCAGGCAGATAAAATGTAATGTGCAAAAGTCCTTGGAAGGGAATCCATTAAAGAATAGCAAGGTAGTGTGACTGGAATCCAGCTGAGGAGAATTTGGAGAGTTATAAAATGAGGTCTGTGCCCTAGCTAGAGGCCATGTCACTCACTCTGTTGTCATCTAGAGTAAGTACTTTGGTTTTTATGCAAAAAAAAAAAAAATGAGAAATGTTCATAGAGCTGAGAGCAGTTATACCATTACAGATTTTTATTTCGGTATGTTTATGTGAGTTGTTTAAGCTACTTTAACTGCTGTACTAAGTAGGCCCCAGTAATAGATTATGTTTTGCTTCAATGTAAAGCTCAAAGTGTCTCCATGTTGGTGAGATTCAGGTTTGCAGGGACTCTATCATTATCAAAATATGTCTTCCAAAATCACCTAGGTTTTATCCTACAATTGGAAGAAAAATGAAAGATTGAAAGATCTCTTGTGGAAGTATCAGTGAATCAAGAATAAAAATATCATACTATTCATGACCCAGCGTAGTGGCTAAAACCTTATCACAGTGCCATATCTGACTGCAAGGAAGGTTAGGGAATGTGTTCAGCTGTGTGCCCAAGAACAATTACCCAAAGATTATTTTAACATTTCTAACCATTGTTGAATATTAACTAATAAATCATTCGATTTAAAACATTTCAACTTTCCTATATTTTACAAAGTGCTCAAGAATATATAGCTTGTGAATTTTCCCAAAACAATATTTATTCTTATTGCCTGTATGCAACCTGATAACTTTATATTCTGCTTAATTCTATTTTATTCTTGTAATTTTTCTGATTTCTCTTTTTAACTGTTGGTTATGATTTTATTGATTATGACATGATTTTATTACTCACTTGGAGATTGCTACCTATAGTTCAAACATCAGTGTAATTCAGTGATGACATCTGGGAAATAAGCCCTAAACGTAGAGTAGAAATACTGGGATACAATGCCATTACTGTCACTTAACAGCCAGTTAGGCTAGGCCTTGCTACGCTAGATGTGGTACTTGAATCTGCAGCATCAGAATCACCTGGGAGCTGGTTGGAAATGTAGAATTTTTACTCAGATTTACTGAGTCGAGGTCTATATATTTACAAAGTCCCCAGGTGATTCATATACACACAAAAGTTTGAGATGCTTTGGGCTAAGCAATGCTGCAGTAATAAACAATCTTATATTCTTAGGAGTTCAAAAATGTTTTGGAAGCAAGGGAGCTCTGCTCATCATAGTCACTTATGGTCTAAGCCTTTAGCTAAGATCTCAAACATTGCCTTTTTTTTTTTTTTCAAGAGATAAAAGCAATCTCTGGGTAGAGAGGTCTTTTCCAGTCTACCACATTACCAAATAAATAAATTATTCATGCTCCTCCTGCCTACTGTATACTAAATATTTTCTCTTTCTTCTGAATTACTAATAAACCTTGAGCTCATCTCAAGTATAGTATTTACTATATTGTATTAGTTTTTTTATATGTTTGTTTCTGTGTTTCCTCTATTAGGATAAAACTCACATTGTCTTACACATCTTTATATATTAAATATTGAATAAATAAGTAATTATTTGTGTGTTTTTATATTAAATAACACATTTGGATTTAATGACACATTTTCTCACCTGTGTTAAGAAATGTATCAATTGATTTATAAAATAATTTAGCTCCAAGAAAATTCACATAAAATGAAATCACTATCTGGGCAATGTCAGGTGAAGAGACCTTCCCTAAATTCAGTGTGGTTGGTGGATGGGACGAGCTTGACTCATGAACTTAACACCTTTGATAGCACTTTTTATCTACAGATAATGAGTGAAAAGTTTAAAGTATTGGTAGGTCTTGGTCATTGTACATATCCCTCTGTAGGAGTAAAAAAGAATGCTACCTTTCAAATTTTCTGAATGAAAGTCTTCTAGCCTCTTTTGAATTTTAATTGGATTCATATAGGGCAAATATTCTGCAAGATAAAGATATTTAGTTATCTACAACCAATATTTGTCTGTTGTCAGATAGACATGAAGCCCAGATTCCTTTTTTCCGAGATTTCTTATGAGTCATTTATAGAGCAAGAGCTTTCTTTTCTAATACCTCTAAAGACCAATATGGTGGGCAGGTTAAAGGAATATTGGTAATAGCATGTTCTCACTTGTAAGTGAGAGTGCAATAGTGGGTACACATGGACATAGTGGAATAATAAACACTGAAGAATCAATAGAGTGAGAGGAAGTGGGGAGGGGTGAGAAATTAACTAATGCATACAATGTATATTCTTTTCAGGTGATGGCTTCACTAAAAGCCTAGACTTCACCACTACACAGTATATCCATGTAACAGAACTGCACTTGTATCCCCCAAGTATAAAAAAATAAAAGACTGTACCTAATAGATCAGAAGGTATCTTTCAATATTAGCTCAATTAACACTCATTACAAATTTATCATTATCCTGAAACAATTATTGAGACAACTGAGACACAAAGAGGTAAAGTAATTTTCTAAATGTTGAAGTTTAAGTGAAATTATTTAGAAAAACTACTTATTTAAAATTAGAAACAGAACTTTGGACAGATTAAAAGTTGCCAACATTGATTTCACATGTATCTCACTCTGTGTTAGGAATTCATTTCTAAAACACCTCTCAAGTTGAATTACATTTTCAATAGATGAAGACATGTAAAATTTTGGACGTATTAAGTTGTGTATTTTACATATCTTTATGTAAAATTTGTTTGAAGGAATTTCCATAAAATGTTGGAAAACAAAAAATGATAGTACAACCAAGAATCGAAATATAAATAGACATGATGACAAAAGAAACTGTGTTTAGAAAAATCTCAGTTTCCTGAAATGTATCATTTTCAACATGATATCACAAAAATCCCAAATAGAGATTTTTAATTTAAAAATACACCCTCTTCATTATAATTTATTTTATGATATGCAAAAAACAGTTTTGCCTGAGTTTTCAAAAATTGCTAAGATATCTATTTCCTTATCACCACATTTAGGAGGTCACTCTAACTGAAAGAAGCAAGAAGTGTAAGTTTAAAATGTCATTTTCCTTCTCTCTATTCAAAATATCTTATTGAGAAACCCAGAAATTGAGAACTCCTGGTCTACTCGAAAGAATCAGTATTCTAGTCCTTGGTCCTTCATCAGGGCTGGTCTTTTCAACCTTATTTCACTCTTACTAGATGTCAAAAACATGAAAAAGAAACAAACAAAAAAAACTTTCAGCTGAATTTAATAACAATGGATTAATTCCAGACAAAACAAAGAAACACATACTTTTGTAATATGTTTAAAAGTAGTTAAAAGGATAAAACAACTGTAAGCATTCAGTGAAGAAATAATACTACTGTCTATTGTTGGTAATTCGTTTTTGTTGGGGTAAGGCATTGGTTCCATGCGGTGGTCCCCAAATTTGCTCATGTGTTAGAGTCACCTGAGACAATTTAAAAAATTTGCTGACCAACCTACACCCTGGGCCAATAAAATCAGAATCTCTGGGGGGAGGGGGTTATAATTTATAAATCATTTTTTTCCTAAATGATTCCAAGGATGAACTAAATTTGAGATCCACTGGTCCAATTGCAGTCTATTCTTAAACCTATAATGACTGCCAGCAATATTTTTATATCTTATCAACGACCACATTATGTGAGTCACTCTTAACTCTCCTTTTATGTTATGGAAGCCTGCCTGATAAATAAGATTGTAGGAATTATTTAATAGTGAGATACACATAAGTTCAAGTAATTCTCCTGTCTCTGCCTCCTGAGTAGCTGGGATTACAGGCATGTGCCACCACGCCCAGCTAATTTTTGCATTTTTAGTAGAGACGAGGTTTCACCATGTTGGTCAGGCTGGTCTGGAATTCCTGACCTCATGATCCACCCACCACAGCCTCTCAAACTGCTAGGATTACAGGCATGAGCCACCACACCCGGCCACCAGCTACCTATTATGACTACATGTGAAGAAGCAGCAAAGCTGTAAGTTCAGATCATAGTATCTAAGCCATTCTTTTCTAGCAGTCTATATCATTTCTATTTAAAATGTACTCATTTTTTCCATAAAATGTCAAACTCAATATACCTGCATGAGAGACATGGGACTTAGACCAAATTTACTAATTAAAAACTCAGTGGGTAGGACCCATGCATAGGCATTTTCCACAAATCCTCTAGGTGATTTTTATGTTCACTAAAAGTTTCAGGTCTTGTGTTCCTATAGGTTTACAAAATTAAAAGGAGCAGGTCCAGCTTAAACAAGAAAAAAGTGCATTAATTATAATCAGGAAAAAGCCTCTATCTATCTATCTATCTATCTATCTATCTATCTATCTATCTATCTATCCACCCATCCACCCATAGGAATGTCATACTAGTCATGAATGCTAGGTCCTATCTAGTGGAAGCTTCAGAAGATTTATCAGTGTTTTACCTTGTTCACCTTCTTCTTGCCAGTGTTGAGCAGCCAACTATGATCTTGCATTTTTCACTGGAATAAAGCCAAGAAGGGGATCTCAGAAGATGGAGCTCTGGTAGTCAGATGCCATTTTCCTTCTGCAGTCTCTGACGCACAAACTTGTATAGTTTCTTTACTTGGGCCAGATTAAAATTGTGGCCAAACTGGACTACTTGAATGCAGAATAAACCCTAGATATTGTTTTTTCTGTCAGTCTAAGCATGAGTAGCTTTTCTTTTCCAATAGCTAGCAGGCAGAGAGAAAATAGCAAAATCAGTTATGGAATTGGTATTTCCATTAACATACTGTCTTTTCAAACAAGCACCAGTTGATCTTATTGTGTCAAATTTACAAAGAAACTGATATATGAGAAAAGCAATGCATTATTGTAGTTTATTATTTGTGAATATAATTCCAAGTACTTTGTTATGCTGTGTACCAGGACCATTTTTGCCGGTGGGGGGTGTGGAAGGGGAGTGGCATGAGAGGCAGCACAAATGCACACTGCAAAGGTGTAGGAACAGGGCTCTTAGATGGAGGACTTACCTTATGGCTGTAAAAGATGTGAACTTCTCCAGAATAAGGACCAGTTCTTGTTTATCTTTGGTTTCTTTCCAGAATCTGGTAAAGCAACTACAATACTAAATGGTAAAGTGTGTCTATCAGTCTTGAAAGCAAGTCAGAGTTAGATAATATTTATAATATTAAATGTGAATGTGCTAGCATTATCACATAAAATAATACTGGTCTAAGATTGAGGTTATTCCTAAATCTAAGCTAACAGTGACTTAGTATGTTTCATTTATTAACCCCAAATCTCTAGTATGTGGCCTGATTTCTCATGTATGTACACCTACATTTAACTATATGACCAAAGGTGGAATCAATGAATACTGCTCACCACCATCTATATCATATAGAACATTAAATAAAGAAGAATGCTGAATTAAATGGAATTATAACAGAAAATAAAGCTTATGAGCGTATCACTAATGTCCTAAGCCAGAACAAATTTATAATCCATATATTCAAAATAATAAGGAAAGTTTTATCAAATTTTAATGGTTCCATAGTGAGGGTATGTCTTACTAATAAGACTTCCATTAAGGACTGTTTTGCTACCAATCAACCTGGTTTTTCATCAATACATGAATTCTTCCAGTTCTAAGGAAGGAAGAAGGAAGAAGGAGAAGAAGAAAAAGGAGGGAGGAGGAAGAGGAGGAGGAGGAGGGAAAGAAAGACAGAAAGAAAGAAAGAAAAAGAGAAAGAGGAGGGAGGGAAGGAAGGAAGGAAGGGATCTAATTGAATATCGGGAGAGTCCTGTAATCTAGATAAGAAATATTTTCCAAACAAGGCAACTACCTGTTGGCAAGAACTTCAGGGCCATTTTCAGGTGTTTCAATGATGCCTCAATCATGTACCTACATTTTCTATTTATTCTCTACAATCTACTGACGTTAATGGAAACCTTCCACCTCTCTTAGATCTTGCTTTATACTCCCTTTCATGTCCCTCCACTACATGAATTCAAGTCATTTATTTCACCTTGAACTTGAAGTCAAATGTATAAAAATTCATTATGTATTTCACAGAATTCATATAACAACACTATTTTGCAGAGAGATCCAAAATTGTAATGATACATGTAAACATCCTCTTAAGTGGAAGCTGGCTAAACTCAGTATTATTTTTCTTTGAATTTTATCAACAGAGATCAGGAAATATAATGCAAATCGTGGATTTGTTTCTATTGTGTTCTTCCCATGGATTTATTTCAAAGGTGTTGCATTCTTTGACACTGTAAATTCAAATTAGTTTACACTTTGAATTAAAATATTCTACAGTATTGCAATACTTTGCCACTTCTGGATTAGGAAAGGAGACAGAGAAGGAGGACTTAAAAAAATAAAGGTTCTTTCCCCAGAAATTTTTAGGAATAGATCCTCCAAAATATATTGTAGCAAAATCTGGGGATAGAGTGGAGAGGGCTATGAGCAGTCAAACAGTTACCACATACCATCAATTTTCAGCTTTGCAAAATTTCACATTTTAACATTATTTAACAATTCTGATGTGTCTTAAAACCATGCAATATCATACTTTAATTGTCAGCAATTTTTCTTTGTAGTGATTCAGGAAATTGATATACCCCATAACTGCTGATGTCTTAAGTTCTGTGTTCCATGAAATACAGTAAATGATGGGTTTGCAACACAGAAAAACTAGCTGCTCCATCTCAGAGCAGCTACTTCTGATATTGGCCTTCATGCTCAACCTAAGAGTATAGTTGCTTTTGTTTATTTGCACATTTGTTTGTTTTTCTGTATAAAAACTAGGCTATCATAAGAAGGAGCTAGAGTTGCAATAGGATAGACAATATGGTAGTGTTTGGAGTTAATGTGTATTTATAATCTAGGGAAAAAGTATACTGAACATGACAGAATCTATGGAAATGTACTACCACCATCCCAAACAAATATGTACTATCTTCCCTTTAGGCCTATCATTCTGGTGTGCAGGACAGGACAGAAGAAATATAGTTTTGATATAGAAACTCTTCAAAATGTTACCATCCATGAATTCTGCCTGAGAGCATAACTTAGAAATATTCTCTAGGGAAAAATAATTCTAAAACTTTGGAAAAATTAACATGGAGAAAAGTGTGCCGAATAGAAAAGCAGTAAAACTATAGGTAGGTAGAAATAATTATCAGTAAGACAGCCATGAAAATTAGTGTAATTGTCAAAAGTAATTGGTAAGAAAGAGGCAAAATGTAAAATAATCTGAGAATTACACTGAAGAAGGCCTTATCAAAATAGCAGTTTGGAGGAGGAAGTGAGCAACTAAAAATGTTCGAAGTATCTTGTGTTATTTGGGAAGTAATTATTCAAACTATATGTTATTTCATTTCTAGACCTTTTTATTTTTTATTGGTTTATTGATTTATTTTTATTTTTATTTAGTTTTATTGAGATAGGGTTTCACTCTGTTGCCCAGGCTGAATTTCAGTGCCACAATATCTGCTCATTATAACCTCAGCTTCCTGGGCTCAAGTGATCCTCCCACCTCAGCCTCCCAGGTAGCTAGGACTATAGCCACTTGCCAACACACCCAGCTAATTTTTGTATTTTTTGTAGAGATGGGGTTTCCCATGTTGCCCAACCTGGTCTGAAACTCTTGGGCTCAAACAATCTGCCTGCCTTGACCTGTCAAAGTGCTGGGATTTTAGGCATGAGCCCCCATGCCTGGGCCTACTTTTTCATATTCATCTTTTTAACTTTTATTTTAGGTTCAGGAGTGCATATGAAGGTTTGTTATATTGGTAAACTTGTGTCATGGGGGGTTTCTTACATACATTATTTCGTCATCCAGGTACTTGGCCTAATACCCAATAGTTATTTTTTTAATCATCTCCCTCCTGTCAGCTTCCACCCTCAAGAAGATCCCAGTGTCTGTTGTTCTCCTCTATGTGCCCATGTGTTCTCATAATTTAGCTCCCACTTATAAGTGAAAACATGCAGGATTTGGTTTTCTGTTCCTGTTTTAGTTTGCTATGGATAATGGCCTCTAACTCCATCCACGTTGCTGCAAAGACATGCACTCATTCTCTTTTATGGTTGAATACTATAATATTACAGAGTGTATGTGTACCGCATTTTCTATATCCATCCTACCATTTATGGGCATTTAGGATGATTCCATGTCTTTACCAAATAGTGCTGTGATGAACATACATGTGAATGTGTCTTTATGACAGAATGATTTATATTCCTTTGGGTATATACCCCGTAATGGGATTGCTGGGTCAAATGGTAGTTCTGATTTCAGGTCTTTGAGAAATACCCACACTGCTTTCTACAATGGCTGAACTAATTTACATTTCCACCAACCGTGTATAAGCATTACCTTTTTTCCTCAACCTCGTGAACATCTGTTATTTTTGACTTTTCAATAATAGCCATTCTGACTGATGTGAGATAGTATCTCATTGTGGTTTTTGTTTGGATTTTTCTAATGATCAGTGATGTTGAGCTTTTTTTCATAGGCTTGTTGGCTGCATGTATGTCTTCTTTTAAAATTGTCTGCTAATATCGCTTTCCTACTTTTTAATTTTCTTATAAATTTGTTTGAGTTCCTTATAGATGCTGGATATTAGACCCTTGTCAGATGCATAGTTTGTAAATATTTTCTCCCATTTTATAGGTTGTCTGTTTACTCTATTGATGGTTTATTTTGCTGTACAGAAGCTCTATAGTTTAATTAGATTTCTTTTGTCAGTGTCAGTGTTTGCTTTTGTTGTGATTGCTTTGGTATTTTTGTCATGAAATGTTTGCCCATGACTGTGCCCAGAATGGTATTGCCTAGGTTGCCTTCCAGGGCTTTTCAAGTTTTGTGTTTTACATTTAAGTCTTTAATCCATTGTGAGTTGACTTTTGTATATAGTACAAGGAAGGAATCCAGTTTCAATCTCTTGCATATGACTAGCCAGATATATTTGCACCATTTATTGAATATTGCTTGTGTTTGTCATTTTGTTGAAGGTCAGGTGGTTGTAGATATGCAGTTTTATTTCTGGGCTCTTTATTCTGTTTCATTAGTTTATGCATCTGTTTTTGTACCAGTACCATGCTCTTGGTTACTGTAGCCCTGTAGTATAGTTGGGTAGTGTGATGCCTCCAGCTTTGTTCTTTTTGGTTAGGATTGCCTAGGGCTATTTCAACTCTTTTTTGGCTCCATATGAATTTTAAATTTTAAGTAGTTTTTTTCTAGTTCTGTGAAGAATGCCATTGGTAATATGATAGAAGTAACATTGAATGTGTAAATTGCTTTAGGCAGTATGGCCATTTTAACAATGTTGATTCTTCCTATCCGTGAGCATGGTATGTTTTCCATTTGCTTATGTCAATCTGATTTCTTTGAGCAGTGTGTTGTAGTTTTCCTTGTAAAAATATTTCATCTCCCCAGTTAACTGTATTTTTAGGTATTTTATTCTTTTTGTGGCAATTGTGAATGAGATTGTGTTTCTGATTTGCCTCTCAACTTGGCTGTTGTTGGTGTACAGAAATAGTTTTTACATTGATTTTTTTATTCTGAAACTGCTAAAGTTGTGTATTAGTTGAAGGAGCATTTCTGCTTAGACTATGGGGTTTTCTTGATGTAAAATCCTGTCTTCTGTAAACAGGGATAATTTGACTTCTCTTCCTATTTCAATGTCCTTTATTTTTTTCTCTTGCCTGATTGCTAGGACTTTTAATACTATGTTGAATAGAAGTGGTGAGAGAGGACATTCTTGTCTTCTGCCAATTTTCAAGGGGAACGTTTTCAGCTTTTGCCTATTCATTATGATGTTGGCTGTGCGTTTGTCATAGATGGCTTTTATTATTTTGAGAAGTGTTCTTTAATACCTAGTTTATCAAGAGTTTTTAACATGAAGACAGGTTGAATTTTATCAAAAGCCTTTTCTGCATCTATTGAGAAAATCATCTGGTTTTTGTCTTCAGTTCTGTTTATGTGATGTATCACATTTATTGATTTTCATATTATTGAACCAACCTTGCATCCCAGGGATAAAGCCTACTTCATCGTGGTGGATTAGTTTTTTTGATGTGCTGCTGGATTTGATTTTCTAGCATTTTCTTAAGTATTTTTGCATCAATAATCTTCAAGGATATTGGCTTGAAGTTTTCCTTTGTTGTGTCTCTGTCAGATTTTGGTATCAGGTTGATGTTGGCCTCATAAAGAGTTGTTGAGGACTCCCTTCTCCTCAATTTTTTTGAATGGCTTCTGTATAAATGGTTCCAGCTCTTCTTTGTTCAT
Organism: Homo sapiens; assembly: GCF_000001405.40. Taxonomy (NCBI): domain Eukaryota; kingdom Metazoa; phylum Chordata; class Mammalia; order Primates; family Hominidae; genus Homo; species Homo sapiens. Next base: position 53,076,359 of record NC_000017.11, read on the forward strand.
CTTATAGAATTCAGCTGTGAATTCATCTGGTTCTGGGTTTTTGTTGTTGCTGTTATTGTTAATTGGCTATTTATTACTGATTAAATTTCAGACCTTGTTATTTGTCTGTTCGGGGAATAAATTTCTTCCTGGCTCAGTCTTGGGAGGGTGTATGTGTCCAGGAATTTATCAATGTTTTCAAGATTTTCTAGTTTGTCATTTCTATACCTTTTCAAAAACTCTGTAGATTGTAACCACAAGAAAGACTAGACATAGGACATATAATTCCTGGATGACCAGCAAGTACCTCAGCACACATACCAAAGCATAAGAAAATTGTAATTAATTCAGCTTGGGGAAGAGAGAAATAGCAACAAAGCACTGTGTAAAGAAATAGAAACATTAAAATTTTATATAAAATAAAACATATTTTCCATCAGTTAGCAACAGGATGATTCAATGCGTGACTTTGGAAGTTCCTCCTTTGACACCAGAAACATAACTACGTGGCACTGATGGCTCAACTTCTCCATGCTCACCTTCTTCCAAACTCAGTCTTCCCTTTTCTCACTTGGGTGGAGGGTGGAAGAAACAGTGTGTGTTTTCAACTTCTTATAGGTTGAGGAGGGAGACAAATTATCTTGGCGCTGGAGAACTGGTCCCGAGTTTCAGGCTTCCTAAGCCTGAGACCAAACTATTTGTCAACTGTGCAAGACTATATTCACACTTTAGCTCTAAAAACTTAGCAACAAGAATAGTTCTAGAGTTGCAGTTTTTAAACATTTTGGTCTCAGAGCCCTTTTACTGTCTTCAAAAATATTGAAGATCCTAAAGTTTGTGTATGTAGTACTTATTTATTGATATTTTCCATATTAAAAATAAAACTAAGAATGAAACACCTGATCTATTTAACTGTAAACCATTTACATGTATGTATAAATATTTCAATAAAATGTAACTATATTATGTCAACCAAAATAATATACAAAACAATATATATATGATCATCAGAATTGATAGCTCAATTTATTTGATAAAAATCAGTTCTCATTTCTGATAATTCTGACTAAGATAGGCATAGAAATAACTTAACTAGTTCGGGTAACATAATTCCCACCAGACACCTAAACTAAGTAGATTGTATTCATTTCAAAGGCAGTTAGCTTGGCATTATGTATTTTATACCTCTGTAGTCTGCTGATCCCATGAGAACCCAAAGCGGTTTTGTTTCATTACTTGCCTTTGTTCTCAATAACATCTTTGAAAAACTGTGGAAATTGTGAGGGGGTGGAATCAATTTAGAATTTAAAAAGTCAGAGGATCTGAATTCAGTACTTTGACCTGCCATTTAAGAACTACACCCCACAATTCTCTTTCTTCACTATCAGGGTGAAAGCAATAATGCATGTCTTACAATGCTAAGGATAAACAATGTGACAATGATTTTCACAGAGCTAAACATGCTAACACAAAAATATTTATGGACAAAACAAAAACATGAAACCCCACTATCTCCTAAACTCCACTGTGAGTTTTTTTTTGTAGAACTAGTTGTGAATGTTGAAAAAAGAAAAAGAGCATCAAATTTCTTCATGAATAAACACTATTGGTTCTACATATATCTCTACATTTTTAAAACAACATTTAAGATAATGAATTTGTTACTTTTACCAAACAATATTTTTAAAAGAAATTTTTGATGAAGTACAGCTCCTTCTCCATATTTCTTTTATCATAGAACACTGAAAATAATTTTTAAACTATACCTTTGAAGCTAAAAATTTGTCCATGTGGTTGACTATCAAATGTATATCTTAGGGAAAAAAATAAAAGCATACAGATAAAAGCATGTAGTTTCATTTCCTCAAGTCTTCCAATTAATAAAATTACACATTGGTTTCTATTGGGACAAGCCAAGGAGGGGTTAGAAGGCAGAGACATTGATATGAATGATTATTATCATAACAATAGTTTTTGGAAATTTTTGCACCCCTTGGAGAACTGTGAGGTTGAAGGATTTGTAGATCAGTGTTTCACAACCTGCATTCCCTAATATTTACTGATTTATGAAGAGCAAAATGGAGCTCTGAGAAATATTTTCTCCATTTCTTTTCGCCTCCCAGAATAGACTAGAGCTTCCTGAGAGTGACCAGTTCTTACTCATCTCTATATGTCCAGTGCATCTAGAAAGTCTCATACCCAGTAGAAGTTTAGTATTTTCTTAACCAATCTATGCTAACTAAATTTATTGAATGTAAAAACCTAATCATTTCTGTGTGACATGTTCTTTGAAAGCTTGTTCACACCCTATATTGCCCAAGATCGTTTACATGGTTAGTGGCCTATCATTCAATTTAATTGTAATTTACTGCACATTTACTGCGCCCCTAACAATTTCACTATCTGTTGGGCTGTTTAAAAATATGCACTTCCCCAATTTTCCCATCAGCCAGCATGTTCCTGTATCTTTTGCATTCTATTATGCACTTCCCAATGCCAGTTTCTGTATCTTTCAGTTCCTTTGCATATCCAGATTGCTTTGGTCAGGTACCTGTTCACAGGAGGCATGCAATCAATATATTTTTCCAAGTGATTGATATTTAATACTTGCCAGTGTTTGTGATTGTTGTATTTCATCTTGATTTAAACCCCATAGTAGGTATATTTTCTTTTGGCTGAGGCTTCAGCAAAACAGATGGCATGTGTCTGCACATTGATCTCTCCTGAAGTGGCAGAGTGAAATACTTTGGTTGCAGAAAAAAATTGTTTAGAAGCCTCTGAATTGACCTCTTTGTGTACCAAATCGACATTTTGTGCAGCTAGTTTTATCTTTGCTTAAACTAGTATTGATCAAACTATTAAAGATGGTGTTATGGTTTGAAAAGCTCCTCTTGAAGCACCAACAAAAATAATGGTTTGCATTTAAATCTTTAAATCAATCCTCATCTTGTTGACTATCACAGGGTTTTAGATGGTGGAGACCTTGATTAATTCTTTTCAATCTTATTTACCACGAATAAAGCTATAAAGGTGTTTGAGCACTCTACTTTTTGTCATTCACTGTTCGGTTTATTACACCTTCTACCATCATTCCCTGCCCTTTGCACCCTTTGTCTACAGAAATGCAGTTTTCTAGAAACACTTGTTTAGATGAAGAATCAGAAGTGGGTAAGTGATTTTTGAAATATTGAAGGGCTCTGGTGGAATGTAAGGGTGATTTACCATAATCACACAAAGAGAAACAGAAACAACAGCAACAAAAAAACCTGAGAGAACTTGTAGAACACCTTAAACAGCTTAAAATGGTCTTTATTACAAGAGGAGTGATTAAATTATTACATGAGAGAAATGAAACTTGGGATTTTCGGAATGAGGGCATTCTTAAATTTCATTGCTGAGAAATGTGTAGGGTTTTAGCCGAGATTTGGAAAGCTTTTAGGCTTCTATTTCTCAGGTAAGCCTAGGAAAGACTAGCTTTCAGTTGAAAATGGGTCACGGCAAGAAAATAGTATTAATTACAGTTAAACCCTCCAAAGAACTCTACTACAAAGCTCTAGATAGAGGATAAAATTAATTCCACAGATTTGCAACATTATTTATTTATTCTTATACAGGCTCAGAAGCACTCTTAGCTAAATCAAGCTCTGGCGTTAACTCCACCTGAAAAATACAACAAGAATTTAATGTGCCATTTCTTGATCATACATGGTTACTATGGGATTATAATTTTCATATTTGTTTGTTCTGCACATGCTTATCTTTGCAATTATTTGCCATGTAAAACTCTTAATTGCTGATGACGCTGTGTTAGGTTGTTGGCAAAAGCGGGGGTAGAAACTTACAAATTCATTCCCATCCCCTAATCAGTACAACTCAAAACTTTAAGTAGACTTCGTAGCGCTCAGACCTTTCTTAATTGTGGCTATATGCTGTAAAGTGTGGAACAGAAAAACCACCCACATGTCCCCCTCTGCCCTCTTACTACCAATATAAAACTTCCTCCCTCTCTTGCCTTCTGCAGAGTTTGACATTTCCAGCCTGGACCATTATTAATGAGCCACAGCTTAGCATAGGTTTATCAAATGTGGAAAGAATGAGGATGAAATGAAATGAGATGTGGAACTAAGTAAAGTAAAGGCAGGAGATCACAGTGGGTTGGTGAGGGGCGTGTAATAATTTAGACAGAAAACGTATCATTGCCAAGGGAAAAATTAGAAAATTTAGGGGCAGTGTGTAAATTTTATTGTCTAATGATTGTGTATCAGTAATATCATTTAATGGATGGGACAGGAATACTAAGTGTCTTCCTATGTGGGCTGTCAAATGGAACAAAGAGTTGCCTATTCTTTTCCTGACTTTTGAATGGCCTGCTAGATTTCCAGAAAATGTTTACCTGAGCCTCTAGTCTAATTCCATTTTATATATAAATGCAAATTTTTTTATATCACTATACAATGACCTTTGCAGTAAAGTGATGAAAGTGTAAGTCATATTAAGCTCAACTGTTTAACAAGAATTGTTCTCAATTTCAGAAATAGATTTCACTGATGGTGATAATATCGTAGTTTTTTTTTTTTTAGTTAAAGCATTAAAATGGTATATTTAAATTAAATATTTACATAAATCATTTATAAATTTAAATATAATATAGATTACTAAATATATGTAATAATAAGAAAATATTTTGTGAAATAAGATTTAAAACAATGAACTTATAATATGTGAAGGGCCTGGGGAATGGGAACCCTAGAGGACATATTCACCTATCCACTGACAGCCATAGGCCTCTAATCCAGTGCATTCATTGACTGAGGAATTCATTCTGTCTTTCACATATTACAGAGGCTACAGCACTGTTGTAGGTGCTGGAGATTCACAAAGTAATATGTCTTCAATCCCTGGTCCCAAGTAGTTCTGGTGGGAGAAATGAACGCATATATGAATATTTACAATATGTTGAGGAAACTTTAATTATAGAAGTAGGCCTAATGGAAGAAACCTTACCAAGTATAGAAGAAAGGTTACCTAGGGAGGCCTTTCAGAGGGGATGGGCTGATTGAAATTTGACTCGTTGGTAAGATTATAAAGCCAAATAATGCTGACAGGGAGGCATTAGAGAACAATTTTTTTAAAAAGAAAGAAAAAACAAGGGAAATAAATAAAGGCATAAAAATAAGAAATACCTTGCTGAGCATGAAAAATCTCAGTCAACGATGAAGCAGGAGAGGAAGGCAGGGACCACATATTTGATGTCCTTAGTGATTCTATGAATTATTAGTTGGTGTTATTAAACTTTTAGTGTGCCTGATTTATAAATTAAACTTAATCATAGGTATCTATGTATAGGAAAAACATAGTATATGTATAGTGTTCAGTATTACACGTGGTTTTCAAAAATCCACTGGGGTTCTTGGAATGTATCCCTCATGACTAAGGGAGAACTACTGTGCTTTTACAGACTAAGATATAAACTAAATATCTTTTCAAGGAATATTTTAGGTAGATCTCACTGGTAGCTGTGAGAAAGAAGATATTGAGGCAAATGGAAGAGGAGGCAAGGTATAGTGAGTATGCTAGTATAGTAATTGAGGTATAAGAAATGATTATTAGAAAACAATGGGAGAGTAGGAAACATTGCATCAGATACACATAAAAAGAGATCCATGGGAAAATATTCCACTACTCAGGCCCAAGTAACAGCAGCTCTACACCAATATATCTGAATTAGGGACAGGCATCTTTTCTAAGCCTCCTATGTAATTATGATACTTAATAAAGGTTGAGAAGCACTGGATTAGGTAACTACTTAGGAGAATAAATAAACATGACTTGACTAATTGGAGATAAGAGTGAAGGACAAAGAAGACATAAAGGATTGTTTTCTGGGTCCTAGTTGGGGAAAATCTGCTAATTGGTGATATTATTAGAATTAATGGAGGCAAAAAAATGAATTTCTTGAAGGGAAAAAATAATGCATCCCAAATGTGCATATTTAGTTTGAGGTACCTGTGGTATATTTGAATGTTGGTGGTCAGCAAGTAAGTGAATACAAAAATTCAATAATTTGCAATTTGATATAAAATATCAATAGTTTGGAAGAGATATACAATTTGAAGGTGGAGATTTCAGAGTCATCAGTGCCTTGAGGAGGCTTTAAAACATTAAAATGCAAAGTATTCTTTAGGGAGAGTGTGTGGGATGAGAAGAGTAGAGGATTAATAAGAGATAGCTCTATAGTATGAGTGTTTCAGAGATGAATAGAGGAAAACTAGCCAATGAAAGTGTCCGGAAAGAATTCTAAAGAAATTCGGTAAAAACTAGAAAAGTGTGGGATGAAAGAAGAAGCAAAAAGATGAGGAAAACCTACACTTCCTCATGAAAGAGCAGAAAGAGTAGATTTTCAAGACAATATCAGATGCAGCAAAAAGATGTACTAAGGTCAGAGTTGAAAATCCTTTAGGAGTCTTAGAATTTAGAGGGTCATTAGTTACCTCAGCAAAGGCACTTTTTAGTGTGCAGTTGCTAGGTTGAATTGTGTTGAAGGGTAAAAGACTGATGAGAAGTAGAAAGAGAGATCACCAACTTCTTTGTAAAATCTGACAGAGAAAAATGAATAATAGTGTGATGGTGCTATTGCAGTTGGAGATGGAAAATATGAGCATAATTTATATTTGGTAGTCATCATTTAGAAGTATGTTCCCCAAAATTTGTACTAACCAGTTCAGCTTGTACTCTCTGGTTAGTTGATTTGTTGATTAGTTTAGTTCTTTTCTGATTTATACATTCATTCAGGAGAAATTCACTAATAATATTTCATTTCTAAGATATTATTCTAGATGGTTTGTGGATGATAAAAATATAGAACAAGATCCTTTCTTTTATGTAAGATAGTGTTGTATAAGAAGATTTAGCATCTATAAGAGATTTGTGCAATGTAAAAGGTCGTAAACACCTTAAGGCTAGTATAGGCACAGTGATATGAATGCTCCTTCAATCAATACCAACTTATTGAGCTCTATTATAAATGAGGGATTGTTGCTAGGTTCTGGCTACTCACAATGCAGTCCACACATTTGCAGCATTGACCATCCCTGAAATATTTTAAAAAATACAAAATCTCAGGTCCAACCTCAGCCATTCTAAACTAGAACCAGTATTTTAATATGATCTTTAGGTGATTAATATGCACATTAAATCTTCAGAGGCACAAGCGGGTTTCAATTTATTCTGAAAGTGGAATATGAGAACATGTAAATCAGAATCTCTTTAGAATACAAATTCTGAGATCCTGCACCCAGGAGGTCTGTTTCAATAGTTTTACAGTGAGGCTTTGATTCTACATTGAAACAAAACTATACCCATCTAATTTTTTTTCTGAAACAAAACTATACCCATCTCATTCAGTATGAGAACCATTTATTTGGGTGTTGGGGATACAATGATGGATAAAACAGAATTCAACTCTTTTAAAATCTGTCTTACGTACAATTTCCAGTTGGGTACAAATAAATTTCTCTCCTATATGATGGTTTCTAGGATCAATGTCTTGAAAGACTGTCTATACTCTCAAAATATTTTATTTTTCCCATCATTTTTCCAATAATAGGGAAAAATTAAAGGATTCTGACACAGTGGGTCAGAACCACATGAAAATCAAATTGAGATTCATTCTCCTTCTCAGAAATTTCAGAGGACTGATAAATAAACCACCTACTGAAGGCTAAATTATATTTAGTATACATTCAGAAAGACTTTTGTTTAATGGCAGAGGCATTCTTTAAGAATTGGTAATCCCTATGGATATGTTTGTCAACTCTATTAATTATATTATTTGATTAACTGAAACACTGCAATCCCTGGTCACTCCAGATAACAGGAAGCTTAAATACTTCCATATGTGCTATATCATTGATAAAACTATGATGCTTCTCTGTAAATAATTTGGGAAATATTCTTACCTTTATAAAATTTTTCCAAACAAAATTTATTTTGGAGAGAAAAAGATAATTTTATGTACTTCACAAATTTGATTTTGTAAATAGTAACCAGTTGTTACAGGCCATAGTCATTGAAGGTCTGCCTTATGTTAAAGCCATAATACTTTCAATATCATTAATCAACTGTAACCCCAGATGAAAAATGGATTTAACATTTTCTCAAATATACTAAAGGAACTAATTAATATCGGGGCTTATGCTACATAGACATGAATGCTTTGGTTGAGTAGTGATGGATATGTTGGTAAAAAATTGAATCTTGTTCAGATAAAATTTTGCTTGAGAACTCTTGCTTATGAGGTCTCAGTAGATAAATTTTTCTATTTACTCCACTCAGCCCTATTTATATGTTACTTTGGGCTCCCAAAACAGAGTCCGATTAATGGATGGTTCAACTGGGTGGTTTCCTGGAGGACCAATATATTAAAACTATTTAAAATTTTTAAAAAGTTAAATAATGGCATTAGATAAGGCTCATAGGGTTAGTTAACTCAGGTTTTGCACATAATTCCATGCAGAAATGGAGAAATGTAAGTGAATCACAGTCTTACTTCAACACCCAGCATTCTCAAATAACATTGCAATCTTTATCCCTTAAAGTACAAAGTAAGCAGATAGTTTATTTTAACCAGGCTTAGAATTTTGTTTAGCTGTCCAAAAAAAGAGACAAGATTGCTAAGTTGCTTGTAAGGGAAACATTACAGTGCTGAACAGTGGAAATTTGGCAGAGTAAACATGAAAATAAGAACACATAGTAGTTGATTGATAATGAAAATATAGTCAGTACAGTGGATTGGAGGTTTCTTTACTTTTATTCTCATGAATTATTGGAGAATACTAAAGGAAGAAGATGATCACAGAGGGACATGTTTGAGAAATCTGATGTCATAATTGAATTCGTAATGACAAGGACAAATGAAAGTGAGTCAATAAAGTGAATTGAGGTGAAAGGCTTTTGTAGCCACCAAGGTCAAACAGATGAGAGGGATTACACTGAGAGGAGTAGTGGTAAAGAAAGCTAGTGAGCTGAAGACAGATGCTATCTATAAATGGGGGTGTGAGAGAGTATGGCAGGGTAGCCAGGAGAGTTAGCCAACATTAGTTAATAGTGGGAAACCTTTAAAAAAATTGTATGAAATTAAATAATTGAACCTTAAAGGTGCTAGAACTTTAAATTATTTGAACGTTGAGAGAGAAATGTGGCTACATGGCCTGAGTCACAGAGCATACAGCTACAACTTTTGCTTTTCCCCATAAATGATTAGGAAAGGTCTTGAGGTGTCAGAGATAGAAACTCTCAGATCATTAACCCTCTGGAATGTTAGAGCAATCTTCCTTGGAATGTAGCAAGCTATAACCAATCAAATCAATATAAAATATATACTGACTTTGTACGGAAAATGGTGCAGCCCTCTTAACGGCCTATATAAGTGAAACAACTTCCCCACTTCGGAACACTGATCCCATTCATTTGAAGTTTATGTTTCCTGGGGGACAATTTTCAAGCTTTTCATTAAAATAAACTCTATACTTAATCATATTTCCTGAATCTCATTAGGTAAGTTTGACAAATATTTTCAAGGAGTAAAGTAAGAAGGACATCCAATTAGAATGAGAAACACTGAGCAAGCACATGGAATGTGGGAGAACAAACCAACCTACACTTGTGAGTAATGCAGGGGAAGTAGAGTTCTTAAGGCCAGTTTGTTTTAATTTTCAGCAAGAAGGCAAAGGTACTGTTCATAGAAGTTGTGTGAGAGTTTGTGGTTGTTGTAACACTGATGCCTATTATGGACTGAGCTGTGTCTCCCAAAAATTCTTATTGAAGAAGAGTTGAAGTTTTAACCTACCATACCTCAGAGTATTATGGCATCCTGAAATAGGGCCTTTAAAGAGATAATTACAATAAGATTATTAGGGTAGGAATTGATCTGACTGGTGTTTTTATAAGAAGAGAGGATTAGAACAAGACACACAGAGGAAAGATTATGTGAAGACACAGGAAGATGACCACCATCTCTAAGCAAAGGGGAGAGGTCTCAGAAGAACCAACCACACTGATGACACCTTGATCTTGGATGTCTGTCTTCCAAAGCTGTCAGAAAATACATTTCTGTTATTTAAGCCCCTCCAGTTTTTTGTACTTTGTATGTCAGATCTGGCAAATAAACATCATGCCAAAGACTCAGAATAAGTGTTTTGGACAACAGAGAGAAATGGAAGTGGATGTCAATTTTGGGGCTATATGTGGCACAAGAGACGAGGTGTTAGTATGATGTTTAATAATTAGCCACACTTATTATCATGATCAAAATGTACAAATATAGAAAGCAAGATTAAATTAGTCTAGATGGGAAATGCACCCATACAGCTTACTATTTCCATTAAAAGGACTTTACTCTTGAACTGTCTTCGGAAATTTAACTTTACTCTTCCAGGATACTCCTGCTCAGGAAGATCAAAACTGAAAATAACTTTATTATTTATTTCAGACACTTTCTGAAAAATCTATAAACTTGTTTTAAATTCATCAAATGATGTTTATCTCCCAGTACTCTGAATCTCTTGACTTCTCAAAACCCCCATCTTGCTGTGTCCGCCAATCTTAAACTATTGTATTATGATCCTTTCTCAGTTTAATAAAGCCCTGAAATTGAAACACCCACTATAAACTAAACTTCAAAATCTCATACATATCTTGATTTTGCCCTTCCCCCTGAGATACTACTAAAACTCCATGCTCTCCCTTACTCTAGTGAGAATAAACTCCTTTCTGTCTTCTCAATATGTGATTTTAGTGATATTTGGGGGATGCCAACATTCTATAAGGTTGTAGTTATTCCATATCTTAGGCTGGACGTTCTCTTGGCTGAGAAGGGGATGAATGGATTACTGAAGGGTATCCTTTGAAAACCTCATAGTGGATGCTTTTGCCAGTTATTCAGATTATTTTAGCAACTGGGGGCACACAACTACTAAAAATCTCAGATCAACTGAATGCTGATTGGAAGAGAGAGTTGACTCACAGAAGGTTGCTGACCCCATACATGGCAGGAAACATAATTTAAAAGATTAGAATTCAGAAAATTGGCATAAAATGGGGAAGATGGGTCAAGCCAAGTGCAGATGGATTGATTTGGATACAAAAAATTGTTGTGTGTGGACAACTATATAAAATGCATTTTGATATTTGCAATATGTACATTACAAAGCAAGATACTTCATACTATAACTAAAAATAATACAATTTCACCAAAATTACGTATCAATTTTGAGACTATAAACACCTAACAAAATACTGTAAGAATAAACAAAGCAACACCTAAGAGAATTAAAGTGAGAAATTAATGAATTTTTAGCACATTTTATTTAGTAATTGACAGGAAACACAGACATACACATCTGCAAAACAGACATAAGAAAGAAGAAATGTTCTACATAAAATACTGGCAAACAACAAATATAAAAAGTAGAAAATTTTCCAAAAAAACTATTTAAAAAGATGAAATGCTTCAACTGCTGACAGAATCTAGAGAGGGGTTTAGTTTCAAAAACTACAATTACAAGGAGTTAAGAACTGTGACTTTGTGGCTCACTGACCCAACCCTCATGGCAATAATCTGCAAACATTATGAGAGGAAACCCTGGCAGCTTGTTTGGCTAGAGATACTTGAAGTCAGAAATTCAGAGATTGGAGAAAGCTGGGAATAGATAAGGGAAATCTTTCTAGCACGATTATCTCAGGAGTGAGACTCAAATTTTAGGATAAACTGCTCAAACTCCTGGCTGACAGGTAAAAAATAAAATAAAATAAAATAAAAAATTTTAAAAATACAAGTACAAGGAGAATCCAGAGGCATAGCAGAAAATCAGGTAAAGACCAGAGATAAATCTTCTCATGACAGAAAATAGACTATCCAAATAATAATATTAAAGTGCGAAGGAAAACACTATGAATGTAGAATCGTATATGCAGATGTTAAAAGACTTTCCCTAAAAATGCTGAGATGTATTGAGGAAAAAGGAAGTTGAACCACTACTAATTTATCCATTTTAATTTCATTAACCACTTTTTTTTTCATTTCTGGAAATTCCTTGGGTACAGTTTAAATTATTCTATTCTTTTTTAAGGGTATGTCTTTCAATTTGCATAATTTCCAATGTTTTATACTTAGCTATACTTATATTATAGTCCTTACTCACATTGGATATATGGAGCCAGATACGTGAGCGAAATGCTTTTCTTATCTGAGCATATTCTTCAGCCATGCTCAGTTTAGGCAGCTTGGCATGAGAGAATAGAGCACATAGCTGGCAGAGCAACTGGAATTTAAGGAGATATTCACATAAGCAAAGAGCTACAGTGAAGCAAAGCCCCATCTCTGCTCAAATCTTTGGCATAGAGAAGTATCACAGGGAGCCAAGAGAAAAAAAAACACCATCTAGAAGGCACGGGAACAGAACAAATGTATCGGCAGCTGCCTATCAAGGAAAAGATCACTTGCGGTTTGAATCCAGGTACGTTAGCTCTCTACTATTACAAAACCAAGAATTCGTGAAATCAAAAACCAGTATCATGTATTACTTACAGTGTCCACTTATCAACAAAAATATATCAGACATGCATATAAACAAAAAAAAATTTTAAAATTTGAACAAAATATAGATAATCATCTGTATGTACTGCAGAGTAACCACCTTAAGCATCAAGTTAACACAATGAGAAAAAAGTCTATACAACAAATGGTGCTAGATCAATTGCCTGCTCCCTTGTAAAAACTACCCCCAACCCCCACCTCATGCCATATACAAAATTACTTTAATTTGGATCATAGACCCAAACCTAAAAGATAAAGCCATAAAGCTTTTAGAAAAAAAAGTGACCTCAGCTTAGGAAAAGATTTCTTAGTACGAAAAAAGACTTTATCAGAATTTAAACTTCTGTACATACAAAGACCTCATTAAGTAAATGAAACATAAAGTCACAGGCAGAAAGTATTTAAAATAGATATCTCTGACATATAATTTTATCTTATATTCATATATAAGATACTTATATATACCTATTATATATATAAAACCTATTATCTATATATACCTAGTATATATGTAAAACCTATCATATATAATACCTATTATACATATATATATACCTGTTATATGTATAATAGGTATTATATAATACCTATTAATAGATATATAATGCCTATTATATATATAAAATAGATACCTATTACATGATAGGCATTATATAGTATATCTATTAATATAGAAATAATTTATATATAAATATATAAATTATCTTTTAATAGAAAAATACAATGGCTAGTATTCCAATAAAAAGGATAAAAGATTTGAACAGACTTTTCACAATAGAAGATAGACAAAAGGCAAATAAACTCTTGAAAAGTTGTTCACTGTCATTAGTCATCAAAGAAATACAAGTTTAAAGGATGAGATAACACTATACACAGGAGAAATGCTTACAATTTTAAAATGCTGTTGATGCCAAATGCTGGTGAGGAAAATATAAAGCTATTGCTGTTGGAAGTGTAAAATTGTAAAACAACTTTGCCAAACAGTTTAACAGTTTCTTAATTAGTTAAACGTACACGCACATCTTGGCATAGAAATTCCACTACCAAGTGTTTACCCAAAAGAAGCTAAAACATATGCCCATAAAAGGACAAGACTATACTTTGCAGCTTTAATCATATAATTCCACATTGAAAATGGTCAACTCCGCAATGAAAATATGTCCATCAACCAGGAAATGAATAGACTACTGTGGTATAATCAAACAATGGCTACTACATTGCAATAATATAGATTTATCAAGTGAAACATGCATAACAAACTGATGAATCTCAAACATATACTGAAAGGAATAAGCCAGGCAGGAAAAATTTGTACTATATGATTCCATTCATATGAAATTTGAGAAAAGGCAAGATTAAACACTGATGCTTCAAATAAAAATCTCTGTTACCTTTGGGGTGTAAAGGAACTGATGGAAACGGGCACATGAGAATTAGCTGGAGTAATGATGATATTTTACGTCTTAGTTGAGATGGTGATTACATAGGTATAGACAATTAGTTCCTTGACTCACGGAACTGAATATAAATTTTATGCCAATAAAAATAGTGTTTCTTCATGTGTCTGTAAAACTCTTACCTTTATTTAACATTTTAAAGGCTTAGAGTGTCATAAATCCTATCTCACTACTTTCTATTGCTTGGATGTATTATACATGGTTAAAGACAATATAGAAGAAAAGAAAGTTTCTTTGGTTTCTTTGGCTTTTCTTATTTTTAAAATATTAATTTTCTTTGATGGCTTAAGGCCAATTAGTCTTTTCTTCTTGCTATCTTTTTGCATTTGATAAATTCATTTTTATTTTTTAATTTTTGTGATATATAAGGGTATGATTCCCAGTAAATTTCCTCCATTATCTTCAAGGTTTTTTCTTATTTAATTTAATAACCTGCTCTAGTACCCAGTGGTTCCCTTCCTGACCCTTACTATTAATTCATCTTAGAAAAAGTCACTGATACCTACTGATTGCTGAGACTTGAGCCCAGAGTGGTTCTGACTGTAACATGAAGAGGATATTCAGTCTTAGTTCCCACATTCATGGGTGTCTCAAAATAGTCTTGGAGTCATTTGGCCTGGTAATCTGCGTGTCTGAAATGAGCCTTTGTAGACTTATAATTTTCAGATCACTTTCATGTATTATATTTCCACCATATAACTTCACTCTGCACAGTATTTTTTTTATTTTCTATTTGGCCTTACCTGAGGGTCAGAAAGATAAAGTGACTTATTTTTTCAAATAGCACAGTGCTAAGACTTCTTCACTTTAGTCAACAAATATTTGTTGAGTGCCCACTCTGTGTTTCACTTTTCCAGCAAATGAGACAGAAAAGGAATCTGCCTTCACGTTGCAGTTTTCTCCCGATTATTGCTACTTTAGCCTTGTCCATAAGAATGTGCTTCTGTCTTGAGAACTCCAACACTATGGTTGCTTTCTTTTTATCTTTCACAATCCCAAACTAATCTCTTGGTCTATTGTGCTGAGCCTACATGCCTAACTTCTGACGCCCAATTCATCTTGCACAGGAACCAAAGCAAATTAAACTACCAAAATGCTCAATCTGTCAGCAAAACCATGACTGGCCACCTCCTATTCATCTAATCAAATATTCAAATATTCCACATTGTTCCCTTTTGACAGGAAAGCTAATCTAAATACTGTGGGTCTCTCTTTTTCATCAAAGTAGTACACCAGTACTCTATCAATCACTACATTATTTTACTTTTTTTAATAGCTCATACAACTTTTAATTTACATTTGTTTATCAGCCTTTCCTTCCTAGTACATGAGCTACATCAGAGTAAGTCTCTTTTCTGTTTTATTCACTGGAATAATGACAAAGACAGAGTGAACAAGATAAATATGTAATAAGTACACTAAAGAGATCGTAGTGCTGTTGCAAACTAATTATTTGATGGAACAAGAGGCTGTATCTTTCTGAGTCTCAGGTACCTAAAATGCTAAATGAGAATAATCAAAATAACTGTGCATAGAGAGCTTTTAAACAAAAAATATAGAATATGAAAATGATTTCAAGATTATATAATTTCTAGTATATTTTTATTTTAAGTTACTTTTTTGGTCCCATTTTGAAGAGCATATAAATTGAGGTGCTACCCTGAAGTTGCTATAAGGCAATCAAAATTAAAATCTGAAAATAGTAATGATGTTTTAATATTCACTTATACTAAATTGGTACAGAATTAAGAAAACATACTGTACTTCTAAATATGGAAGAATTTAGCTTGTTCAGGCAGTCAGGAAGTGGAACAACTTCAAAAGTTGAAAAACCACAGAAACCAGTTTGTTTTCTCCAAGGTTAACTTGTCAAGTTCTGAGTGAATGAAGATTTCAGATCTAGCACAGCCTCCCCTGCTTAAACATAAGGCTGTACCCAAGATGCGTGGTATCCAGGGTGAGCGCAGACTGGCCTGGATCCTAAAATGATACTCTGTCTTAATTTCCATTGTCTCATTACTCAACTATCAGAAGGTTCTCAGGAGTAAATAACCTAATATATTAATTGCTATTCAGGTGCAGATGACTAACAATCACTCTTCTCTGGTCTCTCTTTCCTTTTTCCCTGGGATGGGAAAAAAAAGTACCTGTTAAACCAAGTGAACAAATTGTACAATAGCAGTTGGTAAGGGGGACTGACATAAAAGAAATTTACAGAATGGAAAACTTACTCTTAGAACTGAACAACTTTAGAGAACATTTAGTCTATTAACACTAATTCTATAAGCAAACAGCAACTAATGCTATAATTTACTGAGTATTTAATAGTAATTGTCTTCTCAACATCATCTGATCTGTTCAACATGTATGCATTATTATGCACATTTCGATGGATAATCACGTTAAAGTCACATAGTCAAAGTCACAAATGCGAAGTTTCATAACTCATAAGCCTAGAGTTGGGATTGAAGCAGAGGTCTTAGGTTTGCATTCTTCCAAAATGGAAACGTATCTGCTTAAAGATTCCAAAAACTGTAACATTGATTCTTCTGTATCTGGATAGTAAAATATTGGTTTTTAAAATGTCAATATCAATATATGACCAATAAGACTTGGAACAGTTTGTTGAGTAATTTTGAGCTTTTGGCAGTTGCTCCTTTGGGATGCATTTTTCGTATCATATTGACTCACATATAAGTCTTCACAATTTTGACCCAAATAAATATTATTTTCAAAAGTGGACTTTCCCTAGAGTAACCCTCCATTGGTGGAGTTTTCAGTATTCGAAAATCTTTAGGATGAGATTAATGATGTCGGTCACTCTGCATCATAAAGTTCTTATGATTTGTTCAGCAAATGGCAGTTTTTAATGAGCTCAGTTGCCTCAAAGATAAAAGTGTATTAAGGTATGCAAAATGATAAAGTGTTCATTGTACAGCACTAATCATATTGGCTTAACTGTTAATGTGGATTTTACTTTTATTAGACTTTAGTGGTAACTGAATATTTAAGTGTTTACTTAGCCTTTCCAAAATCATAGATCTGATGAGAAGATAGTGTCTTTAAACCTAGAACTTGGTGAGAGAGTGGAAGTCAGTATAAACTACACTCAAAAGGGAAAATTCCTATTTCTCAAGCCTACATTTCTTGCCAAGCTTTAGCAGGTGGTGAAGTCAGACAGAGCATGAATAACATACCCTCTATTTATGGCCAGTCTTATAATTGGAAGGTAGCAGCTGCCATCTGGCATAATTTTGGAAGGTGTTGAAAGGTCACCATGATCAAAATATTGTTAGGTTTCTCTTGTACTTTGGAGTCAGGTAATATTTATTGAGCTATAACTATGTGTCAAGTATTCTCCTGGGGGCTTTCACGTATGTTACCTTAACAAATATCTTACACAAACCCTATTTTAATCTTATTAGATCAACAAACTAAGGCTTGGAGAAACAAAGAAGTTGCTAAAGGTAGCCTAGACAATGCATAGGCAAACAGAGGTTTAAATACAACTCCTCTAACTCCAAGTTTTATATAAGGAATTCTTACTAATGTCCTCAGTATTCACAGGTCTTCAAGAGACAGATGCATTTTAGCCAGTTCCCTCTACAGCAATACCCAGAAAGTAGTGTCAACCAGTTATTATTTCAGCCCTAAAAAAAAGTCTGGTAAACCAAGGTACATTATGGTTTATATAAGTTCTATGTATAAAACCTAAAGGGAAATATTGATAAAGTAAAACCTCATCAATGATGGAAGACCAGTTTAATGAACAAAGTCCAAACTATTAAATATGTGATGCATTTGAAGAAAATAAGATGCGGTGCATAAAGAAGGCTGTGAGAAGGTCCATGTATGCCTTCAGGCATTTTGAAGAAGTAAAAGAGGTATATTTTTATGCGTTAAGATGACTGAACAGAGTAATGCATGATTAGAGATGTCTGAAATAGAATGTAGTTTCCTAGGAGGTGGTAACTGTTTTACAGATGTCCAAGAAAAGGGACAAAAAATGTTTCATAACAATGTGGAAGGATTCTACAAACAATGCATTGGTTGTGTTAACGTAACTTTAGGTTCTCCCTTCAACCATGAGACTCTATGATAATGAACAGTGTTAAATGCCTTTACGTGAAGTTTTGTAAAGCTTACAACAGAAGATAAAATATAAGAGATTTAAAAAATCTTCACTGAAGATAGTTTAGGGAAACTTGAATGGCTTAATGAAAGTGAGGCCACTCATTAGAGCTGGCTTGAAAGGCAAATTCTATGTATAAAATTTGCAAATGTGATTCAAGAACCAACTGGAGTTCCTGATCAAAAGAATTCCTGATTCTCTTTGTTCATGGAGTCTGAAATTTCAACATTGCAGACACATTCAGTTGTCTCATAGGGTCATTGATCTTCATGATTTATGTTAAAATGAATATACCCCTCAGGGGGGTGACACCACAAGCCCTTATCAACTAGTATTTTGGAGGAGTATGACAGCTAGATCAGAGTCCAAATCTGGGTGAATATGGCAGAAGATTAGTGTTGCAGCCTATGAGAAAAGGGACAAGAAAGGGAGAAAAATTAGAAAATAATTGGGAAAACAGAGACAGAAAGTCAGAAAGGCAAAGCTTTTAGAAGGACTTCAGGGATTATTGGTTTTCAATGACTCTTTTAACATGAGCTCTTCTTAACAGCCACCTCTGAAACTAACTACATGCATACTCCCCCACACACATTTTATACAATTTATTATTTGTAATCACACCTACACTTTCTCACAGAGTTAAAAGTATGCTTAATTTCTTTGAAAAATGATTTTGAAATATTATCTATTTACAAAAAAAGTAGAAAAAATGAAAATTGTTTAGTTTGATAGATTTTTATAAAGTGAACACACATGCATAAATAACACCCAGATAAAGAAGTATAATTGTAATTGTATATAAAAATCCCCTCTAATGCTCTCCAAATTACTAAGTCCTTTTCCTCTCCAAAGGGACTATCTTTCTGATTTCTAGCATTTATACATGAGTTTGGCTTATTCTTGACCTTTCTACAAGGGGCATAATTTGTCTTGAATTTGGCTTCTTTCACTCAGCAACATGTTTGTAAGATTCATACTGATTTAATCAATATCTTATTTATTTATTATTTCTACTTTTTGTGATTAGATTTGATGTATTTCCAAATAAAATCTTAGCAGAATCGTCTCTTTTAAAGAAATTGAGAAGACATTTATAAAATTTATTTAAAACTCTTCCCAGCGTAATGAGTACAAAAATACAGTTAGCATGATTAATATCTAGTATTTGGTATCACAGTAAGGTAACTAACTAATAATAAATTTAAAAATAACTAAAAGAGTGGGAACAGAATCTTCTAAAAGAAATAAATGATAAATGCCTGAGGTGATGGATATCTCAATTACCCTGATTTGATCATTATGCATTGGATGCTTGTATTAAAACATCACATGTGCCCCAATAAAAATATATATATTTACACATAACTATCTTGGACCCAAACTAATTTTTAGAAAAGGAAAATAAATATAGAAAAAGTCAAATGACCAAGACTGGCCAAAGCAAATTTTGAAAAAGAAGAATGAAATTAGAATACTGATTCCATGATTTACCAAAAAATTATATTGCTTGAGGTATTAGTGAAAAGAGAGATTATCTATGAAAAAGTATTTAGAATAAAGAAATACTCCCAAAAATATATAGTCAATTGACTTTTGACAAAAGTGCTGACGAAATTCAATGAAGAAATGAAAGTCTTTTCAACCAATGGTTCAGCAACAACTGGATGTCCATATGAAAAAATTATCTTTAGTTAACTTGAGTTCTTTCTTGCACCATAACAAAACTTAGGTCAAAATGTAAAAGCTAACACTATAATACACCAAGAAAAAAAAAAAACAGAAAAGTTTTGGAACCTTGACTAGGGAAATATTTATCACCTAAGATATACAAAGCATAGACCATAAAATAAAGCTTGATAACTTGTGTAGGTATTGAAATATAAAGAAAATAGAAGAAAGAAGAAGAAAGATGAAGGAAGAAGGGAAGAAGAAGAGGAGGAGTAGGAGGAAGAGGATGAGGAAGAAGAAGAAATAAATGTCCAAATGATACGGTTTGGCTATGTCCCCACCCAAATCTCATCTTGATTTATAGCTCCCATAACTCCCATATGTCATGGGGGCAGATCTTTCCAGAGCTTTTCTCATGATAGTAAATAGGTCTCACAAGATCTGATGGTTTTATAAAGGGGAGTTCCCCTACACAAGCTCTCTTGCCTGCTGCCATGTACAATGTGACTTTGCTATTCCTTTGCCTTCTGTCATGATTGTGAGGCCTCCGTGGCCAAGTGGAATTGTGAGTCAATTAAACCTCTTTCCATTATAAATTATCCAGTGCCGGGTATGTCTTTATTAGTACATGAGAACAGACTTATACAGTAAATTCATACCTGTAGAGTGGCGTGCTGCTGTAAAGATACCTGAAAATTTGGAAGTGACTTTGGAACTGGGTAGCAGGCAGAGGTTGGAACAGTTTGGAGGGCTCAGAAGAAGATAGGAAATGTGGGAACATTTGGAACTTCCTAGAGACTTGTTGAATGGTTTTAACCAAAATGCTGATTGTAATATGGACAATAAAGTCCAGGCTGAGGTGGTCTCAGGGGGAGATGAGAAATTTGTTGGGAAGTGGAGCAAAGGTGACTCTTGTTATGCCTTAGCAAAGAGACTGGTGACATTTTGGCCCTGCCCTAGAGATCTGTGGAACTTGGAACTTGAGAAAGATGATTTAGAGTATTTGGTGGAAGAAATTTCTAAGCTGCAAAGCATTCAAAAGGTGCTTTGGGTGCTGTTAAAAGCATTCAGTTTCATGTATTCACAAAGATACAATTTGGAATTGGAACTTATATTTAAAAGGGAAGCAGACATTAAAAGTTTGGAAAATTTGCAGCCTGATGATGCAGTAGAAAAGAAAAACCCATTTTCTAAGGAGAAATTCAAGCCTGCTGCAGAAATTTGCCTAAGTAACCATGAGTTGAATGTTAATCATCAAGACAATGGGGAAAATGTCTCCAAGGCATATCAAAGACCTTTGTGGCAGCCCCACCCATCACAGGCCCAGAGTCCTAGGAGGAAAAGATGGTTTCCTGGGTGGAGCCCAGGGACCCCATGCTGTGTGCAGCCTAGAGATTTGGTGCCTTGCATCCCAGCTGCTCCAGCTGTGGCTAAAAGGGGCCAAGGTACAGCTTGGGCATGGCTTTAGAGTATAAAAGCCCCAATCCTTGGCAGCTTCCACATGGTGTTTAGCCTCTGGATGCACAGAAGTTAAGAATTGAGGTTTGGGAAACTCTGCCTAGATTTCAGTGAATGGATGGAAATGCCTGGATATCCAAGCTAAAGATTGCTGCAGGAGCAGAGCCCTCATGAAGAACCTCTTCCAAGGCAGTGAGGGAGAGGTATGCAGGGTAGGAGCCCCCCACACAGAGTCACCACTGGAACACTGAGTAGTGGAGCTCTGAAAAGAGGACCACCATCCTCCAGACCCCAGAATGGTAGATCCACTTACAGCTTTCACTATGTGCCTGAAAAGCCACAGGTACTCAATACCAGTCTGTGAAAGCAGCCAGGAGAGGGCTGTACCCTGCAAAGCAACAGAAGTGGAGCTGCCCAAGGTCATGGGAGCCCACCTCTTGCATCAGCGTGACCTAGATGTGAGACACAGAGTCAAAGGAGATCGTTTTGGAGCTGTAAGATCTCATTGCCCCACCAGATTTCAGACTTGCATGGGGCCTGTAGAGCCTTCATTTTGGCCAATTTCTCCTATTTGCAACAGGTGTATTTACCCAATGCCTGTACCTCCTTTGTATCCAGGAAGTAACTAACTTGCTTTTGATCTTACAGGCTCATAGGCAGAAGAGACTTGCCTTTTCTCAGATGAGACTTTGGACTGTGGACTTTTGAGTTAATGCTGAACTGAGTTAAGACTTTGGGGGACTGTTGGGAAGGCATGATTGGTTTTGAAATGTGAGGACATGAGATTTGGGAAGAGCCTGGGGTGAAATTACATGGTTTGGGTGAGTCCCCAATGAAATCTCATCTTGAGTTGTAGCTCTCATAATTGCCACATGTCATGAGAGGGATCTGGTGGGAAGTAATTAAATCATAAGGGCAGGTCTTTCCCATGCTGTTCTTGTGGTAGTGAATAAGTCTCATGAGATCTGATGGTTTTATAAAAGGGAGTTCCCCTATACAAGCTCTCTTGCCTGCCACCGTGTAAGACATAACTTTGCTCCTCCTTTGCCTCCTGCCATGATTGTCAGGCCTCCCCAGCCATGCTGAACTGTGGGTCAATTAAACCTCTTTCCTTTATAAATTACCCAGTCTTGTGTATGCTTTTATTCGCAGCTTCAAAACAGACTAATACACCAAGCATCCACCTAGGCAAGGTGGGAGAGGGAATACTTGCAATATATATATCTAACAAAGAATTTCTAACTAGAATATATAAGACATTTTTCAAATTACTTGTAAGAAGATGGCATATTATAAAATGGGCAAAAATTAAACACTATACAAAGGATCATATATAAGCAGTAAGTATGTGAAAATGATGACCATTATTCACTGTGACAATTCATGTTAAAATCTCATAGATATTGCACTACACATCCACGAAAAGAGCCAACAATTAAAAGACTGTTATTTCCAAGTACAGGAGAGGATGTGGAAGCATGCTATATAATAAGTAACACAGAGAAAAAAAAATACAATACTCAGCTAGATTAGCTAATTTTAGCTAATGCAGATCTGCATATATAAAATTGTATGTGCACACATTAGCTTAGATATGAGTTCACAGGTGATAAAGCAATGAATCTCTAATAGTTTTAGCAGGAAGTGGATGTGAAATTATGTCAGAGGTAGAGAACTAAGACTTGTTTTTCATAGAAAAATGCATATGAACGTAAAAGTATATATGAACATTCTTGTATAAATAAGCAGTTCTTCCAAGTTTTTTTAAGTAGCAAATGACCTTTTTGAATGTTTTACTTTATTTTTTGATTGAAAAATAAAATTGTATATATTCATCACATACAAAACTTTTTGAAATATATATACACATGAAATGGCTAAATTGGGCTAATTAACATATCTGTTTCCTCACAGTTATAATTGTTGTGGTGAAAACATTTAAACTCTACTACCTTAGCCTTTTTCAAGATTACAATATATTATTAACTATAGTCATGATGTTGTAGAATGGATTTCTTGAACTTATCACCCCTAAGTGTCCATCAACAATGAATGGATAAAGAAAATATGGTATATATACACAATGGAATACTATTCAGCATTAAAAAAAGGGAATTATATCATGCACTACAACACGAGTGAACCTATGTTAAGTGAAATAAGCCAGACACAGAAAGACAAATGCCTGATTATTGTATTTATATGTGGAAGTTGAAGAAGTTGAATTCACAGAAGTAGAGAATAGAATGATGGAGATAACACCACCAAGTGCTGGGAGGAACTTTGATAGGTCCAGAAGCTTTTAAAACGAATTTTTATATTAAAGGGCTAGGAATAGAGAACTAGGAAGAAAACAAAAGAGAGCATTTTTTTTTTAATTTAGACACATTACTTAGCAAAATAGTACCGAATTTTTCTATAGAGGTCCATATATCACAGTAACCAGAAGCATTTTCATTAAAAAATTCTCCATAGACATAAAACAGCTAAATATAATTACAGTTGTAGAATAATGCCATCTCAATCATTTCCCCATTTATTTGAAATTTGATTTAACAGCAAAACTCAAAGGGGGCGTGAGGGTGAATAGCTAGCAAAAGAAATTTCTCTGCGGGAGGCAATCATCAAAAAAACTTGTAGTTACCAGTTGTTCCGCCCTACTTCTCATATTCTCATTTGGCTTTTTGCCCAGATTTGCATAAATCACTAGTAATGGCCAAAACAATTCATGAATATAGAAAAAAATAACAAATAAAAAAATGGAGGAAGGAAAAAATAAACTCATGAAAAAAAAAAACATCAGTTCTTAATTATTGGAACACTAATGAAAACAGTGAATCAAATAAATAGTTTGTTCTCAAAGTGTTGTCATGCAAAACACAATAAACATGAAAGTTCCTGAAATAACACTTCATAGCAAGAGGAAAAAAATGCCCTGTAACAGTCCTTGAAAGAAAAAATTCATTAGTATTTCACTTTATCATTCCTGGTTTCAGGTTCCAGTCTAATCTCCATAGAAATGGAATTCCGATTGGACCTCAGAGATATCTTACAAGTACACTGTAATCCCAACTTGAGGGAGAAGTTCGAGTTAACTGAAATTCAGTTTACCCTCATGGGAGCAGTTGGGCTGAACTACTAAGAGGAACCAAATTTAAGTTCTTAAAAATGGCCAGGATGAATTCTAAAATAAAACAACAGAGCTAATATTAAAATATAAAGAAAAATCCTTCTTTCTTTCTTTCTTTCTTTCTTTCTTTCTTTCTTTCTTTCTTTCTTTCTTTCTTTCTTTCTTTTTCTTTTCTTTCTTCTCTTTCTCTTTCTTTCTTCTTCCTTTCTTCTCTCTCTCCTCTTTCTCTTTCTTTCCTTACTATTTTTTTTTTGTTTTTACCCTGAGCAGCCTATCTCTCTCTTTTTTTTTTTTTTTCACAAATGTGAAGTGATTATGAGAATGCAGAGGAAAAAAAATGCCGGTAAACAACAACGAGTAAATCATCTTTATAATCAGTAAAACACATATTTAATAACAATTCTAACACAAGGACTTATGTGCCTAAGATAGCCACAGATACCCAGTTTATAATTTTATTTTAGCCGACATTAGGTTCTTTATGATTGCCAATAATAAACCATTGTTCTAATTTTGATGATTTAATTTCTTTTTTAAATGTTTGTCTTTTTTTACTAAAGTATAATATTTTTAAAACTCATTTAAAGAAATTTGGACACATTGTTTGATATGACAGTCCTTTCTTTTTTTTTAAATTTTCTATAGAAATTATCTCTTTTCCATTTCAAAATATCTGGCACTGAGTAAGTTTTTTCTTACACAGTTCAAGATACAGTAATACAGTCAGCCTGAGTACCCATATTACCTCGCTGATCTTTAAAATACTTCTATGCACTTAGAATGATTTTAAAAATCTGTTTTTACTGTTTTTGGAGTCTAATAGAGTGGAGTTTAAGTAGTGGCTTTGTCATTTTTTCTGGGTGGGTTGTTGAATCTTTTGTAGTACTGTTTCCTCAATCATGAAATAATTTGGAAGTGAAGATCGAATGGTAGGTATAATGTATGTGAAGCTCCTAGAACACTAGCTGGGAGACACCTCTTTAAACAGCCGTACGCCACAGCCCTTCTCTTTTGTGGGATTGGCTTTGAAGACACAGAACAGAACTTTGAGTGGCTACTTCAGTGCCATCTGATCTTGCTCTGGGTATAGTTAATTTATCTGGCTTGGATCTGGGCCAGGCAGATTCTCTGTCTAAGAAACTGGAACTGAGAATAGAGAGCACAAAGCTTGGGAGGTTCTCTGTCTGAGTCACTTTACATGAAGACCCTCCAGGGAGAAGTAGTAGGTCTTGCTGCTGAGGCTCCCAGAACTGGCCTAGTCCCTTCCCATCCTGATGCTTTGTCTCTGATCTTGTAATAAATCACAATTATCCTGCCCCATCAATATGTATGTTTTGCCCCCTCCTTTTATTTTGCCTTAAGCTAGAAAAAAATGCAGGTGCTCTAAATGAATATTAACTGACATTTAAATATGTATGGAAGAGTATGTTGTAGAAACAGACCTTCAGTGAAATGTGGGCTATTTAGAATCGGTGATGATTATGTGAAAGGCCACAAGACTATCTTCCATGTAATTGGAAGAAAGCTAGCAACCTAGAAACAGTTCATTACAGTTATTACCAAGGGATAAAGCTCTAAGAGAGTTGATCCCTTGGAGAGAGAAATGCCATTCTTGAAGGATTGGATGGTCAATCTGATCCTGATTGCATTGTATAAAATGACTGCTGAACCAATGTTCTATTGCTTTTTTTAGCAGTTAGGCTATGATCCTTGAAAACTAAATACAGAAATGTATTCATTTAGTTTATTTGATTGCTTTAACTTAATAAATGAACTATCGATAGTTATAAAACATATATTGTGTTATTGGTCAAATAGAATTAGACTTTTGAAGATTAGATGAAGAATTTCTTATATGCACTCAGAGACTGTATCAACAGTCCTGCTGTCCTACCTCCCCTCATATCTATATTAAGTACTTAACTTGGGTCACTCTTATTGAAGGAACTACCAAATCAACTGATGCCTCACCCCTCATTGTCATTTGTTAAGAGATTATTTTCAAAATCGCTCTATCTGGAAATATAATGAGCAGTATCAGAATAACGATCAAAGTGTTTACATTTGTAATTTACCAAGGAATATCATAAAACTGGTAGCAGAGTGGGTGGGAAGTTAGAATCAGTGCTTAGAGATTTTGAAGTATCTTAACCAGGAGGATGGAACATAGATAATGACTGCATTTAATGTCTTACATTGAACAACTATCTAACCCTTTAAAAAGTTTGCTAATGCAAACATGAACACCATGCCTGATTGTTCCCCATGTTATTGATTGATCAGATCATCGTTACCCAATACAGAGAAAGGGATTAAAAGATTTCAGAGAACAAACATGTTTGAATGAGTCCGCCATGTGCTTCCTGAGCCACTCTTGGCTTCAGAACATACTAGGAAGAGAAGTGCCCAGATCTTCTAAAAAGCCTACCCTAGTTCTTCTGGCTATATGCCTGTCCTGAAAAGGTCAGGCATATCAGAAGAGAAAAGCTTCAACTGAGTAAGATTGTTGATCTACCACTGAATATAAGGTGCTGTGTGCACAGGGTCCACATGGCAGTAGTTTACCACAAGTGAAAATTCAGCAACGTGAATGTGGTACCTGGTTTGGGAAATGATTCAATCCATCCTATCAAGGATAATATGTATCAATGTATTACAAAGTCCTGTCAGTTCTTTCTGCAAAATAGGTCCCTCTTGCTACCACATCCAACTCTACTAACCTAGTGCAAGCAATCATTATATTTTGCCTGGAAAACTGCAATGCCTCCAAACCAGTTTCTGTTTTCACCTTTCTCCACTATAAACAGTTACTAAGGAGGAACCAGAATGATTATGTAATAACATAAATCCAATCATGGCCACCATCTGAGTTTTAGTTGCATCTAGAGTGAAACCGAATTCCTTTAAAAATATTTCATGCCCTCACCTGTCCCATATATTTCTCCTTTTACATAAAATATTATTGAATCACATAATTATTTTGCCTATAATTTTAATTTATGTAATTTTATGTGTATTCCTTTATGTGTGTGCGTGTCTGTATACATATTTTGAGTGGGCAAGGTATAAGCTTGGAAGCAATATCCAAAATACATGTATCTGGCCAAAGACTTGTGTTCAGATAATACAAGGAACTCCTAGCGATAAAAATAAATAAATTACAAATCCAATTTAAAAATGGGCAAAAGATTTAAGCATACACTTCCCAATAAAGCATATGCAAATGTCAGTAAACAAATGTAAAGTTGTTAAATATATTTGGTCCTCAGAGAAATGCCCTCAATATGGTAAAACAGATTAATAATGACAAAAAATTTAATAGCTTAACTGTTCTAAGTATCTGGACATTTTATACATGCCATGTGTTACTTATGGCCCTAACAAGCCCAGGATCAAGGAAGATGTAAAACAGCTCAGGCAAAAGAAGCATGAAATGGTACAGAGCATTGGCTTCAACAAAAGACTTATGTAAGTTCAAGCAGAATGTCCTGTGGGTTCTATCAACCTGCTGTCTGAAGGAATTTATTCCAATAAAGCTTATAACTAGCTCATTTTCCTTTTCCTCTAAAGCAAAATTTTAAGTGTTAGCTTTTGTGCTTGGCACTGGAAATAAAAAGATGAATAAGACTACATGTGATTTCCAAGAGTTTACAGTAAATGTAAGAAAGAGAGCTGCTTAAATGATAAACATCACATAGTATGGGAAGTACTTAAACAAAAGTTTGCCTTAGGTGTTATGGGTCTACAGAGGAAAGAACTGACTCTATCTGGGTGAGTCTAGAAATACTTTGCCAAAGAGAAAACATCTGAACAGAATTGAATGATAATTAGGCATTGTCCACAAAGAGAAGAGACAAAAAACCATTAAGGCAGTGAAACTAGCATCTCAAGTCATAGATATGTGAAAGACCATATAAAGGCATTAATATGGTAAAATATAGACATTTTGGGCGAGGTAGAAACACTGTGGTAAATGGAATGAAAAGGGTAGGCACAAGAAGAGTCATGCCTATTTGTACTGTCTGGACCATATTCTCCAGTTAATGATGGTTTCAGTATGGGAATATTTTGGAAAAATTGATGGTTTAGAACTTGTGATAGATAGAATAATGGCCTCTCCTCAAAAGATGTTCACCCAATTCTCAGAAACTGAATGTGTTACCTTACATGGCAAAAGGACTTTGCAGATGTGATTAACTGGAGGATTTTGAAATCAGAACATAATTTTGAATTATCTGGATGGCTCTAATATATTCACAGGTCCTAAAATGTGGAATAAGAAGGCAGAAGAGGGAAGCAAGAGAGGTTTGACTACGGAAAAGGAAGCTAGACTGTTGCAATGTGAAGAAGACTTAATATACTATTGCTGGCTGATGCAATGTGAAGAAGACTTAACTTGCTATTGCTGGCTTTGATGGTGGAGGAAGAGGGCTACTAGTCCAGGAATGTGCGCAGCCTGTAGAAGCTGGAAAAGGCAGGGAAAGCAGTTTGTGCAGCCCTGCTAACACGTTAATTCTAACCCAGTAAGAACTATTTCAGACTTCTAGCTTTCAGGACTGTAAGATAATAAACTGTTGTTGTTTTAAATCATTAAGTTTATAGTAATTTCATACAGTAGTCATATAAAATGAACACAAATATATGGAGATGAAAGGATATTGTGGATAAGCAAAGCCCTCCCTGGTTTCTTCTTGGATATGGCTTTTTCCATATTTTAGACTCTGTGGCTGAAAACAGGCCCTTGAACACTGTCCAGATACGGGTGTTTATTATAGTACAATAAATGCAAGAAGAACACAGTCTTTGAAGCCAGATACACCTGAGTTATCACCTCAAATCTGTCATACATTTACTCTATAAGCTTAGGATACATAAAGTACAATGAGCTGAGACTTGTTCAGGTTTCTCACCCACAAAATAAGAAGGATAGTAATTCTCTCATTGAGCTGCTGGGACACCTCCGCTACCATAATCATCGCTATTCCCACCGGCGTCAAAGTATTTAGCTGACTCGCTACACTCCACGGAAGCAATATGAAATGATCTGCTGCGGTGCTCTGAGCCCTGGGATTCATTTTTCTCTTCACTGTAGGCGGCCTAACTGGCATTGTATTAGCAAACTCATCACTAGACATCGTACTACACGACACATACTACGTCGTAGCCCACTTCCACTACGTCCTATCAATAGGAGCTGTATTCGCCATCATAGGGGGCTTCATTCACTGATTTCCCCTATTCTCAGGCTACACCCTAGACCAAACCTACGCTAAAATCCATTTCGCTATCATATTCATCGGCGTAAACCTAACTTTCTTCCCACAACACTTTCTTGGCCTATCTGGAATACCCCGACGTTACTCGGACTACCCCGATGCATACACCACATGAAATATCCTATCATCTGTAGGCTCATTCATTTCCCTAACAGCAGTAATATTAATAATTTTCATGATTTGAGAAGCCTTCGCTTCAAAGCGAAAAGTCCTAATAATAGAAGAACCCTCCATAAACCTGGAGTGACTATATGGATGCGCCCCACCCTACCACACATTCGAAGAACCCGTATACATAAAATCTAGACAAAAAAGGAAGGAATCGAACCCCCTGGGAGTATTACCTAAATGAATGCTTATGAAAGATTCCAGCACAATAGCTGAGTGCACATACTAACACATGTTAATTCTTACTTACCTTTCAACATCTCACAGTAAAGTTAAATCTGGATATTTATGAAAATACGTAACAGCCTGGATATATATGAAATAACAATCCAGGCTGTTCATTAAGATAATGAGCAATTGATGTAAAATAACAAGGCTAGCAGAGATGGATTAAAGAAATAATCTGGAATTTGATGGTAATAATATACGAGGGGATAGTATTGTGCACCTCCACAAAGAAACACACACAGAGAAACACGGAAATAAACTGCATGATTGGATGGATTTGGACACTTTTTTTTTCTGGAAATGTGCTGCCATAGAGCTAGAGAAAGAAATGAAAACTGAATTGACCCCCTTTCCAGAGCTTTACAAACTCACTCAAATGTGTGGGATGAATATGTACAAGGCAGTTCTAGTGAGATTTACAGGTCAAATCTAAATTCTTCCTTGAGGAGCTTGGATTTGTTGTTTGTTTTGTTTTGTTATGTTCACCCAACAGGGATTTATTTTTAACTTCCCTTAGTTTTGTAACAGTATCTCAGGCAACAGTCTAGGTTTTTAATTAAAAATCTCAAGTTGGTATCCCAGCTGAACAGCTTAGTTTTATACCACTGAACCAGACAGAAGCCATGGTGGAATGCCTCCATCCCCAAAGACCTTATCTCTATGGGGTGCTCCACTTGCCATATGCCACATCACATTTTTCACAAAGGGGTGCTTTGCTTCTATCTCCTTCAGACCTAAGTAAAAAATATGTTTCTATCTTTTTGAGGAGCCTATACATCTTAGAAAGGCAATACACCTAAAGCTAATCATTCTCAAATATTTGATTTATTGATCATTCTAACAATTGCACAAGTAAAAGGAGAATGTTAAAAGCAACATCACATGTAAAATACTAATATTACATAAAAGTACACTCTCAAAATTATTTTGTTTCTTTTATACAACAAATAAAAATAAGCAATTACTTTTTCTATTTTACAAATGAGAAAATTCAATTTCTGAGTTTTAAGACCAATACTGAATACCTTCACCCTCATAAACAGCAAAGCAAGAACTTGATTCCCACTGTCCACCATAGCTGAGAACTAAATTCTGGCCACTGTAATCAAAGACCTTCTTTAAACTTGTATATTAATGCTTTCTTTAATTACATATATTTTGTGAACATTGTTTTCTCTAGGATAACATTTAAGTCTCATGACAAAAATAACACATTTTAATATGTGTGAGTATTCATTTGTAAACAATGATTTGAAGTAAGAAGAGATCTGAATACTTTTCTAGACTTTGAGAGCAACTTCGTGAATAATTATAGGGATATCAAGTAATTTCTTTGGGTATTTTAATTCCAATTTGTAAAATGAGAAGACTGAGTTAGGGTGGCTTGGCTAGTTTTATTCTTTAAACACTGCACATTGCATGATGCTCAATCCTTGTAACCTATTGTTGAGATTCAATAACTAGGGTATCTACTAATAATAGGGCTAAAAAATTTTTATTTCCTTTTCCAGCTCCTATATGTTTAAGTAAATCCTTATATAGACACAGCATTATTTCTATTTTTAGAGACATCTTCTTTAGCATCATAGTATGAATGTTATATTGGGACCACTCTTTGATGTATTTTTTTTTTCAGGTAAAATTTGGGTTTTGAAAAGATTTTTTTCAAAGTGATTTTTTTTTTTTTTTTTTTGAGATGGAGTCTCACTCTGTTGCCAGGCTGGAGTGCAGTGGCGTGATCTCAGCTCACTGCAATCTCCGCCTCCTGGGTTCAAGGGATTCCCCTGCCTCAGCCTCCCGAGTAGCTGGGACTACAGGCGTGCACCACCATGCCAAGCTAATTTTTTGTATTTTAGTGGAGACAGGTTTCACCATGTTGGCCCAGATGGTCTCAATCTCCTGACCTCGTGATCCACCTGCTTCAGCCTCCCAAAGTCCTGGGATTACAGGCGTGAGCCAGCGCACCCAGCCTCAAAGTAATTTCTATAAATTAAGTGCTATTACTATTAATAGGGTTATTCAGAGGAGATATACAAGGTATTCTCTACTATCAATACCTTACAAGGGTTACAGAAACCATATTTTATATAGGTTTGTGTATATATAGGAAATTATTAGAGAAGAGGGGTAAAGGCTAAACGATGAACTGATGCTACTTGGAAATAAGAATTATTAGTATGCTTCTCAGTTGGAATATCTAAAAGACATCTGGAGTAGGAATAAGTATCATTCCAAAACACAGTCTGTTTATTTTCAACTAATGGTTTGGTGGGCTAATAGCAAAACAGCTTCACACATCGGGACTCTAAGAAATCATTATTTTGTTTGTCTTTATTATAAGCCATGTGTGTATTTTTATCTCCCTTTGTTACCCTCAACTTGATCCAACAGTTATTTTTTATCACATCACTGACACACAAGAATACCTTAAGGACTATCTTTGAATTTCAACCTAAATAGTAGAGTCCCCTTCCCTGCTAGATTATACATTAACTCATGCAGTTGTGGAAGTAAAATTTATTGATAAAAGAGCACATTTCAGATGTAGCTAGAGTAGTCAGCCACTACTATCTGAATATCAATTTCCTTATTTAAGAGAGTAACAATAAAGTTAGTCACAAGTATTAAACAGTTAATTGTTGAACACCTGCCACTGAAGGCCTTCCTGGGGAATCTCTTGAAGCTTTTCTAAAACTTTAATCATACCAGTATGAAATAGAATCTCAGGCTGACCAAGATGGCCAACTGGCTAGGGTGTACCACTTTCATGAAGAGAAATAGACAGGGTGAGTAAATATAGCACCTTCAACTGAAACATCCAGGTACATGCATTGGGATTCATCAAGAAAACAACTCAACTCACAGAGAACAGAGAAAAGCAAGGCTGGATGACATCCCACCCAGGAATAACATGGAGCCAGGGAGCCTCCTTCATCCAGGGAAGTGGTGAGTGAGTGAGCAACCCTAGGGACCCGTGCTTTTCCCATGGATCTTTACAACCCTTCTGGACATAGGAACAGGAGAAATTTTAGTGATGAAGATGGCACAAGCAGTTGCAACAAAAGCAAAAAATGACAAATTGGATCTAATTAAAGAGTTTGTGTACAGCAAAACAAACCACCAACAGAGTAAACAGACAATCTACAGAATGGGAGAAAATGATTGAAAATGATACATCCGACAAAGGTCTAATATCCAACATCTATAAGGAACTTAAGCAAATTTACAAAGAAAAGAAAAAAAAAACAAACCCATTAAAAAGTGGGCAAAGGACATGAACAGACACTTCTGAAGAAAAGACATACATGGGGCCAACAAGCATATGAGAAAAAGCTCAACATCACCAATCATTAGAGAAGTGCAAATCAAAACCACAATGAAATACCATCTCACATCAGTCAGAAAGGCTATTATTAAACATTCAAAAAATAACAGATGGTGACAAGGTTGTAGAGAAAGGTAATGCTTATACCCTGTTGGTGGGAGTGTAAATTAGTTCAATCATTGTGGAAAGCAGTTTAGCAATTTCTTAAAGACCTAAAAACAGAACTACCATTGGACCCAGCAATCCCATTACTTCGTATATACCCAAAGAAATATAAATTGTTCAATAAAGATACATGCATGTGTATATTCATTGAAGCACTATTCACAATATCAAAGTTGTGAAATGCACCTAAATTTCCATCAATGGCAGGTTGGATAAAGAAAATGTGGTACGTATACACCATGGAATATTGTGAAGCCATAAAAAAGAACAAAATCATAGTCTTTGCAAGAATATGAATGGAACTAGAAGTCATTATCCTTAGCAAAGTTACACAGGAACAAAAAAACCAAATACCACATGTTCTCACTTATAAGTGGAAGCTAAATGATGAGAACACATGGACACAAAATGGGGAACCACAGATACTGGGGACTACTGGATGGTGAAGACTGGCAGAAGGGAGAGGTTCAGAAAAAACAACAAAACTATTGCCTTCTAGGCTCAGTACTTGGGTGATGGAATAATCAGTACCACAAACTCCCATGACACGAGTACTTACATAACAAACCCACCTCTGAATCTTAAATAAAAGTGTTTTAACTTTTAAACTTTTGGTTTGACTCTGTCCCCAAACAAATATCATATCTAACTGTAATTCCCAGTGTTGGAGGAGGGACCTGATGGGAGGTGACTGGATCATGTGAGTGGGTTTCTCCCTAGCTGTTCTTGTGGTAGTGGGTGAGTTCTCAGGAGATCTGGTTGTTTAAAAATGTGTAGCACTTCTGCCTTTGCTTGCTCTCTCTCTCTCTCTCTCTCTGTCTCTCCTGCTCCACCATGGCAAGAGGTGCTTGCTTCCCCTTCACCTTCCATCATGATTGTAAGTTTCCTAAGGTCTCCCAGTCATGCTTCCTGTTAAGCTGCAGAACTGTGAGTCAATTAAACCTCTTTTCTTTACACATTATCCAGTCTCAGTTAGTTCTTTATAGCAGTGTGAGAACAGATTAATAAACTCTCATCTCTTATTATTTCTTCCAACAAATGTAGAAACCACTGCTCCAGTCTAGACTTCTCAGAGATCTCCTATTGTTAGTATCACTATTATTTTATAAAGCCATTTGAATCCTAGGTGGTTGATAGGATGTTTATTCTAATTTCTTTCCCCCTGTAGATCTTCTAGGATTTCTAATTGGGTAGGATGGATTTATAATTTCTGTACTGGAAATTTTTCCATAATTATGATAAAACCTGAAAAAGGTTGACTAACTTATTCTATTCCTATTTCCTCAAATCCCGCCAGTAACTTGTATTGTTGCTCAAGTTATCATTCTGAAATGCCTATCTGGCCATGACCTTAAATGTGTTTATGTCTATTATTGTTTCAAGAGTATTAGTGGAAGTTCCTCACCTTAGCACAAATATCCATTCATAATGAAGTTCTTACCATTATCTCTAATTTCTTCCCTTCCACTTATTTTTCTTGCAGGCTTCATTTCAAACATATGTTGCTTTATGCCATTGTATCTTTATGCATTTTATTCCCTCTATGAAGAGTATTCGTTACTTCCTTTTCTACCATTTGACTTCCACTTAACTTTACAAAACACTTCACTCTGTTAAGTCTAAATTACGTGTTGCAAAAGCATCTTGTGAATTCCACAGAATGAAATACTTTTCACACCGTGCTTAAATGAATCATTAGGTTATTTGCTTGCATATTTCGTAAGGCCACAGAACCCTGTGATTGGGAAATATATCTCAATTACAATTTTATCCTGCTTATTCAGAAATTAATCAAACTATAGCTTTATTTTGGTCAGATCTTGACTTTCACACCTGCATATAAACATTTGCATGTGTGTGTTTGATAGACGACTCTAACACAACTTGTGCAAAATTGAGATTTCCTTTCCTTAGGAAACAGTATTCTCTTTCTATATCCCCGTTTTATTTTTGTTTTTGTTTTTGTTTTGAGACGAAGTCTCACTCTGTTGCCCAGGCTGGAGTGCAACGGCACGATCTCCGCTCACTGCAAACTCAGCCTCCCAGGTTCAAGCGATTCTCCCGTCTCAGCCTCCTGAGTAGCTGGGATTACAGGCACCTGCCATCATGCCTGGCTAATTTTTGTATTTTAGTAGAGACAGGGTTTTACCAGGTTGGCCAGGCTGGTCTTGAACTCCTGACCTCAGGTGATCCACCTGCCTCAGCCTCCTAAAGTGCTAGGATTATAGGCGTGAGCCACTGCACCCAGCCTAATTTTTTGTATTTTTAGTAGAGATGGGGTTTCACCATTTTGGCCAGGCTGGTCTCGAACTCCAGACCTTAAGTGATCCACCCACCTTGGCCTCCCAAAATGCTGGGATTACAGGCATGAGCCACTACACCTGGCCTCTATATCCATTTTTTAATAAGCAGCAACAGCATCCTCTCAATTTACTTAGACAGAAATTTCAAAGTCATGCTTCACACTTCTGTGTCCTCACCACAGCCTACTCCTTGCCAAATTGTCACCCTTCATGTGTCCTTGGATCTCCAAACTCAAGATCTGTGCATCCCCACTGCCATAGCTTTAGGACCAGGTGCTGACAATAATTCCTGAATTAATAATATTCTGAAAGCTGGATTCTCTGCTCTTAGATATACCTCCTCCAATCTCCTAAGAAGGATATTCTTAGGATATTTCATAAGACAACCAAAGTGATCTTCCTAAAGTACACATCTGATTGTATCCATGCTATAGCCCCCAAATTTTGTGATGATCTTCTGTTGTCTTTCAAACAGAAAGTGTTCAAGTGGCTCACTGTGACTAGAAAGAGCATTTTCCACCTAAAACATATTTACCTCTTCAGTTTTATTTTTATCTACTTTATGTATAAAACTATTAGCAAATCAAAATGAATTCCTTGCAGTTTTCCCAAATATGTTTTCTGTCACCTTTAAATATTTGTCTGTGCTGATGCATGTGCCTGCAAAGCTTTCTCTATCTCTCTTTGCTCCACTATCTACTATTCTTTATTCATACCTCAGTTAGATATCACTCTTCTGGAAAGTTTACATGGCCACCTACTGTGTTATTTCCCTCAATAGTGGGGCAGAACACATTTGCGTTGGTTCACAAAGTAAAATATTCAAGAACCTTGTGAACAGGTGTCAAATTACTGGTGGTTTGAAATCAGTCATGGTGGAAATGTTTACAGTGTGGAAATTAACAAACACTACACAAATCAGGTTTTTAAAAAATTCCCCCAAGAGCCAATTGACCAGTACAGTAGTGTATCTAATTAGAATGCAGCTGTTTCACTGCTTATCTTCATTGTAGCATTCCACATTTTATCTTGTAATTGTCTGTTTACTAGCTTGTCTTCCCATAAGTTGTAAGATAGTTAAGGATAGGGATAGTTCATTTTCTTTTCTTTTGTTGTGTTATTAGGTGTAATGCCTATGTGACATACCTGAATTTCTACCCTGTCCTAACTCTGCTTATCTTTTAGAAACAGGACTTCTGTGATCAAAAGTTTCCTTTGTAACCAGGCCACCTGAGACTAGTTAGAACCAAGATAGCCAACCGTTGACTTCAAACGGACCTCAGGCTTCATTATAATGTAATTTCCATGTTAAATGACACTCCTACCAGTGCCAGGATAGTTAACAATTGGCATAATAATGACTGTAAGGAGCCACAAAAAGACAAAAAGGAGGGCAGCACTCTGGTTCTGAGAAGTTTACAGCCCATTTCCAGAAAAGCCACGAATATTCCTCGCCTTGCTTTTAATATTCAACATTTTCTTTAGAGGCATTCTGTATTTTAATCCTCTCATTTTTCATTTGTTGAGAAGTTGATTTGTGAGCCATTCTCCCATTTTCAGTTCCATGGCAATCAAATAAAGCTTGCACTGTTTGACACTTACTTTCAGTTTCATGTGTTGGCTTCATGACACTGAACAGGGAAAGACCTCATCTTTGGGGAAACCAGCTTTATTGGTAACATTATCACTATCATCGTGCACATAGTAGATCCCAAATTATAATGGGCGTTAAATGAGCTTTGTAGATACAATAACAGAAAAAAAGGATTACCTTCTAATATGGTACTTTGGAGCTTATGGTTTTGTTCTAGTTTTAAAAGAGCTTTACCTTACAAAGCTGGGAGCAGAAAGACAGCTTCAGTGAGAGTCCTGTGGCATGTCAGTACTCCTTGGCTGTCACTTTGGATGACCAAAAGAATGTAGCACAATGTGAGCTCTTTAAACTTTGTACAGTATAATTATTATTCCCAAAACAAGTATTACTTTTTTAAATTCAATTCATCTTCCTAATTTTAGGTAATTATTAGGGGCATTAAAACCTAGAAAAACCCACCACAACAGTATAGGAGTTCAGAAATCAATGTCATAAAACGTGAGTTCACATTATTAAAGGCTAATGAGATGACTGGGGTGAATCCTCTGTAGAGGACAGAAGCTCATCACATATTTCCATATTCATCTTATCTCAAAGCATGTTAGTATGAGGTCACACTATATAGGAAAGTGAACAGAACTTTGCTAGACTAAAGTAGATTATTCTTTACTCCAATCCCAGTGGCAGTGTATTTATTTTATATCTAAGCAGTTGCTATTTAATAAATGTAGGAAAATTTTAATTGGATGTCATTTTGCACAGAAGAGTGAACTCTGTGATTCAGGTTGTAGTTTGACAAGTGGTAAGTAAATATGAGTGAGAGTAAGCTGTCAAGTATCTTCTTACTACATTCTTCATATCAGTAAAGTGGAACAAAGTATGATGTTTTTAAAAAACCATTCTTTATATACATTTAATTTAGAATGCCATCTTAGCCTTGTGGACCTCATTCTGAGCATCAAGGAAATCTGCTTTTTTGGCTATTTTATTTAGTATTAAATATATTAAATATATATTTTGGGTCATTTTACCATATAAAAAGAAATTGCTTTGTCTAAGAAATGTAATACTTTTTCATCTATGCTTGTATCTTAAGTACATATGTCAAAATCCAAAGCATATTTTTTCTGTAGCTAAAATGTTTTAAATATTGCAACAAAACAAATTAAACCATTCTATTTTCAACTTTTATTTTTATTTCTATTTTTAATTTTTAAAATTTTTATTTTTTTTCATTATTATTTCAACAGGTTTTGGGGAACAGGTGGTGTTTGGTTACATGAAGAAGTTCCTTAGTGGTGATTTCTGAGATTTTGGTGCACCCATCACCTGAGCAGTGTACACTGTACCCAATGTGTAGTCTCTTTTCCCTCACTATTCCCCACCCTTTCCCTTGAGTCCCCAAAGTTCAGTGGATTACTGTTATGCCTTTGCATCCTCATAGGTCAGCTCCCACGTGTGAGTGAGAACATGTGATGTTTGGTACCCATTCCTGAATTACTTTACCTAGTCTCCAGTTCCATCCAGGTTGCTGTGAATACCATTATTTCATCCTTTTTTATGGCTGAATAGTATTCCATTGTACTACATTCACTTTATCCACTCCTTGATTGATGGGCATTCGGGTTGGTTCCACATTTTTGCAATTGCAAGTTGTGCTGCTATAAATATAGGTGAGCAAGTATCCTTTTCATATAATGACTTCTTTTCCTCTGGGCCTCTGAGTAGATACCCAGTATTGAAATTGCTGGATCAAATGTTAGTTCTACTTTTAGTTCTTTATGGAATCTCCACACTGTTTTCCATAGTGGTTGTACTAGTTTACATTCCCACCCGCAGTGTAGAAGTGCTCCCTTTTCACTGCATCCACTCCAGCATCTATTTTTTTTTTTATGTTTTAATTATGGCCATTCTTGCAGGAGTAAGGTGGTATTTCACTGTGGTTTTGGTTTGCATTTCTTTGATCATTAGTGATGTTGAGCATTTTTTCATGTTTGTAGGCCACTTGTATATCTTCTTTTGAGAATTGTCTATTCGTGTCCTTAGCCCACTTTTTGATGGGATTGTTTGTTTTTTCCTTGCTAATTTGTTTGAGTTTGTTGTAGGTTTTTGATATTAGTCCTTTGTCAGATGTATAGATTGTGAAGATTTTCTCCCACTCTGTGGGTTCTCTGTTTAATCTGCTAAGTATTCCATTTGCCATGCAAAAGCTCTTTAGTTTAATTAAGTCCCAGCTATTTATCTTTATTTTTATTGCATTTGCTTTTGGGTTCTTGGTCATGAAATCCTTGCCTAAGCCAATGTCTAGAAGGGTTTTTCCAGTGTTATCTTCTAGAATTTTATAGTTTCAGGTCTTTGATTTAAGTCCTTGATTCATCTTGAGTTGATTTTGTATAAGATGAGAAATGAGAATCTGGTTTCACTCTCCTACATGTGTCTCGCCAATTATCCTGGCACCATTTATTGAAAAAGGTGTCCTTTCCCCACTTTATGTCTTTGTTTGCTTTGTTGAAGATCAGTTGGCTCTAAGTATTTGGGTTTATTTCTGAGTTCTGTATTCTGTTCCATTGGTCTATGTACCTACTTTTCTACTAGTACCGTGCTGTTTTGGTGACTATGGCCTTATAGTATAGTTTGAAGTCAGGTAATGTGATGCCTCCAGATTTGTTTCTTTTGCTTAGTCTTTCTTTGGCTATGTGAGCTATTTTTTGGTTCCATATGAATTTTGGAATTTTTTTTCTGGCTCTATGAAGAATGGCAGTGGCATTTTAATGGTAATTGCATGTGGTCATTTTCACAATATTGATTCTACTGATCCTATGGAATGTGTTTCCATTTGTTTGTGTTGTCTATGATTTCTTTCTTTGTCGTTATTGTTTTGTTTTTTTTTAGATGGAGTCTCACTCTGTCACCCAGGTTGGAGTGCAGTGGTGCAATCTCAGCTCACTGAAAGCTCCGCCTCCTGGGTTCACGCCATTCTCTTGCCTCAGCCTCCCAAGTAGCTGGGACTACAGGTGCCCACCACCACACCC
This sequence comes from Homo sapiens, assembly GCF_000001405.40. Lineage (NCBI taxonomy): Eukaryota > Metazoa > Chordata > Mammalia > Primates > Hominidae > Homo > Homo sapiens. The sequence continues at coordinate 53,116,869 of NC_000017.11, forward strand.
GGCTAATTTTTTGCATTTTTAGTAGAGATGGGGTTTCACTGTGCTCGCCAGGATGGTCTCTATCTCCTGACCTAGTGATCCACCCACCTTGGCCTCCCAAAGTGCTGGGATCACAGGCGTGAGCCACCGTGTCCGGCCTCTGTCTATGATTTCTTTCAGCAGTGCTTTCTAATTCTTGGTGTAGAGGTCTTTCACATTGTTTGTTAGGTATATTTCAAGTTGTTTTTTTTTTAATTTTTGAAGCTATTGTGAAAAGGGGTTGAGTGCTTGATTTGATTCTTAGCTTTGTTGTTGGTGGTGTATAGTAGAGCTACTGATTTGTGTACATTAATTTTGTATCCTAAAATTCTTCTGAATTCATTTACCAGTTCTAGGTGCTTTTTGGATGAGTCTTTAGGGTTTTCTAGGTATACAATCATATCATCAGCAAACAGTAACAGTTTGACTTCCTCTTTCCTGATTTGGATGTACTTTATTTCTTTCTCTTGTCTGATTGCTTTGGCTAGGATTTCCAGTACTATGTTGAATAGAAGTGGTGAAAGTGGGGCATCTTTGTCTTGTTCCAGTTCTTATGGGGAATGCTTTCAACTTTTTCCATTCAGTTTAATGTTGGCTGTGAGTTTGTTATAGATGAACTTTATTACCTTAAGATATGACCCTTCTTTGCTGATTTTGCTGAGAGTTATAATCATAATGTGATGCTGGATTTTGTCAAATGCTTTTTCTGCATCTATTGAGATGATCATGTGACTTTTGGTTTTAATTCTGTTTATGTGATGTATCAATTAATTGACTTACATATATGTTAAACCATCTCTGCATCCCTAGTATGAAACCCACTTGGTCATGGTGGATTATCTGTTGGATATGTTGTTGGATTTGGTTTGCTAGTATTTTCTTGAGGATTTTTGTATCTACATTCATCAGGGATATTGGTCTGTAGTTTTCTTTTTTTGTTATGACCTTCCCTCATTTTGCTATTAGGGTGACACGGGCTTTATGGAATTATTTAGGGAGAATTCCCAAGGCAGAAGTTTAGTGAAGCTTGAGCTGCAACATCTCACTCTGCTGGGGCTTTTTTCAAGGATGCCAGGAGGAAGCAGCAGCCATAGCCTTGAGCTTGTGCATGAAGCCCTGCCCTGGTTTAGGGGCCACCTTCTGAGACCTGGGGACCAGGGGCTTCTTGTGGTGCAAGTGGAATACCAACGCAAACCCCACTTACTCCACCCTGTGCCCATGATGAAGACCATCAGCTCTCTTGGTTCTCAAGACTTTGAATCAGCCTGAAGTACATCACTGGCTTTTATGGTTCATAGAAAACATATTATAGGAGCTTCTGGCCTCTATAACTGTGTGAACCAACTCCCATAATAAATCTGCTTTTATATATATCTCTCATATATCATAATAAATCTCACTATATATACATATCTCTCATATATATGTATATCTCATATAAATATATATGTATATCTCATATAAATATATTTGAGAGAGAGATATATATATAGTGAGATTTATTATGATATATGTGAGAGATATATATATCTACACACACCAGTTGGTCTGCTTCTCTGGAGAACTCTGACTAATACGTGGGCCAATAATTAAATCAAAAAGTACTGCCCCAACTATAGTGACAACAGTATTTGAAAATAGATTTTTCTATTTCGATTTATGTTGCTTTGCAATGGGCTGCAGTGCTCAGCCCAGGATTCCCAGAATTTAAAAACTTAACTGGTCCATCTTGGTATCTGCTTTTGAAACAACAGGCTTGGGTATATATTGTCCAATATAGCAGGCCTCATGTGCTCCTTAAACCAGGGCTACTTCAAATAGAGTTGCCCTTTACAGTTGGATAATGGTTAACTTTAAATAGCAAGATGTATCTAGCAAGAGGGTTTCTGAAAACCCCTGGGTTTCTTTCTTATATTGTCCTCTATTTCCTAAATTTCATTTTTTAACTTACTTTAGCTTGGAGACAGAGTTTGTTGTTTTTGTTTAGTTGTTTTATAATCCAACAGTCTGCAAGATTTTATCACTTGCTCAATGTTAACTGCAGATTGAAGGAATCTTCATAGCAACTCACAGTGTGTTTACCTCTTTGCTTCCCAACAGATTACCTTAGACTGTAACTTTCTCTGTTTTTGGTAGCATTTATAAAAAGATATTACAGAAAGACACCCACGTTCTGAAACATTTTACCAAACCTTAACTCTTCAGTTTTGATGGACACATGATCTGATTTCACAAAAATAGCAGGTGACAGTTTAACCATCTGTTTCTCCTCAAGTACAATAATACCTTCTTAATCTGGACAAAGGACTCACTGCACTTCTCAATTTAGCCACTTTCGTTTCTAGATCTATTATTGGAGACATATGATTTCCAGATACTAATTGTTCAATTAATCAGGAGACTTTAAATTGCAATTTACAGAAATCAACTCAATGTAGCTTAAGTAAAGTAGAACTTCCTTGAGCTTTGTTATTGAAAGATCCTGAGACAGATTTTCTTCAGGCATAGCAGGATCAAGGCTCTGTCAGTTTCATCAATGCAGTTTGCTTTTCGCAGAATTAGTTTCATTTCCCGGGAGTATTTTTTTGTCTAAGTGGTGGGAGTGATTGCCATCTGTAGCTCCCTGCTTATATATATTTTTTTCTATGGCTTAAACTCTCAGGAAAAGTAGAGTGGCTTTCCCACTAATATTCATGAAAGTCCTGAGGAAGATGCTAACTTGTGTTCATCCCTGAACTATTAATCTCTTTAGAGGAAGGTAAGATTCAGAGTATTCAGGCTGCCATAGTGGGGCACAGATGAGGATTCGGTTTAGTTCCATCTAAAAGAAAGTATTTTGTAGAATTATGAAATTGTGGAAACATTGGCTCATAGATAGAAGGAATATAGGCAAAAAAATAAACATATAAAAAAATGGGACAAAGGAAGAAAGAAGAAAAAGAAAGAAAGAGGAAGAAAGGAAGAAAGGAAAGAAAGAAGAAAGAAAAGAAATAGAAAAAAGGAAGGAAAAGAAAAGAAAGAAAGAGATGGAAAGAAAAAATAACAGGAAGGAAGGAATGAACTTAACATCTAATAAATACTAAAGCTAGAATGCAACACATCTACAATTCTTACACATTTTAATACATTATAAATTCTAGCTTGTGTGTATTACTTTTTAAATAGTAATGTTTACACTCAGATCCTCGTTGCTCAGGCCTGTGATTTAATTCATGGACAAGTATTATGTTTTTAACCTAAAAAGCATATTCATTAACCTAAGCGTAAGCCACTTTAATCTTTGATACTCAAATACCTTATCTACAAAATAGGATTAACAATGTTTTGCAGAGTTATTATGAGAATGAAATGTAACAATATGAGATAGAATTAAGCATTAGAAGACAGTTAATAATTACTAATTATGTTTAAGTCTGTACTTGAATGCTGGGTCAGCTCATAAATTTTCAAGTTACTGGATGAAGAGTCTAACATCATGGTAAGGGTCATATTGTGTCTAAGGTAGAGATATAGATAAGAAGGCATAACATTTTGAAAAAGTGAGAAAATTATAAGCTATTGAATGTAGATAATCATAAAGATGGCCTGAGGATTAACATTTTGAGGTACAATATCGAGGAAAAAGGATGCTCCTTTAATTGAGGCTAGCAGATGAATGCTAACATCTATATTTTCTATGTAAGATGAATCTATTTTAAAGTCCATTTCTTTTCCAATAATCTAATTTTATTATATATTAACTATAATTTACAGATTTTTAGCATCTAGACCGCAATATCTTAAAAAATAAAAATGTAAGATAAAACAGAAATAATGTACAAATAAAACAAATATTAGATGGAATAAATTTTTGTATTAAGGCATTTCTCATTTCTCAAACAATATCCCTCATGAGACGTATGCATGACTGAGCAATAAAATGAGAATCAATTAACAAGCACTTAGTTTCCATGAAAAACGCTCCTTTCCCCCTTGGTTTCTATCTCTGCCAATATCCCTCCAGCAAATCCAGTTTGCACCTACAAAAAACATACTGCTTTTCATGTATGGTTTCAAAAGGAAAGTGAGCTTGACAAAGCTAAGAAAATAAAACAAACAAGACAGGAAGTTTTTAATATTTTTAAAAGCTAAAGATATATAGGTTACTTATTTGTAAATATTCTTAGTTCAATACCCATACTTATTAACAGTATCACTCCAGTCATAATCATACCTAAATGTCTCCATATCCTTCAGGAATGTTATTGTATCCCTGACCTGTAGTGGTAATTTCTAACCTTTTATTTCTGTCTCTCTGCAAATTAATTAATATTTGATTAATTAGTATGTTTCCTAAGGGGGAGCCATGCAATATGTTGATCTATTAACAGATATTATGGTTTCTCCTTAGGCTTCTGATGCAAACATTTGTTTAAGGTGAGGTTTACACATATTTAATTTTAAACCATTTTCTAGTTACTTTTTGTGTAATTGTAATAATATATACCCTTTACAAAAATGAGAAATACATAAAAATGTTCAAGCATGCAAAATTAATCTGTAATACTTTTCCCTGGAGAGAATTATACCTGTTTTCATATTTTATTGCCATGGCTAGAAATTACTTCTCAAGAAGCATATTAATATATATATTTGCATTATAAGTTTGATATATTTGTAATATATAAAATTTCAGATGGTAATAATTTCCTCTAAAAGATATCTATGCATACTCTTGCCATATTAATTACTATTTAAGTTAACTGTAAATATGTTCGATTCTTTAAATTCTTCATATATATTAGTATGGTGTTTGTTTAGCCATTACAAAAAGCATCTTTTTTTATAGCTTCTGGCAAGAATGCCTTGTCATATGCTAGTCTAAAACAGAATCTCCAGAAAGACTGCAATAGTACCATGGAAAAGTCATGGCTCTTGAAGCCAGGAAACTTGGAGTCAGAGCCCCTTAGGTATCACTTAATGTATGTATATGAGAAAGCTGATAGAACACTTTGAGCCTCATTTATCCACATATTTAAAATGTGCTTTATATAATATCATTTGTCTTGAGTAATAACTGTAACAATATACATAAAGCACCTGTCACATAATTCATTCTGAATAAATATTAGTTTCATCTTTATTTTAAAAAGATTTTAAGCTATAAGAAAACTTGAGTGAAATTCATGAGCTTAAGAAATTGTTACTGATTTTTTTAGAGTACTTTATATCAATATTTTCCTTTATACATATACAAAGAGAGGGACTTTTATGAATTAGGGTTTTCCAGAAAAACAGAACTATTAGGAGATATATAGGTTTGTGTGTGTGTATGTGTGTGTAGAGGGGTGGGGGGGAAGAAGAGGGAGAGAGAGAGAATTATTTAAGTATTTGTCCACCAAAACACCTTCAGAAAACACATCCAGAATAATGCTTGACCAAATATCTGGGCACCCCATAGCCCATTCAAGTTTGCACATAAATTTAACTACCACAGGATTAATAATGGCATGATTACTTTTCACAATAAACAGTTTGGTATGATTTCTGATAATTTCTAACTATAGAAATGGCCTTTTAAACATAGAGCATTTCCTTGAAAATTAATTGCTATGCTAGAATTAATGGCCCACAACAATGAACTTTCTGAGACAAGCATTACTCTGCCTTGATTATTATTGCTTAATTACTAACTAAAGGCTCCTCCTTGTTATAAAAGTTGAATACCTCAGCTCAAACTCTTCCAGTTTAAAATGTTTGTTCATGAGTCTTCTGGGCATGTAAGAAACTGGTTTTGAGAAAAAGAAGATAATTAAAGATAATCACATGTATAAAAACTAATACTAATATTTTAAAATTAATATTATGTTGATACCATGTAGGTTTAAGAAATAAATAATTTTAACATATTATTCACCATTTTTCTATGTAGCTATAAGAAAATTTTTCCAATCTCTCTAATAGAATTCCAATATTCTTTTCTAAATGGTGAAATGTACCAGTTAATGCAATTATTCCAAAATATTTTACCTTGACATTTCCCCTCTGGAGTTCTTTATTCTTCTGCTGCAAACTCAGTTGGTTGTTTGCTAAATACATAGCTCAGTGCAACATGATATTCTTCTTCATAATTGTACTTGGAATTCTCTTTACATTTCCCACCTATCAGAGTTCTTGTTTGCTGAATATCTGTAGGATAAATACCTTTATATTCAGAACAAAACCTTTCTTTTGCCCCAAGTCTTACATCATGGAAATGTTTACCTTGATTGATAATTTCTCTGGGTACAGAATCATAAGTCAGCAAATTTTTTTTTCTGGAAATCCCAAGACATGATTGATTTATTATGAGTTTGCATACTGCCATTAAGAGGATCAGTACAGTTTTTGTAGAGATTTATTTATATGTTCCAAACTTTGTTTGCTTATCTTTTTGTTTTAATTTTTTTCACATGGAAGACTTTATATCTTCTCTTTCTTCCCTTTGTTCTAAAATGTCACTATGGTGTGTCTTGCTGTTATATTTCAATACAGAAACTTGGGTCTTTCAGTTTTGGAAAATACGCTTATATTATTTCTTAAGTTAGCTCTCTTTGTTTAACACTTTCTTTTTTTTCTGAAATTAATTTATAGTGAGTTTTGGACTCTATTGATTCCTAATTTTCTTTGTTTCTTCTATCACCCTTCTCATTGACTTGTCTTAACTTTTTATTTCTTTATTATTTATACCAATTTTCTATTAAAGATTTGATTTTCCATTTCCAGCCTCTTTTTTTTTTTTTCAGTAGAGACGTCTTCCTGTGTTGCCCAGGCTGATCTTAAACTCCTAGACTCAAACAGTCCTCCCAACCTGGCCTCTCAAAGTGCTGGGATTGTAGACCTGAGCCACTTCACTATTTTTAAATTACATTCATTAAGTTATAAATTATATTCATTGTAATTTACATTGCATGTGCACCATTCTGTGAGTTTAGAGAAATAATTCAATTGTGTAATCATTACCTCATCAAAAGATAGAATATTGCCATCATTTCAAAAAGTTTTCTTGTGCCCCTTTGTTGTCAATCTGTTCTTCCTACCCACTAATCTAATTGGAAACCAATAACAGAATGGTAACAAGAAAATCTCCCAACACTTGGAAAAAAAAAAGCAACACAATTCTAAATAATGCATGGATCAAAAGTCTTAAGGGAAATAAAAAGTCAAAGTAAATAAAACTACAACTTATAAAAATTTGTGGGACATAGTTAAAGCAGTTCTATGAGGGAAACTAATGGCATTCATTGCATATATTAGAAAAAAAGAAAACTCTCAGCAATCAAAGCCCCCACCTGAAAAATCTAGAAAAAGAAGAGCAAACAAGACACAGAGCAAGCAGACAGAAAGAAATAAGAAAGATAAGGTCATACTTCAATAAAATTGAAAAGGGAAAAAAAGGAAAAAACTAATGGAATAAAAAGCTGCTTCTTTGAAATGAGCAATAAATTTGACAAACTACTGGCAAGATTGACAAAAGAAATCAAGATACATATAACCAATATCAGTAATAAAAAAAGAATTCCTACATATGGACCCTAAAAATAACAAACGAATAATAAGGGAATATTGCAGATAATTCTGTAGGCATACATTTGAAAACTTTGTTGAAAAACTAACAATCTGAATTGAATATGGACAAAATACATGAGCAGACATTTCACCCTAGAGAATATACAGAAAGTAAATATACATAGGTATATATATATGTGTGCGTGTGTGTGTGTATATATATATATATATATCTCATATGAAAAGATGTTTGATATCATTAGCTATTATGGAATGCACATTAAAACCACTATAGGATATTACTACACACCTATCAGAACTACTAAATTAAAAAATAGTGACAACGTCAAAAGTTGGTGAAAATGTAGAGAAACTGCAACTATGATATCATCATCATGTCATTCTGGGGAATAGTTTTGGCAGCTTCTTAAAAAAAAGTAAACATACAACTATCATATGCCAAGTAATTGCATTCTCAGGTTTTTGTTCCAGATAAATTTATTTAATTAGGTTTGGTTTCACACTCATAAGAGTACACAAATGCTTATAGTTGCTTTATTTATAGTAGCCAATAACTGAAAACAACTAGATATCCTTCTAGAGGTGAATGTTTAAACCGACAGTGGAATAGTCATACCATAGAAAAATACTCATCAATAAAAATGAACAAACTTTTGATAAACACAAAAACCTAGGTGTCTCTCCAGAAAATTATACTTAGTGAAAGAAAGGTTAATCCCACGACAGTACATTCTGTATGATTCCATATAAATAACATTTGTGAAATGACAAAATATAGTTAAAAAATAGAATGAAGAACACAATACTGGTTGTCAGGTGTTAACAAGGTAGGCATGGAGGGAGAGTAGTGGTTGTGACTAAGAGGGAGAGGTGAGAGATACTTCTGGTGATGGACATGTGCTGTACCCTGACTATCCATGTCAATATCTTGGTTGTGATATTGTATTATAGTCTTGCAAGATGTTAATATTTGGGAAAACTGGGTAAAGGACATGCTGTATAAAGAATCTCTCTGTGATATTTCTTATAACTGCATATAAATTTACAGTTATCACAAAATAAAATTTTAATTAAAAAATGAATTGATCTCTTTAGTTCATTATTGCCTCTTCACTCATTGTTTTTGTTCTTGTAGATATATAATATTTTGCTTTATTTTGTCATTTTGGTTGTGTTTCATGAAAAAGTATAAATAATCAAATGGCTTAGATTTGTCCTTCTTAAGTACAGCCGGAGAGAATTTAATTCTAAAATAATTTGTTATCTGGTATGGATCATGAACCTCCATTTAACACTTTTAACGATTCTTCACTGCTTACTCAGTAAAGAAGAAATTCCTAGTTTTGTATTTAGAGTAGAGGCTTTACCCTGTAGCCTCAATAAGTTCACTATTTTTACTTTTTGTTACTTCTCTGAGTGCAACCTAAGCTTCTAACACAATGCGCTCCCTGTCATTTTCCAAACAAGCTATGCTTTATAGCATATCTTTGTATAGAGGCATTCAAAATTATCAATGCCATAATGATTCCATAAAATCTTCTTCCTGCCCCTGGAACACATCTACACAATTCCCAAGGTAATAGAGTGAGTGAATGGTGGAGATGGCATTTAAGTGTAGGGAGCAAAACAAACTAATGAGCAAAAATCCCAAATTTTAACCACTTTAATATTCTAAAGCATGTTTTACATATCTGTACTATTATACTTAATCATTTGACAAAAAATTGTTTATTCTTTCATACCTACTGTACTCCTAAAACATTATTAGAAGTTGTCTTATTATTCATTTTTGTATCACTATTGCCCCAGACAGTAGTGCTCCTAAGCAGAAATTAAACAAATATTTGTTTACAAATAAAAAATGTAGTTCAAAATCCACTGTCATAAGACATAAATATTTTTCAGTTTTCCAAGTTTCTTTCCAATCTTCATCTGTTTACGTATATAATAGTTAAATCATTTAAATGACAGCAGAGATATATATTTTCATTCTCCTTTTATTTTACTAACATTACTTCACTATTTTCACAAGTTGCCACTTAATCTTCATAATTATCTTTTAAACTGGTATTTTCAAGTTCTAGAAGGGAGCCAATAAATAGCTGGTGATTTAGTGTTAACCAGCAATATAATTTTGAATGAATTTGATGTACTATAAAATTTATTATTTCTCCTATTCGGTATTTATGTGGATAAGAAATATTTTTGTTTTTCATGATATGAAAATGATCTAAATAAACTAACTTTATAAATATCTTTTCCTCCCACCCTTCTTTTAGAAATGAAAATAAACTTTGAAGATATCACGTTTAAAATCTTTAGTGATTAGACTTGGCATACTCTTGGCTATGACTTAGGAATTCAAAAAGAGGAAAATACTAGTTCGCGGTTGGTGAGAGTAAGTTTCCCAACCTGCCAATTAATATTTCTGTAATATGTTACAGATATCCTGGCTTCTTACTCTGTGTCTCTCATTCGATGCAATGACATTATAAAAAATAAGAAGTAAGAGAAATTTAAGCATCATCTAATTTAACCGCCTCATTTTGCTTTTAGAAAACTAAATTTTAAAGATAGCAAGTGTCTCAGCATGAAACTAAGAAGATCAGTGAGACTCTCAGACTAGAATGATGTCTTAAATATTCTTAAGGAGAGAATATGAGACAGATATTTTAATATGGGTTGTTCCATGGCTCATAATATATATATTAGCTTCATTCTTTTGTATTCTAGTTATAACCTATAATGGTAATTTAATTTCAGATTATAAATTGGTAATTTATAGGCTAGTGATTCCTGAATCATGCAGTTTTCACATGTTAGAATCATGTAGTTTTCACATGTTAGAATCATGTATTCTTAATTTTAGTCAGCTTTCCTTTTTATTATTCCCAGTATCTACTGTGGTTGACATGCAAAATGATTTTCCCACCAGTTTCTTATAAATACAGTCATGTGCCCTGTAAGGATGTTTTGCTCAATCATGGACTGCATATACCATGGTGGTCCCATAAGATTGTTATAGAACTGAAAAATTCCTGTCACCTTTTTACGTAGTAGCTGTCATAATGTCTTACCACAATGCATTACTCATGGGTTTGTGATGATGCAGTTGTAAATAAACCTATTGTGCTGATTTTTGTCATTGTTTTGAAATGTACTCCTATTTATGTAAAAAAAGTGACCTGTAAAATGCCTCAGGCAGGTCCTTCAAAAGCGATTCCAGAAGAAGGCCTAGTTATCACAGGAGACTATAGCTCCATATGTGTTTGCCCCTGAAGATTTACCGGCAGGATAAGGAGTAGAAGTGGAAGATCTCCATATTTATCCATCAATTAATACACCAATCTCCATATTGATAATACTGACCCTGTGTAAGTCTCGGCTAATGTATGTGTTTTGTATTAGAATTTTTAGAAAAATGTACAAAAAGAAAAAAATAAAAATAATTTTTAAAATAGAAAAAAGCCTATAGAACAAGAATATAACGAAAAATAATTTTGTACAGCGGTACAATGTGTTTGTGTTTTAAGCTAAGTGCTATTATAAAAGAAATAAAAAAATTAAAATGAAGTAAAAAGTATAAGTAAGCTAAGGTTAATTTTATTATTGAAGAAATAATTTTTTATTTATCTGGTGTAGCCTAAGTTTACAGTGTTTATAAATGTACAGTTGTGGTTCATATTTTGTGTAGTATATCACTCAAATGAAAATTATCATTGTAATTAATAGCCTATTGTCTCCAAAGTTTTTTTTCCCAGTCATTTGAAATGTTATTTTGTATCAGAAGTGTAATTTAATTATTTATTTGGATCTGATTAAGGGCTCTCCTTGTTGCTAATGTGTTCTCTGTATTTTTCTGAAGCAATTAAACAGTATATTAAATTAAAATATATACATATTTTTAATCTTTTTCTATCTGGTAAGCTAAGTATCCTCCTTACAATTAATTATTAATAAGATTAGTTTCTCTATATTTTGTTTTTTTTGATTATTTTACCATTATGATGGAAAACTAGGTGCTATTTTTGTTTAGTTGAGTTCTTCCTAGATTCTCATGAGTCCCTTTGTTTTAAAAACGTTTTTGGTCTTCTCAGGTTTTGATGATACTATATTAAAATTTCTCAGTACGCAAATGTGTTATTATCTGAAGAATAATTTCCTCCTAAATTAAAAGAATGTTTTCACCTATTCTCTCTTTAAGTAGGTTTTTTCTTATTTTCATTTCATTTTTTATGCTTTTTGCTTTGCATTGATTGAAAAATTGTGAAGTTAGGTTTTTGTTACATACCGTTTTTATTCAACTTTTTCAAAATTATTTTACTCTTTAGCCTTTTTTATGCCACATCATGTCTCATTTTTAATGCTTGTTATCTGTGTCACTTATGTTACCTTCTACTGTATGCTGTGTTCTATTTCTAATTTAATTTGCCATGAAATAATTTACCCTGATAGCTTGCTTTCTTAGTATTATAATATCACTTATCATCCTATTGTTACCTTAACATTTCATTTTTAATTTGATTCCATATATTTTGTCTTTTCCTTAATTCACAGAAAAGTCCAAAGTTATTGTTGAAAAAAAATGTCTTTTATTTTTCAGAATAATTTATTTTTCCAAAACCAATTCTTCCTTTTTTTTCCATTTCTTTCTGTTTTGCTTCATAATTTCTGTCTTCATTTCTTTCCATTATTATTTTTGTGTTATTGCCCTGTCCTATCTTTCTAGACATTTTGTTAATTGGCAGCATCATCTGAACCTGAACCTTACCCTTGACCAAGTATTTTGTGAACATATTATTTTTAGATGAGCTCTATGTTTATGTTTAGATTTTTATTCTTCTCTCTTTCTCTCTCTCCCTCTCTTTTTTTTTTTTTTTTTTTTTTGTGACTGAGTCTCGCTCCAAGGCTAGAGTGCAGTGGCACAATCTCGGCTCACTCAACCTCTACCTCCTGGGTTCAAGTGATTCTCCTGCCTCAGCCTCCCAAGTAGCTGGGATTACAGGCGTGTGCCACCACACCAGGCTAATTTTTACATTTTTAGTAGAGACGGAATTTCGCCATGTTGGCCAGGCTGGTTTTGAACTCCTGACATCAGGTGATCCGCCCGTCTCTGCCTCCCAAAGTGCTGAGATTACAGGCGTGAGCCACAGTGCCCGACCTAGATTCTTCTTAATAGCATCAACTTGATGACTGGAGGCTATAGGTTCTATTTTATGCCCTGTATTCTGATTTTCTACCAACTTTTAGTGGTGGTGTGGGGCAGTGAGGGTTTTATAGCCAGTGAATTTTTTTCATTGCTCACTCATTTTTAAACTTCATACTGCCTTGTTGGATTCATATAAGGTATAGCAGGCAATGGGGATGGAAGAGCTTTGATTTGTGCAGTTTTCCTGTTTTAATATGATTCCAGCATTAATGTTCACAGAGCATCCATTCCTGTTTCCTTCCAAGCTAGTGCAACAGGGAATAAAATGAGGCCCATGCCATCTCTCGCTGTGTCATTCCTTATTCACCGTAGGTAGATGGCCTTTATTTGGGACACTGTGTTTACCACTTAGTGATATATACATCTAGAGTTTAAATTTACTTTTTATTTTAATTTTATTAATTATAAAAATAAGTATTTAAATCTTAATATTTAGTAATAATAATAATTGGGAATAATTAGCATTATTATCACCATTCTCCCTGTCAGAAGAACAAGTGAATTTGAATTGTGATTATTTTATTGAGAATATTTACATCTATGTTCACCACATATACTGGCCTGTAGTTTTCTTTTTTTGTATGTTTGTCTAGTTTTGGTATCAGTGTAAAGCTAGCCTTGTAGAATGAGTTGGGAAGTGTTCACTTTTATTATATTTTATGGAACAGTTTGGTTAGAATTGATTTTAGTTCTTAACTGTATGGTAGAAGTCAGCAGTGAAGCCATCAGGTCCTGGACTTTTCCTTGATGGAAGATTTTTGATTACTGCTTCTCTATGTACTCATTATTGGTTTGTTGAAGTTTTATATTTCTTCATAATTCAATCATAATAAGTTGTATGTGTACAGGTATTTATTTATTCTATGTTTTCCAATTTGTGGGCATGTAGTTCATAGTAATTTCTTACAGAATTAATATTGTCAAAATGTCTATATTAACAAATATGACCTACAGATTCAATGCAATAGCTATCAAAATGCCAGTGGAATTATTCCCAAAAATAAAAAAAACTTAAAATTTTTATGGAAGTGCAAAAGATTCTAAATAGCCAACGCAATCTTGAGAATAATGAACACAGCTGGAGGCATCACATTACCTAACTTCAAAACATACTATAAAACTATAGTAACCAAAAAAGCATGATATTGGCATAAAGACAGACACATAGACCAGTGGAACAGAATAGAGAACAGAGAAATAAATTCATGGGTTTATAGGCAGCTTGTTTTCCACAAAGGTGCCAAGAACGCACTTTGGAGAAAAGAAAGTCTCTTCAATAAATGGTACTGAGAAAACTGGACGTCCATGTGCAGAAGAATCAAACTAGACCCACATCTCTCACTATACATGACAATCAACTGTAAATAAATTAAAGGCTTAAATGTAAGACCTGAAACTATGAGACTACTAGAAGACAATATAGAGGAAATACTTCACCAAATTGGACTGAGCAAGGTTTTTTTGTGTGTGTGTGTAAGTCCTCAAAAGCACAGGCAACAAAAGCAAAAATAGACAAATGAATTAAATTTAAAAAGCCTCTGCACAGCAAAGGAAACAATAAATAGAGTGAAAAGACAACCTGTAGAACTGGAGAAAATATTTGCAAGCTATGCATCTGAAAGTATCTAGAATATATAGGGAACTCAATAGCAAAAAAAACACAATTTTTAAAATAGGCAAAAGAACTAAAAAGACACATGTCGATGGAAGACATACAAATGGCCATCATATATGTGAAAAATGCTTTTAACATCATTAATCATAGGGGAAATGCAAATCAAAACCATGAAATACCACCGTATCCCAGTTAGAATGGCTACTGTTAAAAAGACAAAAAATAACAAGTACTGGTGAGGCTACGGAGAAAAGAGAACTGTTATATGCTCCTGGTGGGATTGTAAATTAGTATAGAAATTATGGAAAAGAGCATTAGGGTTCTTTAAAAAATTAAAATAGACGTGCCATATGATCCAGCAATCCCACTACTGGGATTCATTCAAAGGAAATGAATTCAGTATATCCAGGAGATAACTGCAGTCCCATTTTTATTGCAGCACTATTTGCAATAGGCAAGATATGGAATCAACCAAAGTGCCTATCTACAGAAGAATGGATAAAGAAATTGTGATATATATGCATATACATCACAATCATATAATATATAGTATATATCTCTACACAGGCATAAGTGTATATAAACACACACACACACACAAATACTATCCAGCTATAAGACAGAATGAAATATTTACATTTGTGGCAACATGGATGTACCTGGAGGACATTATGTTAAGTAAAATAAGCCATACACAGAAAGACCAACACTGCATGATCTCACTTACATACAGAATCCAGAAAAGTTTATCTTATCGAAGTAGAGAGTAGAATAGTGGCTACCAGAGGCTGGGGAGGGTAAGGGGAATGGATATAGGGGAGAGGTTGGTTAATGGGTAAAAAAGTTATAGTTAGACAGGAAAAATAAGTTCTTGTGTCCTATTACACAGTAAGGTTATTACACCTAGTAGCAATGTATTGTATATTTCAAGATAACTAGAAGGACTGAATGTTATCACCAGGAAGAACTGGTAAATTTGTAACATGATGAATATGTTTATAACCATGATTTCATTAGGTATACACTCTTTGAAATATCACACCGTACCCTATAAATATGTGCAATTATGACGTGCCAACTAAACATTCAAATATTTAAACTGGTGACTGAGGACAGTTGTTTGAGTGTAAGTCCATCATTTTCAGTGTAAAACCAACTCAAAATTTAAATCTTATTGATGGCAAGGCAGTTGTAAATTACCTGTGTGTGTAAAAGATAGTTTTTAAGGTCTCAATGTTGACAAGATACTATTTAACATGTTGGTAATATTCCCAGGTTTGCTGATGTGTGCCATCAAGGCAGGTGGTATGAATAAGCATGCATGCACACACATACACACCACTACACAGAAACGTGAGCTTTTGGGGCATTTGTCATTACTTTCAAAGAAGTTACTAATGGTCAATTTTGAGAACATAATAAGGATCTTCTTAGTGTTCTTTCGCTCTGAAAAATTAACTATAAATACTGGAATGATTAAAAAATGAACGATATGATGTTCAACTATATTCTAGATTTGCCCTTGAAAGAAACAGCCACTGAGAACTGGGGTCAAAGTCCCAGGAACAACTGGAGTAATTTCATTTCACCTGGAATGCTTCTACTTAAGGAAAGTGTTGCCATATCTAGATGCCTCTGGTAGAAAAATGATGAATGCAACTTTTCCAGAAGTTCAGAAAAAATGAAAGCGTGTTGACACAACAAAATTTAAAACCATATTTTACTTTGTAGATAGTCACTCACCGTACGTGCCCTTCATCCCAATCTTCTCTTCTTTACTCGTCTGCATTTGGTGACATTTGGAACATTAACCTTCAGACTGCAGTTTCCTTATTTCACTTTCTCCTTTCTTAGCTAAGATTAATTTTAATCAGATGGTAATTAAAATAGGCACTGCATAACCAACTCACACTTCTGCAGGTAATTAAAGCTTCTAGATTCATGCATTTTCCCCCTCCCAGCTCTGTTAGAAGCAGTGACAGATAATTTGTATTTTTCCTTGCAGCACAATTCCTGTTGCAGTAATGGCTCAAGTTCTAATAAATCTCTTGCAAATAACTTGTCTGGGCTGTGGAATATGAGACAGAAATTATCAACTGTTCATTTGTTCTTCTTTTTCTCAAAAATGTGTAATTCCCAGTTGTATGCTATTGATTCTAAAAACTATAATTTGTCATTGTTTTATTATGAAGTAATAGAGAATTTTGTCCCAGAAGTCAAGTTACTGGTGAAAACCCTAAAGCAAAGAAGAGCAGCATTTTTATTATTTCCAGTCTTATTTCTTTCTCTTTTATGGCAACTGAGCATGATACAAAAGATTTTTCAAAAATATTTCTCTGTATAGAGGGAAAAAACACCTTAGGAAATTTGGCTATATTTGTCTCTCATTGCTCAGCATCACCATGTTGAAAAAATTAATCACCTTCTGGCCGACAGTGAAGTATATACCTTTTTTATGGAACCTTTACTTATTTTTACTACTTTTAAGATAGATGCTTGAGTAATCTCAATGTGAACACATTACATGACACGCAAATGTAGGTGAGAGTTGCTGTTCATACACTCAACATAGGCAAAGCTTTTCTTTCAAACAGAATGCCATGCCTCTCACAGCTGCAGTACATCATTCAGCTTCAGAGCTGGAGCTGCTTGAATGTCACTGGCAGCCCCAACCTTGGAGGGTCAGATCGCTTGCCAATGGTTTCACCAGCAAACAAAAGCCCACCAAAATCTCATTCTTTGGACAGGGGTTGCCTCTTAGCCGTTGCCAGAGTCTCTGGTGAGAAGCTCACTATGCATCTGGTGGTTATGAAATCTCATTTCATTACACTACTAATTTACAGAGAATGAAATTATAAACAAGGTGATTACTGAGCATAATTTATGGCCCACGTAATTATATAGCTGTCAAAGTAGTGTTGGCAGCTGAATTGTGTAGAAGGGGGCTGTACTTTCGCCTGGTCTACTGAGTTTGTTAATTGTGCACAGCTGAATTTTTTTTTTTTTTTTCGTATGGAAAGATCGGCAACTTTGGTTTTGAGAGCCCAGCTAGACTTGGCACTGCCTGACTCAAAATGTTCCCTATTGGCTTTGTGATGAAAAATTATGCCCCAAGCCTTTGGTCAATGGTGGAGAAAATTTGTACTTTGCTGATGGTGTTAGGAACCTAATGAAATAGTAGCAAGTAACAAAATACAGAGTCACAAATATTATATCTCTATTTTTATTTAAATAACTGTCACTGTTTTATACACACTCATATTTAGATGACATGATAAAAGTAACAGTTGTAGTAAGATAGCTTAGTATTGCTACAGTGAAAAATAAATAGAAATAAATTATATGTTTACCGTTTCTCAGTAAACTAGACCTCTGAGTGTAGCTATGTTACACGTATCCCAGCTTTTACAGCTTGTGTGGCAGATCACATCTCTGAATAACTACAACCAGGTGAAACACACTCAGTGACCTTAACCTGTTGCCAAAGGAGGCAAGGGAAAAACGAAGCACAGAGTGGGTCATTAAACCAAAGGTGTTGTTTACACAGCTATAATCTGAGTGATTTCTCCCACAGAATCGCTTATTGTTTGCTGCTTTCATTTTGTACGTATTGCCTGGGAAATATAGGCACATTTTTATATACCTGAGTAGCTTGTGCTGTAGATAATCAGAAAGTTTTAATGCAAAAACAGAAGTGTGTAAACTCTATTGTTGATACAATGGATCAAATTCCTTGGGTAACTCTGATTTATTTTAGCTTATTCTGCTGTTATATATGCAATTGATAATGAGCAGATAGACCCACTGTCCCTTTGTGCCTTTTCTGGCTGCTATTTCTAGTACTAGTTTTATCCAGACTTCTGTATAACTGTTCTTTGTGAACAATAACAATGATTGTACTGCATTCACTATTTTCCTTAGAACCAGGAGAAAAAGAGTGGAAGGTTCTGTTCCCAAGATATGCTATGTATAAATGTTAACATCAATGATAAAAAGTTACTGATGTATTTTTACTTTTAAGCTAAAATAAAAATGATAGTAAGTAGTATTACAGCTAAGCAAAATTTTACATGACTTCCGCTAAGACACAGATTAATTTTATTTAAAAAATAGTAATTGAGTTTCTACTATGTATCAAATATATTTAGCAATTTCCTAATAGGCTCTAATAAATATAGTAACTTGATAGCCAAACAGTTAATCATCAGGAAATAGTATTGTTGGAAGGGGTTCATGAGAAAATATGTATACAGGAAAATTTATATTTTTCTTGAAATTGATTAAATCATATATTTCTAGTAACCCATATACATTTTTAGAAAGCAATCTATCAATTTTATCAAGGTCATCTGGTCCCTTGAATTTAACTTAAGGAAGTAAGCAGAGATTTATAATCAGAAAGTGTTTATATGCAACATATGTTATTAGCAGTAAAAGATTAAAACCAACCTAACTGCTATTACATGAAAGACTTAGTAAATTATGACATACAATTAAGATATAAATTGAAAAGAAATTAGCTAATTAAAGCATTATGTTGAGGTTATAATATCTCAAATCTAAGGTAACTTACAGAAAAGTGAGAATAAATGGAAAAGCAAAAAATAAAATGTGGACTAGTTAGTTTGGTAGAATTATGTGTAGCATTACTTTAAAATACCAATGTTAAAGAATTATTATGTAATGCATATTACTGAATATTTTAAGGTAAAGTAAAGTTCGCTTTTCCCTTCCATCTCCATTTTAGAGACCCTGTTTGGTTGATCACAGGGCACCAATTTCTAGCAGGGAGCCAGGGCTGTGCTATGTAATGGTCAAGATATCCTCCAGACTCATTTCCTTGACAAAAGCCAGCTTCCAGCTCAGATACATTCAGGCAAAGATTTAGAAAATGTTTCAGATTTCTAATCAGGTTCCCAGGATTGTTTGCCGAAGGGGAAATGGTCAAAGCCGGCATCCTCTCTAAATTAATAAAAATCCACACTGGGGCACCCTATCTCCTCTCTTGTCTTTGTGATCTATGGTTACTGGAAATTCAACCACAGGTTCATGGGTTCTAATGCAAACTCATTTTCAGGCAGTGTAAGTTTTCATACTAGTGGAAAGCTACAGAAAACAGAAAGCAAATGGAAGTTAACTCTCAAGAAAAAATATCAAATCATGAAAGCAAACAATTTACTTTGTTCTTAACTGTGACATGAATCTATTAAGTGGTATTTTATTCAATAATAATGTATTATATTTCAATAAAAATTAGTATCAATTTTTTAACTTTCATATGTAATCATGCAAATCTCTGTGTTAAGAGGGCTAGTTTCTTTACAGGAGAAGACCTTAATTGATTTTACATTATTTAATTTGATTCTAAAATACACACAAATACCTCTGTTGGTTACTTATCTGAATAAAAATCACCATGTATTTATTAATTCTGTATTCTTTTTCAAATTTATGAACTTCACTGGACATGAAAAAGTAACATCCTCTCCTACACCAGAAACAAGTTAGTTCTCTCCTTTACCCTATTTCTTTTTCTCCATAAATATACAGAAGTCTTTCTCAATCCCTGGCAAGATTTCATATGTAATTCTTTTTCAGTAACTTGTATATCATTCTATTTTGTCACCATAGCTTTCCAAAACTGAGGATCACATTAGTTTGAAAACAAAGACAACAACACACAAAAATAATGCTCCATTAAACCTCTCATGCTGCAAACAGAAAAATTCTAGCAAAAATGTAATCAAATTAGTTCACCCTTCCTGCTTAAGTAGAAAAGATTACAGAGCAAAGTAGCTGAAGTCATATCACAAGACTTTTCCTGTTACAAATAAAATCTTTCTCTTTATCCTCTATCCTTGGAATTTTTCTCTTCCTCCAGGCAATCACACGAGGAAAGATTCTTAATTCTTTTGATGTGCCACGTACAAATGTGTATTCACATGAGACAATTAAAGACTTTTTTTTCACCAGCCTTCTAGACTTGGGCTGAATCTTAGGTTTAGGGGGAAATAGCTACTCTTTCCTTCTCTTTGCTCTAAAATATGGTATTTATGCTACTCTTTCCTAGGTATACATTCTAGTTTCCCCCCAGTTTGTACAGGTGAGGGATAGAGTGGTATTTTAAAATATGCTCTAATAACTTAGATAGAAAAGGGTGATTTGCCTTTCGGCTCTTGTTTTATTTCTCCTAAATGTTGTTGCTATAAACTCTTGATTGCCTTCTTTCCAACTTCTTGATCAGACTGGGATTGGTGAAATACGTTTTAACAAGGGATGTTGATCTGAATATGCAGAGCATTTATTGAACGATTGTTGCCACCTTACTCTTGTAAAAATTTTTAATGTCCCAGCTGCTAAGAAAGGAATATTTAAATCTATACACAAATTCTGTAGTAATCTAACTGGATGCATTCAATCCCATAATCAGGAAAACTGTGATTTCTCATTTAGGCAAAGCAGTTTTCTTCCTTGCTCAAAGGAAGAAAACTGCCCACTATGAACCCTGCTCAACAACATGTTGGCTGTATACATGCCTTTCTGATCCATGTCAATATTTTAAATCTTCCATCACTTCAGGCTAATTGGCAGTAATTCCTGCATGTGTCAGATGTCACCCTATTTCAAAGAAATGCATGACTATCCTAATTTTTACTTTCTTCCTTTATTCTCCTTTTTAAAAAATATTTTCTTCCCCTGGTGTTTATCTCATTAACACAATGTTGAATTATTTCCATCTGGCAAGCTGGAAAAATTGCCTAGAATTATAGAGACCATGCCAAAAACTAACAGGATAAGTTATTTATTTGTTCTGGCCCTCTGCCTCCTTTATCCTAGTGGAGGTTGTAGAGATAGTTATTCATTGCTTATTTGGAATCCTATTACTTAAAGGGAAAGCAAATGCTGGTATTTGCTCATGAAAAATAACACAGATAAGGAACCTAGTAAACTAGGAATAGTAATAACCAGGCATAACCCCTGAAACTGGCTTTGAGGTGTGGGGATTTCCATTGAAAGAAAACACAAGAGTGGAACTTTTATAACTGGGCATCATTACTAATAGGTCAAACTATGGAAATATTCCTCCCAAAAAGGAGAGCTATAATAAACTGGTGATAAGCTGTAAGCACAACACCAATAACCAGGAACAATACAAAATATGTCAGGTTTAGAGTAGAAGAAAATAGATAATGGTGTGGATGAAGAAAAGAGTGAAAAAA
This sequence comes from Homo sapiens, assembly GCF_000001405.40. Taxonomy (NCBI): domain Eukaryota; kingdom Metazoa; phylum Chordata; class Mammalia; order Primates; family Hominidae; genus Homo; species Homo sapiens. Next base: position 53,138,479 of record NC_000017.11, read on the forward strand.
AATAATGAAGTGATAAGCAGGAACAATATGACTAAGACGTTTTCTCCAATCTTGATGTCCTTTAGGGAAATCCTAATGTGACAGGGCAGACTGAGAATGTCAGGATTTCTAAAGAGCATTTAAAGTGATGATAAATAGTCCCTTTAATACTTGCAATAATCACTACTACGGAGGCAAATTAAATGCATGCACATACAGTAATGAAATATACTTGTCTCTAAAGTACAAATACCATGTAGCATATACTGTAATGTATATGAAAGGATTAAACAATTAGCCTCTCTGCACTGCTGGCTGCCAGAAAGATATTTCGATGGTACTAAATAAGAAGTGTTAATGGCATCACTGTCGTTGTTCTATAAGGAAAGTTGGTGAAAAAAAAAAACTTGCAATGGGCAAGAAATATTATATTACTAAATGCCTTTTATAGCATACCTTCCTGAGTTACCCGAACCTATCTGTCTTTGAACTCTTTGCTCTTAATTGTAGAAAACTGATAGTACTGGCTGGGTGCAGTGGCGCACGCCTGTAATCCCAGCACTTTGGGAGGCCAAGGTGGGTGGATCACGAGGTCAGGAGATCAAGACCATCCTGGCTAACCTGGTGAAACCCCGTCTCTACTAAAAAATACAAAAAATTAGCCAGGCGTGGTGGCGGGCACCTGTAGTCCCAGTTACTCGGGAGGCTGAGGCAGGAGAATGGCATGAACCCGGGAGGCGGAGCTTGCAGTGAGCCAAGATCACACCATTGCACTCCAGCTTGGGCGACAGAGCGAGACTCCGTCTCAAAAAAAAAAAAAAGAAAACTGATAGTACTGAAAATAATCATTTTGTCTGATTAGAGTACAATTATTTCTATATAAATACCAGTTTTGTCTCTATTTGACATTCGTTTCAGTGTTCATGATGGCATATGTGTTTGTGTGTGTGTGTGTGTGTGTGTGTGTGTTTGAATTTTCCTTGGAATCAATAGTAATAGTTCAATGGTAATCTTATCAATGAGTTAAATAAAATCTTTGGCACCTATTCATTTTAAATTTGTGTAAGGATTTTAAATTTATACCTTGAGCAGTTTCATGAGAGAATCTGCTGTCAGATAAACTTTTTCTTCCACCGAGAAAGTGTGACATGGTTATAGAACTAAGTTTAGAGAGCAGTGCAGCTACTTAGGGAAAGTAAACAGGATCTGTTCCTGAAATAAGTAAACTGCCCATCAAAACTTCATAATATATCCAATTGATAAAGTCTTTGCTTAAGGCTTACTTTGAGCAATTGATTAAGCAGACATTGAACTAAGGGCTCTGATATAAGGAAGCGATCGGCCCAGCCTGGGTGGATGTTTTTTAGAGGCAGAATCTTGCTATGTTGCCCAGGCTGGTCTCAAACTCCTGGCCTCAAGTGATCCTCCCACCTCAGCCTCCCAAGTCCAATTGTTAAGAATATGTGCTTTGGAGCCAATACAACATGATTTAAAAGGGAGTTCTATTTCAAACAAACCTGGGGCTTTTGTCTAGTTCTTTATTGATTTGCAATTCAGCTTCCTAAGGTATAAAAGTTGTACAATGAGTATCTGTCTTAAATTTTTATTGTGCAAATTATGTGATAATAATACACGTGAATTACTTAGAATGCACCTAGCGTGTAAGTGCTTAGAAGTGTAACATATATATTGTCCCTAGATAAATATTTAGGTATACAAAGCGTCCAAGACTTCAATATAATTGTCTTACTATGTATAGTTGACACATAATTACTTCTCATCATATTATCTTCATTGTTTTCCATCTACAGAAAAATATGTAGCATACACATAAACTTTAAAATATCAAACAATAATAAAAAATGTTAGATATTCTGCAGACATTATTGCTAACGCATGTAATAGTAAGAGCTAACATTAACTTTTTATTTTCTATGGGTTATGATATACTTTTTCTATGTCTTATTCTAACGTTATCTGCGTAAAAGCACAGAGGTAGTTAAAATTACTGTCTCACTATACAGATTTGGAAACTGAGACTTCCCAAGGTAAAGTAACAGCTTAAGATTATACACCTTCTATCTGGAGGCACAAAACAGATCATAGGGAGAATATATGACATAAAAGAATTGTCATTTGATACCCGTACAATGAATAGTCTAAACATAGAGCACACCAGTTTCTTAAGAATATTTCACAAGTGGGCTATGACAGAGATAACTGGTGCTATGAAAGCATGGCTGAAGAATCTACACATTGTTAAAAATTATTCACAATTTATGAAACTTCATAGGCTTTAAACAAAAAGACAGAGAATTAGGATAAGGACTTTCATAGATTAAGTCGCCATACAGGAGCAGATGACGATAGTAACCAAGTAGAGGATAGAAAAGAAAACCGCTGAAAGGAAGATGGGAATCTGAATGCTCTCTGATGGATATCATTTCTCTTAACCACACAGACTCAGAAGTGTTTGAGAAGGTGAGATTAAATTCACAGTGGGCGTCATGTACAATTTGTTAACAGTTGTCATTTGAATATGTTTGCTTATTTTTAGAAAAGCAGTTTGCTTATCTCTACATTGCATAATTTATTTCAGAGTCAGTCATTACACCTAACTCTTTGTGTTAAAATTGTTGCTCATATCTTTGAATATAGATATGTGATTGTTCTGGAAGTAATTTTCAGACATTATACTGTGCCCAGAATGTAAAGACCAAATTGTAGATCCAAGACACCTACATAATAAATAAACAGAAGTACTTCTTAAAAAGGCAATTTGTTGTCATTATTGTTAATCTACTAATTGGACATTTTTGTTAATCTTCCACTCATTCTGAAGGGCTCTAAACCACTGTCTTATAGAATAGCATTTAAAGAAAGCTTACTACTCCCACTAAAAAGACATTTCCGTCAGAGTGATAGGTACATTTGTCTGCAAACACATGAGCTTATCTCTTTAACAGTGCCATTTATTGCCTTGTAATCTGTCTCATCTCCTACTTGTGCCTTTGGGCTTACCTCAGTTCTTGGGCCCCATAAAACAGAAGCAACAGACATTTTTATAGTATCCTCTTGTAATCTCTGCCTCGTTTTCCAGTTAGGTGAGTCTTGCCTCTAACATATCTACACACTGGTTTCCTACCCTTTCCTTGACTAACAACCAAAGCCAAGTTTCGGTTATTCAGGACTTGGTCCTAGAGAACATTATTATCTTTCCAATTGAACTAATTTTTCCCCTCTCTATTGTATTCTTTCTCACCTCAATGTAAACCAGACACAACTGAGCTTTTACTTGTTTAGTTCCTTGGACCTGAGCAGTTTTCTTGCCTGTGACTTAGTCCAGAGTCCACATCACCCTCTCTACTCACTCCCATTCCCTAACAGGAGCACTGCCTTCTTCTGCACTCCAGTCTGTTGGCCGTGACCAAGGCAGCCTACTTACCTTCTAAGAGAATAATCCTCTTTCCTGGACTGGACCCAGTGCTCATGCCCTCTGACCAATATTTTTCCATCTGTCTTATCCCTTAATATTAACTGACTCCAAATGTGTCCTGTGTTGCTGAATACACCAATTAAGACCATTTCCAGAATTAGTATTGACATATTTTCACTCTGTTCCACACTGGGCCCGAATGAATGCCCTTCTGGAGCTGACTATAGCGGCCAATTCTCTGAACCCCTGTCCAGCCTTAGTGAGTATATGTCAGATGATGCTACTACAATAATCACCTTCCAATTTATCTTTTATGTTAATGCATATTCACAAATATCTAACTTACCAAAGGATAGTTTTATCTGTATTCTTCCTTTTTAAAATATTTCTTTTCTGAAATTTGAACATGACAGAAAGTATTCTAAATTATTACTGTAAGTCATTTTAGAACCTTCTGTCTTGAAGGTGATACCAAGAATCCCCTTCATAGAAAAGTAGAGGAAAAGCTTAAAGACTGACAAATGGAGTTTTTGGTTTTTAACTAATAAGCATAATTCTTGGCAAAATTGTTGAACTTGGATGAGAAAAATTATCTCATTTCAAAATGAAATTTGGATATGATTATCAAATGCTGAATTTGGCATTGATTTTATTTTGGAAAAGCAAATATATCCATAAAAAAGTTTTCTTGAGATTTACAGAATATTTGTTTTTTATAACATGATAGTAGAAATGTAGTTAATGAGGTTTTAAACATACTATTCGTAACTGATAATGATCTTTAATTTTTACCAGTTACCTCTCCTGCAACAATCTATGCAATTTTATGCATTCTCACCTTGCATTCAACTAGGCTACTCTCAATTTTTCAGGATTCTTTCTTTTATATATTCTGGAGGGGTTTTAGATTTGTTTGACTCCCCAGAAAGTACTAGGTCCTCACTCATGCTTGTGCCTCATTTATTTGCCCTTGGCACTTTGCACATGCCAACATTAGTAAGGTCCCAGCAGGAAGCAGCACACTGCTAATTGGAGAGTTTAGTAAAGCAACCACATACAATGGTGTGGCTATGATTTAAGGAAACTGAAAAGGTACTTTACAATGGCATAACACTAGCTTTAGTGGGCCACCTTTCACCCTGAAGCCCAAAAAGACCATGGGCTGTCTCTAAATCTGTGAGCAGTATAGAGTAAGCCACAGCACAGCCAGTCTGCAGTGACTCAGCAAGAAAGTGACTGTGAGAATAAATACGCTGACTGTAATTGCTGATCGTCCTTTTATCTCCTGCTAGTGACTCCCGTTGAGGCAGTCCATAAAGTTCAGCCTCCCAGGAGAAAGGGTATGATGGAGAGGTTCATGTCTCTTGTGAATTCTCTGCCTCCCCAACCATACTCTAAAATCCTCAAAAACAAAAATAAATCATCCTCCATTTAAGTATTCTAAGCTTTTGCTTTATGCCCAATACACAGACACTAAATAAATGTTTGGTGATGAATATATAAAGAGAAATTTACTTTTATTTTTCAAAGTAATAGAGCTATAATCCAAAATCGGTACAGCAGTTATAAGAATATTACTATTCTTTCTCCTTTTAGGGTGTTCAGGTAAATATTATCTTCTGCGTGAGAAAATCTATAACATTTCCTAAATTTATGGGAGGGACTTTTTGAGTAAAATTACATTATTTAAAATAGTGTTTTATTGAAACAATTGACTGATTCAACATACAAGATATTTGGTTGTTAAATTATATTCATATAATGTTGAAAAGAGAATTCTTTTTTAGGTTTATTAACTCAAAGCTATTATCTTTGATGATGATCTTTCCACTCCTATTGCCTGAATACCAAAAAGCCCCTTGTATATATTACTTGAAAATTACCAACACAATTCCTGATTAGTAATATAAAGTGCTATAATTGCAATTTAATGCTTCTCATTGATTGTTTGTGACTCTGTCTGCAATTATATATTCAATATATTCACATATTCTATGAATTGGAAGAGAAAGAGACTCATTTATATGTATTTGGTTCAGGTGTACTATAAAGATTCTTTATATAATATGGAAAATTTCAGCTTAAATTTGACATTCAAATTTAAAACAAAAAAGAAAAGAAGGAAGAAATCTATTGCCCATCAGAAGTTTGATTTTCTAACTTAGAAAACAAACAAATCAACCAAAGCATAAAAACCAAAATCATGTAACTTCCTGACACTAGACATTGAACTTAGAAAACACTAAGTTAAAAGACCATTGTTGGAAACCTTGCATTTGTATACTCTTGGAGAATTACTTATCCTCTCTGAGACCCAGATTTTTAATCTGTAAATTGAGATCTTTCTAGTTGCAGGAAATGACTAACAATAAGAAGTAAAAGGAATAGTAAAATGCTTCTTGCTGAGTAGAACCACAATGTAGTTTGATGATTTCTAATACAATATAAAAGGGATTTGTTAGACTGAGTTACTTTTACTTCCTTGAAGGTTTGCAGGAGTACAAAGAGTGACTAGTTAAGAGTGAGCTCTGAGAATTGTGCCCCCAGTTTGTTTCAGGCAGCTCTTTCTTCAACCTGATCATTACACTCATGTACTGATCAGCACTCAAATATTTGAGGAGGCGGATATTCAAAGCTCTTCTGTGTTGCTCTCTCCTGTCTGGTTTTCTTCCATGAAAATTTTAGCTACCCCTGCACACTCCCAGCTCCTTTTGCTCAACTGTGTGAGACCACTAGGCCCCTCTTGAGTTCCCTCTTTCTGAACTGCAACTCAAACTCTTTCCAGACAGGAATTTGGGTAAATAATTGGGCTTACTTTGTTTATTTTCTCTATCTGAGCTATCACTGTCCCATGCTGCCTCACTTCCAATATCTGAAAACTTTTATGTATTTTGTCCCATTCTTTTACTTGTTTCAAATAATTGTGCAAATCCAGTTCCCGTTATTCCTTCTTAACTTAAAAAGGTAGTCCCATATAACAGATAATGGGATTTATGTCACCTTGGATTCCTGAGTGACTTTATGAATCATGGTCCTTCCTAGCCTTACCCTGCTAACTTGTTTGGATCTGTTCTCCAAGCAAAGAATGAAACTGCTTTGTTTTGTCAAAGAAACAATGAGTTTAATTTATTAAACAGCATAAATTACTCTGTTTTTCTTAACATGAATAGTATGAGAAAATGATAGTAGTTGTAGGTGCATTGCTTCTCTCACACCATGTAGATATTGGGAAAGTGAAGGGAAGAAACATGAGTTTCTTCTTCATTCTCTAAATGCAAATGCTCTCCAAGTACTGTCAATTATTTTTTCTTATATTTTTAAAACATCACATTACTTTTTATAGTGGTAAAATATCCCCCACTGTTTTCTGTGTCTTTATTATCATCCTTTCGCTCCTAAAATATTTTAAAAACATGTACTCAACTCCCAGAAATATCTTCAGACTCAATACTACTGCAACCTTACATTTACAAAGGTTAATACTAAGTCTTGGGAGGATCAAGTGGATTCACAAGTGACTTAAGTGCTTTCCAACACAAAGGTTAATTCACTTTATTGAAAGACAACAAAGTCCAGAATCTTAGTAACATAGCATACATAACGCCCAGCTTACAATAAAACATACTACATGTAAGAATCAGAATATTGACCCATAATCTGGAGGAAAGAGTCAAGACAAACTTAGCCAGAAGTGATAAGGGTAATGAAACTCATGGGCCAAGAGGTTAACTCAACTATTTTAAATACTTTCAAAGATTTAAGTAAAAAATTGACATAATGAGTGAGTATATGGAGAAATGAGGCAGGATAAAGCAAATTATTTATACTTAATTACATATTTTATATATATATATATATAATTAAAAATAAGTGCTTAGAATAGTGCCTAACATTTACTTAGGCACTTAGTACCAAAATATTTGTTAAGTAAAAATATCCAAATGGTTTTTCTGCCACTCATCAAAATAATCAAACCCAATACTTATACTCAATAAATGCTTATACTCATAAATTATATGTTATGCCTCAGTTTATTTTCCCTTGTTGTGTGGCACTCTGTATGATAAATTAATTTTATTTCTTTTCAAAACCAAATTTAAGGGCTCTACCCTTAATAAAGGACCCCACAGTTAATCTTATAAAAAACAATATTCTAGGTCATCACACATTTTCTGGAATTTATTTGCTCATTACTTCATTTATTCAGCAAATGTTTGTTGATTACCTACTAAGTACTGAGCACAGTGTTAGAAAATAAAAATGCTCTCATGCAGCTTACATTTTATCGAGGGAGAGAAAAACAAATGTGTACATAAATTAATGCATTAATTTTAGAAATTCAAAAAGACAATAAGAATAAAACAAAGTAATGTGAGTTCGACTGGCAAGGAGTGAGGAATAATTTAAATTGGATCATCAGGGAAGTATTTGCTTAGGCAGAGATATTCCAGTGACACCTAAATTCTATGAAAAACCAGAATGTGAAGACCTGGGGAAAACATTTCCAATAAAGGGATGAGGTTGGTTCATGTTACAAAAGAGGACAAATACCATTGGTGTTTGTCACTATTATCAGTCAGGTCTAGTCAGGAAAATAGGAAGAATACCAATTATTTTAATAAGTACAAATTAATTTTGAAATATTCTAATGACGTGGTAGAAGACTACACAGGCAAAAAGGAATTGCTGTATTAACACAGAGGAAGCTACTGCAGGAGGCAGTTGCTACTTTTAGGGCAGTGAGAACCAAAGGAGTAGGGTTCATACAAGTTCAAGGTCTGGAAGAGGGGCCCTAGCTGGGGCTATAGGTTTTGAGGGTCCCATGTGGCTGTATTGGACTCTCTGAGGGGTATAATAAAGTTAGTTCTGGGAATATGAATAAACCCTGAAAACTAGAACCAACCCGCCACTGCCATGGGGAGGTGGTGTTGCTGGGGTGACACTGCTAAGAACTGTCAGTAAACAAAAAGGATCTTCTCTGTCTCCCTCTTTAAGCTTTCCACTGTCTTTCTTGTACATCATGTTGGCAAAACTTAACTGGGAGCCAGATAGTAAGGCAGAAGTACCTTAGCATAGTTTCAGTCCAAGGTGAGACATGGCATCTTAATAACCATGACAGGGCTAAAGTAGAGTTATCACAAGGAAATAGAATGCTATTGTGAGCATCATACCCATACTGCTACTATGAAATACAGTCATCCCATGGTGTCTGTGGGGGATTGGTTCCAGGAACCCTGTAGTTACTGAAATCCAGGAATACTCAAGCTTCTTATATAAAATGGCAAAATATTTTCATATAACTTATGCACACTCTCTCATATGCTTTAAGTCATCTCTAGATTACTTTATTACCTAACATAATGCCTACACATCACTTCATTTGCATGGATTCAACATAGTATTTAGTGCACGCCAAATTCAAGTTTTGCTTTTCTTTTGGAACGTTATGAAACTTGTTTTTGAAATATTTTTATCTGTGGCTGGTGGAATTCAGGGAAGCAGAATACAGGGATACAGAAGGCTGCATGCAGATGCTATTGTGGGCAATTTGCAAAGAGTATAGATGCTATACTATAAATAAAGATATGATAGGAAGATCACCAAGAGTCTTAAGTATATTTGATTTATATGTGGAGAAAATATTAGATTGCTACATGAGAAGTAGATTGGAAAGTATTAAGATGGGAAGCAATGGAATCTAGTTTAGATGGAATTGCAATAATCCATGTGACAAGTGTGACTTCAACCTGATTGTTTTCAGAGGAGATAGAGAGAAGTGAATAAATTGGGTTATAGTGCAGAAGTTTCTGTGGAATTAGATTAGGAAGATGAGGAAAAAAGATGAAGCAAGGATGATCCTCTTGGTTTTTAATTTGAGCAGTTATTGGAATGGGGGTGATATATGATGGAATGTAGAAGGTTGGTAGGAGAGTTCTCTTTCGTATGTGTTAATTTTTAAGTGCCTGTTTCACATTTAAGGAAAAATGTTGATTGACAGCTGAATATATTATTTTGGAGGTTGAAGAAAATATCTAGCTAGAGATAAAAAAATTTGGAATATTGGGCATCAGGATGATATGTAAAGTGCACCAGCTTACAGGAAAAGATAAAAACAAGTTGAAGTACAAAGCCCTTGGTGCCTCATAATTTGGGATGCTCACATGACCTAGTAAAGGAGTAATTGAAAAGAGCTGATCAGTGAGATAAGAAAAGAATCAGGATTTTGTGCTGTCACAGAAGTTTGTAGAGCATGAGTGTTTAAAATGGACTGAGTGCTGAATTGAAGGAAATGTGCTGAGAGCTTTAAAAACATAGGGACAAAAAGAAAAAATGAGCACAAAGTATGGTAGGTTGGACCTTTCTGATAACCTTGACAACAATTTGGTTAAGTGGTTGTAACAAAAGCCAGATTGGGGTTGTAGACAAGAGTTGATGGTGAGGCAGTAGAAACATCAATTACAAAGTACTTTTTCAGGAAGATTTGCAGTGAAGGTTATTGAATAAAAAAGATAGTAGCTGGCGAGGAAAGCAAGCTTAAGGAAGAGATTTACTTATTTTTTTTTCCTGTAAATGAAGGAAATCGAGGTTGCTTACATACTCATTGGAACAAATTCTGTAAAGAGAGGAGGAAAAAAAAGTTGCCAAAGCAGGGATGATTATTTGAGGAAAGTCTTTGAAAGTTTCAAGTCGGAAGGGATCCAGATAATAATTGGAGGTGTCGTCTTTTATTAGGATAGGTGATATTTTCTCCACTGCAATTGAACAAAAGTCAGAAGGTATTAGAACAAAGTAGGTTGGTTTATAGTTTTGTTAGTAAATAGATAAGAATATTATTTTTCCTTGATTGCTTTTAATTTATAAAATTACCGAGGTTGAGGAATAGAAAAAGGGCCCTGGAAGTTTGAGAAGGAAACATGGAAAATAATAATTTGAAAAAGTGAAGAGTAAATATAATATACAAGTGCAGTAAATTGTGAATAGTAGTATTGATGGGCAATAAGATGAACCTATTTGAAATAAACGGCATAAATGTAAAGGGGAATCAGCAAATAGAATTGGATGATTCTCCGGTTAGGTTCAGCTGCTTTGGTAAAAAATAAAATCATGATTCCCTCTTCCACGACATTTTTGAGTCTCTCATTTTAATAAGTGAAACCATAAATTAAATAATTTTTCAAACTAAAAACTTGGGAATCTGCTATTTGCTTAATCATCTCCCTATCTCAGGCCATCAGCAATTTTTGTGGGCTTTAATAGAAAAATATATGACAAATCTGACCACACGTTTCCACCTGCACCTTTCATTTTCTCATCAAGCCAACAGCTTCTCTCACCCAGTTTATTAAGAGAGTTCAATGAACTCATGCTCCTGCTTCAATTACTGTGCCCTGGAGCAACCAGAGTAACTGTGCAGTTTACATGAATAAGACAATATTATTTCTTAAAGGGCAAAATTTTACAAAAGCTTTCCATTACATTTAGAATAAAAATAGAACATCTATCTTGGATTTTAAGGCTGTGCACCATCTACATTCTGCCTGCTCCTCTAAACTCATCTTCTCCCAGTGCCTCTTACTCACTCAATCACAGCTACGCTGGCCTTTGTGAAGTTTTTCTAACACTGTGAGTTTAGTCCAGATTCAAGACCTTCATGTTTGCTGTTCCATCTCCCAGGCAGCCACTGCCTCTGAAATCTATTGACTTGCTCACTTCATTCAAATATCTGTGCAAACGATACCTCCTCTAAGAGATCTCCGATCTTCTTATATAAAATACCATTCCCCCATAAATCTCTATCCTTTGACCTACTTTAATTTTTTAATAGTGGTTATTTGAAATTTGCATAATTTATATACTTTCTTGTTAAAGATCAATGTCTCCCCATGGAACATAACACTCTAAGTCAGAGACATTTTTAATACTCTAACCTCAGTGGCCACAACAGTTACCAGCACATAGGACACACTCAGCACAATTTTATACCTATATTTATTCAAGTAGATTTTCTTTTTATTATCTGATACAGATTCTAACTAGTAACACAGCTGAAATAAAATCTAAGTTCTCTTCATTTCCTTTAATTATATTGCATAGATTATCACAATTTGTAATTATATATGCAATTATTCTGTGTGATGTTTGTGAAATTCACAAGAGTAAGGAACAGTCTGTTGTCCATTTTGTTCACTGATGTATTGTCCTTAGTTTACACAATTCCTGAAGTATAGTGTGTGCTTCATAAATATGTATTGAATACATAAATGAATAAACTCAAGAATGTAGATATGAAAAAATTGATATTTCTCAATGTATAGGGAAACAAGAAAACTGAGTTAGAATGAGTTCCCTAACCCTCTCCACACAGGTGGCCCTGGCTCTCTAAAGCTAGCTATGAAAATACTGCCCTCTCATGGACCACTTCAGACTAAATTAGAAAAAGCACACTGTATCTATTCCATTATTATGTAAATTGGACCCTAAAGGGACCTATACTGAAAGGTAACTATTTAACCAAAAATTACCAATCTGGGCTTCTTAGACTTGTAGATGATTTCCCATTGCAATATACTAGGTAATAAGGCTGTACATGACAGGACAATTTTAACTATTGTGTTTATCTTTCAGCCTGCATGACTTTTAAAATGCTTTCAGGATTAAAAATGAAGGGACCTCGACCGTGGGGTTTCAATATTAAAGATGGTCAGAAAAATGTAACAAATCCCTACACACCTGGCTATCAGCACAACTCTCTGCTTGTTTGAAATATCTTTGTTTGTTTTTCACACCAACATCAATGTAACTGGGAAGAATCAAATAAACAATTTGTAAAGGTGACTCTTAAAATAACGTGAATATATGTGAGTATGGGGAATGGGGGTGATGATGTAGGAAAACACAAGGTTTTGTGCATTGTGAGTAAGGGAGGAGACCACCCCTCATGTTGTCTTATGCCCAATTTCTGCCTCCAAAGAAAGAAGAAGTAAAAACTAAAAGGCAGAAATGAAATCCACAGGCAGACAGCCCAGCGCTGTGCCCTGGGCCTGGTAGTTAAAGATCGATCTCTGACCTAACTGGTTATGTTAACTATAGATTTCAGACATTCTGTGGAAAAGCATCATTAAAATCCCTGTCCTGTTCTGTTCCGTTCTGATTACTGGTGCATGCAGCCCCAAGTCACGTACCCGCTGCTTGCTCAAACGATCACGACCCTCTCACATGGACCCCCTTAGAGTTCTAAGCCCTTAAAAGGGACAGGAATTGCTCACTCAGGGAGCTCCGTTTTTGAGACGTGAGTCTTGCCGACGCTCGCAGCCGAATAAAGCCCTTCCTTCTTTAACTCGGTGTCTGAGGGGTTTTGTCTGCAGCTTGTACTGCTACATGAGTACTGCACTCCTTATTCTGGGGGGAAAGTGGTGTTTTACTTCTACTCCCTCATTGCTCAATCCAATAATGTGACTTGCATTAATAGTGCTCTCAGAAGGGAAAGGTGCAAGAACTATAGTAGAGCCCATTTAGTAATTTAATCATTTGCATTTGTATGGCACGTTTTTCCCTAAGTAATCAAGCACTTGCCTTACACAAATATTCCCTAGAAATAGGTCAGTTTGTCTCTGACATACTGGCATCTTCTTCTGTACTTCTCACTCCCCAACGAAGTGACCTCCCCTTCCCGCATTTAGTTCCCTGAAAACCCCTGCTCCCCTCTCTCTTCACTACAGGTAAGATAATTACAAATATTCTGAGTATAAAGGAGTTCCTGAGATTGCTGGACAAAAAAAAAAAATGCTTCTGAGACTTGACTCCCTTTTCATTTCTAAGTAAGAATAAACGGCAGAAACTTTATAAAATCTAGATTTTTAAAATTTGGGTAACTCACTAAAAATGCAGAAATGCAGATTCCTGAGTTTTAATGAGATTATCAGAAAACCGAGAACACAGTTTCTGGGACTGATGTCAGGAAATGTAGTTTTAGCAAGCATTCCAGGTGACTAGATACCCCTCAATGCTTTCCATTCTATTTATTAGTTATTTTAATATTATTGAAGTTATAAACTATATTAAAAATAGAAAAATTCGGCTGGGCATGGTGGCTCATGCCTGTAATCCCAGCACTTTGGGAGGCTGAGGCAGGCGGATCACGAGGTCAAGAGATCGAGACCTTCCTGGCCAACATGGTGAAACACCGTCTCTACTAAAAATACAAAAATTAGCTGAGGGTGGTGGTGCATACCTGTAGTCCCAGCTACTTGGGAGGCTGAGGCAGGACGATTGTTTGAACCCAGGAGGCATAGGTTGCAGTGAGCCGAGATTGCGCCACTGCACTCCAGCCTGGTGACAGAGTGAGACTCCATCTCAAAAAAAAAAAAAAAAAAAAAAAGATAAAAATTCAAGAAATAGTTAAAAGGACCTGTTAGTTTATATAATATCCAGATTTAGTACACAGCCATTTATTTTTGCATTCATGAGTTAACTAAAATTTAAACAAAATATTTTAGGTGAATTTTAAACCTCACTCCCATTCTATGCTATTTCTCCCCTCTCCACAGCTAACCAATACCATAAAGTCTTTATATGTGTTATATTTGCATGTTTCTTTGTATTTTATTCAAGTGTAATATCATGCATATATTTTCAGAAATCATGATCTACTTTGTCACTATCACCCAGAAGGAGAAAGAGAACATTGCCAACACTTCCGGAGGCCTTCTCTTTAGTATCGCCCTCCTGTTGTCTCAAATAATGCCTTGGATATTTTATTCCCAAATCCTTCACAGAAGGATCTTAAACTCTCACTTCTGTTTACTTGTTTCCCCAGTATAAGATATCTTATAATGATATAATGGAGTCACATATTATATATGTGTGTATATATGTGTGTGTATACACATATATAATATATATAATCATATATAATCTATATATGGATTTTATTTTTGAGTAACTTTAGGCTTACAGAAAAAAATTAGAGAAAAGTATAGAGTTCCCATACACCCCTCCTACCTCAGTTTCTCTTATTATTAACATTTTGAATTAGCCTGGTGCATTTGTTACAATTATTAAGCCAATATTGATACATTATTAGCCAAAATCTATGATTTACATTAGGGTTAACTCTCTATGTTATGCATATTATGGCTTTTGACAAATGAATACTGAAATGTACATATCATTACAGCATCATACAAAACAGTTTCACTGCCCTAAAAATCCACCTGTATTCCACCTATTCATCCCTCCCTCTCCACAAATCCCTAGCAACCTCTGATCTTTTTTCCATCTGTAATAGTTTTGCCTTTTCCAGGATGTCATATAGTTGGAATGATACAGTAGGCACCCTTTACAGATAGGCTTCTTTCTCTTGGCAATAGGTAGTTAAGGCTCCTTGACGTCTTTTTTGGTTTGATAGTTCATTTATTTTTATTGTTGAATAATATTATATGATATAACAGAGTTTGTTCATCCATTCACCTATTGAAGGACATCTTGATTACTTCCTAGTTTTGGCAATTATAAATAAAGCTGCTATGAACATTTATGTGCAGGTATTTCTGTGGTTGTAAGTTTTCAACTCATTTGGGTAAATACGAAAGAATGTGATTGGTGGATTCTATGATAGGAGTATATTTAATTTTGTCAGATGCTGACAAACTGTCTTTTTTAAGTGAGTGTGCCTTTGTCCAATCTCACTAGCAATGAGTGACAGTCCCTGTTGCTCCACATCCTTAACATCAGTTGGTATTTTCAGTATTTCACATTTTCTCCATTTTAATAGATGTCTAATAGTATCTCATTGTTATTTTAACTTGCAATTCCCTCGCGATATTTAATGTTATGTCTTTTCATGTTTATTTCTCACTTGTATATCTTATTTGGTGAGGTATCCAGACCTTCTGCCCAGGTTTTAAATTGAATTGCTTGTTTATTTTAAGAGTTCTTTCATATTTTAGATACTAATCTTTTATCAGACAGATTTTGCAAATAGTTTTTCCAATATGTGACTTTTAAAAATTCTCTTCACGGTATTTTCACAGAACAGAACTTTTTAATTTTAATGAAGTCCAATATCGTTTTTTCATAATTTTGCTTCAATGTGGTATGTATGTAAGAAGTTACTGCCAAATACAAGTCACCGAGATTTTGTCCTATGTTGCATTTTAGATATTTTATAGTTTCTATAGTTTGACATTAAATATAGGTCTATAATCCATTTTGAGTTAATTTTTTGAGAAGCAAAGGTCTTTGCCTAGATTCTTGTCTTTTTAAAATTTCTCTTCTTTTATTTTATTTTATTTTATTTTCTTGTCTGTTTCCCTCTCTCTCTCTCTCTTTTTTTTTTTTTTTTTTTTTTTTTTTTTTTTTTGTACATGGACGTTCAGTTGTGCCAGCACCGTTTGTGGAAAGAATATTCTTTCTCAGACGAATTGCCTTTGTGCCTTTGTTAAAGATCTGTTCATTGCATTTGCATGAGTCTATTTCTTGACTCTCTACTGTGTTCCTTTGATCTGTTTGACTTATCTTTTTGCCAATACCATAGGACCTTGTTTCCTACAGTGTTTGGTCAGGTAGTGTCAGTCAGCAGAACTTGTTCATCTCAGATATTGTGTTGACAATTCTGTGTGGTTTTTGTTGTTATTGTTGTTGTTCGTTCATTTGTTTTACCTTCCGTATAAATTGTAGCTCACTTTGTCAAGATCCACAAAATAACTTAATAACTTTCTGGGATTTTGATTGGGATTGTATTGAAGCTGTAGATCAAGTATGAAAGAACTGGCATCTTAATAATTGTCAGTCCCCCTGCCATGAACATTGAATTTTTCTTCATTTATTTAGATCTTTTATTTCTTTCATCAGGCTTCTTCTAATTTTAATAAACTGTTTTGGTTGTTCTCAGCAGATTCACTGGTCTATCACAAATTTTTTCATCACAGCTGGAAACTGATTTTTTTCCCCAGATGATACTTAAGGTCTCTAAAGCTTGAGATCCACTGTAATGCAGAAATAGATTTTGATTTAATATAAAGAAACACATTTCAAACATGAAAATGAGTTTAAATCAAGGGTAGAACATGAAATCAAAATCTCTGGAGTTGCAGGGCATTGGCTCAAATTATTGATCTAATATTTGTAATAAGTCTTGATTAGATTTATTTGATGCTTATGAGCATCTTTTTTTCAATGTGTGCTCTGCAGATATAAGCATTATCAATTCAATATTGCTTGATGAGCATTAAATGACCTAGCATATGCAAATTGCTAATGAATAACAAATAGTACTTAATGTATTATTTTGTTATATTTTATATTTTGTTATTGGTTATAGAAAAAGATATGTAAGTATAAATAAGCAAATAGGAAGGTTTTTCCAGGTTTAAAAAAAAATTATTTTAATTCCAGAGGTCCAAGTGCAGGTTTGTTACATAGGTAAGCTTGTGTTATTAGGGTTTGTTGTACAGATTATTTCATCATCCAGGTATTAAGCCTGGTACCCATTAGTTATTTTTCCTGATCCTCTCCCTTCTCTAACCCTCCACCCTCTGACACACCCCATTGTGTGTTATTCCCCTCTATGTGTCCATATGTTCTCATCATTTAGCTCCTATTTATAAGTCAGAACATGTGATACTTGGTTTTCATTTCCTGTCTTAGTTTGCTAAGGATAATGGCCTCCAACTCCATCCATGTTCCTGCAAAGGACAGGACCCCATTCTTCTTTAGGGCTGCAAAATATTCTAGGGTGTATATGTACCACATTTTATTCATCCAGTCTATCATTGATGGGCATTTTGGTTGATTCTATGTCTTTGCTATTGTGAACAGTGCTACATTGAACATATGTGTGTATATGTCTTTATAATATAAGGATTTCTATTCCTTCAGATATACACCCAGTAATGAGATTGCTGGGTCACATGGTATTTGTCTTTAGGTCTTTGAGGAACCTTCAAACTGGTTGAACTAACTTACGCTCCCACCAACAGTGTATAAGCCTTCCCTTTTCTCCACAGCCTGGCCAGCACCAGTTATTTTTTGACTTTTTGATAATAGCCTTTCTGGTGTGAGATGGTATGTCATTGTGGCTTTAATTTGCATTTCTCTAACGGTCAGTGATGTTGAATTTTTTTCATATGATTATTGGCCACATGTATGTTGTCTTTTGAAAAGTGTCTGTTCATGTCCTTTGCCTACTTTTTAATGAGGTTGGTTTTTTTCCTTGTAAATTTGTTTAAGTTCCTTACAGATGCTGGATATTAGACTTTTGTCTAATAATTAGGCCTTCTTTGTATTGAATATCATATGAATAGCAATTGGTCAGTCTTCTGATCTTTATTTTAACATTAATGATGGTCAGTTGTGTCCAAACCACAAAAGTGAGGGAGCACAATGAAGCCTGTTCAACCTCCCATCAAACCATGGCCAGAAACTCAGTTTTTAAGGTTTCTCTGGGGTTCCCTTGGCCAATAGGTATTTGCCTGTTCAGTCAATTGGGGGTTTTAGGATTTTATTTTTAATTCTCAGTCTTTTACAAATTTCTACTGATTTTGATCCAAATACTGCCAAAATTTAGAATTGTAATTTTAAAAAAATCTAATGTCATTTGATTAATGAAGTAGTTATTCAAAGGAACAGGCCCAAACATTTCAAAAATCAATGTAATTATATGGTGAAAAGAGAAAGCACATGTTCATATCTGTCATGCTTAGGATTTCATTTGTTTGTTTTATTCAATATCATTTTCAGTGCCAGAAAGTATAGTTTATTTATTCTAATTCTGTGTGACTATGTAAATTCAAATATACATTTGTGCATTTTAATAAGCAATGGTTATATTTCTAGTTTAACTAGTAGATTGTCTCAGCTTATTTGAACATGATTAATGAATTATGTGTGCACAAAAACCTATTCAATGTATGTATATACTAATGTAAAAATAATGTTTTTAGCATGATTCTATGCTATGTCAAAATTTCCATTTATATTGTCACTATAAAAACAAAGATTTAAGATTTTGTGTTTAAAGCTGAAATTTTTAACAGAATTTACAAGAGCATTCATAGTAATGTCTCATGTTCCAGCTTCAATAAAGTAAACTTAAAAAAATTAATTTGGGGCAAAATATTGAAGGATAAAACAATTGAACCATTATCAGAATTAAATAATATTCTATTTGAAGCTTTTCTGTAATTGATACAACTGGCATAATTTATCTGTTTAAGAAAGAAGAAAAAAATAACTTACAACAGTTATTTGATCCAAATGTAAAGTCATACTTCAGAGTATTACACATCAACACATTTTAGTAACTACAAAGATTAAAATATTGTTTTCTGAAACAGTCCTCTTTAGGTAACTAAGAATGTTTGGAGATATATGCCCATATTAGTCCATTTTCATACTTCTGGGAAGAAATACTCAAGAGTGGGTAATTTATAAAGAAAAAGAGCTTTAATAGACTCAGAGTTCCACATGGCTGGGGAGGCCTCACCATCATGGCAGAAGGCCAAGGAAAAGCAAAAGCATGTCTTACATGGTAGCAGGCAAGCAAGCATTTGCGTAGGAACTGCCCGTTATGAAACCATCAGATCTCATGAGACTTGTTCACTATCATGAGAATAGCATAGGCAAAACCCACTCCCATGATTCAATTGCCTCCCACTGTGTCCCTCCCACAACACGTGGGGAATATGGGAGTTACAATAGAAGGTGAGAGTTGGGTGGGAATGCAGCCAAACCATATCAATGCCACTTTGTCTTTGGCAGACTTACTTCCTCTCCTTCTCTTGTTCTGTGACTGGTGTCTCCATTAGCCCCATGGAAGATGATAAATATAAACAAATATTTTGTGCATAGTATAACTATATCATTACTTACTTCATTGAAATAAAATCCAGTACTTACTTTTTAACTATAAAATAAACTTTCATTATCTAGCTGATTCTTCAGGGTTTATTACAAAAGGAAAAATTTTTATAAAACCAAAATATGAATTTAAGGGTTGTATAATTATATTGTATAGTTATAGATTTACGTAAGACTTGCCAAACCCACCACAGCAGGAAAGTTAACTACTCATTATGTGTCTTATAACTGGCCCACTCTGTCTCTCTTTCCTGGCATATATTATTCATGTTTCCCACTAACTCTTGAATAATGGCCTGGTGATTTCATTCATTGCACACCATCAATGGCATAAGCCGTGGGACAATTGAATAGTAAACAAGCATCTGACAGAAACAGCAGCATTAAATACCCCTTCTACTACCACCCATTATGGGAACGAACTAGGTATCCCTAACTATGTTTTT
Source organism: Homo sapiens (assembly GCF_000001405.40). Classification (NCBI taxonomy): domain Eukaryota; kingdom Metazoa; phylum Chordata; class Mammalia; order Primates; family Hominidae; genus Homo; species Homo sapiens. The sequence goes on from NC_000017.11 coordinate 53,158,198, forward strand.
CTGAGCTTATTTTGCTCTATCAGTAGATGTCTTGCATACTTCTCCAAACATGAAGGTGTGAGTAGGGTAAATGTTATTTTGATTTAACCATGTTAAGGTAAAAAGTATTTTCATTGCGTATGTATTTATCAATTGCTTCTGAATTTACTTAAATTCAATGATTAATAAAAAGTAAAAAAGAAATCAAGAGCAAATGTTAAAACAGATGAAATTCTCACTCCCAATGAGAACACATGGACACAGGGAGGGGAATATCACACACCTCGGCCTGTCGGTGGTGGGGGTTTAGGGGAAGGATAGCATCAGGAGAAATACCTAATGGAGATGACGAGTTGATGGGTCCAGCAAACCACCATGGCACTTGTACACTTATGTAACAAACCTGCACATTCTGCACATGTATCCCAGAACTTAAAGTATAATAAAAAATAAATTAATTAATTTTTAGAAAAAGAATGACTTAGGGTTAGAAAAAGATTTAAACTGGGAGGTTGGGTTGGAGGGAGGGCTTAGGGAAAGCCTCATTAAGGAGTTAACAAACAAACAAACAAAAAAACAGATGAAATTTATGAGAACACAAACCACAAGGGACACAGAGTCACCCACCACTACATCATCATATTCTTATTTAAGAAGTAGCTCACATTAGTCCCTGTGAATCATAAATGACTTTTTCTTCTACTTCATGTGATTGTTTTCCAGTCTCGGTGCTAACAATTCTTGGGCACAGGTCTTCTGCTTTTTGTATTGGCATCAATTATCTTGCAGCAGCTCTGCTCTCAGTCGTATCCAGGCTGACACTGCTGTAAGCAGTATTCTGTAGTGGCCAGGGTTAAATCAGGCATATGTACCTTCCTCCCAAATATGTTAAGCTTTATTGTTAGACTGCACGCTGGGCAGATGATCTCAGTTTAGTAGTGTTTTATTTTTGCACATTTACTCAGCCATTTTATGTTATGTTATGTTATGTTATGTTATGTTATGTTATGTTATGTTATGTTATTTTTTTGAGACCAAGTCTCGTTTGTCATCCAGGCTGGAGTGCAGTGGCGCGATCTCGGCTCACTGCAGCCTCCAGCTCCCGGGTTCAAGCAATTCTCCTGCCTGAGCTACCCTGAGACAAATTCCTGGTGACATAAATCAGATGATAATTTAAATGACTCCACTTCCCTATTTTAATCCTGAATCCCTACGAATTTGCTTTGGAATAGATGTCTTCTTTTATATAAATATGTCTGGGGATTAAGAGCTGGCCGATATTTTCTGACTTCTCAATCACCCAACACATCTTATCCTGGACCCTCCCACAAAAGAAGTTGATGATTTATGAAAATTAAATCTTAAGGAGAAGACAAACATACTTTAACATGATTGATTTACACAGGTTATAAGGCTTAGATTCTTGACATGGAAGTATTTGCACATAAACCATGGCAGTTCAATATAAAAATGTAATTCGTGTTTCTGTTTCAATGAGAAAATAAGGAGTGAGTCAAATAAAGTTGCAACAGTATTGAGATACATTTTGATACATGAATCTAAGTTACTTAAGCAAATAAAGTCCACCCTAAGAAGTGTGGTTTGCGGTAGTAGGAGGACACAGTTTGTTAAATAGGGGAGTAGAATATGTACTTAGAGCTAGAGAGTAATAACTCCTATAGCAGTTTTGTAAATGAGTGGAAAAAGGAATAAGTCAGGCAGAAGTAATCTCACTAGGAAGTGATTAAAACATTCTAAAAGATAGGCCTACGTTATAAATATAGATTTCCAGGTGTCTGAAGATTCTCATTCGGGGGACTGACTATGTGTGTTTTTAACAAGTGGAATGCTAATTTGTTTACTCCTCCTGCTTTTAGGAAGTTAGTCAGATAGTCAGAAAACTACATAAGCATCCCAGAAGTATTGTAAATGAGAGGACCAAGATCTCCATCACAGCTATGGACTAAAAAAATGAGTCAGGACCTAGTGTCAGGGAAGGATAGCAAGATAATTTGGGGGTAGAAAGAAATGGTACCTCTAGGCTGACTCTTTGGACAAATCAGGTAATCAAGGAGGTCTTGGTTCTGAGTCAATAAATAACAAAAGTTGCAGTGACATTCTTTAGGGAAAAGTCCCAAGAAAGTAAACAACAAAAGATAATATTTTTTGACCTGGGACACCCTAAGCTAGTATCACAGAAATGTGAGGAATTTATTGTCTCTTGCATTGTAAAGAACCAATATGATAAGAAGAGGCCCAAGGGCAAGACAGTACAAAATAAACTAATCTTTGAGGGGGAAGAAAGAAATACCTAGAGAAATGTTTGGATTATTGTAAGAAAGGTGAAGGCAACACTCATGGAGAAGAGGCTGTTATGATAAAAAATGAGACAGGGGTGTGCACCGTTTGATTGTAATATTTAACAGACATATGACCTTGTTTTACCACAGAAGGCAAATTAATGTTGATAATGCAGCAATAATGATAATATCAATAAGAGTTTAAGTATATAAAGCGATTAATGTGTGCCAGAAACACTTCTAAGTGTTTAGTAAGCATTGTCTGATACCATTTTTGTTGACAATTTTGTGAATAAATACTCTATTATCTTAATTTTACTATGAAATATATTGATGGCAAGACAATCTACCTACATTAATCAAATTTTTGGTTAGGTGATTAGAGGTAGGTAATTCAGTTAATAAAAAAAAGACAAAACAAAAAATAAAATGAATGTAACACTTTTAAAAGACTAAACGAGAGCAAAAAAGGGAGCTAAATAGGAAGAGTTCGAGTTATGCTTATTTTTTAAATTTTTTTATTAAGTACATCTAACTCATAGTATAACCCATTATGCTATACCACTGTCTCCTGTTGCCAGTGATCTGTGTTTTATCTTCAAACCTAGTCAAAAATATAAAGCAATGATTAGGTCAGTTGAGACGATGAGTTCTCCATGGGAAATCAAAGCAATCTTTAAATGAGTGTATCTTTTTTGTTTTTTTGTTTGTTTTTTTTTGTTTTTGTTTTTGTTTTTTTCAGATGGAGTCTCGCTCCGTCGCCCAGGCTGGAGTGCAGTGGTGCTATCTCGGCTCACTGCAAACTCCGCCTCCCTGGTTCACACCATTCTCCTTCCTCAGCCTACTCAGTAGCTGGGACTACAGGCCCCGCCACCCTGCCCAGCTAATTTTTTGTATTTTTAGTAGAGACGGGGTTTCACCATGTTAGCCAGGATGGTCTCGATCTCCTGACCTTGTGATCCGCCTGCCTCGGCCTCCCGAAGTGCTGGGATTACAGGCCTGAGCCACCGCACCCGGCCAAATGAATGTATCTTAATTCCTAAACATACAGGGCTTCAGCAGTGTTTTTCTGTTTGTTTAGAAGCTTAATTCCACTATTAGCAGAGAACTACATTGTATGGTATCAGGCCTTTGGATTCTCTTGAGTTTTGGTTTATGATCCAGCATATGTACAATTTTGGAAATGTTGTTTGTGTGCTTGAAGCAACTGTTTCCATTGCCCTTGCCAATTTTATGTATATGTCAGTTAGATCAACTTTAATTGTGTTTATCAAATCATCTCAAACTTAACATTTTATGTCTGTTTATAAAATACTGAGAGAGGTACATGAAAAATTTCTCAAGCTGTCTTGCATTTGTGTGGCTTTCCTTTCAGTTCTGTAAACCTTTGTGTTATCGAAGTTGAGGTTATTCTACTATTTAAAATTTGGAATTGTTAGATACTTTTGGTGAGTTCAAACATTTAAAAATATAAACTTTTTCCTTACTTTTTTTTTCTTAAAGTCTCCTTTACCTTTAATTAGCTGCAAGGGCTTTCTTTTGGCAATTGTTTATGTGATATAACTCTTCTCCGTTCTTTCTTTCTTTTTTTTTTTTTTATTTGAGTTGGAGTCTTGCTCTGTCACCCAGGCTGGAGTGCAGTGGCGCGATCTCAGCTCACTGCAAGCTCCGCCTCCCGGGTTCATGCCATTCTCCTGCCTCAGCCTCCCGAGTAGCTGGGACTACAGGCGCCCGCCACCACGCCCAGCTAATTTTTTGTATTTTTAGTAGAGACAGGGTTTCACCGTGTTAGCCAGGATGGTCTCGGTCTCCTGACCTCGTGATCCACCCACCTCGGCCTTCCAAAGTGCTGGGATTACAGGCATGAGCCACCGTGCCCGGCCTCTTTTCCATTCTTTCTTATATCCATTTATTTAAGATATTCTTCATGTAAACACTATATTGTTACTACTGTAGCTAGTTTTCACTTTTGCTTTTAATGCGAGTATTTAGTCAGTTCTTCTGTCATAGTAAGACTAATTTGTTTGTGATTAAATCTACCACATTACCATTCACTTTCAATTCATTCCTTGTGTCCTATGTTTCTATTTATCTCCCTCTTTAGCTCTTGTTCAGTATTTTAAAATATTTTTTTACCCTCCACTATTGGTTTGTTAATTATGTGTAATTATTAGTATAGCATAGACCCTAAAAACTGCAAACCACATCCTTGCCTTAGGGCTTTAGAACCCATTTAGTATAATTTTTGCTCTCCCTCACCTCTTGCATGATAAATATTGTTTATTAAGACTCACTTGAGAGCAACCTTCAATTCAAAACAACTTTTTATTGAAGATAATGGTTATCTTACAGTAAAGTGGAGCATTATGATCCTGTAATAAAGTATTGATATACACAAGCCAGAGGGCCTAATAGTGAGAAGAGGGACCTTGTTATTTTCTTTATCAATCAGAGTATTCAAACACATGCATAAGCTGGATTTATCTGGGGCGAACTATGTGTCGGATACTTTACTGGCCTTTGAAGTTTCAATAGAGAGCAAGAGAAACATATTTGCTTCCTTCCAGGACACTAAATTCTGATAGAGAAAGAGACACAAGTTAAGTAGATGCATATATAACCTAGTTCAAATGTTTTATGAATTTTATGAAAAAAATAAGCAAAGGGATGTGATGAGCAGAATTATGGGCAGTGTGGATGGAACTAATTTAGGGTTATCTCAGAAAGCATCTCCGATTAGACCTGTATACCTCGGGACAAAATACAGTTAACTGTGCAAATAGGCCAAGTGTGGTCCATGCAAGAGGAGAGCAGTTGCTCTTTTTTCCATTCATATGCTGGATGAAGATAATCATGTCAAACTTGGATGTCACATGGGGAAGATGGAGGAATTCAGCACTGAAGACCTCAAATAAACAGTTAAAGGAGAGTTCCATTTCAAGTCAGTAACACATATTTTGGATTTTACCAGAGAAATAAATAAAATGTGCTTATATTTGAGCTATTATATATTTTCAAGTTCACTCATTAAAGCTGTTTGCAACACCTTAGCTAAAATTAATACAGAAGAATCTTAATTTTATTTATAGTTCAAATCTATTGCAAACTTCAAGCAATAGCATGATACGATTATATTTATGATGCATTATTACTCTGAACAAAAAGTGGAAAATGGATAAAGGCAGAAGCGAGATGAAAACAGAAGAATGGTTACAAGGTTGAAATAGTGGTCCTGGCTAGAAATGATGATGTTTCAGACTAGAGATGAGGCAACAAATACAGAGAAGAGTGATACATTTTTTATTACCAGTAGTAGTACTTGCTATTAAAATTTGTTTTCCTTAAATAGATGTGCTTCTAAGGCTACTGTAACTGTGTAGGTTAAGATTAGCAATTGTTTTTGTGTAATAGATATTTCCCTCTTTAACATATACTGAAAAAAAGAAGCATATTAATTTAACTGTTAATGTGGTTATTTCACACTACTAATGGGAGAGATGATGGTTTCACATGCACATGTACAATTTGAGACCATGAAAAAACATGTACAATATATGATTTTGTGCACACGCTATCTCAGATGTGTGTTTTGTTAGCAGATATAGTCATTTGCTGATTATTAAAACATTAATAGCATACAAACAAAAACATAAAGGCTCAGCATTTTAACTAGAACTTGGTATTGTTGGGTTTTAAATTTTATTTTAATTTTAGCCATTCTAACAGATGTATAGTATATCTCATTGTGGTTTTAAGTTGTGCTTCTCTAATGACTAAAGAAGTTGAGAATTTCTTTATGAGCTTATTTCCCATCTGTATATCTTCTTTGGTGAATTGCCTGTTCAAATTATTTACCTATCTTTTAATTGAATTGTTTCTTTTCTTGATACTGAGTTCTGAATCTTCTGGTTACAAGGCCTTTGTCAGTTATGTGATTTGCAAATAGACAATTCTCTCTGTATCCATGGGTGATTGGTTCCAGAACTCTCTGCAGATACCAAAATCTGCAAATGCGCAAGTCGCCTATATAAAATGGTATAGTATTTGCCTATAACTTATGTATACTTTGTTGTATACTTTAAATCATCTCTAGATTACATAAAATACCTAAAACAATGTTAATGCTATGTAAATATTTGCTATACTGTATTGTTTAGGGAAAACTTACAAGAAAAAAATGACTGTACATTTTCAGTACAGGTGCAACCATCCTTTGTTTCTCCCAATATTTTTATTAAGAAATTTGCTGAATCCACATATGAGGAACCCATGGATATGAAAGGCTGGCTGTATTTTTCTCTCAGTATAACTAGTTTGTCTCTTCATCCTTGTAGCAGTGTATTTCAAAGAGCATATATTTGTAATATGGATGAAAATTAAACTTGTGAATGCTATTTAAAACCAAAATGATATACTGGTACACAATTAGTAGAATAGAAAATAAACAGAATCAGAAAACTTACAATACCAACCGTTAGCAATGGTATAGACCAACAGGAATTTTCATACATTGCTTGTGGGAATGCAAAATGGTGTAGACACTCTGGAAAACAGTTAAGTGGTCTCTTAGGAAGATAAAACCCACGGATATAGCCCAGAGATCCTACTCTGTGGCATTATCTTAGAGAGATAAAAATTTTCTATGCACACACCTACTCATACGTACATACACACAAAAAACCTGGCCATGAATATTTACAACAGTTTTATTTGTAATTGCTGAAAACAAGAAACTCTCCAAATATGCTCACAGGAAAATGCATAAAGAGTCGTAAGAGCAATAAAACAGAACAAACTATTGATACATACAATAACATTGATTGATTACTTTCAAAAACATTATGCTAAATTAAAGAGGCCAATCTCAGAAAGTTGCATATTGTATGATTCCATTTATATGACTTTTTAGAAAAGATAAAGCTGAGAACAGATCAATGATTGTCAGGAATTATGAACGGTGGAAAGTTTGACTATAAAAGACAGAATGAGGGAATTTTCAGGAGTTTACATCAAACTATTCTGTATTCTGACTGTGATAGTGGTTACATGAATCTATACATGTGTTGAAACTCACTGAACTCTACATAGAAAAATCAATTTTACTGTATGTAAATATAAAAATGATAATGAAAAAGTACTTTACAAGAAAGATAAGAAACAAACAAACTCTGAACAGTTTTCCCCAAGGCATGAAAATGAGTCCATAATATGAAATTCAATTTGTATAGATTCTAGTACATAAATGAAACAATAATCAAATCCTGCTGTCTATATCCTTGTTTTTTTGAAAACCAAATTCTCCAGAATATTGCATTTAACACTTTGAGAATCACATTTTATTAATTGGTGTTAAAGAACTTAAAAAAAAGAGGATATGGGAAATAACTTAGAAAATTAGTTTCAAAAAATATAATAAAATATAAACAAATACAGTAGTATACTGTAATTATAATGTAATATTTCTTGTAACTTCATGGGAAACAATTTAATGTCTCAACCTAGTTCATGTATTCCTCAAACATGTATTCAACTTGATGGAAATTTTCCTATGTATTATACTGTAATCCACGAGAGTGGGAAGTAACAATTCTTTACCATCTTGCTGTAACTGGGTAGGCATTTTAAGATGACGCTAAAGCTTGTGTCTCTGAGAGGGCATTGTATGGGAGTGTGTATGCAGAAGTTGAGTGCTGATGCAGCAGAGACCTCAGGTTCCCATGGCACAAGACAATAGGCAATTTAATTTTTCTGCTTGACACGCCATAAAACATAAAAAATGCCTATCTATAGACACATCTGTATTGCAAATTATTGTTTACCCATTACCCTCTACCACTAGAGTATGTTCCACAAAAAGAGTATAGTTTTATTCATTTCATTATCCTCAACATTCTCAGGTTACTGATATATTGTATGCTTTCAATACAAATATATTTCACTAAATGGATGACTGGATGGTGGATAAATGAATAAATGGAATAATTAAATAATTAATGAGTTAAAAGAGCAGTGGCTTTTCCCCATTTCTCTCTTCCTGTTTAGAATGCCAGTGGGCCACAATCCATTCAGTTAAATTATAGAATATACATATTAGTCCAGATATATATTTGTCTATTTTCTAAGATCCCTACGCATATATTTTATTCTTAAGTATATTTATTAGGTCTATATACGTCATCTTCTGGAACATATCAACAATATCTATAATAAAAAATTCACCTTACTAAAGCTACTTAGAACCCATTTTCTATTTTTTTTCTTTTCACTTTCAAATCTGTTATCTTTTGTAATAAGTAATTTCCTCCCAGGTACAGGTGACTCACTTTATTTGAATCAAAGTGACTTCAGTGTTCAATCTGGATTTTGCTGATGTGCCTAGTTTCAAATATTGAGCTAGTCACTTTTTGGCAGAGGAGACTCGCTTGGTGCCAAGTAATTTAGAAAGCTAGGAGGAACTCCAGTTGGAAGTCAGGCAGAGAGCAGAATCAGGTGCCAAATTTTCTTTTCCTATCAAATGAGAAAGCTGGTAAATGGAAGTGAATTTTGCAGACATTTACTACTAGGAACAAATGCCATAAAAGGACTGAAACCAAAAGCTTCTTCTAGATGGTGGTCATAGCAGTCACTTTTATAATTCTAGTCCTTAGCATGGTGCCTAGCTCCGAGGACACATCCAATTAGGATGTGTTGTTCAACTCAGATGATATGTACCTCAGCAGAATATCTTACTTCTTTTGCCTCCACATATTAATCCCCTTTTCAGAGAGTCTGCTACTCAGCTGACTGCTGTGCACCCCCAACCACTGCCATGTTCTCTAGAATTTGCTATATCTCTTTAAACTTTTCCTCTCAGTATTTCTGACTTAATTGTTAGCAATTGAGTTCTACAAGAGTTGCATAAAATTGGAAAATAACTAATTCCCAATACATATTCATCAGTGTGATTTTATTTAAAAGCAAATGAATAGCATCAGATCATCATGCTTTCCAGAGTCACAGAATTAAATTACAAGCCCTGATTTAAATTTTGAAAACAAACAGGACCAAAAGAAGAATAGTGATTTTTACCCCATATTTTATCAATTATTTTGCAGTTACAGAGATGTTTTTTGAATTGTAATGGAAAGGTTATAGGTAAATTGCCTTTTATTTATAAGAATAGTATTTTAAAATGATGATGAAATTCAATCAGAACACACTTGGAAAACATTATTTTGGATAAATATTAATATCGTCCATAACTATATGATAGGAGAGGGCTACCTCAGCACCTCTTTTGAACAAAAGTGTTCTGAGGCAGAACGTGGCATATCACAAATTGAGCCCACAACAATAATGTGCAATGCTCAAAAACAAACAAAAAAATCTTGTTTAAAAATTCTCAGCACCTTGAATTATGAGTACTACATTTAATGGCAGCTCTAACTTGGACTTTGGGGTTACTTGGGCTCGAGTTCAGAACTGTGCCTGAAAATGCATGGAAGTTTTTTAAAGCACACTTAGGTAACAAGCCAACATTGTATAGTGGAAATAGCACATAAGAGCCTATTTAAATGCCCAGTATCTCGCCAAGTTCTGCAGGACACAGTTCTCCAAAGAAAGCGTAAAGACACAGCCTTCGGTTATCAATGGCTCTGGAGCATGCCATGTTCTTACCTGAGGCAGTGCAGTTATACATTCTGGGTTAACTACAGGGAATCCCAGGCACCCTCTTTTCAGAATATGCAAGCCCTTATAATACCTTGAAGGTCCACCTTTAAATTTGCTTTTTCCTTGAGATTTCTCACTCAGAGCATGTGCTGTCTTCTTTCCATGTTCCATTCATAAGACTTCATGGACATATTGCCTATGGTAGATGTTGAATGATGTTATAGGTCATTTTTTTTTTCAGGTTTTCTATAGTTACTGTGAAATGTGATGTCAAGAAAAGAGAATGGACTTTGTACAGGGAATCAGGGCTTTAGATCACTGCTTCTAATGGACAAGTCAGTTAACTTCTATACTTCTCAATATTCCTTTAAGTATGATTTGGGGGATACTTAAATAAAATTATACAAAACCATTTATAATAGTGTGGGCAGTGGTTGAGAGGCTGTGGTCTAGTCAGACCGCAGGTATGTAGATCTTGTTTGTGCCATGTGGGAGCTGTCCATTCTAAAGAAGTTTATGTAACTCTTTTGGGTTTCAGTTTTCACACCCATACAGTGGAGGCTATGATAATATATATAGCCCATGGAATGATTTAAATGAATATCACATTTAAAAGTATAAAGCTCATTTATCACAATGCCTGGTGCTTAATATGTGCTTAAAATGTTATAATTATTCTTCAGACTTTTTTTCTCTGTGTGATCTTGCTTTGTCTACTGATTTTTCAACTTCTTACTGGTAGAGGGTTATAAAATAATGTCAAGCACTGTATGTAATGTAATGGCAGAAGCACAAATTTAGTTAGGGGAAAAACGACAGGGGTCCTCTGACTCTTTTCTTCTAATTGTTCTGCCTCTAGCATTACCATTATCAGTATAATTAGCTTAATAATAAGTTATAACAGGGTTTTTAGATTGCATTCATACATAGCTACTCAATCAAATGTTTTTGTTGGAGGTTTTCTAGGACCTCTATTTATCTAGTGTTCAAATCAGGATTTTCAATAGGTGAAGCGCTCTTGGAGCAGATCTTTTCATACAGGAAATCAATTAATTAGTGGCAAGTCTGGCTCCCTTTTGAGTAAAAAAGAATGAAGCTTTGAGTGTGATTCCGTCTTCACTGAGTTTGTAGAGCATTTGTCCACACAACTGCTATTTTATTTGAACTGAATGCAACTGTATTTATCAAAGGGAAGACAGTGCAACCTGTCAAGGTGGACTGACTGCCTGCTCTTTGGAGTGATAAAAGCTAGAGTTCCTGGATTTTGTCAGTTGTCAAAGCAAACATTGTTGCAGATCACTGCTTTATTGATTGTAGTCCCACCCCTATTGTTTCTCTTTTAAAAAAATCTAATTGACTTTAGATTTGTCATACAGGCATAGCTTCAATCTCAGAATACTATGCAAGTAAATATCACAGTAGCTAACACTCAATAACATTTAGTTGACTAAACAATATAATAGTTCTCCAAATTTACAGCGTCTGCTATTCTTGACACTAACATAGGTCTAATACATTGTACTTCCCTTCTTCTACTACGTAAACATAAGCACTGCTGTAATAAAATTCTTCAGCTACTGATTTGCCCAAATATTTTGGCATTGCCCAGTTGCTTAGTGTAGTTAATTAAAAAAAAAAAAACTACCCTAGGCTGTATTCCTTAGAAAATCAGTTCTTATGTGTCAGGTACCTTGCTGCATTATTTCCAAGGTTTAATATAGCCTCTGAAGTTGGAATGATGGCTTTAAAATCTCATCTGAATGTAGATGACAATGATAACAATACCAAACTCATGGGGTTATTATAATGAATAAATAAAGTGTAGATAGAAAGCACTTAGAGTAGAGGTGAGCACAGAGAAAAGTAGTGGTGAGCATATAGATATATCTTAAATATTGTTATCATTACCATTATTATACTGTATTATATTGTAATAATCTCTACTATCCCATTGTAATACTTTCATATAAAGCACTCTATTTAAATATGTTATAAGAATATATACATATGTATACATGCACACGCATATGTGTATTACATAATATTATACTATAATAGTAATTGTTTTCATTTTAGAGATGAAACAGTTGAGGTTAGGAAAGTTAAGAAACTTACCAGTGTCACAAGGGATGTGTGTTATGGAGCTAAGACTCAAAGCCAAGCAGTTAACCATGATAATGCTTTACCACTTGAACAATGCACACATACTCTGTTTTTCCAGAGGAGATTCTTCCTCTAATAGGCATATATCATAATTTGAAGAAGTAAGTAACAAAAATCATTTCCAGTTCAATAAAGGCAAAAAATATTTTAAAAGAAATAAAGTGAGAAGGAGAGGCTGGCAATACTACAGTTAAAAACCCAAAGGCCCAAGTGGCTGGTAGTTAAATTAATACAAGTATGTAAAACAGGTTAGGTGTAAGAATGATGGGTTTCGGGAGGTGGAACTTGCAGTGAGCCGAGATCGCGCCACTGCACTCCAGCCTGGCTGACAGAACGAGACTCCATCTCATAAATAAATAAATAAGGAATGATGGGTTTATGGTCAAGTAGAGAGCATGAATGTTGGTGATGTTGATCCTTATCATGTAGAGATGTGAATACACCATCACTAATTTCTCACAAAGCACCTACCATCCACATATTTATTTGAAAACACTCTGATTTTTAAAACAGAAAATTACTTCAAGATGTATAAAGCTCTGTGGAGTCTGAGTAAAGCATTTATGCAGATGGTATTTGACCAATGGGCCACCAATACGCAATCCTTATAAATATTTTCTGGAACTACAGGCTCCTGAGTGATGCATTTCTTGTAAACAGCTCTATATTCTTAAGAACTGAACACTGTTGAATGATATCTGCCCATAATTAAGTTCCTCAAACATCTGGAGCCTTACCTACTGAAGAAATTCCACTTGCAGACGCAGCCTACCCCAAATAGTGAATACCTGGCAGTCAAGCTGGGAAATGAAAGGGAGTTCTAGCCTCACCCAGCTGGGAACTCTTACCTAGTCTTACTTTTCCAAGTCAAAACAGGATGCTGTGGACTAGAGTTTTGGGCGGTCATACGGCACACATTTCCTCACCATCTCAACCTGTAAAATATTGCGTCAATTTCTCGTATTCTGTTTTGTCATTCTTTCTCGATTTACTTGGACTGGAATGCTGCAATAAACATCTCTCTACTTGATTGCAATCCTGATAAAAATTTAAATAATTCCCTGCCCTTTTGCCTACTGTCTCTAGTTGTTTAGAATCTTACTTAATCCTAAATAGAACGCCCTAGGAAAACAGACATTATTCCCCAACTCATGAACATTGACTCTGCCTGTAGAATTCTACAGTAGAAGCACAGCCACCTGATTGGCCATCTTTGTGTTGAAGGTAGAAAACAGACATGGCTTGACACACTTACTTAGAGTATGCTTTAATATGTTACTCCTACTCGTATCACACTTTTTGCTTTTATTGTTCTATATGTATAGTCTTAAGCTATTTACTGAAATGTATAGATTTTTTATACACAGGGCCCATGTAACTATTAAACTGTGTCATATAAAACAAATCACAGAATTAAGCTAGAAAAGCTCTCTGCTTCTATTTTATTATTTATAATTATTATCATGAGTTTTCTAACCAATAAGTCAAAATACAGGTATTTCCGGTGGCGTTTGGAATATTGGAAAGTTTTTCTATTTCCAATGGCAATTGCTTCTAGTGTTATTAGCACCTTTAATCAGCTCACTAATTTTATCCTTGAGCCTCCACCTTAGGTTCTAATTTATACTCCTTTCCCTGAGGTTACAATTCTTGCATGTATTGCAACCAACACCAAGCAATTTATAGCACTGTTAAAAGAAAAAAACTGAAATCATATTAGTTGAACCTTGAAATGAAAATTAACAAATTGGATAACCTAGAGTGTATAGTTTTAGGTTAGATGTTACCATATATACCATATCCTCTAATTCATCTAATACAATGAGCTTAAAATGCCTCTAAACACATCTGAGAAAATGTGAAGTTTTGACAGCATATACAAAAACTTCTTTTCATTTCCTAAAAGAAAATGAAATGATCCCAGGCCAAGATGGAAAACATTCTAATCATGGTATACAGCATCAATTTTCTTACCAGGACACTCAGCAACATAGCCAGAATGATGAATTGAATTCATTTTATTTTTTATATGCCATCACTTAAACCAAATACCTTCAAAAGTGAGGGACAAAATAATGAGATAACATTCATTCCATGCTTTGAAGTGAAATTTCCAATTCTCGTGTGTCCCAGCAGATTGATCTGTGATTTCTTTAAGAAAGCAACAAGATAGATAAAGTTTATCCTGCTCTATTTTTTCCCATTTCACTTTGGCTTTTGCTTTTCATTCTCAATCACATAGAATTTATTGTAAGGAGGTGATGCAAGGAAGGGAAGATGGTGATGCCAGGAGGAGAGCGATTGCAGATATTTTAGTTACAACTAGGGACTGAAAACTAAGGATTCATGCTCTATACTTAATTCATGGAAGGTTGACAGTAGTGTTGGGTGAAAACCAATGCTTTGTGAATGTCTGGTTAGATCTCTGTTGAAAACTAGCAAAGTTATTTTCTAGTTTTTAAAAGACTGTCAGATCAAAAGGGTAATGTAAATGTTTCTACCTCTTTAATGTCCGTGTTCGGAATACAACGGCACTCTACTGTCCTTCAAAGTGCGATAAAAAAAACTCCTTGTAATACCCTAGTGAGGCCAACTGAGTTACTGATAGCCCATTGGAAGGAATTTTGCATTACTCCAGAGTGTACTGATACATGACAAATTTTGCAGTCCATCAGTAGGAAGTATGAAGGTCTCTTTCTAACTGTTGAACTGGTAACTGATTGACAATTTTCAAAATCACCACCCCCCACACAAACCAACACTACATCCAACTCTTTAAGAATGAGAAGAAAGTTTTCCAACTCTTAGGGAACTCAGAAATCACATTAAAGTACAATTGTTATGTGTCACCTGCTAGCTATTACTTATTATAATAAATTGAAACCATCTTTTAAAGAACATAGCAAACCATCTTTTATCAACACCTTTTATCTTGTGATTAAATATGAGTGATGGGCTCTTTTAACACTTATGTTCCTTATAAATATTGCTTTCACCTTGGGCTTAATCCTGATATTGCATAATACTTTTCCTTGAAGTCAAGTAGCTTGAAATTGTACAGGTATTGTCAAGCACGGTCAGGGAAGGGCAAAAATGGAGTACTGACTATTTTTACACAGAAACACCACCTAGGAATCATAATATTTTTTTCCTTAAGACTTCTTCAAAGATTATTCAAAATCAAGTCACGTAGTTACGTTTGCCATTTAGTCTATGTATCTTTAAAAAATATTATTGTGTAATATAGAACTCGAGCCTTGTTGTAGAATTCTTTCTGTTAATGAATGCTTCAGCACTAACTATTGAAAAGCAATTTATTTTTATGAAACTCTAAGGATCAGATCTCAGAAGCCATTATTTATATGATGAACCTATGACTTTCCAAATTGCCTTGAAGTGCTATACAGAAACGCTTTTCTTTTGCCTTTTGTAGTTTTTTTATTACTGTATCACATGTTGCTATTCATCATGAAAAACAAATCTCAAAGCAGAATAGGTGGGTGCTATTAAATATTTCTGCGTATATACATGGCTTGCTTTAAAATTTACATTGCAATATCTTACATTAAATTGTGAGTGAATGAATTCAGTAACATAAAGGCATTTCAACTGTAAAAATACTTCAAAATTTATTTTCTTATATTCTAAATAAACTTTAATTTATTTAATCCATTAAAAAAGTTGCAGATTTTAAAAAGAAACTAAACCTATGTCCTTTTCTTTTAAGCTCTGTTTATGAAACTTTCTTGAATTAATGTTGCTATCTGTGTTTATTTGACACAAACATAGAGAAAGATTGATAGATTTTAAGCTCCATTATTTTGTAGAGGGACTTTTCTTTCCTAAAAGAGTTCCAAATATATTCCAAACATATCTCTCAGAAAAATTTTAAACTACACTTAACTCTCAGAAAGATTTCAGAAGTTGTTATTTATCACCATTTACAGGGTAAAATTCACAGGAAACAAATTAAGATACCCTTCTCAGGATATATTGAAAATGTAATTGGCATGCCTCTTATTTCTAGTGATTAGCTGCCTTAAAGGAGTACAAGGTAGATTAACATGTTGTGGAAACAATGATCAGATTGCCTAAGCCAATTATATGGAAAGTCTACCTGACACATGGTTTTCCAATGAGAAAACACATTTGAAATTGGATCCATGCTGAAATAGCAAAGACATGATGATAATGTGTATGTACAGTGCCATATCATTGTGAAAATCCAGAGAGATGCACAAAGAAATTCATAGAATTTTGTGTTAGAAGCATAATGTAATCTTCATGTTTATCATGTGAACTTCATTTTTAAAATAAAACTGTTATATTTGCTTTCAAGCTTGACATAGTAATTCATTATTTTGGAATAATGGATTTTATAATATTATTTATATATATGGTTGATCCTTGAACAACACGTTAAGTGGTATGAATTTACTTCAATGTGGATTTATTTCAATAAATATATTGGAAAAGTTTCTGGAGATTTGTGAGAGTTTGGAAAAAAACTCACAGATCAATCACATGGGTTATAAATTTGAAAACTTAAGAAGTAAACTATGACATGAATGCATAAAATACATGTAGATAGTTTATTTTGTCATTTACTACTATAAAATATCCACAAATCTATGATAAAATGTTAAAATGTATTAAAACTTACAGAAACACCGACCATACATTATACCATTATACCATTTACAGTTGGCAGTAATGTAAAGAAATGTAAAGATGCAGTATTAAAACATAACTGCATAAAATTCACTGTAATGTATACTCTACTACTGCAATAACTTTGTAGCAACCTCCTGTTGCTACTATGGTGAGCTGAAGAGTTGTAGGTATCCAATTAAAATGCTGTGTGATATTAATCATTTCTGTGTGAGCAATTTGTCTTTCCAGTAAATTGCATATTACAGCAAAAAGTGATTTATCCTGGTTCTCACATATTTTTCATCATGTTAAGTGCAATAGCACAAACCTTGACTATCACTATGGAACCCAAGCAAAGTACCACTAGTGATTCTGGAAGTGCTCCCAAGAAGCAGAGAAAAGTCATGACATCAAGAAAAAGCTGAATTGCTTAATATGTACATTGAATTGGGGTATATAGCTGCAGTTGTCCAGAATTTCAAAATAAAAGGATCCCACAGAAGGACCATTGTAAAGAAAAACAAATAGAAAAAAGATAAAAATATTCACAAAGTCATTGCTGCAGCTATCCAATAGGGACAAAAATCTTGCATTGTTTTGTGAAATACTTTTTAAAAAAATCTTGTATTAAAAATGCAGCTTTTATGAGGCTGCAGAATAGCTATAAAAAAGCATACCTACAGACTCTAATATAACCTGAGAAGAAGCAAAGTCATCATATGACTACTTAAAGCAAAAAGTAAGTGAAAGATATAAAGCTGGAGAATTCAATGCCAGCAAAGGATGGTTTGATAATTTTAGAAAGAGGTTTGGTCTTAAAAATGTCAAGATAACAGGAGAAGCAGCTTCTGCTGACCAAGAAGCAGCAGATGAGTTTCCAGATACCGTTAACGAAATCATTGAGAAGAAAGAATATCTGCATGAACAGGTTTTTCATGCAGATGAAAGCGCCCTATTCTGGGGAAAAAAAAGTCACGAAGGACATTTACTAGTTAGAAAGAGAAATGAGTATTAGAGTTTAAGGCAGAAAAAGATAGGATAATTCTACTGCTTGTGCAAATGCAGTTGGGTTTATGATCTGGACTGTCCCTATCTATGCCTATCTATGTAGTCACCAACCCTTGAGTCTTGAAGAGATAAACACAAGCTGCTATTCTTCTGGTTGTATAACAAAAAAGCCTAGACAATGAAAATCCATTTTCTAGATTGGTTCCATTGATGCTTTGCACCTGAAGTCAGGAAGTAACCAGCCAGCAAGGAACTGTTTCTTAAAGCTCTTTTGATGCTGTACAATGCCCCTAGCCACCCAGAACCCCATGAGTTCAACACCATGAGTGTCGAGTTGTCTACTTGTCCCCAAACACAACAGCTCTATATCAGTCTCTAGCTCAGGATCATAAGGACTTATAGTGGTCATTACACATGGTACTCTATGAAAAGGATTGTCAGTGCTATGGAAGACAATATCAGTAGCAAGAACATTATAAAATTATGGAAAGATTACAGAACTGAAGATGTCATCATTGTTACAGAAAAAGCATCAAGCCCCAAACAACAAATCCTGCTGAAGAGAACTTTGTCCAGATGTTGTGCGTGACTTTGCAGGATTTATAACAGAGTTAATCAATAAAATCATGAAAAAGATTGTGGATTTGGCCAAAAAAAGGAAGTAAAAGATTTCGAGATATGGTTCTTGGAGAAATTCTAGAACTAACAGACACCACACCAGAGGAATTAACACAATACAACTTGATGGAGATGAGTGCTTCTGAAATAGTGCCAGATGAACAGGAAGAAGATGTAGAAAAAGCAGTGCCAGAAAACAAATTGACATTAGACAATCTAGTGTCTAATGATGTAAGAGAAGATGATCTAGTGTCTAACAACAATCAGAGTTGACAGACTGATTGTTTTAGAGTGCTTTTGACTTCTCTCATGACATCAACTATTCTATGATATGTGCACTGAAACTAAAGCAAATGATGGAAGAAGGGTTTGTGCCATATAGAAATATTTTTAGAGAAATAAAAAAGCAAAAGTCAGACAGAAATCAGGATGTATTTCTGTAAATTTACACTAAATGTGCCTGCCTCTTCTTGCCTCCTCCCTCCATTTCCTCCACCTCTTCCATCTCTGCCACCCGAGACAGAAAGAATAGTCCCTCCTCTTCCTCCACCTCCTTAGCCTACTTGACCTGAAGATGATGATGATAAAAACCTGTATGATGATCAAATTCCACTTCATAAATAGTACACATATTTTCTCTTCCTTATGATTTTCTTAATAACATTTTATCTAGCTTACTTCATTGTAAGAATTCAGTATATAATATATATAAAACATAAAAATATGTGTTAATCAATTATTTATGTTATTCATAAAACTTCCAGTCAACATATAGATGATATAAATATAGGTTAATGTAGACTTATCTTCATAAATCTATATGTAAATTTTTGACTCCTCAAGGTGGTCAGCATCCCTAAACTCTGTGTGTGTGCACATGTATTTATTATGTTGACTTGGAGATCAAAATTTCACAAGTCATATTTCGAAAGGATGATACAAGATAGATAATAAGATTATATTTACCTGCTAAAAACACATAGAATATTAGTGTGATAGTTTATAAAATTAAAATCTTCCTTAAATATCATTTTAAGGATAAATGAATTAAACTAAAGTGATTATCAAAAGTTAAATAGTATATATGTTTCTGAACTCAATTCCAGCCCAGCTCTTCTCCTCCATCTAAGTTCCCATACCCAGCTCCATGACATACTGAAAAGTTTCTGCATTCTAACCAGAGTAGATCGCATTCATGCTTGAAATCAGACAGTATTGTTATGTGATTCACTTAAAAGGTAAGCTTACTTAAAACTATCCAGTGGCTCTAGCTTCACATGCACAAAAGATGTTCTATATGTTCATGAGTAATGGGAGTGAAATTTAAATAGTTACATTAAAGCTCCATAACGACATAATTATATTAGTGAAATCTAATAAATAAGAAAAGGAAAGCTTGCTTCCACAAAACTACACCTGGGGGTAACAATTCATTTATGCCTAGAATAATTAATATATTACATTAATTGTTTAAAAAAATAAGAATAAGCCCAATGGTGCATATCAAATACATTGTATAAATACAAGCAATATTAACATCCATTTAAAAAATAAAAAAATTATTTTTATTTCCTGAGGTATTTTTTTGACAATTCAAACGGTATCATCTGCTTATTCCCTTTCTCTCTTTTCTTTCAGAAACCTACATTTTGCTTTTTGCCATGGAAAAGCATCCTAATTACTCTTCCTTTACATTTCAGAAGTAATCTTTTAATTTTGATGGCAAAAGTGTCTTTTCTTTCTGTCTCGTATTTCATGCGTATTTTCTTACTACCCACATGCATTTGTTCTAGTTTGAAATCATTTCACTTTATGATCACTTTGAGTATTGAAGTTACAAAGAGAAGGTTGTCATGACCAGATATGTTATTCTTACCTGCAAAAGTCAGCCTAGAAGCATCTAGGGCCCCATTGCTGAGTTATTGGGAAAAGTTGTAATCATATAGTTTTATAATGATCCAGATTTTTAAAATATGTGAATCACATTATCATTTAAGTAATTATATTTCTAAACTGCTATTTCCTTTGTGACTTCCTAGGATGTCTAGAGAGGTGAAGCAAACCTACTTAGAATCTCTATTATCTATGCCTTGATAATGTTTCAAAGACCTTTATATACATCAAAACATTAGAATTCATATAAATTTGTCCAGATGTTTTACAAATATTGTTTCACTCAAAACATGTATAAGTATGTTATTAAGGAAGAAAAAACCTCTCAAGGGATTAAATTATACAGTCTCTTCAGCAATTATTTGTCTATAAATAAAATCATTTCTGTTGCTAAAACTGCTCAAATGCAGTTAGCTCTCCTTTTCTTCCTCTCTCTCAATCCTAGTAAAAGGCAAAAAGCCTTCTGTTTCTTCCGTTTCC
The DNA here is from genome assembly GCF_000001405.40 of Homo sapiens. NCBI lineage: Eukaryota > Metazoa > Chordata > Mammalia > Primates > Hominidae > Homo > Homo sapiens. The sequence goes on from NC_000017.11 coordinate 53,178,942, forward strand.
AGCATCATGTCTTTCTCTCCTTACATCTACTCTTTACTCTGCCTTTTAAAATACTTTTAAATTTAGAGCCAAATTTTTACTTTCTACATACTTTCTAGCATAGAAGAGAACCTTATTCACTTTGCAGACCTCATCTTCTACTCAAGCATCTTGCCTTCAACTAGTTATGTAAATATTTGATACCTTCTCTGTTCCTCTTAGGGTATAACAGTTGAGTATCAGAAATGATGTTATGTGTGCCTTTTAACTTACTTCTCAATATAGCATGATACATGACAGATGTCATCTAATAAAAACATTTGATAGTCATATCCTTCTTTTGAAAATTTCTTGTTTACATTATAGTTTTCAAATTATTTTATTATTCCAAACCCTGTCTCCCTTTCACTTCCACCCAAGCTCTTTAACATTTTCTTTTCTAACTTCCAGAACTTAATCCTCACTAACTTAAAAATTTTTTTTTCTTTCCATAGGTTATTTAGGAACAAGTGGTGTTTGGTTACATGAGTAAGTTCTTTAGTGATGATTTGTGAGATTTTGGTGCACTCATCACCTGAGCAGTATACACTGCACACAATTTGTAGTCTTTTATCCCTCGCCCCCTTCCCATCCTTTCCTCCTGAGTCCCCAAAGCCCACTGTGTCATTCTTATGCCTTTGCATCCTCGTAGCTTAGCTCCCACTTGTGAGTGAGAACATATAATGTTTGGTTTTCCATTCCTGAGTTCCTTCACTTAGAATATTCGTCTCCAATCTCATCCAGGTCACTGCAAATGCTGTTAATTCATTCCTTTTTATGGCTGAGTAATATATCATAGTTTCTTTATCCACTCATTGATTGATGGGCATTTGGGTTGGTTCCACTTTTTGCAATTGTGAATTGTGTTGCTATAAACATGCATGTGGAAGTATATTTTTCAAATAATGACTTGTTTTCCTCTGGGTAGATAACCAGTAGTAAGACTGCTGGATGAAATGGTAGTTCTACTTTTAGTTATTTAGGGAATCTCCACACTGTCTTCCATAATGGTTGTACTAGTTTACATTCCCACCAGCAATGTAGAAGTGTTCCCTGTTCACCGCATCCGTGCCAACATCTATTATTTTTTAATTTTTTGATTATGGCCATACTTGCAGGAGTAAGGCGGTATTGCATTGTGGTTTTGGTTTGCATTTCTCTGATCGTTAGTGATGTTGGGCATTTTTTCATATGTTCATTGGCCATTTGTTTATCTTTTTTTGAGAATTGCTAATGTCCTTAACCCACTTTTTGATGGGATTTTTTTTTCTTGCTAATTTGTTTGAGTTTGTTGTAGATTCTGGATATTAATTCTGGATATTAGTCCTTTGTCAGATGTATCGATTGCAAAGATTTTCTCCCACTCCGTGGGTTGTCTGTTTACTCTGCTGACTGTTCTTTTGCCATGCAAAAGCTCTTTAGTAATTCACTCCCAGCTATTTATCTTTGTTTTTGTTGCATTTGGTTTTGGGTTTTTGGTCATGAAACACTTGCTTAAGTCAATGTCTAGAAGGGTTTTTCCACTGTTAACTCCAGAATTTTATAGTTTCAGGTCTTAGATTTAATTCCTTGATCCATCTTGAGTTGGTTTTTGTATAAGGTGAGAGGCAAGGATCCAGTTTCATTCTCCTACATGTGGCTTTCCAATTATCCCAGCAGCATTTGTTGAATAGAGTGTTCTTTCCCCACTTTATGGTTTTGTTTGCCTTGTTGAAAATCAATTGGCTATGAGTATTCAGGTTTAGTTCTTGGTTCTTCTATTCTGTTCCATTGGTCTATGTGCCTATTTTTATAACAGTACCATGCTGTTTTGGTTGAATGTGGACTGATAATATAGTTTGAAATCAGGTAATGTGATGCCTTTAGATTTGTTATTTTTGCTTACTTTTGCTTTGGCTATGTGGGCTAATTTTTGATTTTATGTAAATTTTAGGATTATTTTTTCTAGTTCTGTGAAGAATAATGGTGGTATTCTGATGGAGATTGTGTTGAATTTGTAGATTGCTTTTCATAGTATGGCCATTTTCACAATATTGATTCTACCTATCCATGAGCATGGGATGTGTTTCCATTTGTTTGTGTTGTCTATGATTTATTTCAGCAGTGTTTCATAGTTTTCCTTGTAGAGTTCTTTCACTTTCTTGGTTAGGTATATTCCTAACTATTTTGTTTTATATATTTTTTGCAACTATTGTAAAAGGGGTTGAGTTCATGATTTCATTGTCAGTTTGGTCTCTGTTGGTGTATAGAAGAGCTACTGAGTTGTGTACATTAACTTTGTATCCAGAAACTTTGTTGAATTTTTAAATCAGTTCTAGGAGCTTTCTGGAGCAGTCTTTAGGGTTTCCTGGGTAAACAATCATATCATCAGCAAACAGCAGCAGTTTGACTTCCTCTTTACCAATTTGGATGCCCTTTATTTCTTTCTGTTGTCTGATTGCTCTGGCTAGGACTTCCAGTACTATATTGAAAAGAACTGATGAGATCAGGCATCCTTGTCTTGTTCCAGTTCTCAGAGGAAATGCTTTAGACTTTTTTCCATTCAGTATGATGTTGGTTGTGAGTTTGTCATAGGTGGCTTTTATTATGTTGAGATATATCCCTTGTATGCCGATTTTGCTGAGAGTTTTAATCAAAGGGATGCTGGATTTTGTCAAATGCTTATTCTGCATTTATTGAGATGATCATGTGATTTTTGTTTTTAATTCTGTTTATGTGCTGTATCACATTTATTGACTTGCATATGTTAAACCATCCCTCCATCCCTGGTATGAACCCCACTTGATCATGGTGGATTATCTTTTTGATATGTTTTTGAATTTGGTTAGCTAGTATTTTGTTAAGGATTTTTGCATCTATGTTCATCAGCATTATTGGTCTGTAGTTTTCCTTTTTGGTTATGTCCTTTTCTGGCTTTGGTATTAGGGTGATACTGGCTTCACATAATGATTTAGGGAGGTTTCTCTCTTTCTTTTTCTTGTGGAATAATGCCAATAGGATTGGTAAAAATTCTTTGAATGTCTGGCATAATTCTGCTGGGAATTCATCTGGTTCTGACCTTTTTTGGTTGGCAATTGTTTTCATTACCATTTTAATCTTGCTGCTTGTTATTGGTCTGTTCAGGGTATCTAATTCTTCCTGATTTAAGCTAAAAGGGTTGTATCTTTCCAAGAATTTATCCATCTCCTATTGGTTTTCTAGTTTATGTGCATAAAGGTGTTCATAGTAGCCTTGAATGATCTTTTGTATTTCTGTGGTGTCAGTTGTAGTATCTCCTGTTTCGTTTCCAATTGAGCTTATTTGAATTTTCTTTCCTCTTTTGTTGGTTAATCTTGCTAATGGTCTATCAATCTTATTTATCTTTTCAAAGAATCAGTTTTTTGTTTCATTTATCTTTTGTACTTTTTTGTTTCAGTTTCATGTGGTTCTGCTCTGATCTTGATTATTTCCTTTCTGCTGCTGGGTTTGGGTTTGTTTTTTTTCTTGTTTCTCTGGTTCCTTGAGGTGTGACCTTAGATTATAGGTTTGTGCTCTTTCAAACTTGTTGATGTAGGCATTTAGGGCTATGAATTTTCCTTTTAGCACTGCCTTTGCTGTTTCCCAGTGATTTTGATAGGTTGTGTTACTATTGTCATTCAGTTTGAGAATTTTTTAGATTTTCATCTTGATTTAATTTTTGACCCAATGATCATTCAGGAGCAGGTTATTGAATTACCACATATTTGCATGATTTTGAAGGTTTCTTTTGGAGTTGATTTCCAGTTTTATTCAACTATGGTCTGAGAGAGTGCTTGATATAATTTCAGTTTTCTTAAATTTATTGAGGCTCATTTTGTGGCCTATCATATGTCTGTCTTGGAGAAAGTACCATGCACTGATGAATAGAATGTATATTCTGCAGTTGTTGAGTACAACGTTCAGTAAATATCTGTTAAGTCCATTTGTTCCGGGGTATAGTTTAAATCCACTGTTTCTTTGTTGACTTTTTGTCTTGATGAACCATCTAGTGTTGTCAGTGGATCATTAAGATCCCCCACTATTATTATGTTCCTGTCTCATTTATTAGGTCTATCAATAACTGTTTTATAAATTTGGGAACTCTAGTGTTCCAAACTTCAGGTGCATATATATTTAGAATTGTGATATTTTCTTGTTGGACAAGGCCTTTTGTCATTATATAATGTCCCTCTTTGTCTTTTTTAACTGCTGTTGCTTTAAAATTTGTTCTGTCTGATGTTAGAATAGCTACTCCTGCTCGCTCTGGCATCCATTCGCATGGAATGGCTTTTGTCACCCCTTCACGTTAAGTTTATGTGAGTCTTTATGTGTTAGATGAGTCTCTTGAAGGCATAGATAAGAATTCTTATCTATTCTGCAATTCTGTATCTTTTAAGTGGAGCATTTAGGCCATTTGCATTCAAAGTTAGTACTGAGAGGTGAGGTACCATTCCATTCATTATGCCATTTGTTGCCTGTATACCTTGCTTTTGTTTTTTAATTTTATTTTTATTTTATAGGTCCTGTAAGATTTAAAGTGGTTCTGTTTTGATGTGTTTCCAGTATTTGTTTCAAGATTTAGAGCTCCTTTTAGCAGTTCTTGTAGTGCTGGCTTGGTAGTGGCAAATTCTCTCAGCATTTGTCTGAAAAAGACTTTATCTTTCCTTCATTTATGAAGCTTACGTTCACTAGATACAAAATTCTTGGCTGATCATTGTTTTGTTTAAGGAGGCTGAAGACAGAGTGCCAATCTCTTCTAGCTTGTAGGGTTTCTGCTGAGAAATCTTCTGTTACTTTGATAGGCTTCCTTTATAGGTTACCTTGTGCTTTTGCCTCACAGCTCTTAAGATTCTTTCCTTCATCTTAACTCTAGATAACTTGATGACAGTGTGCCTAGGTGATAAACTTTTTGCAATGAATTTCCTAGGTGTTCTTTGACCTTCTTGTATTTGGGTGTCTATGTCTCTAGCAAGGCCAGAAAAGTTTTCCTCTGTTATTCCCCCAACTATGTTTTCCAAACTTTTAGATTGCTCTTCTTCCTCAGGAACACCAATTATTCTTAGGTTTGGTCGTTTAACATAATTCCAGACTCCTTGGAGGCTTTGTTCATATTTTCTTATTCTTTTATTTTTGTCTTTTGTTGGATTGGGTTAATTGGAAAACCTTGTCTTCGAGCTCTGAAGTTCTTTCTTCTGCTTGTTTAATTCTATTGCTGAGACTTTCCAGAGCATTTTGCATTTCTATAAGTGCATTGTTTCTTGAAGTTTTGATTTTTTTTAATGTATACCATCAATTTTATTGAAAATTTCTCTCATTTCTTGTATCTTTTTTTTGACTTCCTTAAATTGGGCTTCGCCTTTCTCTGGTGCTTCCCTGATTAATTTAATAACTCATCTTCTTATTTACTTATTCATTTATTTATTTTTTGAGATGGAGTCTCGATCTGTCACCCAGGCTGGAGTACAGTAGTGCAATCTCTGCCCACTGCAACCTCCGCCTCCTGGGTTCCAGCAATTCTCCTGCCTCAGCCTCCCGAGTAGCTGGGACTACAGGTGCCCGGCACCACACCTGTATAATTTTTGTATTTTTAGTAGAGACAGGGTTTTACCATGTTGGCCAGGCTGGTGTTGAATTCCTGACCTCAGGTGATCCGCTCCCCTTGCCCTCCCAAAGTGCTGGGATCACAGGCATGAGCCAACATGCCCATCCCAACCTTCCGATTTCTTTTTAATGTAAATGGGATTTATTCTTGGTTTGGATCCATTACTGGTGAGCTAGTGTGATTTTGGGGGAGTGTTAAAGAACCTTGTTTTGTCATATTACCAGAGTTGGTTTTCTGGTTCCTTCTCATTTGGGTAGGCACTGTCAGAAGGAAGATCTAGGGTTCAAGGCTGTTGTTCAGATTCTTTTGTTCCACGGGATGTTTCCTTGATGTAGTACTCTCCCCCTTTTCCTAGGGATGTGGCTTCCTGAAAGCTGAGCTGAAGTGAGTGTTATCTCTCTTCTGGATCTAGCCATGCAACAAGTCTACCAGGCTCCAGGCTGATACTGGAGGTTGTCTGCACAGAGTCCTGTGATGTGAACTGACTGTGGGTCTCTCAGCTGTGAATGCCAGCACAGTATTTGGGGTGCCTCCTGGTGCTTCAGGAGCAATCCACTTCCTTCAGAGGGTCTGTGGGTTCTCTCCAAACCTCACTAACTTTAATGGCATTAATCAAATGGCAATTGCTTCATGGTGCCTCAACTTTTTGTAAAAATTGCTGACATCTGTGTGTTTACCTCACATTAGCCAGTTTCCACTGAAGTCACAGTGGGACTTAAGAAACACTAGTTCCTTCTAGATCATTCATTTTATAATTCTGCCTTCTAGGCACAATCTGCCTACATGATACTTCACTGAAATTCATCTTCTTTAATCATTCAACTCACTGCATTGTACAATGTGCATATAGATCCTTGGGCTATAGAGATCAAAAGGTGTTTAATTCTTCATGGGTGTCATGGAATTTGTCCTCAGAAAGGACTTTAGGGTCATTGAGTTGAATATTGACCTTTTACCTGAAGCTCCCTTTGCTGTTTTGAACTTCTTGCAAATCTTTTGTGCTATCCTTTGAAACCTAGGGTGTAAACAAGGAATTTTCAAATGAAGGCTACAACTATCAACTATATTTATCAGATGAAATTTGTCAAGATCTTTTGTGCTACTCCCCCAAAAACCAGGATCTTCCTCTACTCCCTACCATGTCCTTAATGGTAGTGCCCACCCTGGCTCTGCATGGCTTCATTCTCAGATATTTGATTAACATTTTTAGAGCCCAGGGACAGTGGAAGAAGGTGGAGACACAGATTGATGTCCCAAGGGATCTAATTCTTTTTTTTTTGTATTTTCTTTTTGTTATAACAGAGCCCTGTCCAGTTCACCATAGTATACATCCCCATTTTCCTAAATATAAACATTCATCATTCTAAACTAAGGTTAGAATATCAGATACAACAGGAAAACCTTATCTTTGCTTCTTTTCCC